>NC_000002.12:72292625-72917625 GCF_000001405.40 Homo sapiens
ATGCAGAACTGTTGCATCATCATAAAGAAACTCCTTTGTTTTACTTACTACTAGTCACAACTTCTTCCTTCTGCAACCCTAACCTCTGGCAACCACTGATGTGTTCTCCATCATTACAGTTTTGTCACTTACAGAATGTTATATAAATGGAATCATATAATATAAAACCCTTTGAAATTCACTTTTGTTTCCCACTCAGCACAATGCTCTTGAGAGCCATCCAAGTTTTTACCAATAGCTTAATATTTTTTATTGCTGAGTAGTATTCTATTGTACAGATGGGCCACAGTTTGTTTATCCTTTCATGCACTGAAGTACGTTTGGATTGTTTCCAGTATTTGGCCATTATGAATAAAGCTGCTTTGAACATTCATGGACAAGTTTTAGTGCAAACATGTTTTCATTTCTCTAGGAAAAAATGCCAGAAGTGGAATTGCTGATTTGCATGGTTTGTAAACATATTTAATTTTATAAGAAACTGCCAATCTATTTTCCAGAGTGATAGTATCATTTTATGTCCCCACCAGCACTGTATAAATGAGAGACTTGTTTGCTCTGCATCCTCACCAGCAGTTGGCTTATTAATTGCTGTTCATTGAGGCACACAGAGCTGGATATCCTAAATGAGTCCTAGGGACTCATTTCAGTCCCTACCTAGTGCTTATGTTTTTATAATATAGTAGAATGATATACTACAGAATATAGTAGAAGAATGGAGACACAATATGGGCACAGATTGGAGGACCCAAGGAAGAAGATATGTTGGGGGTAACAGCTTTTCCATTTATCCTACTGGTTAATATCAGAGAAAGGGACAATGAGGGTAGGCTTATGATAAACAGTAAACCATTAATGTTTCATTAGATGAATAATTGTTAAAAATGAGATAATTCCTAAGTAGATAGGAATTGCATATGTCAATGTGCCCTTCAGCTATGGATCTGAGATGGGCCATCCACACTCAAAAATAGGGCTAATAGGTATCTGGTTTTTAAAAGTGAAAGTCTGGTTTTGGAGCTTTTGGCTTAGAAATAAACACATGCTATGGTGTGACTTATGGGCCAACATTAGAGGCTTGTAATAAGTAATACAGTCCTAACTCCTTACTTGGATATAAGAGCATTAATTTTCTTTTCTGATATTTCTGGGGACACTATATGGCAAACAAACCCAAGTAGACAAGACCGTAGTGAATCATACATCTGTTGAAATACACAATGTATTTGAATATTTCCTTTTATGATGAGTAATCAGGAAAAAAAAGCTATGGAAAAAGGCTCTAGGATTACAGTAAGAGACCATCAAGTTCCAGAGGAAAAGAATATTTCTGGAAAGACTTAAGACAGAAACCAGAGGAAATTAAAAAGTAAAAACTGCATTGCATTTTCAATAGGATGTAAGGAAGAAGTCCACAATAAAAGTAGTCATGATAAGGGAGACAGTGGAACCAGTGAAAAAAAAAAAACAATAGTAGAATTTCAATAAACATTAAAGTTAGTAATAATCACAACTTCAGTAACTTGAACAACAGATATAAAGTACAAGTCTAAATGGCTTTCATAAGAATTCGGAGATAAAAAACACAAAGATAAACAGAAAGAAAAGATGGTTTGTATGGGGAGGCCTAAGAATTTAATGAACAATTATGTATTGTTTACCCTCCAAAGTTAATATTTATTATAATCATTCTACTCTCCTGTCCTCAAATTGATTTTTTACAACAGAAGCAGACCACCAAGAATCTAATACAATTGATAAGCTCTATAATTTTGACCAATGAAGCTCTAATTTCAAGGCATTCAGAATCAGGAAATGCCCAGCTAATTTTTGTTTTCCTTTTTGTAGAGACGGGGTCTCATTATGGGTTGCCCAGGCTGCGTTTTATTTTTCTTTTAACATTTCAGAGTCACTTTTTGATATTAAAGTCTTTGCTTTTTTATTTTAAGCCAGTCTCAGCCTTTTAGTAGGGACACAATCTATTTACATTTATTATCATAATGAGGATTCTTGGTCTTGTTTTCTATGGTTTTACGCTTTGTTGTTTCCTTTGTTTTCTTTCATTTGCTACATAGATATTTTCTTTGATTTTGTCTTTGCTAATAACGTAGAATATATATAAATAATCTCAATTCAATTTTTTAAATATGAGCAATTAGTTTCAAGAATAAAAGACAATCTATTCCACACTTCTTCTCATTTCCCAATCTGATTGAGATAATTAGGGATTTCAGACTTTGTTCCTTATTTTTAAGTATTTAAAAATATTTACATAAAGTATCTTAAATGTTTTTAAACATTAAAAATATGTCTCTCAAAAATTACTCTGGCTGGGTGGGGTGGCTCACGCCTGTAATCCCAGCACTTTGGGAGGCTGAGGCCAGTGGATCACGTGGTCAGGAAATCGAGACCGTCCTGGCCAACATGGTGAATCCTCATCTCTACTAAAAATATAAAAATTAGCCGGGCATAGTGGCGTGCACCTGTATTCCCAGCTACTCGGGAGGCTGAGGCAGGAGAGTCGCTTGAACCCGGGAGGTGGAGGTTTCAGTGAGCCGAGATCGCACCACTACACTCCAGCCTGGCAATAGAGCAAGACTCCATCTCAAAAAAAAAAAAAAAAAAAATACTCAGACCTCAAGATGTTTTAAAAAATTTTAATGATATCTACCAGTACTTCTATACAACTACATCCTTTTCTTTTAAACTATATACATATATTTCTAATGCCTAAAAACATGAACAAGTTGATTATGGAGACTTTTCTCCTTTAAAAGTTTTATAAGAGTTTTCACTTTCTTGCATGTAATGCTGTAGAGCAGGGAGTGGTAAACTTTTCCTGTAAAGGGCCAGAGAGTGACTGTTTTAGGCTTTGCATGCCACACTTTCTTTTTCTGTTGCAAGTACTGAACAGGTAAGTTAAAATTGTCCCTTAAGTTTAATGAGTGTTTATATGAATAGATGCTGAGCTGTTGTCTATGGTCAAGGAACACCACAGTTAGTGTTTACTAAGACAGTAAGAAGTGGAACAAGGCTTAAAGAACTACTTTCTGAATATCAGGAACTGCATGCTGTATGATTGAAGGTTTGCAAGCAGAGAAAAGGTGACTCTGCTGAGTTCTTGAAGCATCTGTCTACCTAAAGGCTGACCATTAGACTATATCACATTTTAAACTCCTTTCTAATATATTTATTTTATAACAGATTAGATTATTGTACATAAAATTAAGAAGAGAAAAACAGACTTAAAATACGTATTTTTTTCCGAATGTAGAAAAAGAGATCATACAAAAGAGGAAGTTAAACATTTTGTAAGGAGCGTTTCCAGTAAGTACTACTTCATAATTTCTCTGTGAAATAAATACAAGGACATCCCCTTAAAGATGAAGAATTCAAGGACTAGAGTGGCTATGGATTTGTCCAAGGATACCCAGCAAGTGTTATAACAGAATCCTGAACATGTATGTCTCAATTTTGAATAATATTAAATAATAATATATTAAAATAAATTTGTTCCTGAATAAATTAGCATATAATCCTGAAGTGCTGAATATAGGATAATATTTCTTCATTCTGGCAGTTTCTAATATAAAACAGTAAGTTTCTAATGTGATATAGTATGACCTCGCTGAAATAGTACCTTGATATGTTTGGGGGAGAAGAAACATGGGTCTTTCAGACTCTTCCAGAGAAAAAGCCTTCGAGTTGCCAAAAATCAGACAGTCAAATTTCCTTGGCTTTCTAATGACAATGCCACTGTCCTCTTCATAGCACACATAAACAGAGAAGAAGGGAAGTTCTAAAGAACTCCATAAATATTTAGATAAAGATAATTCATTATTTATTGAGAGACCCATATGTATAGCATACATTTAGATGGAGAGTAGAGCAGATAGATGAGGATGTCATAATTCCATGATTATTTTTCTTTCTATTTTGCCTGCTCCTAAAAAGTGTTCCAGGTGTTTCACAATAAAAGGGATGTATACATAATACACTGAAAATGGAAATAGAGAAGACATGATCATAACTAATTCTCTAGGTATTTAAGGAAGATGACTGTCAAGGAGGAGAGAAGAGTAAAACACATCTCAAGAGACTAAAAATAACTAGGTGTAATAGGATGAAATTAAGCAAAGGAAAATGCAAGATAAACACAATGGTTTTCTGTTTTTTTCCTCAGTTTCTAATCATGAATGAAATTCCCCAAGGAAGATTAGTTACAGTCATGTGAAAAGAAGACTATTCCTTCGGTGCTATTCTGCAGAGGCTAAACCTGCAGAAGGAAGGAGGACAAGGAACATAATTTTCTAAATGAGATTTTCCACCTTTACATTTATTCTCTATAATTTGCTATATTTTGAAAAAGTAAGTAATATGTGAACATATTCTTAAAGGTTGAAAGAATGCAATCAAATAGAAGTGGAAATTCTCCCTTTCTTCCCTCCTGAAACCCTATTCCTTCAAGATGAAAAGATAATTTAGCTGTTAACAAATATAGATTATAATATAGGTAAATATAAATTTTTAGGCAAAGGTGGGATTTCACATTTTAAATTTCATATGTCTTGGAAATCTTTGTTACTTTTATTTGAGGTTCAGGGATACATGTGAAGGTTTATTATATAGGTAAACTTGTGTCACAGGAGTTTGCAGTATGGATTATTTTGTCACTCAGGTACTAAGCCCAAAACTCAATAGTTGTTTTTTTCCTGTTCCTCTCCCTCCTCATTTTCCTGTTCCTCTCCCTCCTCACACGTTCCACCCTCAAGTAGGCCCCAGTGTCTGTTCTTCCCCTCTTTGTGTCTGTGTGTTCCCATCATTTAGCTCCCACTTATATATGAGAACATGTGGTACGTGGTTTTCTGTTCCTGTGTTCTCCTTCAGTTCTGCTCTGATCTTAGTTATTTCTCGCCTTCTGCTAGCTTTTGAATGTGTTTGCTCTTGCTTCTCTAGTTCTTTTAATTGTGATGTTAGGGTGTCAATTTTAGATCTTTCCTGCTTTCTCTTGTGGGCATTTAGTGCTATAAATTTCCCTCTACACACTGCTTTAGCTGTGTCCCAGAGATAATGGTACATTGTGTCTTTAAATGAACTTATTTATTTCTGCCTTAATTTTGTTATTTACCCAGTAGTCATTCAGGAGCAGGTTGTTTAGTTTCCATGTAGTTGTGCAGTTTTGAGTGACTGTTTTAATCCTGAGTTCTAATTTGATTGCACTGTGGTCTGAGAGACTGTTTATGATTTCCATTCTTTTGCATTTGCTGAGGAGTGTTTATTTCCAATTATGTGGTCAACTTAAGAATAAGTGCAATGTGGTGCTCAGAAGAATGTATATTCTGTTGATTTGGGGTGGAGAGTTCTGTAGATGTCTACTAGGTCTGCTTGGTCCAGAGCTGAGTTCAAGTCCTGAATATCCTTGTTAATTTTCTGTCTCATTGATCTGTCTAATACTGACAGTGGGGTGTTAAAGTCTCCCACTATTATTGTGTGGGAGTCTAAGTCTCTTTTTAGGTATCTAAGAACTTGCTTTATGAATCTGGGTGCTCCTATAATGGGTGCATATATATTTAGGATAGTTAGCTCTTCTTGTTGCATTGATCCTTTACCATTATGTAGTGCCCTTGTCTCTTTTGATCTTTGTTGGTTTAAAGTCTGTTTTATCAGAGACTAGGATTGCAACCCCTGCTTTTTTTTTAACTTTCCATTTGCTTGGTAAATATTTCTCCATCCCTTTATTTTGAGCTTAGGTGTGTCTTTGCACATGAGATGGATCTCCTGAATACAGCACACTGATGGGTCTTGACTCTTTATCCAATTTGCCAGTCTGTGTCTTTTAATTGGGGCATTTAGCCCATTTACATTTAAGGTTAATATTGTTATGTGTGAATTTGATCCTGTCATTATGATGCCAGCTGGTTATTTTGCCTGTTAGGTGATGCAGTTTCTTCACAGTGTCGATGGTCTTTATAATTTGGTATGTTTTTGCAGTGGCTGGTACCAGTTGTTCCTTTCCATGTTTAGTGCTTCCTTCAGGAGCTCTTGTAAGGCAGGCCTGGTGGTGACAAAATCTCAGCATTTGCTTGTCTGTAAAGGATTTTATTTCTCCTTCACTTATGAAGCTTAGTTTGGCTGGATATGAAATTCCGGGTTGAAAATTCTTTTCTTTAAGAATGTTGAATATTGGCCCCTACTCTCTTCTGGCTTGTAGGGTTTCTGCAGAGAGATCCGCTGTTAGTCTGTTGGGATTCCCTTTGTGGGTAACCTGATTGTTCTCTCTGGCTGTCCTTAACATTTTTTCCTTCATTTCAACCTTGGTGAATCTGACGATTATGTGTCTTGGGGTTGCTCTTCTCCAGGAGTATCTTTGTGGTGTTCTCTGTATTTCCTGAATTTGAATGTTGGCCTGCCTTGCTAGGTTGGGGAAGTCCTCCTGGATAATATCCTGAAGAGTGTTTTCCAGCTCGGTTCCATTCTCCCTGTCACTTACAGGTACACCAATCAGACGTAGATTTGGTCTTTTCACATAGTCCAATATTTATTGGAGGCTTTGTTCATTTCTTTTCACTATTTTTTCTCTAATCTTCTCTTCTCACTTTATTTCATTGAGTTGATCTTCAATCTCCGATATCCTTTCTTCTGCTTGATCAATTCGGCTATTGATACTTGTATATGCTTCACAAAATTCTCGTGCTGTGTTTTTCAGCTCCATCAGTTCATTTATGTTCTTCTCTAAACTGGTTATTCTAGGTAGCATCTAGATGAATTCTAGGTAGCATCTATTCTAGATGAATTCATCTAACCTTTTTTTAAGGTTTTTAGCTTCCTTGCATTGGGTTAGAACATGCTCCTTTAGCTCGGAGGAGTTTGTTATTACCCACCCTCTGAAGCCTACTTCTGTCAATTTGTCAAACTCATTCTCCGTCCAGTTTTGTTCCCTTGTTGGCGATCCTTTGGGGTGATCCAGTTGTGATCCTTTGGAGGAGAAGAGGTGTTCTGGTTTTTGGAATATTCAGCCTTTTTGCGCTGGTTTCTCCCCATCTTTGTGGGATTATCTGAGTTTGGTCTTTGATGTCGATGACCTTCAGATGAGGTCTCTGAGTGGATGTCCTTTTTGTTGATGTTGATACTATTCCTTTCTGTTTGTTGGTTTTCCTTCTAACAGTCAGGCCTCTCTGCTGCAGGTCTGGTGGAGGTTGCTGGAGATCCACTCCAGACCCTGTTTGCCTGGGTATCACCAGTGGAGGCTGCAAAATAGCAAAGATTGCTGCCTGTTCCTTCCTCTGGAAACTTCGTCCCAGAGCTCTAGAGCGCTCCTGTATGAGGTGTCTGTTGGCCCCTAGTGGGAGGTGTCTCCCAGTCAGGATACATGGGGGTCAGGGACCCACTTGATGAGGCAGTCTGTCCCTTAGCAGAGCTCAAATGCTGTGCTTGGAGATCTGCTGCTCTCTTCAGAGCCCTCAGGCAGGGATCTTTAAGTCTGCTGAAGCTGTGCCCACAGGCGCCCCTTCTCCCAGGTGCTCAGTCCCAGGGAGATGGGGGTTTCATCTATAAGTCTCTGACTGGGGCTGCTGCTTTTTTTTCAGAGATGCCCTGCCCAAAGAGGTGGAATCTAGAGAGGCAGTCTGGCCGCAGTGGCCTTGCTGAGCTGTGGTGGGTTCCGCCCAGTTGGAACTTCCTGGCAGCTTTGTTTACACTGTGAGGATAAAACCGCCTACTCAATCCTCAACAATGGCGGACGCCCCTACCTACACCAAACTTGAGCATCCCAGGTCGACCTCAGACTGCTGTGCTAGCAGCAAGAATTTCAGCCAGTGGATCTTAGCTTGCTGGGCTCCATGGGTGTGGGACCCACCAAGCCAGACCACGTGGCTGCCTGGCTTCAGCCTCCTTTCCAGGGGAGTGAATGGTTCTGTCTCGCTAGCGTTCCAGGTGCCACTGGGGTATGGAAAAAAAACTTCTGCAGCTAGTTTGATGTCTGCCCAAATGGTTGCCCAGTTTTGTGCTTGAAACCCAGGGCCCTGGTGGCATAGGCACCAGAGGGAATCTCCTGGTCTGCCAGTTGTGAAGACCATGGGAAAAGTGCAGTATCTGGCCGGAGTGCGAGTGCACCATTCCTCCGGGTACAGTCTCTCATGGCTTCCCTTGGCTGGGGGAGGGAAATCCCCCGACCCCTTGCACTTCCTGGGTGAGGCGATGCCCCACCCTGCTTCAAATTACCCTCCGTGGGCTGCATCCCCTGTCCAACCAGTCCCAATGAGATGAACCGGGTACCTCAGTTGGAAATGCAGAAATCACCTGCCTTCTGCATCAATCTCGCTGGGAGGTGCAGGCTGGAGCTGTTCCTATTCGGCCATCTTGCCACCTCAGCTCTTATTATTTTGAGGTATGTTCCTTCAATACCTAGTTATTGAGAGTTTTTAACATGAAGGAGTGTTTAATTTTATCAAAAGCCTTTACTGCATCTCTTGATATAATCATGTGATTTTTTGCCTTTAGTTCTGTTCATGTGATGAATCACATTTACTGATGTGTGTATGTTGAACCAACCTTCTATCTCAGGGATAAAGCCTACTTGATCATGGTGGATTAGCTTTTTGATTGTGCTGCTGAATTTGGTTTGCAAGTATTTTGCTGAGGATTTTTGTGTCAATGTTCGTCAAGGATGTTGGCCTGAAGTTTTCTTTTTATGTGTTTATGTCTCTGCCAGGTTTTGGTATCAGGATGATGCTGGCCTCATAGAAGGAGTTGGGGAGGAGTCCCTCCTTCTCAGTTTTTTGAATAGTTTCAGTAGGAATGTTACCAGTTCTTCTTTGTTCATCTGGTAGAATTTGGCTGTGAATCCATCTAGTCCTGGGCTTTTTATGGTTGGTAGGCTATTTATTACTGACTCAATTCAGGGCTTGTTACTGGTCTGTTCAGGGAACCAATTTCTTCCTGGTTCAGGTTTGGGAGGGTGTATGTGTCCAGGAATTTATCCATCTCTTCTAGGTATTCTAGTTTGTGCACATACAGGTGTTCGTAGTAGTCTCTGATGGTTATTTGTATTTTTGTGGGGTCAGGGGTAACATCCCCTTTGTTGTTTCCTATTGCTATTTCTATTTTGTCTCTTTTCTTTTTTATTAGTCTAGCTAGCAGCATGTCTTACTAATTTCTTCAAAAAACAAACTCCTAGATTTGTTGATCCTGTGAATTTTTTTTGTGTCTTGATTTCCTTCAGTTCAGCTCTGATTTTGGTTATTTCTTGTCTTCTGCTAGCTTTGGGGTTGGTTTGCTCTTGATTCTTTAGTTCTTTTAGTTGTGATGTTAGGTGGTTAGTTGAGATCTTTCTAACTTTTTGATGTGGGCATTTAGTGCTATAAATTTCCCTCTTTTCATTGCCTTAGTTGTGTCCCAGGGATTCTGGCATGTTGTATCTTTCTTCTCATTAGCTTCAAATAAATTCTTAATTTCTGCCTTAATTTCATTATTTACCCAAAAGTCATTCAGGAGCAGGTTGTTTAATTTCCATGTAATTACATGCTTTTCAGTGATTATTTTAATCTTGATTTCTATTTTTATTGCACTATGGTCCAAGAGTGTGTTTGGTATGATTTTGATTCTTTTGCATTTGCTGAGGATTGTTTTATGTTCGATTGTGTGGTCAATTTTAGAGCATGTGCCATGTGGCAATGAGAAGAATGTATATTCCTGTTGTTTTCGGGGGGAGAATTTTGTAGAAGTCTGTCAGATCCATTTGGTCTAATGTTGAGTTCAGGTCCTGAATGTCTTTGTTAATTTTCTGCTGCAATGATCTGTTACTTACTGTCAGTGGAGTGTTGTTATTGCACAGGAGTCTAGGTCTCTTTGTAGATCTCTAAGAAATTGCTTTATGAATCTAGGTGCTCCTGTGTTGGGTGCATATATACTTAAGATAATTAGGTCTTCTTGTTGAATTGAACCCTTTACCATTGTGTAATGTCCTTCTTTGTCTTTCTTGATCTTTGTTGGTTTAAAGTCTGTTTTGTCTAAAATTAGGATTGCGGTGCCTGTTTTTTCTGATTTCCATTTGCTTGGTAGATTTGCCTCCATCCTTTTATTTTGAGCCTATGGGTGTCACTGTGTGTGAGATGGGTCTTAGGTAGACAGCATACCACTGAGTCTTCTTTCTTTTTTTTTCAGCTTGCCACTCCGTGCCTTTAAAATGGGGCATTTAGCCCATTTACATTTTTTATATGTGTGGATTTGATCTTGTCATTGTGTTGTTAGCCGGTTGTTATGCCAGCTTATTTGTGTGATTGCTTTATAGTGTCATTAGTCTGTGTACTTAAGTCTGTTTTTGTATTGGTTGGTAACAGTCTTTCCTTTCCATATTTAGTGCTTCTTTCAAGATCTCTTATAAAGTGGGTCTGGTGATACCAGACCCCCTCAGCATTTGCTTATCTGAAAAGAATCTTATTTCTCCTTTACTAAGGAAGCTTGGTTTGGCTGGATATGAAATTCTTGGTTGAAGTTTTTTTCTTTAAGAATGTTGAATATAGGCCTCCAATCTCTTCTGGCTTATAGGGTTTCTGCTGAGAGATTTGCTGTTAGCCTGATGGGGTTCCCTTTGTAGATGACCTGCCCTTTCTCTCTGTCTTTCAGGGGCTCTCTGTGTTTCCTAAACTTGACTGTTGGCCTCCATAGTGAGGTTTGGGGAGTTTTCAAGGATGATATCCTAAAATGTATTTTCCAAGTTGTTTCGTTTCTTCCCATCCAATTCAGGGATGCCAATAATTTGTAGATTTGGCCTCTTTACATAATCCCATATTTCATGGAGGTTTTGTTCATTTCTTTTTATTATTTTCTCTTTATTTTTTTCCTGTCTTATTTCACAGAGCCAGTCTTCCAGTTCCAAGATTCTTTCCTCAGCTTGGTTTTTCATCTCTATCAGATCAGTTATATTATTTTTTATATAGGCTATTTTGTCTTTCTGCTTCTGTATCATTTTATTATTATTCTTAGTTTCCTTGGATTGGGTTTTGCCATTCTCCTGAATCTTGGTCATCTGTGTTCCTATCCATATTCTGAATTCTATTTCTGTCATTTTAGCCAACTCAACTTGATTAAGAACCTTGTTGGAGAAGTAGTGTAATCATTTGAAGGACATAAGACATTCTGGTCATTTGTGTTGCTGGAGTTCTTGAATTGGTTCTTTTTCACCTCTGTGTGTGGGTGTTCCTTTAACTGCCAGGCTGCCTCTGATTGAAGTGGTCAGGCAGGGGCAGGATGGTTGTGCAGAAGTCCCACGTTGGGCAGCCCTGCTCAGTGAGGAGAAGTGAGGACCAGGACCTATGTGGAAAACATTCTGGCCACTCTTCCGTGAGGTGAGTGTTCTGTGCTAGGGGTTCAGACTAGCCCCTGATCCTGCCAACTCTGCAGAGCTGCTTCCCTGGGTGGGGGAGGTTTCTCTGTCTCTGTGTCACTCCCAGGTGGGCGTTTATCCTGCCTTGCTTTTCTCCATTCTCCAATCTTGGAAATCATTTCATGTTAGTACATATGACTGCCTCAACCTTTTTAAGGAATGTGTGGTATTCCACAGTATGATTGGTCCATAATTTAGCCATTCTTCTATTAATGGATATTTAAATTTATTCTAATTCTCTCTCTTATACACAATACTATAATGAACATTTTATACTTATATTCTTGTACATATGTGAGTATTTCCTTAATAGAATATTACTGAACAGAAGAGAATACTGGAGGTCAAATAGAAGATATCATTTAAAATATTGGTAATTACTCAAGCTGTCCTCAAACATGCCACACCAGTTTATACTCTAATTTATAGCTTCACATATTTTTAACTTTTTTGTTCCTTTGCCCAACACTAGATATCATGGATTAAATTTTTTTTTACCAATCTAATAGTTGAAAAATGAGAGCTAATTATTATTTTAATTTCCATAGTTAGAAAAGGTATGTATGTTTTCATTTTAAGGGGGATACTTTAAAGTCATTCTAAATGAAACAGACTTTGGAGCAGAAGGAGTAAACTTTGCACAGCAGAAAGTCAACTCAAAGATCAACCTCTAGTAAAAAATACTCTTCATGGTATGAAAAGGTTAGTTAACTGTGCATTCAGCAGAGCCCTGTTTTTGGTTATATCAGTTCTGTTACCAATCTCCTTTACAAAAATGCAAAACTGCTATTTAGGAACCTGACAGCTTTGAAGCTGCAAGGGCCCCTAGACAATAAGCAGCAAATTCAGTAAGATTGGGGCTAGGTTATTTTGGGCAAGTATCAGACAGTTGAGATTGAGAAAAAGGTTTCCTGAGAAAGTAGGAGTCCAGAAGCTGCTGGTACAAGTATTGGGAGCAGACATATCATACATCTAAAGTGAGTATATATCTAAAAGATCAAGAAGTTCCTGAGAGGTACACTAAATCAGAATAACTGCAAGTCACATTTATTAAATATTCACCATATGACAGGTAGTATGCTAAGCACTTTCCATGGATTAACTTATTTAATCATCACAAGTGCATGAGGTAGCTATTATTATCTATATTTTGTTGGTGAAGAAACTGAGGCACAGAAAGGTTACGAATTTGTCCAAGGTCATACTGCTAAGTTCATGTAGTTAAATGCCAGGTTAGCCTTGGCTCTGAGGCTAGAGGGGAAACTTACTTATTTCATGGAAATGTTTAGAAAATTAAGTTGAAGAAATATGGGTGTGTGTATATGTATATGTATATGTATATGTATATGTATATGTATATGTATATGTGTATGTATATGAATGAGATTTTGGTCCTCACCAAATCATATTCTTATCTAGTTGTCCCTTGTAAACCCTGTGAAGGAAAGTTAGAAGTTTTGTCTTCATGCAAAGGTAATAGGTACCTGTGAATACTAAAATTGTATAATCAAATTATTCAGCTCAGAATGCAAAGTAGATTATGATTATTAAGTATATACTGCATTCTACATAAGAGATCTATAAGACCTATAAGATCTAATATGATCCTTGGACAAATTCATAAGCTTTCTGTCTCTGTTTCTTCACTAACAAGACACAGATAATAATAGCTACCTCATGGACTTGTAATGATTAAATAGTTATATAAAGTTTCACTCTAATGTACTGTACCAAATCTTTGTCTGCTCTAATAAACAAAAAATTTCAATGTATTATTATGCTCCAAAATTTTAGAAAACTAATGTCTATCAATTCTTCAGAATAATTTTATGTTTGCTAAAACTGTGAACACTAGCTAATTAGATTCAAGTTATCCCGAGAAACCAGTGAAATAAAAGGGTTACAATCTAGGTCTTAGAAGTTCTGATTTTGTTTACATAATACATGACCAGGGCCTTCTGTCTTGTTCTCCTATTCCAAAAGGGGGAGCAAGCAGCATGGCCCCAGAGTCCTGAGAATCCTGAATACATTTTTCCTTCTTGGGGAGAGCAGACTCAGTTGAAGAAAAGAAGAACACTTCCTACCCGGACAGGCTGACACAGTAAGGGATCTCTCAACATACATTCACATTAAAAAAAGAGATATTCATAAATATCATCCATTTAAACATTATTTATAAAAAACAAGGTAAATAATAGATCAGAATTAAAATGAAAATGTATACCGTTATAATAAAATATTCTCATTTCACAGTTTCTGAAACTGAGTTCTAGAGAGTTAGGTGACTTTACCTTAAATAATGACTCAAACTCTGCAAGTGTTTTCTAGTTTTAACATCAAAAAATACATTTTTATATAACTGTGTCATTATAATATGCTATTTTCTGACCTTTTTAAAACATTACTTTGTTGTACATTTTTTGTGTATTATGCCCCACATGTGCATTAACCTAGTCCACAAATTTGTTATTTTAATGGCAATATTCAATTATAATTAACATACAATAGTTTAACTTTTCTCAACTGTTAGATATTTGTAATGTTTCTCATATTTCTTTATTAAAAATAGTAACGGTGCAGCTACAAACATCTTATGTGGTACTTCTCTTTTACCCTCTTTAAGTAATTTTATAAAGATAAAGGTTATTTTCAGGTCAAAAATAGTGGTCAGTTTTATGACCCTCGTTGTATACTGCTAAACTATTCTCCAAAACAACCCTGGCAATTTACTCAATTATATCTAAGTCTACACTTCCAAAAATCTTGTCCGTTGTAATGGGCAGTAAAGTTTCCATATGCTCTTAATCTCCAAAATTCTGGGAAAAAACATGATAATAGTTCCTAATTACTAGTCATACATTTCTAGATAATTCCATTTTATTTAAGATATTTGTATCTGTGTTCATAAGTGAGATTACTTTCATGTTGCTTTTTTAGGTGCTCATTTCATCATACCTTTTAGGATCAGGACCATAATAATTTACTTCATATGATAAACTAAAGAACCTCCTAGTGTGTTTTCCCAAGTCCATAAAAGCCTTCTTCCTATCTCTCCTCCACATTACAATCAGAACAACCTTTTAAATACTCAAGTCTCATCACATTCATTTCTTAAAATCTTCAGTGGCTTTCCATGACTGCAATGGTATAGTCCAGTTTTTTTTTTTTTGAGACGGAGTCTTGCTCTGTCGCCAGGCTGGAGTGCAGTGGCGCAATCTCGGCCTCCCAGGTTCAAGCGATTCCCCTGCCTCGGCCTCCCGAGTTGCCGGGACTACAGGCGTGCACTACCACGTCCGGCTATTTTTTTTTTCTTTTGTATTTTAATGGAGACAGGTTTTCACCATGTTGGCCAGGATGGTCTCGATCTCCTGACCTTGTGATCCACCTGCCTTGGCCTCCCAAAGTGCTGGGATTACAGGCATGGGTATAGTCCAAAATTCTAACTTGATCCATATGGTTCTAGATCATCTGGCCACGCATGCCCTTTCCCTCTTTGGTGTCTTCAAATGCACTCACCGTAAGATTTCCACTCCCCTCACTCCAGCTGCATTTTACTGATCTACTCTTGAATGCCATTAACATCTGTCACCAGGCTAAAGCTCTCTCACTACCCAGTTCAGTTTATTCAAAATTACTTATTCAATGTCTACTGTCTCTGATAAACTATATAAAACTCCATTTTCTACAGCAAAGGTTCCCTTTTTTTCAGGCTATTAGCAAGCAGGCATTCTTTGCCTCAGGAGTTTTAGAACATGATACTGTATATAATGTTTCCCTATGAGACTATAAACCAAGGTTAAAGGCCAGTTCTTATACATCTCTTCCACTCAAAGTTTAGTATACCTTGCATTCAATAAAGGTTAATGGATTCCTCTAGTACTCCAGAGGAATAACACAAAGAGTAAACTTAATAAAATCTGTATCAGACAAATACTCTTTGTTTGTAATATAAAATAGAAGAAATAACCGTCCATCGCAAAGACATAGTTATACTGACTTTCAGAGTTCATTGTTGAAAATTCATTAGAATTTCTGAGTTAAAGCATTTGACTCATTTGAAAGCATTATATAATTGAATAGGTAAAGAAATCTCTTCCGCAGAGACCTCAAAGAAGGAATACTCAGCAAAGACCACAACACCTCAATATTTTCTTTTTCCATTTACCTCATTAGGTCCAAATAATCCTAAACCCTCCAGGAAATGCCCATGTGTCCACTGCATATGCCCAACCAGAACTATCAACCCCAAATACTACCTCCTTTCCATGACAGTGGATCATATCTTTAAACATCTCAGCTCTGGAGTCATAAATTTATGACATTATTAATTTTCAAAATCAATTATTGTGTACTGTAGACATATTGAAAACCTAAACCAAGAGACCTAAGAAATGTGGAAGAAGGACAGTGATGAAATAAATAAGTAATGGAATGGATAAGAAGGAATACGTTAAGCTAAAGTAAAAAAACTTTTCTAACTAATTCACTTCTGCTACTGAGAAGACACCTGTAAAATGAGAATAACAGTAGTATTTATCTCACAGAGGTGTTGGGAAATTTAAGTGAGTTAGTATACATAAAGTGCTTAGGAGAGTGCCTGGCATTATTGTCATTTCTTTTATTAGGTAGCTGGAACTTAAAGCTTTAAGTAAATAAAAGCAATGGGCTAACATTCTGGGCCAGGAAGACATCTTCTAGTTTGTTCAAGGCTAATAGCAATCTCTATATATGTACATTTCTAGGGAAGTTTCTGATATCCCAACATTATGACATTTCCCATCTTAACAGGCAGGCAGTTCTTTATAATAACTAAAACTACTGTAGTTAAACAATCTTATCTGCTTTCTTTTACTTTTTATTAGTAGGAAAAGAAAGGAATTTTCTATAATTTAAATGAAGATGATGACTATAAATGTCTAGAGGAAATACTTACACCAAACTGCTTTTACTTTCATAAGAGAAAAATAGTTTCTATTAACATACAAGATGACAAATCAGATAGAAATGAGACTGATTTAAAACCTTAAAAAATAAGTCATCTCAAGCAGAATTATGAGAGAGGAAAAGATAACCCTATGACCAAAGGGGTGATGTTGCTTTCTATACCAATCAAAATTGCCCTGAAGTCTTCCTGCTTTCATTTTTCTTTATTTCTGTGATTAATCCTAAATGACCACCTAGTCACTTTTCTAGAAGGAAAGCAAGACAGAAGAAACAGATGAGAAGTAGAGCTTAGAAAGAGGAGAATGATTTGGCTACTATAGGGGATTAATTTGGGTCTCATCATTTGGTGCCAAGTTAATGATAAATACTTGTAATGTTTTTCCAAAACTTTGCCTTCAAGTGAATCCTTGATATATGCCCCTCACTCAGGTGAGGAATTACTGAAAATTAGGCTGAACCTCGTTTACTCGCTAATCCAACCCTTTAAATAAAAACAAGAAGACACTAAATCATAATAGCATCTAAGTTAAATCCCATGCCTGGATTATTTCTCTACATGCTATAAAGTCATTACCCATGCTTATTCCAATCTCTCTAGCAATTTTATCTATTCTAAGATTTCTCAAATTCTTTCACTCACTGATGCTAGTTCAGCACACACATATAAATAAGTTGACTATTCCTTACCATTTCCTGATTATCTACAGTGAAACTTAATTTACCACTTTAACTGTTTTAAAATGTACAAATTCAGTGGCACTAAGTACATTCATAATGTTGTACAACCACCATTACCCATCTAGTTTCACAACTTTTTCATCAGCCTAAAAGGAAATCCATACCCATATTAAGCAGTCAGTCCTCATTCCCCTGTCCCTGACATCCACTAATCTACTTTCTGTCTCTATGGATTTGCCTATTCTGAATATTTCATATAAATGGAATCATATATGACTTTTTGTGTTTGACTTCTTTCACTTAGCATAATTTTTTCAAGGTTCATCCATGTATCAGTATTTCATTTCTTTTGATGGCTGAATAATATTCCATTGTAGAGATGTTCCACATTATGTTTATCCATTCATCAGTTGATAGACATCTGGCTGGTTTCTACCTTTTGGCTATGGTGAACAGCGCTGCTATAAACGTTCATGTGCAAGTTTTTGTTTGAACACTTGTTTTCAATAATTTTCAGTATATGTCCAGGAAGGACATTCCTGGGTCATATGGTAATTCTGTTTAACTTTTTGAGGAAACACTAAACTGTTTTCCACAGTGGCAGCACCATATTACATTCCCACCAACAACGAATGAGGCATCCAATTTCTCTACACCTTTGTCAACTTGTTATTTTCCATTTTTCAAAAAATTATAGCCAACCTGGTGGGTATAAAGTGGTATCTCATTGTGGCTTTGATATGCATTTCCCTAATGACTAATGATGGTAAGCATCTTATCATGTGCTTATTGTACATTTGCATGCTTTCCTTGAAGAAATGTCTATTCAAATCCCTTGCCTTTATTTAAATTGGGTTGTCTTCTTATTATTAAATTGTAAGAGTTCTTTATATATTCTGGACAGAAGTCTCTTACCAGTTTTATGATGTACAAAGATTATTTCCCATTATATGGATTGTCTTTCACTTTCTTGATCATGGCCTTTGAAATAAAAAAGTTTTTAATAAAAAAAAAGCAAACAAAAGAAACAAAAAGTTTTTAATTTGATGAAGTCCAATTTATTTTTCTTTTATTACTTGCTTTTTTGATGTCATATTTAAGTATGATGCTTCCTTTGATACCTAAGATATGTCAATGTTGGCTTTAATTTTTATTACAGTAATCACTATCATTTATTAAGCCTCTACCATATGCCAGGCATTTTACATGTGTTATTTCATTTAACACACACACACACACACACACACACACACACACACACAGAGCTAGTATTAATATTATAGCCATTTTCAAGAGAAAAGAAACAAGCAAACTCAAAAAGGTATTTTCTCAAAGTCATTCAGCTAAGATATAACAGAAGCAAGATTCAAACTCAGCTCTGTCTAAATGCACAGACCACACTCTTTTCCTCTCTTCTATACTGCATTCTGCTATTGTATAGAATAATATAAACTGACATTGACAAGAAGAGAGGGAATATATGTTGTATTAATGTTCTATTGCTTCCATAATAGTACTACAAAGTTAGTGGCTTAAGCAAGAGAATTTTATTACCTCATAGTTCTGCAGGTTAGAAGTATAATACGGATGTTACTGAACTAAAATTAAGGTGTTGGCAAGGTTACATTCCTTTCTGGAGGCTCCAGGATAAGATATGTTTCCTTGCTCATGTGGATTGTTGGCAGAATTCAGTTCCTTGCAGTTGTAGAATTGAGATCCCCATTTCCTTGCAGGCTGCCAGTTGAGGATCATTCCCAGCCTTTATAGAGGCCACCCGTACTCTTTGGGTCATGGCCTCCTTCCTCCATCTTCAAAACCAGCAGGGTAGGTGGAGTTCCTCTCACACTTCAACTCTTTCCCCCTTCTTCTTCTACCTCATCTCTCTGAACCACTTTTTCTGCCTCTTTCTTCTGCTTTTAAGGAGTTACGGGATTAGATTGGACCCACCAAGATAATCAGGATAATCTTACCATCTCAAGGTCTTTAATATCACATCTGCAAAATCTCTTTTACCCTATAAGGTAACATAGTCACACATCCTAGGGATTAAGATGTTGACACCTTGTGGGGAGGGAGGATATTATTCTGCCACACACACACACAAACAGATGTATATTTTCAGCCAGATAGAATACAGAGAGTAAATGAAGAACAGAGGACTGAAGATAAATCTCTGAAATACAATATTAAGGGATGGATAGAGGAAAGAAGACCCAAAAGAAAGTCTGAGAAGGAGCAGGGGGATAGGCTTAGACTAGATCTAAAGGGACAATGATCTTGAAGATTCTTATGTTTTGTCCTGTTCATGATTTATTGATTTCCTCACTTTATTAAAGCTCTTTTGCCAAGTCTTTTACTTCCTGGTCTTGTCATCTTTAACGGTGCTGATACTTGGGGAGTGACCACACAAATTTGAATTTTGGACATATATCCCGAAATACCTCAGAACACTCAGCCCATGAACTGCTAAATTAGCTGAACATTCAGAGACCTTTTCCCCATGAACATCTTGCTCCAGGCAATGGAATAATAGATCATTGCTAGAACTTCCTAAAGCAAGGTAGCTGGAGAAAGCTTGCAACATCTAGATGGTTGGTTCCATTACTGGCAGGCAAGGTCCTTACCTCAGATTTTCAAAAGGAGAAACCAAGCGGGCCATCCCCTGTTGTCAATACTTTTTTTTTTTTTTTCCCCAACTGAGTCAATTAAGTTCTATGAGGTAGAGACATGTGAATTGAAAAGTATTAATTAAAAGAGTTGGGTGGATCCTGCGTCATAAGCTGAGGATCATTAGTAATAGGAAAGATAAAATGCCTCCTACTAAATAAATGCCATCTTCTAAAACTCAAATATAGGAATTTTTTTTGCAAGCACACATAAAAAGTTAAGGGTGAAACCATCTTTAAAGAGGACAAGTCTATTGCTAGTGAGGATGATTAAGAGTCATAGGATATAAGAAATCAAAGTGAAATACAAAAATTAGCCGGGTGTGGTGGTGGGCGCCTATAATCCCAGCTACTCGGAGGCTGAGGCAGGAGAATCGCTTGAACCCAGGAGGCGGAGGTTGCAGTGAGCTGCGATCGCGCCATTGCACTCCAGCCTGGGCAACAAGAGCAAGACTTTGTCTCAAAAAACAACAACAACAACAACAACAACAAACAAAAACGACAACCAAAAAAAAAAAAAACAAAAAACAAAGTGAAAATGAGGATTATCTAACCTAATTTTTTCATTTTACATTGGGGAAATAAAAATACAAAGCAGAGACATTCCCAAGATCACCTAGATGCTGGCAGTATCACAAGCATTCTAACCTCCTCTTTAATGTTCCAAATTCTGAGGTGATACATAGAAGGTGGCTCCATTATTGCTAAATTGATGCCGATTTCTCAGCCACTTTATTCTGGTGTCTCGATGAGGGGGATAAAAATGAGTGAAACCATGTTAACCATTACTAATGTAAGAAATTTTAGCCTCAGCACTATTAGAAAATCAATAAAGAACACCATTCAAAAACAATAGGGGTAACACATGGATACACAGAGAGGAACAACACAGAGAGGAACAACACAGATTGGGGCCTAACGAAGGGTGGCGGGTGGGAGATGAGAAAGGATCAGGAAAAATAACTAATGGATACTAGACTTAATTCCTGGGTGAAGAAATATTTGGTACAACAAACCTCCATGACACATGTTTACCCATCTGACAAACCTGCACATCCTGCACATGTACCCTAGAACTTAAATAAAAGTTAAAAAAATTCATTACTTATATAACAAAAAATATAGGGGATGATTTATGAAAAGCAATGAGCTGATTTTGTGCAGGGGCCAGTATGCCTAGAAAACCATAGACAGTATACAAATCAAGACTCACTATCTCTGCATAAGAGATTTTAGAAGGGTGTGTATATGTAAAATTACCACTAGATTCTGGAGAAAGAAAATAGGAAAGAGAAAGTAGGAAAAAAAGTTAATGGCTTCACCTCCGCCACATCTGCCTTTTTGCCAAGACTTTAAAAACTCTATTACCTCACAAAAAGCAGGAGCCAGAATAAAGAAATCTCTGAAACCTATGCTGTCCAGCATATTATGGGACACAACTAACATAAAATTACAGCTTTTACATTCTTATCCAGAATGAAATTTTTAAAAAAATCACATTTTGAGGAGTCAGTTGTCCTATCTGGGCCTCCCAATCCAAGCATCTATGCAATTAGCCAGTCATAGATTTAGCAATTAAATACTATAATCCCTGTCCAGGCAATGTGCTACTTGAGAACAGTGAGCTGTTGCCAGATGCCCTGTAAAAGCAGTGGGAGATTTCAGCAGGCTAGACCCTCCAGGACACTGAGAACCACATTGAGAAAGGGGATGAAAGAAAAGGGCATGAGGAAAGTAACAGAAGATGCCTAATTAGCCCTAAATAGCTTACTTTAGATTTCTCTGCCACCTCTCGGAATATACTACTGAATTATAATTACCCTAACTTAAGGCTGTGCCATTTAACTATCTTTGTTATGATTATTGTTATCCAAAATATTGTATTCCTGCTATCACTTTGCCCTGTCTCTTCCTGGCATACTGACACTTATTATCCTGGGTTGTCACAATCGCCTGGTTATCAACTAAATTATCCATGTCTCATTATACTCTACTCTACTCTGCTGGAATAAGAGGCTACCCTGAACAATATTAAAATTCACAACACACTTTTCCAATTGGAGTCAGTTTTCAGTTTACCAAAACACTGCTTGCAAACATGTTCTATGAAGTTACTTGAACCATTTCAAGTCAATTTTGCATTTCTTGATAATCTGGTTTTCCTTAAGTCTCACTGCCAGTTGTGACAGAGACTTTGGCACCTGGCTCATAGTTTTTCTCTCCGTACCAAATGTATCATCATTATCATCCTGGGTGACAAGTTACGGAGGAACATTTATCAGCAGGTATGTATCAATCTATATTGTGAATCAAAGAAATCCAGAACCAAGAACACTTTTAGGAAAATCCTGTCTCTACTTCATAGAAAGGTATGGAGTTTATATCCGATATGTACAACAAACTTTAAAACCAATGATCAAAAACTCTTTCTAAAATTCCTACTTTTAATGGTACGGTAGCTTGCTTTGTAGAACAATTCATGCCTAAAGTTTATTAACCACTTAGTACTTAAAACTAAGGCAAGCATGTTGAGATTACACTTTTTTCCTTCAACAAATCCTTACTGAAGGCCTACCATGTATTAAGGATTGTTCCAGGCACTAAGAATAAAGTTGTTCAGAAAATGTGCAAAATTCCTACACTTATGAAAATCATTTTTTACTAGGGGGAAGAACAAGATATGTAAGATGTAGAGTATACTACAAGATGATACATTCTTCAGAGAAAAATGAAGAGGGAAGAGAATAGAATTTTGCTTCGGTTATGGTTTGGAAGGAGGTGGCAGAGGTAGTCAGAGGGAAGTTGCAATCTTAAATGGGAAATGTCTCAATTAAGTGAACTTTAAGTGACTTGAATATCAAGACCTGAACAAGATGAAGGAACAAGTAAAACAGGTAGCTGGAAAAGAGCCTTCCAGAAAAAGTCATATCAAGTGCAAAGGCCTTGAGATGGGAGTGTACCCAGCATGTCTAGGAAACAATAAAGGGGCTATCAGAGTGAGAACAGAGTAACTGAGGAAAAAGTAGTCACAGAGTTAAAGGGTGTATGTGTGTGTGTGTGTGTGTGTGAAGGTTCTATAGGATCTTATAGACCATTAAAAGGACTTTGGTTTTTACTTAGTGTGAAACAGGAAGCTCCTGTGGGATTTTAGGAAGAGGAATGATATGATCTGACTTGTTTTAACTTTTTCATGCCTTTATTGTCCTACTGATTATGGCCTGTAGAGGGGCAAAGGCAGAATCATGGAGACCAGTTAAAAAGCTATTGCGAGAATACTTAATTATTTGAATCATGAGAAGAGAAATGATAGTTAAAAGTGGTTGGTTTCTGGTATATTTTAAAGAGGGAGAAAACATAATTTGCTGACAGATTGGACGTGTGATGTGCGAGAAAAAAGAGTCAAGGATGACTCCATAGTTTCTAGTCCTAGAAGAAAAAGTAGAATTGCCATTAATTGAGATGAAGAGAGCTGTAAAAGGAATAGGTTTTTATGGGGGCAATGGGGAAATCGGGAACTTACCTTTAGGACATTTTAATGTATAATAAAATATAGCACACTAAGAATGTTCTATTATCATAACTGATGAAGATAATTATATTTCTAGCATACAGAATAAGGCTATGTTATATTTTCAACACATTAATCAGTCTTACTCAAAACTCCTCACTACTTCAGCAAGGATTATTTGTAGACTACTTTAGAAGTCACTCCTAGAAAGATTTTAGCATCTTGAATTGGTTGTAGAGTTTGGATTGTTATTCTGGCATAATTTTGGAGCTCAGTTAAGTAGGCTATATATGTCTTATAGAGACATAACAAGGATGAAATTCTGGATGAACTCCAAGCATGTATTTACATTAAGAAAAATGGCTGCCATAGGAATAAAAAGGCAATACCTGACACTTGAACCCAGGTGCTCACCAGAACTGGAAGAATATGAGCAAGTATTTAGTCTAAAAAGTCATCTCCTGTTGAAGCAGTAAGAGTGATTTATCAGATGAGGAGTTATGTTCCTCTCTGGCATGAACCATCTAGCTGCATGGAGCACTTCCTTGATAGCCCTCCTTCAGTAGCTCTCACTAGAGAAAGTCCTCATGTACTAGGTTCCAGGAACTGCCACCTAAGTTCCCTTTACCCACTTTACCCATATTTGGTTTTGCCTTTTCCAGGGCTGTGACCTCTGCAATTCATTTAATAAGATTAAAGTAAACTGATAATGAAGAGCAAGGAGTAGGAGGAAAATGATGAATCTATTTGTGGGAGTTTGAGTACAAATATTATTCAGAAATTCAATCTAGGTCCATTTACTTCTAAAATGCCACAAAACAATATTAAGTCAATACATTCAGCAAGCAATTATGAAATAGGAACTATGTTACCCACTGAGGGATGGGGAATTCATGGATAAATAAAACAGGGTTCCTGCCCTTAGTGAACTCAGAAGCTAATGGTGAAAGCAGATGATTAAACAAGTAATTACAAGAGCATTTGTAATGAAGGGGCATACAAAATGTCAGGGACCCAAAGGGGGGACAATTAAATCTGCCTGAGGAGGTTGTGAAGGATTTATAAAGAAGATGACATTTGAGCCAAGCTGTGAAGGAAGAGAATGCATTTGTCACTCTACAGAGAGAGTACTCTGTGATAGGCAGAGGCAGCCTAAAGCTTACCCAGCTTTGGGATCAAGGAGGTGTTAAGAGTAGTCTAGGGAAAGCTTACATGGGGAAGAGTGACAGAAATAGACTAGAAAGATTAGCTGGAACCAGACCTGCTTTGCTAGGGGTTCATCTTTTGTTTTATGGGCAAGAGAGAGCTCTTAGGCTTTTTAAGCAGGCAAATGCTACCATGATAATTGTGGTTTGTTTTTTTTTTTTAAATAGTAGGTGGCAGAAGGGAAGAAAAGAAAGAAAAGTCATCAATAGCAAGGGCATAAAACAGATCAAGAGAAGTAAGAAAAAATAGAGTTTCATACTTTGCAGAAATAACCATGAACATATTCACTCCCATGCCCCTTTCCCATCCCCAAAACCTATCGATACCTCCCTCTAACTAAATTAAACATCTCTATGCCCTATCATTTCATCAAGCAGGCAATGAAAAAAGATATGCCACACAGAAAGACAGAAGGAAGATGCTGGTACCTCAGAAAAAACACACAGAAAACCACCTTGTCCCATTTAATTATTTCTCTCAGAGTTTATAAGGGAAGAAATAATTAAGAACACCATATGGATTTAGAACACAGGGAAGCATGTATGAACACATCACACACACACACACACACACACACACACACACACACTGCTTGTATTGACAAATGATAAGAATGATAAGCAGTATAAACACCAAGAAGAATGATTACATCTGTCTTACCTCATCACACACATTCACTTTTAATAATGCCGCCAATTTACTATTGTTTGAGATCATTCTTTTTAACATAGCCTTGGTGTACCAGTAGCTTTTGAGAACCACTTCCTCTCCATTGTCACTCCTAGTTTCTTGTGGTTCCAAGACACTAAATACTAAAGACTACTATAGTAGCTTATGAGAGGGCCATAATATTGCTATAAGGAGCCTGCTGCTTGCCTTGATTAGGTTGAAAGCATCAAAGCTCTGGAAAGAATCTAGGAGACCTCTCTCTGACTGATGTTTAGCTTAGATGAACACCACAATCCTTAGATTAGGTTTTTAGAGCATATTTCTTTTTTAACACGGTCCAGAAAATAGAGAAGTTACACCCTCACTTTGCTGGCCAATAGAAGGCTCTTTTCTGTAGTACCACTGGAGACAAGCAAAGGTTTGAACACTTTTTATTATCAGCATGGGATTAAATTCTCCAGATGACCATAGTTTTCAGAGACATTATGAACAGTGATTATCGAATGTCTTGGTCACAGAATACTTTTATAAAAAATTAAAAACCGAAATAAAACTAAGAAACAACATCAGTTCCTACTGACCCATGGTAAAATCAATAACAAAAAAAGGCAAGAATCATCATTTCTAATGGCACAGCAATACTTCCCTCCTCCAAACTCATACAGTGCTTTCACGCTACTCATTTGGCACTTAATTACATGCTGTATTTTACTAGTTGTTAATTTTTTTTTTTTTGAGACAGAGTCTGGCTCTGTTGCCCAGGCTAGAGTGCAATGGTGCGATCTCGGCCCACTGCAATCTCCGCCTCCTGGGTTCAAGCAATTCTCCTGCCTCAGGCTCTCGAGTAGCTGGGACTACAGGTGCATACCACATGCCCGGCCAATTTTGTACTATTAGTAGAAACTGGGTTTCACCATGTTGTCCAGGCAGTTCTCAAACTCCTGACCTCAAGTAATCCACCCACCTCTAGTAGGTAACTTTTTAGAAGTGTTAGTTCTGCTTCTCTTATTTGATTGTAATACAGTAAGGTTAAATTAGATATGCATCAAATCAGATTGCAAAATACCTTCCATCAGAGAATAGGGCACTAAGAATTGAAAATATGGACACTAGTAAATTCATATCCTTACTGAGATTCATGGGCCATTTAATACTACTTTATGTGTAGCAATAAAAAGTGGAATATGAAATAAAGGTACACTCTAATACCTATGAAGTTAATAAAAAAAAAAAAACCTTAAAATCATAAGAACCTATGTTGGTTGGGCTTCTATAAAACTGATGCATGATTATACTTCCCGAAATAATTTAAATTGGTATAACCCTTCATTAAGAATCAGCAATAGATTTAAAACCCATAAGAATGCTTACAACTCTTATATAAATAATTTACATTAAGGAGTAATTCAGATTAAAAGGCTTTAGATATGAATATATAATAATTTAAATATAAAAACAAAACATTAGAAATAACATATAAGTTTAGAAATAATGGCTAATTAAATGATGGTCTGTAAAACTGATGGACCATTTATAATAAAAACTTTAATCAAATTAAGAAATAAAAGAAACTTGCTTAACGGACAAAGGGCATAAAAAAACTTATACCCATCATCATATTTAATGGTAAAAGACTGAATACTCCCCCACCCACTAAGATCACAAACAAGGCAATGATACCTGCTCTCAGCACCTATTTAACCTTGTACTGGAGTTCCTAGTGCAATAAGACCAAAAAACAAAAGGTATCTAGACTGGAAAGAAAGAATCTAAAACTGTTTTTATTCACAGATGCTGTAATTGTCCACCTATAAACTCCCCAAAAATGTATAAAAAACCACTACATCTGATAAGTGAGTTTAGCAAATTTGAGATTCAACATCAACGTACAAAAACCAATTGTATATTTCTATATATTTGGAATGAACAATTAAACATCAACATTAAAATAACAATGCCACTTATAATGAATATGGAACACTTTGGAATAAATCTCACAAAATATGCACAAGATTTGCTGAAAACTACAAAGCACTAAAGAGAGAATTCAAATAAATGAACACAGAACTGTGTTCGTGGATTAGAAGACTAAAATTGTCAAAATGTCAATTTTCCCCAAATTGATCTCTGAATTCAACATAATCCTAATGAAAATATCAGCAAGCTTTTTTTTTTTTGAGACGAAGTCTCGCTCTGTCGCCCAGGCTGAAGTGCAGTGGTGCGATCTCAGCCCACTACAACCTCCGACTCCCTGGTTCCAGCGATTTCCCCTGCCTCAGCCTCCTGAGTAGCTGGGACAACAGGCACATGCCACCACAACCGGCTAATTTTTGTACTTTTAGTAGAGATAGGGTTTCACCATGTTGGCCAGGATGGTCTCGATCTCCTGACCTCGTGATCCATCCACCTCAGCCTCCCAAAGTGTTGGGATTACAGGCGTGAGCCACCACTCCCAGCCAAGCTTTTTTTTCTTAAGAAATTGACAAATTGATTGTAAGATATATATATTTATATATATTTACATATATATTTTTATATATTTACATATACAGTTTTACATATTTGTTCATATATATTTACACATATATGGCTTAGAATAAACAAAACAACTTTGAAAAAGAAGAAAAAGTTGGAGGACTTGAACTGCTTGATTTCAAGACAATATAAAAGTAAGATCAAGACATAGCAAAAGGACAGACACACAGGTCAATTGAACATAATATAGAGAATGCAGAAGGAGACCAACACATATGTGGTGAATTGATTTCTAAGAAAGGTATCAAGGTGCATCAATGGAGAAAGCATAGTCTTTTTAACAAATGGTGCTGGAACAACTGTACATGCCATATAAAAATATGAACCTTGGCCATACTTCATATCATATTGAAAAATTAACCCAAAACATATCATCATAGACCTAAGTGTAAAACCTAACAGTATGAACTCCTAGATGAAAACATAGGAAACAGACCTTTGTGACCTTGGATTAGGCAAAGATTTCTTAAGATAGGACACACAGAGCGTGAGACATGAAAAAAGTGACATTATAACTGTATGTCACTAAAATCAGAAGAAAAAACTTAAGCTTTTTGAAAGATACTGTTAAGGAAATGGCCTGTTGACCAGAACATATAAAAAACTTTCACTACTCAATAATAAGAATTATTTTTAAAACTGAATAAAATATTTGAACAAATACATTAAACACAAAAGAAGAGATACAAATACATTAAACACAGAAGAAAAGAAACTGAATAAAATATTTGAACAAATATATTAAACACCAAATAAGCACAAAAACAGATTCTCAGCATAATTAGTCATTAGGTTAATACAGATGAAAACCTCCGCGACATATGTCTATACATATATCAGAATAGCCCAAATTGAAAAAAATACTGACAATACTAGCAATGTGCAGAGCAACTGCAATTTTCATATATTGCTGGTAGGACTACAAAATGGCAAAGCCACTTTGGAAAGCAGTTTGATAGTTTCTTATAAAGTTAAACATACACTTACTATATGACCCAGTAACTCTAAAGAAATCAAAATATATGTTCACATAAAAACCTGTACACAAATGTTTATTGTGGCTTTATTCACGATAAACTTTGGGAGGCTGGGGCAGGTAGAACACCTGAGGTCAGGAGTTCAAGACCAGCCTGGTCAACATGGTGAAACCTCGTCTCTCCTAAAAATACAAGAATTAGCTGGGCATGGTGGTGAGCACCTGTAGTCCCAGCTACTCGGGAGGCTGAGGCAGGAGAATTGCTTGAACCCAGGAGGTGGAGGGTGGAGTAGCTGAGATGATGCCACTGCATTCCAGCCTGGGAGACAGAGAGAGACTCCGTCTCAAAAAAAAAAAAAAAAAAAATGGAGTACTAACATATGCAAAAACAGAGATGAATCTCAAAAGCACCATGCTAAGTGAAAGAAGAGAAAATTAAAAGTATGTTTCCGTTTATACGCATTATTCCATTTATATGGCATTTTGGAAAAGACAAAACCATATAGTGCCAGAGATCAGAGCAGTTGTTGCCAGGGAATACAGTAGAGGGCGAAGAGTCATTGCAAAGAGGCATAAAATAAATTTCTGATAAATGGAAATATTCTGTGATCTTGGTAGTGGTAATACAACTGTGTAAGTTTGTAAAAAAATTTATAAAGCTGTATATTTAAGAAGGATGAATTTACTGAAGGTAAATTATGCCTTAATTAACCAACAAATGAACAAAATACTGTCTAATCAAGTGTTGAAGAGGATGTGAAACAACTGGTATGCTCATCTACTGCTGGCAGGAATGGAAAATGGTACTTTGTAAAATAGTTGGACATTTAAAAAAATTAAGTTACACATACACTTATTATAGGCCCAACGATTCCATTCCTAGTATTACCTAGGGAAAATAAAAAATATATGTTCATACAAACAGTTGTACATGAATGTTCACAGCAGTTTTACTCATAATAGCCCAAACTGGAAAGAACAAAATGTTCATAAATGTCAAAGGTGAATGGATAATTATGATATATCCATGTGAAAAACTATAACTCATCAATAAAAAAGAATGAACTATTGACACCCCCAACACCATGGATGAATCTCAAAATATTATGCTGAATCAAAGAAGCCAGACACAAAGGGTGCACAAAAGAATATAAATTCTAGGATTTACATATAATTCTAGAAAATACAAACTAAGCTATAGTGATAAAGAGCAGATCAGTGGTTATTTGGGGACAAAGGGATGGGACTAATTACAAAGACACACAAGAAGCCTTTTTGGCATGATAGAAATGTTCTTGGTTGTGGTGGTGGTGGTGGGTACATGGAGTTGTACACTTGAAATAGGCACATTTTATTGTATATTAGATTATACCTGAATAAAACTGATTTAAGAATTAACAGCCTAAAAATGTTTAAGATAACCAAAACAGCATGGTACTGGTACCAAAACAGATATATAGACCAATGGAACAGAACAGAGGCCTCAGAAATAACACCATACATCTATAACCATCTGATATTCGACAAACCTGACACAAACAAGCAATGGGGAAAGGATTCCCTATTTAATAAATGGTGTTGGGAAAACTGGCTAGCAATATGCAGAAAACTGAAACTGGACCCCTTCCTTACACCCTAAACAAAAATTAACTCAAGCTGGATTAAAGACTTAAATGTAAGACCTAAAAGCATAAAAATCCTAGAAGAGAACCTAGGTAAAACCATTCAGGACATAGGCATGGGCAAAGACTTCACGTCCAAAATACCAAAAGCAATGGCAACAAAAGCCAAAATTGATACATGGGATCTAATTAAACTAAAGAGCTTCTGCACAGCAAAAGAAACTATCGTCAGAGTGAACAGACAACCTACAGAATGGGAGAAAATTTTTGCAATCTATCCCTGACAAAGCACTAATATCCAGAATCTACAAAGAAACAAATTTACAAGAAAAAAACAAACAACCCCATCAAAAAGTGGGCAAAGGATATGAAAAGACACTTCTCAAAAGAAGACATTTATGCAGCCAACAAACATATGAAAAAATGCTCATCATCACTGGTCATTAGAGAAATACAAATCAAAAACCACAATGAGATACCATCTCATGACAGTTAGAATGGTGATCATTAAAAAGTCAGGAAACAACAGATGCTGGAGAGGATGTGGAGAAATCGGAATGCTTTTACACTGTTGGTGGGAGTGTAAATAAGTTCAACCATTGTGGAAGACAGTGTGGCAATTCCTCAAGGATCTAGAACTAGAAATACCATTTGACTCAGTAATCCCGTTACTGGGTATGTACCCAAAGGATTATAAATCATTCTACTATAAAGACACATACACGTGTATGTTTATTGCGGCACTATTCACAATAGCAAAGACTTGGAACCAACTCAAATGTCCATCAATGATAGACTGGATAAAGAAAATGTGGCACATATACACCATGGAATACTATATAGCCATAAAAAAGGATGAGTTCATGTCCTTTGCAGGGACATAGATGAAGCTGAAAACCATCATTCTCAGCAAACCAACACAAGAACAGAGAACCAAACACCGTATGTTCCCACTCATAAGTGGGAGCTGAACAATGAGAAGACATGGACATAGGGAGGGGAACATCACACACCAGGGCCTGTTGGGGGTGGGGGGCTAGGGGAGGGACAGCATTAGGAGAAATACCTAATGTAGGTGATGGGTTGATGGGTGCAGCAAACCACCATGGCACGTGTATACCTATGTAACAAAACTGCACATTCTGCACATGTACCCCAGAATTTAAAGTATAATCAAAATAAATAAAAGAGAAAGCAGGATTTAAAAAAAAAGTTAAATATAAAAGGACATAGGCATTACAAATAAGCATATAAAAAAAAAGACCAGAAAGAGCCCCACAAAATAAACAATTGTGTTAAGATAGAACATTTAGTTAGGGCTTATTTTTCATCTTTGATAACTATTTTTAATCTACTATAGTAATATTTTCATAAACAGTACTTCTTAATAGAGAAAAATAAAGCAAATGACTTGTAATTTGATTAAACATGAAAAATTAACTCAAGGCTTAATTTCTTTTCAGTTACCTCTATGCTCAGAAGAGCTCAGAACATTTAATAGTTAGCATTCTCAATTCCTTACTTTCTGAGAAATGGCAGGAGCCCCAGTATGAGCCATTAGCCAAAGACACAAGTATCCTGTCATGTAATGAATCAGCAAGAGTTAAGTGATCACTCCAGGTTGCCTGACTTTCATCTGGATACCATTTCCATGCAGGCAGACTTCTTAAGTAGGCCACTACAGTACAGTGACAGCAATAGTAGAAGTAACAATAATAGCTACTTCATTAATTAAATGCTTACCGAATCATAAGCAACATAATTATATTGTCTTATTTAATGCTTACTCCAACATTATAAGCCTTATAAGCTATTTAAAATTTTCATTTAATAGTCTAGGAAATGACACCTCAGAGAGGTCAAATAATTTGCCAAATGTCACAGCTAGTAACGTAAGGTCTGCTCAGTTCCAAACCTAATCACCATGCTGCCCTGCCACCCAGTAGAGGGTTCCTGAAATTTGTGGTTACAGAAGCCCTATTTTTCTGATGCTTGAGGGGTTGAAGAAAAGAGGGAGACACTAGAACTTAATAGACCGAGGCAGAATTTTCTTTCTTCATACCTAAGGGGATTTGGAAAAATGCTGAGCATTCAGCATAAAGAGACTCCAAACACAACTCTCTGCTAACCTACTGGGAACAGATCTTAAGTCTCTGGACTGACTGGGATCTTGCCTATATAACTAGTCATCAGAGCCCATTTTTCTTTTCTACTGTATATTCTTAGCCAGTGTTACAGTATAAAACATGAAAAGGGAATATCAAAAGCTATTCTAGGAAAACAGGCTGTCCTTTCACACAAATGTTATCCAGAAAGGCTTCATGCCCACGTTGAATTTCATTTCATGTACAACAATCCCTTAACCGCATCTGAGAATGTCGCATCATCTCTCTCACTCTCTCCACATTCTCAACAAGTTATTTTACCCTTAAAATCAACAGACCAAGAAAGAAATGATCCTGGCGAATCAAGAAGCAGCTATTAATATTTAAGAGATGAGAATCCCATAGATATAGCTGGTTGTGTCTGAAATTGTTCCCTTTGCAGATATGTACCCTACACAAGGCTCCTTCCTTGGGTACCATTGCCTCAGAGGATCGATCTCCCTAACTGTACTTTTGCCTCTTTAACTCATTCATTCTGGCTTGCCTCCCACTGTACTTCTTTCTTTCATTCAAGCCTGGTGTTTTATCTCCTGCTACCCAAAAGGTTGTCAGAACTGCTACAAACCGAAGGGCTTTCATCTTCTGCTTGTCTTCACATACCTGCCATTTATAATAGTTTAATCTGACATGGCCCACGGTGCCTCTCATTCATGAGCTAGCATTTCCAGACACAAACTCTCGAGGGAAGAACCCTCAAAGAGGTCCAGAAGCAACCTGATTCCTGTTCTATCTTCACTTGTCCTCTTGGGACTTGACACTTTAGACTGTCCTTTCGGTTTTCTACCTTCACTGATGCTGTCCAGTTCCCCTTTCATAATCGGTCCTACCTCATACCTTTACCCATTCCTGGTTCCTGGACTTGCCCTAGAAGGAAGTGTTTTAACACTCAGATTAGGGTTCTGGATTCTCCTTTTGGTCCTTGCTCCCCAGGGATCCATGCTTGTAACTGTGGCTCCCAGGTAGTTAATTCTTTTATAGCTAAGGGTGCTTCTTTCTTGGTAAACTGAACTATGTCCTAGTTGCCTCAATCTGGACCTTTGGTGTCACTCTCTGCTGCCCTCCACCGGCTACCAGTAGAATGCAGTAGTTAGAAATGGGTTCCAAGGCTTTTCCTTGGCCTGTAAGGGTCCTCTAGTAGAAAGCTACACAGTGCAGTTAACGAAGATGAGATTCGTGTTCAAAACCTAGCAGTTTTCATTCAACCAGTACCACTACAACAGCCTCTGATACCACTGCTACTCCCAGGGAAATTCACTGGTAATGACTCTCCTGTCCCTTCTCATAAAGATGTGATTGTCTCAAAAACTTTCAAATTCCATGTTTGTGGATATGCATATTCATGCTGTATGGTAGAGGTTAGGGAGAAACCTTCTGAGTTCCTCAGGCTTGGTTTGTTGGGAGAAGCAGAAAGTAGTGCAATGCCTCAGGCTAGACAGGCAGCAAGGCGTCTCACAGGTTACCTAGGTCCCCTATGATACAGCGTGAGAGGATTGACAATGCTGTCTGTGGACTAAGGTAGCAATTGCTAGGTGGCTTACTATGTTATGCTTGTTAGCTCTTCACTCAAAAGCTGAAATGGAATGGAACCAATGCCTTCAAACTGACTGACTTTGCTGTGAGGCTATCTAGAGTGATGCTGGCACCACGTCCACATCAAAAGTTACAGTCATTGTTCTACTGAAGCAGAGGGGTAGGAGAGTTGTCAAAGATTAGACTGACAGTTCTGTAAAAGGTCATTCTAACACCTAATGGAAAGGGTGTTCTATTAGGATGGTGCAAAAGTAATTGTGGTTTTTGCCATTAGTTTCAATGGCAAAACCGCAATTACTTTTGCACCAACATAATATACTCTGGTGGAACCTCTAAGTAGTAGGGCTCTGCCTCCAAGGATGAAGCGGAAAGTGCTGGGCAAGCCAGCGTTTGGTTAGACTGTGGCAATATGGGTTGAAAGCAACAATGGAAACTCTTAGCCTGGGAGGCCCATGAGTCAGAAGGCCAAACCTCATTAATTTTTCATGGGGAAATATGTCAAAAGCCTGGTATTTTATCTCCTGCTACCCAAAAGGTTGTCAGAACTGCTCCAAACTGAAGGACCTTCAACTGCTGCTTGTCTTCACATATCTGCCATTTATGATAGTGCCTGTCATTCATGAGCTAGCATTTCCAGACACACAAACTCTCCAGGGAACAACCCTCAAAGAGGTCCAGAAGTTACCTTTCTACCACATACAATTGTGCAAAGAACCAACTGTTTGGGGCTTACATTGCTACTAAGTGGGTGTGCTTGCTCTCTGAGGAAAACCACAGTGGAGTTCATCAGCCCTTCCACCTTCCCTTCAAGGACCCCTTCCCCATTAAAATAAAAATAAAAAGGAGTCTACCTCTCATAAGACTACCATGGTCTTAGTGTGGTTATCATCTACTACGAATACTCCCTCTCCCCTGATTCCTAATCTCCTGAAACAATTCCATGGGGACTTTTAGGAAGTTAGACCCCTGAGGTGCTAAAATGATTTTCATAGTAAGAGGATAATGAATAGAAAATGGCCTTCCAAACATGCTATGATGCCACTTGGCCCATTAAATTTTGGTCTTTTCCTGGTACTTAAATGACATCTTACATGATTTTCTATACCAAAGATTTCTGCTCTGTTTGGATATTATTTCATGAGGTCCTGGTCTGCCAAATATGAACTATTTGTTAAATCAAAAAATGCCCTGAGGTAGAATTTCCAAACGCACTTCCTCCCCAGTTAAGAAGCTGGTATGAAGTGAGATGAAGTCTTGGCAGTTCTAGAGCAGATTCTCCTCCAATCAATTAAGGACATTCTAGCAAATCCCAGAATTTGTTACATATTACTGGCAATTCCTCCTACTAATTTCCTCTGATGGCTCTAGTTACTAATGTCTCAAGCAAGGGAAGGAGATAGATCTTTTTTGCAGAGACTACTAAAGCATTCCAGAAGCTGAAGACTTTATTCATCTGTGCCCTATCCTTGCATATGCTGATCCAGCCTTTGCTATAAAGTCAAAGTTCTAGCTCAAATGGAGCCTATTCTCATGGTGTTCCTTCTTCTATTTTTCACAGAACCATCCCCAGAAGCTGTTAGCTCTCCCCTACCCATACTTAGGAATAGGAATTATTTCCTGTCAGAGCTTCCTTTGATGCTGGAGGTATCATCTTGAAGGTTACAGGCATCTGTCAAAACAACTTGGGCAATACAATTTTAGCAAAACGACCAGAAAACTCTGCTTCCAAAAACCAAAGGACCATCTTTTGAAGTTGACCATCTTATTTATGTTGGGCTGCTAAACCACAGCTAAAATGTCTTCTCTGAAAGTCTGTGTATCTGCGTACAGCAGAGTTGGCCTTGCCCTAGAGATCTTGCCAGAAAACTCTATAGCTGTTTCCTAAAACGGAACTATGGCACCAATACAAAAAAAAAAAAATCTAGATAAAGTGACATCCCTTGGAGCATCAGGCCACCTGAAGAGAGACTATGGGGAGAAGAGAATGTTATACAAGAATGCAAGCTCCATAAAGGTAAGGGCCTGTTTTATTCACTGCATTGTATCTACTACCTGGGCTAGGCACAGTGTTGAATAAATGAATGAACATTTCCTGATTAGGGAGGTCTATATCTATATCCAAGTGCTTGCTGTGGCTATGTCAAGATCTGAAATATGGTCTGCAGGACATGCAGTGGCTCTGCATCTGCAAAGAGATCTGTGCAGGTGGTCTGATAATACTATATCTTCTTCTAACCACCAAATGCCTTTGGGATATGATGACCCTGGATTTCATTTCTCATCTGCCCTCCTCATATATACATGCTACTCTATCAGTGGTACAGATAATCTCTTCCAAGATAATGTACTTTATGGCTTAACTCATTCCTTCTAATCCTATTATCCACAACAGTCATAGTAATGACATCTTCTAATTCCATGAGTTATCAAGTTATTTGACTTCTGACTATGGTATAGATGGCTCCCAGTTTTATAGGCCATTATTTGACATCACATACAATCTGAAGGTCAACAGAATATTTCAACTGAGCGCTTGGAGAGTATCTCTACTGACAACATTACTGGTCCGTACACTTCCCAACTGGAAGGTTTGCAAACAACTGTATTTTCTCTACCAAGAATATCTTTTCATAAAAACTTTCCCCTGCTACCTACCCCCACACTTCTCTTCATCAACTGCTCAGTAGCTGTTCAGTAAACACTTGGGAAAACTACAGTTCATCTCCCAAAACCCAAGTTATATTCCAGCAAGTTCAGGACCAGTATTAAGTACATGTGGGAAATGGCTTCCTGTTAACAGTTTAATGGTTATAACGAAAAACAGAAGACTGACATCTCTGACCTTTTGAGATATGGGCCTGCCCCACCCCAGCCCCACCTCCTATGAAGCCTCCTAGTTAGGGGACAGTTTAGACTGGTTATGGTAAAATATTAAAAAATAAATCCTATGGACTACATGTCTTTTTGGTATATTGCTGTATCAGAAAACAAAGATCAGCTTCTGATATAAATGGGTTTTCTACTGAGGCTAAAATACAAATAATTATTAAAGTTAAGATTTTTTCCTATGAGTCACAGCAGTCAAGCAAAGGGGGGAATGTTCCTTCTAGGAACACATAATATTCACTAGACTTGGGCAATTTGATTTGAAAATCAAAATTTTATTGAAGAGGATCATGACAGGATGAGAAGTAGGAGGGGCAGTTCTACATAGTTAAGTTCTTGAGTTGTTCTCAAGTTTTCCTAACGGGTGTTAACTAACCAAAGGTACGGGTTTTACCTCTATACCTCTAAAAGGAATAGCAGCAGTATTTGTTCAACATCTCAAAAGAAACATGCAACTATTTCTCTTAGGTCCTATAGTTGTTTTCAAGGCAGGTTAAGTGTCTGCAATGGAAATGCACTGTGTTTACTTTAGATTGTAGGTTAGAAATTGGGGAATAACTGGCCTAGAGGGAATATCAACAGCTCAATCTAAAAAAAAGCCCTAGATATCTTGGGATGGCTTGCTGTATGAGAGTCGTTGCCAGCAAGCTCCATTCGCGAGATCTGATGCAATGTCACAACCTAGTTCATTCAGCTTTATAAAAACTTAAGTATATATCAGAAGTAAATAACTGTTGGGGCCAAGGAACAGAAAATAATGGGATGTTACTAAGAAAAGGAACACCCTCAAGCCTTTGACCAAACATGGAAGGTAAACTATCATAGATTAAATAAATAATGCAAACTATTATCCAAGGAAGTTAAGAAGCACTTACAATGAATGTGAATAACAGAAATGTGAAATGTTTCAGGGTAGCCTGTAAATAGTAGCATTTAATGAGGAGAATAGATAGGACATAAAAGAAGAGGTATATGAGGAAGACAAACAACAAAAAATAATATGAGAAATTAAGAAATGGGGATTTAAAGAGATCAGCCTAATACTTAAAAGAGAAAAGACAGTCTAGATCCTAATTAAACTAACATACAAAACACCCATGTTTTTAAACAAAACTTAAATCTGCTATTTTCTATGCTTTAAATATTTTCTTCCCTTAACAATGCTTGACTTTCAGTGTGACTCTTCACCTTTTCCATGAAATATTTTATAGCTACTCAGGCACACATAGGCCTCTCTACTTCACGGCCTCTTTTTGCACTTATAGGTACAAACTTGCTCTTCATTTGCATTGTTTATATATGTCTTATAGCTCAACTAGAGTGTAAATTGGAGTTTATGTCCCTGTTTCTTGAATTTGGACTGGACTTGTGACTAGCTTCAGCCACAAGAATGTGGTAGAACTGATGGTTTGCTAGCTCCAAGTGTAGGCTTCAAGGAGTTTGCGCATTTCCTATTGCTTTCTTGGAACTCTGCCAAGATGCCATGTAAATAAATCTAGGTTAGGTTGTTTGTAGATGAGAGATCACAGAGAGTAGAAAAGAGTAGTCCTAGCTAAAGCATGCTAGACCAACCAGTCCCTAGCCAATCTAGCAGCAGACCTCAAAGTATGAGTAAGCCCAGCTGAACCTACCCTAAATTGAGAATCTGTAGAAATTTGAGCTTCATAAGTAGTTCTTGTTTTAAGCCAACATGGGGTAATTTATTTTGTAGCAAAAGTCACCGAACTAACTGAAACATACATAATGGCTTCATCCTTCAATGTAGTACTTATCACAGTGTGCCTTATATTAGAATCAGGAATTTGCTGGTCATTCCTTTGCTCCCAGAGGGCACAGATTATACTATATTCATTTGTGTATTCCCACAACACTTAGGTTGTGATTTGTACACAGTAGGCACTTAGACTTTGATAAAATAAACTGAAATGAAAATCAAATTCTAGTGTTGATCAGCATTATCTACTTAATGTTTAACCATGGAAGAAAAATATAAGCCATGCCACTGTTTAAAGAATAAAGTAAGTACTGAGAATCTACTATTGGTCCTTTATTATAATTCTCAATTATGAACCATTAAAGGTCAGCACTTGGTGTTTACATGCCACTTCAAGATAGCTAATTAAATGAGCCTTTAAGCTACCCTTCTCAAAATTCAGCATTAGCCCAAATTTGGATTTTGATGGAAATATACACATATATTTGATTTTTGCATGAGAAGTCATACTGCAATCCTACTTATAAAGATAGAAAACACAAAGTGTTAAAGAAGGGGATTTTGATTTGTACTATCTAATTCACGATATTATTAATAGTAGGTTTTCCAAACTCAGAAATCTGACAAATGAGGTTTAACTTATTTGTACTTTAACTCTGAAGTGCCACACAAAAGTAAAATATCTTGAAAGCTTGTATATTCAAAATGTCATTTCTCTCTTTCTCTTAAGAAGTAGAAAAGTGAGAATAGGACAAGTAAAAAAGGATGAATAGTTTTGCTATCCGCATCTAATTTGCTTCCTAATGAAATTCTATAACTTTTAAATGACCGTTATTATAGTCTATACAAAGATGATTTCATCAAATATTCCACATTTTGAATACTTTAAAATTATTCATTAAATTGATACTGTCTGAAACTCTCTAAAGCAAGACACTGTGGAAGCATGCTCAGAATACACATATAAGACAGCAAGGCAAATACACTCAATGACGGTAAAAGAATATCCTTGCTGCACTGCACTGGGGGCAGATCCTCTTCTTACATGAGTGTGTACCCTATAATTTACCTTAACTTGGGCTTCCTATTTAATATTTTTATCTTTGGCTTATTAAGGACATAATGATTAATTCAGTTAAGCTAGATAACTGACTCAGGAGGTCAGTTATAGGTTTAGATAGGTCATTATGTAATGAAAAAAATCTGTGTTCTTAATAATATGTCTGAAAGAAAAACACCGACCAGTGAGAGTAGTATTCAGTTTTGGTCCATAAAATCAACCCTGTAAGGACTAGATGAGAAATAGGTAACAATGTGACATGTGAAAAAGACTCAAATACTAGCAAATAGGAAGCTCAATAAATGATGAGTAGGAAGCCCATTCCTCTAATTGGGGATGCCCAAATAAAAATATAAAGATTTAAAGGGTTAAGGTTAAGTGAGACAGATTTTAGCCAACTTAAGAAATATCTTTCTAGTAATCATATTGTCCTAAGGTGGAACTTGCTGCTTTAGGGTAGTGGAACCTCCTCAAGGAAGATATTCAATCAAAGTCTGGGGTGCTGTACAGGGATTGAAGTATAAAGCCAAATGTTATACTACATAATTTTTGAGATTAGCCTCCAATCCCAAAATTCAAAAATTCTATTTTAGAAGCCTAAATATTTAAGAAAACATAGTCCCAGGTTTTCTGTTTAGAGTTTGAACATCTCTGTAGTTCAGAAGCCTCCTTTTAAAATGATGCTCACTTTAAATAAGTTCTGAGAATGACTAAGATGAACTGCAAAGAGAGAAATATTTTCAGCACAGGATGTGGAGAGATCATTTTTTTCACAATCACTCAACCTACCTGAGGTCTACTAATAATGAGCTACAGACCAAGAACTAAAGAAGTTTTTCAAACAATCTAGGTTAGAAAAATTATCCCTTTAAGCTGCTTCAGTAGAGACAGGTATAAGTAGAAATTAGGTGACAGATTGAATAGAAAGAGGCATACTCTTTCATTACCAGTAAAATTTTGGATTTTGGGTTTCTACTATTAAAACATTATAAAAGCAACTCTGGGAAGAGAAATGTAATAGAAAATAGGAACTTAAGCATAAATGACAGTGCTCACTGAGAGCTTACAAGTACTTGCACATTCATTCCCGACTCTGATCCACCTTATTTTGGCTGTGCTTTCTAACTTACTCCCTTAGTTAACATTTTCTGTGAACACTAGTTCCTTTCCATAGGGACCAAAACCACAAACTAGAGAGAATAACCATGCTTCCTTCTCATGAATAGTGAGAATGGAAACATTTTTCCTTGGTTGTGTTTCTCCAGTGAAATTCAATTTCTACTTTCCAAGAAAAGCCAATTGGGTTAGAAGTTTCTGAGAAGAAACAGGAGGGTGGGAGGGAATCCAACAGATATCACTCCACAAACCCTAAACCAAAATCCCAATCTTTCAATCTTACATCAGTCAAGGGATTAAAACCTGAATGTCTCAGTTGAGTTGCTACATCTACAGGTGGAAGGTCTTAAGTGTGGGAAGAGATTGTTCCATTTGTGATCATGCTGGTGAATCCTTAATGTGCAAGAGAACCCCCACCTTGGCCCCCAAATATTAAGTTGACACACGTTTCTGGGACACAGCCTGAATCCTCAAACTTTGGCAGGTCTATAGACACACAATTTTCTGTTTTCTGCTTAACAGTGCTTTCCAGAATTGTCATCAGATGACAGATTACACCACCCATCTACAAGGATTCAGGGGTAGCTCAGGCCATCCATTATGGGTTAAAAGCTGTTCCAGCATGAATCGAATCACAGTGGTAAGGAACTACCGATACAAGGGGTCCTGCAGCTTTAAGAAATACCCTGGGCATCTAAAAGTTTTCAGAATGCAAACTATGTCAGCTCTGAAAACAAGAGGCACTGCATCATTATGGCAGGAGAAACAAAGCCAGCCCCCTTTTTTAAACAGACAAAAAAAAAAAAGATTGTTTTAATAGGAAAGAAGCATCAGTCATTGATTCTTACTTCATTCACACTTTCTATCCAACCCCATCCATCTTAAGAGTGAAGAGATGACAGAGCCCAGTTAACTCTCTCCCTCACTAGGCCCCCGCTCACCCTGTTCCCTATATCCAAACCACCAAGGCCTACCAACCCACCCAGTTCAATCTGCAAGAAACAGTCCTATAGAATGACTGGTTCTATCTAATGGGCTTCCCAAAGCTCAGGTATGCCCAAGTATCAGCTTTCATCACATTACTTTAATAGGGTTAGCATCACTGGTCCAGGCCTTTTCTAATCATCTTCAAAAACGACCACTTAGTTACCCATGGCTGACAACATTCTACAAAGGAGGAGGCGGGAAGACTTAAGGCAGCAGGAAAAAGTCAACAAACCAACCAACAATCCAGAATGTAAAATATTTCATTTTTCTTAAATGCTGCTGGCCACATTATCTACAAACAAAACTTCTCCAAGCAGGCAGTCTCTGCATCAGTGCACCTGCTTAGCATTGGTTTGCTGAGTTATCTTTTTGCTATGTCTGCAAAAGCCAACAACAGCACAATGGGTCGCATCACTTGAGGGTCACTTGAGTCCCTCTACTCTGGGTCCCTCCTCCCACCCCCGCCTTCCCTTCTACCCACAAAACCTTTAACTCCACCATAGCTAAGGATCCCAGATAGCTAAATAAAAGAGGTGGCCTCAAATACAGGGAAAACCCTTAGGTCTCCAATGTGAATCGCCAACGCCAATCCCCCTCCCTTCCCCTTTTCCTTAAGACCTGATGGTCTTCAGTCACACATCTTAAAAGAAAAACAAAAAACAAAAACACAAAGACTTACTTGTCTCAAGTCGATGAAGGCCAACTGCAGCGTGTCCTCCTGGAACCCAGGCACCGGGCCGGATCTGGCAAACTCTGTGGGAAAGAAAAGAGGATAAAAAGCGCCTTTAACTAACCATGGACAGGGAGATTGGCAGACGGATGACAGGGAAGACAAGAGAAGCTGGGGGAGAGGAGGACCAAGCTTCTAAGGAGTCATGTCTCTCTCCCTTCAGCTTCTTTGTTTGCCCTTCAAAATTCGTGTCATCAAAACACCATTAATTCCAGCATCCTGACAGCAAGGAAACTGTACTAATTCGACCTGAAATTTATTCCCATGAGCTGCGCTGGGCTTCAGAGTATTTGTTTTGTGAATGGACAAACAACTTGCAAAGGAGGAGGGAGTGGGGGAGAGAAAAAAGTTTTTCCTCTCAACACAATAAAATCTTCAGCTGTGAAACTCTTTTCAGTTCCAAAAGCTATTTATATTTTAGATCGCTGAAGGAATTTTCTAATTTCACGCTTGTCACCTCATTCCCCAAGCATTTATCAAAAAATATTCCCTGCTACATCATTAATTATTCCCTCACTGATTATTTGTATTATCTCATGACTGCATTATTGCACACACACACACACACACACACACACACACACACACACACACACACGCATCCCAGAAGCAGAGGCTATCCCAATCCATGACTTGGCTTTTGAGCAAAGGAATATTTACAGATATGAAAAGGTCCATCTGAATAAACCTCACTGCAAAACTTAGGGAACATTTGCACATGTCTGTCCTTCTAGTGTATTCTTTGTCCTTGACTTCTACTTCCATTCCACTCTCAAAAATTCTTTCTTCTCCTTTCTCTACCCCAATTCAATCTTAGCCTGAAGAGATTACATGAATACTATTTGCAATTTACAGTGGCACCTTGGGTACATGCTCAGTTTATGACTCTGGCTTCTATGTCGTTAACAAGAAGATGGCTGTACAGGGATATAAGGACAAAAACTAGTAACAGTTAAGAATGTCAAATTTTATTGTCCCTGAGCCCTGCTTATTATGAAATCAAAAGGTCTTAAGTTCCCTATACACACACACATACACACACACACCAAATTCAAAAGTTGGACAGTTATACTATTATTCAATTCTTTCTATGAAGCCCGTGGCCAATCTCCTATTTACCTCAAAAACAACTCAAGTGCCTGTTCAAAGCAAATATGAAAAGGAACGTTTTCCTTCAAATTATGCTTCTATCCAGTACTGAATTTAAGAAACTATACAGAGTTGGTATCATATTCTTCTTTTGCAATCAATAAAATCTATCAAGATATTTGCATATATGTCTAGAAAATTACTTCCAACAACTAGTGGCTGGATAGATCCAAATGGTAATTTGTTGAACAAGGGTAGGAACTTCTGTTCTTTAAAAATATTTTCCATTTGGGGGCTTCTCAGACATAGCATTTCATAAAACCCTTGCCCCACTTTTAAAATTATGCTAACAACTTAGTTTGCAGGAATTATGAGAACATTATACAAAATGAAATTTAAAGCAATTTATTAAACTAATTAAAATATAGCACAGATGTATTAACAATATACACAATTCTTATTTTGACATTTAAAATTAAAAATGCCTCATTTTTCATTTTAATGAGATAAATTATATGGCATGCTTGGCAGTACTAAAGTTTCTATTTGCTTTGAGAAGAAAATTCAAATGCCATATATAAATTAATTCTATCGTATATTGCCCAAGTGATAACACTTTTTTAAAAGAGTAAAATTCTGGCCAGGTGCGATGGCCCATGCCTGTAATCCCAGCACTTTGGGAGGCTGAGGCAAGTGAATCACCTGAGATCAGGAGTTTGCGACCAGCCTGACTAACGTGGTGAAATCCCGTCTCTACTAAATACAAACAAATTAGCTGGGCATGGTGACACATGCCTGTAATCTGAGCTACTTGGGAGGCTGATACAGGAGAATCACTTGTACCTGGGAGGTGGAGGTTGCAGTGAGCCAAGATTGCATTATTGCACTCCAGCCTGGGCAACAAGAACGAAACTCAGTCTCAAAAAAAAAAAAAAAAGTAAAATTCTAAAACTGTATGAAGATTTTATGAAGGCCATGTTAATAAAAAGCTTGATATAATCCATTGTTTATATCTACAATAGCCAATATCTGTGATAACCTTGTATACAGGAGCTATTTGAGTTAAATGTACAATTTTCCTATACTATGCTCCTGTTAATAGCAATTCTTTGAATTACAGCCACAGCTATTCTTTTTGACTACTTGGATTGTTAGGTGATCAGCTAAAATTAGCTTCCCATACTTGATGGTTTCTTCCAAGGATGTTGGATTATCACACTTGGCATTGCATAACTCAAGTCTATGCTGTATCACTTGAAGCATCTGAAGACTTCTCTGTCAGTTCAAACCCTACTTGTGTCAAATGGCAGCAACTATCAAGATGTTCTGCCATCCTATATATGTCCAACTCAACAGAATCACCCACCTGAATGCTTGGGAGCTGGCTACACATTCTTGAATCTCCTTATTGGGCATGCTCCCTGGGGCTAATAGATTAAGCTGATGAAACAACTTAGGAATCTGGATGTGATACATATTTAGTTTTCGGAGTCACTTTATGGACCTCATTTTTATGACACACTGAATCTTCCAGGTTCCCAAAGGATATAATGGCCTTTTAAGTTTGATTGCCCCTTTTATAAATCAAGGAATCAAAGAATGACAGTTGCATCAGGTATGATAAAGTAAAGAAATTAATTTTCACATATAGTTTATGGAAATGTTTAATGACTATATATTCAACTTCATATTTGTATTTTTTCTCATTGCTTTATGTATATAATTCTTGTCTTCCCACATAGATAGCAAACTCCTTAGGGATAAAGACCATTTCACAAAACCAAACATCCACTCAAAATAGTAGATGTTCAACCAATATTGTGTTTTAGTTAAATAAGTTACACAAATAGCAAGATTCATTGGGCACATGTACTCTTCACTGCCAATGAAAATCTCTGGATTATAAGGGGTCCTTAATCTGAGTATCAATAAACAGGCTTTAGGAATTCATGAGCTCCCTAAAATTACATGCACATTGATTAAGGGGATGGACTTTGGAGCAATAAAAATCAGAATTTGAGCCCCAGCTTTCCACTTAGTAGCTCTATGGGCTTACACAATTTACTTAACCTCTTTACACTTCAATATCTTTATCTCAAAAATGAGGATAATACAGCATTCCTTACAGTGCTGCTATGAGGATTAAACAGAATAACACATGTAAAGCAGTTGGCAGAGTGCCTAGCATAATTGAGTATCATTATAATTAGTTTTTTAGTGTAAATATGAATTTCTCTGCACAGAAGGTTCATAGCGTACACTGAATTCTCAGAGGGCTGGTAGCTCAAAAAAGGTTAAGAAACACTGTTCTATATCAAGAACAAAACATAAGAAAAAATTCAGCTATGGCTCAGTGATGAGTTAGTGAGTTGGCATTGCAAACTTATTTATAGGCACTATTTAATTACTTCATTTAAAGGAAATTGATATTAAGTATTAGTGTTTTAGCTACAGCATAGCAATTTTCATTAGTATTGTTTTAAAAATTTAATAAATGTATAAAATAGGTATTTTGTAATTTTGTGACTCAGTATGCCCTGGGAAACATGATTAACTTTTTACATATATTAAAAAATGTTAATAGCATTAGAAAATGTGAATATTTTTTAAAATATAGGAGACTTTGTATACGGTCTAATTTCAACTATATAAAATATAATACGCACAGAAAACATGATAGTAAGCACTCACTTCATAATGTTACCCAAGGCTGCTACAGACAGGAAGGTTATGAGGGTGTTTTTTTTTCTTCTTTATATTTTATAAACTTTGAAAATAAATACAGACCACTTTTATAACCTGAGAGAAGGAAATGGAAGAACACACACATACACATACACATACACATACACATACACATACACATACACATACACATACATACACATACACATACACATTATGTAGTGAAGCTCATATTGCAGTACTTTCCCTAGTAACAAGAGATATAATTTGTTCAAGATTTAGCATTATTGGCAACTAGGATTGGTCTGTAAACCCAAATTCTCAGATGCTGCTTGATAGAAAGAAAAGAGGAAAACTACCACATGAGAGAGGGGCAAGAGGCTCCCAGACTCTTGTAATATGCTGATGCATCCACAAATTGATTATATGTACACACAAGAAGCCTCTCTTTAGAGCTGTTAATTAAAATTGTCCTTCTTTGACATAATAAAAAGGGGAAATACATGCAATTTTGGCCAAGCAGAACCAATGGATACATAGGTCACAATGGAAATTCGCTTTGTGGACTTATCTTTGCAATCCAGAATTTTTAGTAGGTTTTCAGTATCTAAGTGATCCAAGCCAGCACCAGAGATTCTGAAGCATTGGCAAGGAAAGCAAGGTACTTGCTCCACTCAATGCAGAACCAAACCCCACCTTTGACCAATTCCTGTTACTGGGAGACTGAATCAAAGTTCAGTGAGACTAGCAAGGTGGCTTCTTCTTGGGAAACTTGTTCAGGATAGGAGAGCCTCTGACAGGTACCAACCCATTCTCCAGAAAGCTTGGCTCTTCCCAGCAGTTCTGCCCTGCCCCTGTCCAAGCACGCATGGTAGAAACTCACAGAATCAAAGCTGGTATCAGGACCTGACTCCAAGATACCATTTGCAAATGTGCAAAATCTTTCAATGAGGAAACTGCCAATTCATTTGAAATTTATGAAGGAAACATCTTCACTTAAAAAAATTAAAAGGAGGTATACAAAATAGCAGGAAAGAAGGTATATTGTCAGTAAATGTATCAGAGGAGAAAGAAAATCACTAATATACTTTACTTGCCAAATATCTAACTCTTCATATTCTCATACACACAAATATATATGAGATATGGTAATTATTTTTAAAAACTATTAATTTTTCAAAAATATGCTATAATTTTATATTTCTAATAATCTTCACATTATAATGAAGTTACCAGAGGGGAAAAAGGAAGGATGCCACCCATTTCAAAGTGCTTTCTAGACTTCTTGAAGGCTGATCTTAAAATTAACAAATTCTGTCACTTAGTCGAGGGGAAAGAAAAAAATTAACTTTAATTTGGTATATTCATACTTGGCTGAAGAAAGCAACATATATAAAAGAGCACAGAATACTAAATTAGAATAAAATGGTAGAGTGAGAGTTAGGAGGGGCCTTGAGAAGTCAAAATAACTGAATTAGTCTATAATCTATCTACATATATAGGACATTTGGGAGTTTATCAAAAGAAGTCTGTGAGAAAAAATATAAAGCTAATTTTTCTAAATCTTTGCAAAATGCCATAGAACAGGAAGAGCTTTCAAAGGAAGATGAACAAGGAAAAATCTATTTCAGAAAAGCAAAACTAGCACAATGTCTGGCAAGTATGTAAAATAGCAATTTTGGGAGAAAAAATAACTTGTTCAAATAAGAGGAAGGTGAAAAGACAATCTGCAAAATGTTAACAAGAGGGTCCTAGATAACATCAGTACAGTATTGTTTCCAGTAAACTTCCAGTTTAGACAATGGACACGATAGCATCACCTGCTCTTGCTGAATGGATTAGGGATTGGTTTTGGCCAAAATGCCAGATAAGTAGGGAAAAAAAGCATAAAATCCTAAGCTATACTGGGTACTTGTTTATAATTTAAGATCATGTTAGGTCACATGTGTTTTTTCGTGGGAATGAAAAAATAAGAGCTGTTGTTGCTGTATTAACATAACGGTTTCCTGGTATCTGGCTCCCTGGAGCAACAGATGAAGGGTGTGCTAGACTATGAAGTGTCTAGGGAAGCCAAGCCTTCTTGCATCACATCACAGTGGTTCCACTAAGCTAATTACAAACAGGAGTTGATGTACTCCACAGGGAATCCAATTCAGATCCTACTGGTCAGAGAAGGGACGGCCAGAACATAAGGAAGTAAGAACGAAGGGAGAACAATGTCAAGGAGAGAGAAAAGGAGGAGGAGGTGGAGGTGGAAGGGAAAAGCTCCTTGGAGATTCATCTGAGTATACTTGTCTAAGTATGCTTGTATGGACATGTAATCATACAAAATAGATACCATTAATTATCTAGGGTATGACTGTATGATGTAAATTATTCTTTGCGTTTTTATAATTTAAATATGAAACTCACTAGATCTCCAACTTCGAGAAAGACAGGGGGCTGTAGGACATTGTGCCTATAATGAACAATACTGTATTGAATACCTAAAAATTTAAGAGGGTAGATTTCATATATGTGTTCTTACCACAATTTTAAAAAGAATAATATCCACAAATCATGTCTGACAAAGGACTAGTATCCAGAACATGTAATAAATTACTACAATAGACTCGTGTTAGCCTTAAGGACACAATAGACTGAAAATGAAAGGATGAAGAAAGACATTCTATGGTAACGATAATTAAAAGTATTGTCTTATATCAGACAAAATACACACTTTTTGGTAAAAATCTGTCACAAAAGACAAAGAAGGTAACTATATAATGATAAAGGAATCAATTCATCAGGAGGATATGGACCTAACATTGGAATACTTAATATATTAAGCAAATATTAACAGAGCAGAAAGGAGAAATACAGCAATACGATGACAGGGGTCTTCAATACCACATTTTTAACAGTGGATAGATCATCCAGACAGAAAAGCAATAAGAAAACATCAGACTTGAACAACACTATAAACCAAATGAGCCTACCAAATATATAAGAACATTCCACCCAACAGTAGTAGAATATATATTTTTATCAAGTGCTCAGAGAACATTCTACAGGATAGGTCATATGTTGAGTCACAAAACATGTCTTAACAAATTTAACATGATTGTAATCATCTTAAGTACCTTTTCTGAGCATAATGGTATATAAAACCAGAAATCAATAACAAGAAGTTATAAAAACTCAGAAATATGTGGAAATTAAACAATACACTTCTAAATAACCAATGGGTCAAATAAATTAAAAAGGGAATAAAAATATATTAAGACAAATAAAAACAAACACAATATATCAAAACTTAAGGGATGCATAAAAAGCAATTTTAAGAGGGAAGTTTATTCTTATTAGAATTTATTAGGTATCAGAATTATTAGATATTTATTAATACCTACATTAAGGAAAATAAAAGTTCTCAAATAAACAACCTAAATTCACACATCAAGGAACTACAAAAAGAACCAACTAAGCACAACGTTAGAAATGATAAAGATCAGAGCATAAGAAATGAAATAGAGACTAGAAAAAAATAGAAAAGATCAATAAAACTAAGAGTTAGCTTTCTTGAAAAGATAAACAAAATTGACAAGCCCTTAGCTTGAGCAAAGGACCTAAATAGACATTTTTCCAAAAAAGACATACAAATGACTATTGGGTATATGAAATAGTGCGCAAAATCAAAAGTCATCAGAAAGATGCAAATCAAACCACAATAAGATAAAACCACCCTACAACTTGTTAGGATGGCTATCATCAAAAATACAAGATATAATGAACGTTGGTGAGGGTGTGGAAAAAAAGAAACCCTCGTATACTGTTATTGGGAATGTAAATAAATACAGCCATTTTGGTAAAGAGAATGGAGGTTCCTCAGAATATTAAAATGAGTCAGGTGTGGTTGCTTCTGTCTGTCATCAAAGCTACTCAGAATGCTGAGGTGGGAGGACTGCTTGAGGCCAAGACCAGCCTGGGCAATATAGAGAGATACTGTGTCTCTGAAAATATCAACAACAACAACAACAACAAAAACCCAAAAACAGAAAACAATGAAAAGAAAAACAGTTAAAACTATAGTTACCGTATGATCCAGTAATCCCACTTCTGGGTATATAGCCAAAGGAAATGAAATCAGTATCTCAAAGAGATATCTGCACTCCCGTGTTCACTAGAGCATTCATATTCATATTCACATTAGCCATGAAAGCAACTTAAGTGCTCATTACTGGTCAATGGAGAAAGAAAATGGTGTATATATACAATGGAATACTATTAAGCCTAGTGTGGGGATCTTTTACAACCTTGGTTAATTTCTAAACATTAAATTTTAGATTAATAATTTTTCTAATGTATTCTTCTCTTAAATAAAAAACAAAAAGAAGGCTGGGTGTGGTGGCTCACTTCTGTAATCCCAGAACTTTGGGAGGCCAAGGCAGGTGGATCACTTGAGGCCAGGAGTTCAAGACCAGCCTGGCCAACATGGTGAAACCCCATCTCTACTAAAAATACAAAAAGTTAGCCGGGTGTGGTGACACACACCTCTAGTTCCAGCTGCTTGGGAGGCTGAGGCACAGGAATTGCTTGAACCCAGAAGGTGGAGGCTGCAGTGAGCCAAGATCGTGCCACTGCACTCCAGCCTGGGCAACAGAGTGAGACTGTGTCAAAACAAACAAAACAAAAAGAAGTTGCCAACCACTGTGATAATAATACTAGCTTTTATAATTGCCCATGTATGTACCTTGATTGAAATCTTCATTTGTTCATATGGCTTCAAGTAACTGTCTAGTATACTTCCATTTCACTTTGTAGGATTCCCTTGAGCATTTATTGCAGGGCAGGTCTGGTAGGAAAGAAGTTCCTTAGCTTCTATTTATCTGGTAGTGTCTTAATTTCTCCCTCACTTGAAGGATAATTTTTTTCAGATATGTATATAAAATTACAGATATGTATATAAAATTATATGTATAAAATTACATATACATATCTGGAAAAATACATATTGATAGTTTTTTCTTCTAGTATTTTGAATATATTGGCTTACTGTGTCTGGCCTCCAAAGTTTGTAATAAAAAAAATCTGCAAATCTTATTAAGGATCTTTTCTATGTAATGAGTCTTGTAAGCACCAAAACAGAAATGCTTACAAAGAGTCTTGTAAGATCCTTCCGTTCATTTTAATTGGAGTTCTTCTGGCATGTTTATATTCATATCTTTCAGGAAATTTAGAAAATTTTCAGTCATTATTTCTTGAAATATTCTCTCTATCCATTTCTCTCTCCTCCTCGGGGACTTCCAAATGGCTAGACTGGCCCATTTGATGGGTCTCACATGTCCCTTAGGTTCTGTTTACTTTTTTCAATCATCTTTCTTTCTATTCCTTACTCAGTAATCTCCATTGTCTTCTCTTCCCATTCATTGATTCTTTTTTATTTCTGCTCAAATCTGCCTTTGAATCCATTTAGTCCAATTTTCATTTGTTATTGTACTTTTCAGCTCCAAAATTTCTTTTTTGTTTCTTTTTTAGGTTTTATATCTCTTTATTGCTATTTCTATTTTGCTCATACATCATTTCCATGAATTTCTTCACATCTTTCTTTAGTTCTTTGAACATCTTTATGAGAGTTGTTTTAAAGTCTTTGTCTAGTAGATCCACCATCAGGTCTTTTCCAGGAGCAGTTTCTGTTGATTTACTTTTTTTTTTTGCTTGCATGGGCAATACTTTCCTGTTTCTTTGTATTCCTTGCGATTTTTAATTGAAAACTGGACATTTGAATCTAATAATGTGGCAACTTTGGAAAAAAAATTCTTCCCCTTCTCTAGGACTTGCTGTTTTTTGTTACCGTTTTTGTTGATTGTTTTGTTGATTGTTATAGACCATGTCTATGGCAAGGATCAGCCTGATATGTAAACTCAGGTCCTCTCACATCTTTTCTGAGCAGATGCCTTTCTCTGGACCTCTACGGTTAGTTTCTAATTTTCTCCAATTATGCAGTTGCTTTTGAATGTCCTAGTCTTTAATGTTTGGCTCCCAAATGGGGAAAAAGAAAAAAAAATGAAGAGAAGTAGGGGGAAAAAAAAGCACAAGCCCTTTAAATCTCCTGACATCATTTTAGCCAGAGGAGCAGGAGCAAACAACAATCCTGGGAAAACAAAAAAGAATGGTCGCCCATCTCCATCTGAACCTCTGTGATTAGAAGCAGCATTCAACAATCAGAAGACAATTACCCAATATTTGGAGGACAAGGTCATTTTTGCCCACTCTGGCTCCCATAAGCTGTGGGTAAGCTGCTTTGGGAACACACGCACAATTGCCTGCCATGGGACTGGGGTTGAGGATGGGTAGCTATTAGTGTACTAAGAAATAAAATTGATAAAAGTTAACCACACTTTAATGTCCAAGCCTTCCCCTGGAAGTTGCAAGCTTTTTATAGACTCTGCAGTTCCAAAACAGTTATATCAGACAAATTCTGCCAGTGTAATTATTGCCTAGGTGGGAAAACTGATTCCTGGTACTTCCTATTTCTCCTAGACATACTCTTATCATCAGCCCAGTAACTGCATTGCTTGGTATTACTCAAATGAGTTGAAAACTTATGTCCACATAGGAATCTGGGAATGGATGTTTAGAGCAGCTGTATTTATAATTCCCAAATCTGGAAGCAACCAAGATGTCCTTTAGTAGGTGAATGGATAAATAAATGGTGTTATTTCCAGACAAGGGAATATTATTTAGTACTAAAAAGAAATGGGCTATCAAGCTATGAAAAAACACAAAAGAACCTAAAATGCATATTACTAAATGACAGAAGCCAATCAAAAAAGCTACATATTGTATGATTCCAACTATATGACATTCTAGATAAGGGAAAATTATGGAGACAGTAAAGGATCAGAGCTTGCTAGGGGACAGAAGAAAGGGAGGGATGAATAGGTGCAAAACAGATGATTTTTTAGGACAAGGAAACTATTCTCTATAAAATTACAATGGCAGATTCATGTTACTATATATTTGTCCAAGCCCATAGAATGTACAACACGAAGAGTGAACCCTAATGTAAAGTATAGACTTTGGGTAATAAGGATGTGTCACTGTATATTCACTGATTATAATAAATGTGCCACTCTCGTGCAGGGTGTTGATAGTGGAGGAGGCTATACATGTGGTAGAGCAGGGAGTATATTGGAACTCTGTACCTTCCACCCAATTTTGCTGGGAACCTAAAACTGTTCCAAAAATTAAAGTCTGCTAAAAATTTATTTATAAAAAGGGCAGAGGAAAGTGAAGGCTAACTCTAACATATTCTCAAAGGTTTTTTTTTTAATAGGAAATGTGATTAAAATTGATAATAATGAAGTCTAATAGCAAATGCCAAACCAGTACTCCAAATGTATTTATAAATTTTTTCTAAAGTTCAATTCTCCTATCTTCTTACAATTGAGAACTAAGACAGATAGACATGGCTTTTTAATTAAATAAGGAATTAATCTCCCATAAATGAGAAGATAGCCACAAGCACGAAGAGTCCTTCCTGCTGCTGCTAAATAAATAGGCAGATCAATCTCCATCTGGCTGTACCATGTGCATTGAGAAGAAATGAGGATCTAGGCACTTGCAGTGAGTGACTAATGTTAATGACAACATACATTTACCTGGAGAGAGGCATTGTTTTAAGAGGAATAAACCTAGAAAACTGGAGAAGCTTATTTCTATGTCTTGCCTAACATATAAGAATAATCAGTAAATAAGGAAATTAGTGGGTTGAATCTCAAAAGGTAAACTAAAAAACAATTTCACTTCAAGATTTAAAAAAACGAAGACGATTATCATTTTCTACCAGTTCATGGAGTCCATGGGCACTGGGGGCCTTTACAAAAATGAAGTACTGCTTTTTATCTAAGGAAATATTCTAAATGATGGATATGACTATTTTAGCTATATTCACTGAATTAAATCAGTAATTTTTGCAATATGTGGTTCCTTATGAAGGAGGAAGAGTTAAGGAAAGTAAAGAATATAACAAATGGCAGAACAATAGCAGGCTATATGGCATTGGATTTTCCCTTAGTATTCCATAGACAAATAATAGCCAAGGATAACAAAGATGTTCTACGATTTCAACCTACAATCTTGGGATCCCAAGATGAAAGGAGTATTTGTAATTGCTGAAGACTTTCATATTAATAGATTTTAAAAGGTCAAAAAAGTTAAGTCAGTGAACTAGTTACAATCTAATCCCTTTAAATCTATTATTTCAATATGCAACTCCCACCCTAGAATATCAAAAACAAATATTCACTTTACACATTCCTTTTTATACATATAAAATATTCTTTTCATTAAAATACATAGATCTATGTAAAGTCACAATTTTCCTCCAAGGTTCCCAAATGCTTCACAATTTTTCAAAATAAGGGTCAATTTCACCATATATCTTTTAGAACAAGGCCTCTCCCAGTTGGCAATCAGCAGTGCTTCTGTGCATAATCTCTAGGAAAGTTGAAGATCTGCCATGAAAGGGGTGGGTTTCCTGAGAGATGAGAAAGACTGGTGTTCCAAAGCAGTAACTTTATATCCTTGATATTTTTACTATGCTTTTAAGAACTTAATTTTATCCATGTGTTTGTTTGGCACTGATTATTCTGCCATATGAACATATATCCGAAGCTATGGCTATCTGAAATTTTACATTGAGAAAGCATTCTGCAGGACATTTAACAGAACAGTGAAAATCAATTCTCTAGAAAAGCACTGTCTAAACAGAAATGTAAACCACATGAGTAATTTTTAGATTTCTAGAAGACACATTACAAAAAGAAACAAGTAAAATTAATTCTAAAATTAAGAATATATTTTATTTAACTCAATATATCTAAAATATAATTTCAACATGAAATTAATATTTTTGAAATTATTGAGATATTTTGTATTCTTTCAAAATCCAGTATGTACTTTACACTTACAGCACATGTCATTTTCTGACTACCCACAATTCAAGTGCTCAACAGCTTTTTTGGCTGGTAGCAATAGTATTGAACATTGTAGCTCTAGATGACATTGATTATAACAAACGGAAACCAAAATGAAGTACGTAAAGAATGACTTAAGATTCTGGAATGACAAGGAAAGGGCACTATCAAAACCCATAGCAATATGAATTCTATTTTTATATTGGCTATGAAATTGGAATTGAAGGAAATGCCCATGATACTACACTATGGCTTCTTGTGTTAGTCTATTCAGGCTGTTATAGTAAAATACCATACATTGGGGAGCTTATAAACAACAGAAATTTATTTCTCATTTCTGGGATGGGAACTCCAAGATCAAGGCACCTACAGATTCAGTGTCTAGTCGGACCTGCGTTCTGGTTTATAGATAACACCTGCTTATTGTAGGCTCACAGGTAGAAGGAGTAAGGGATCTCTCTGGGGTCACTTTCGTAAGGACACTAATCCTATTTACAAGGTCTCTGTCCTCTTGACCTAACCTAAAGTCCCCACCTCCTAATATAGTTCCCTTGAAGTTTAGGATTTCAACATATGAATTTTGGGGGAACATAAATATTCAGATCATAGGACTTTTATTCAGTTCCCATTATGAGAAAATTCTCTTGGTATTTGGAACTTAAAAAATGTTGCCCTCTTAGATAATGAGAGAGCTATATATTTTGTATATGCTTCAACAAGCCTGTCAGTACATTTTTATTATCTCTCTACAAATCCTTTACTTGTATTCTTCTCTTCATCTCATTTTTGCTTTCTTATATCTAATTTATTCATTTTTCAAATTTATCATGTTGAAAGTGGTCACAAATCACTTTTGGAAAGCAATAGGATATAACGTTTTTAAAATGAAGACAGCTGATCAGCATATAAGTTTCAGGATAAAAACTCTCTGCCTCAGTTTCCCCAGCCAATGATGACAGTAGCAAACTTGAGCTACAACTGCAAATACTGCAACTTGTTTTATAAGTGTACAATATAAAATAAATGCTGATCGTTAACAAGAAAAATATTAGGACTAATGTTCAGGACTCTTGAGCAAGGTGGAGGTATGGCATACATCACAAAAAAAGCTGAGAGTCAGAAAATTATAAAGGTAGGTTCCACATGGGGTGTTTCTCAGGTTAAAAGAGCTACATTTTTTTAAAAAGTCAGCATGACCCATTCCAAGCTGAAAGGAGATGATGTTTCTCTCATATATATTTCATATATGGTCTTACAATCTGCTAGCAAAACTTAGTCTCATACTCTAAATTAATGTCCACAGAAAATGAACATATCATTGGCTGAGGTAATGGGGATTCTAGCCCTTGTAGAATTTACTAGCTATGTGACCCTAGGCCAAACATGTAAGTTCTCAGTGCCAGATGTCTCAGCTGTAAAATGAAGATAATAATATTTCACTTGTTTAAAGCTATGGGACTGAATCGAATACACTCTTGAGGTCTGTGATATAATAAGGAATATATCTGGTCTTTGTCCCTGGCTCCTGGCATAGAGCTTCAAAAACTCGTGGAATTTCCTGAGTGATGGAATATCTTTTGTTATTTATAACGAGCTCCTTTTGGCAATATCTGAGTTTATGTTAATGAGGTAACTGATGGTGGGGTCTTAGAGAATCTGAAGGGAGGGGCTGGCCATGCCATAAAGACCAATTATGGGATTGAACAGTTGGAGCTTTGAGCCCCATCCCTGACCTCCAGGAGGCGAGAAGTACTGGAGATTGAGCTCAATCATGTGACTAATGATTTAATCAATCTTGCCTATGCAATAAAACCCCATATAAAAACTCTGGACACTAAAACACAGTGCAGTTTCCTGATTGGTGAAAACATTGATAAGCTGAGAGGGAGACACACTCAGATTCCATGAGGAGTGGACATGGAAGATTGCTATTCTCCCCACCTCAGCCAAGCCCTATGTGTCTCTTCCATTTGGTTGTTCCTGAGTTGTATCCTTTATAATAAAACTATAATTGTAAGTACAGAGCTTTCAGTGAGTTCTGTGAGTTGTTCTAGCAAATTATTGAAACTGAAGGGATTGTGGGGAGCCTTAGTCTGTGGTTGGCTAGGCAGAAGTGCAGGTGGCCCGAGGACACCAGAGACTTGCAACTAGAGTCTGAAGTGGGGCAGTCTTGTCGGACTGACCCCCAATTTGTGGGGACTCTGCTGACTCTGGGAAGTTACAGTTAGATTGAATTGTAGGATACTCAGTTGGTGTCAGGGAATTGTGGTCAGAACATAAAGTCCAATCCAGATTAAGGGCAGTACAACTCGATATTGGGTCCATTTTAATAACTAGGTTATAGCCATATATGTCCCAGCAGAAGTAATTGTGAAAACTATTGGCCTTGGATGCAATAAAATAACAATATGCATTTTTATCTACATGGCCACTTCTTCAATGAATTGAAAATTTAAATATATTATATTAAAACAGTCTTCATTATTAAAGACCGTTTTTGATAATGGCATAGTAAAACATTATGCATATCTTTCCTAGAAGAAGTTAACATTTTCTATATTTTCTAGTTTTCCTTCTTTGCTTCATGGAATTGTTCTAGGATTCGTTGATAACTTTTCCCCCAATATAGAATTTTAATGTAAAGTATTAAAACAATGATCTAACATCCAGGCTAAATTTATGCAATTAGATCAATATTAACATAGATAACAGTCTGTCATTCTGCTTATAAATGCTAATGAATTTATTTTCAGAGGTCAAGAGCTAGACTTAGGATCTATCTTATTAGAGAATATAAACTTGGAACTAAGAGCTCAGTTTGATGTGGTGTTTTCCCTTTTCTCTTTTCCTAAAACAAACAAATTTTAAAAAATAAAAAGGAGAAGAGAATCTCTGCCAGTGAAATCTGAGACCTTAAGCTGGTAGTTATTACGTAAGGCGTCAAAGATTTGACTTCAGACACAACAGGAGCTCTAAAGGAAGCATTAGGCATTTGAACTCTTAGGTACTGCTGAGAGAAAGAGATTGGTGTTTAAAGGGAATTTAGATTAGTTTGAGGAAAAGGAAATGAACTTTTTCTCAAGCTACATAAGCAACTTCTTTCCATGATAGACTGGTGCTTTTTAAGGAATATCTCAAGTGCCAGTAGGTATGGAGGATAAATCAGCATTTCAAGTATTAAAAGCAGCCCTGTCTTTAAAATGTTCCTTGTTGAAAAAGCCCTCACAAATGCTTTTGTAGGGGAGAGTCAAGAACCTCACCCTTTCCCCTGGTTAATTGTCTGGGCAGGGGATCATGCTACACCTTGTTTCCATCCATTGACGGGCAGACAGCTGAGAAAGAGATTCCAGTGAGTCAGAGGGGAAGGGCAGGCCTCAAGCAGTCTGACAGCTGGATTTGGTAAAAAAGTGAGGAGACCTGAAATTCTCCAGAAAGGTACATCATTCAGAATGAAAGGCGAGAGAATGACAGAAAGAAGAAAAATTTTATTAGGAAAATTTTACTGATGCCTACAAAGAAAACAAATTAAGAATAATTTCTCTTTTATTTGTGGTCCCATTATATGTTTGGTGTTATTTACAATTAAACGGTTCATAGTCATTTGGCTTAACAATAGCGACGTAAGAAAAATAACCACTGAACTTCTCAGAGGAAGTGAAATAAATACCTTGTTTCTTCCCTTTCAAATCAATTTCTGAAAGACTTGTTTACAAACACTGACTCAACGTCTTTATCTTCCATTCATTCCTCAACTGCAATCTGGTTTACACCACCCTACTTCCACTAAAAGTACTCTTTCTTTGGCTTCCTTCTTACTAAAGCAACACTTTTTATGTCCTTAGGACATTTGCATATAACCTGTAATATATGGGACATGCTTATACTGTAAAGTAATTTGTTTATCTGAAACTCACTTTTTCCCCTGAACTTCTAATTTAATCAGGCATCCTGTTTTTTATCTGGCAACCCTACTTCTAACTGGTTTTTACATCTAGTCTTGCCTCTCTCCTATGGATTTATCACCCTTTTGCTATAATTATTTTTCCAAAGTAGAAAATGACCATGACACTCTCATAACATAAACAGCTCTCAGTGTTCTTAGAATAAAGTATATGCTTCTTAATACATCTTGCAAGATCTAACAATAACTTATCTTTCCATGAATTCCTTATGACCACCCCACTTCATTTCACCCTATTCTTTAGTCAAAATGAACTAGTTTTAGTCCTCTAATTTAAGAGACCTCTTCAGTATGCTCTTTATTTTCTCTCACAATTTGTACATACTATTGCCTTTCAGAACACACTTCCTCACCTACTTCACCACACTTGATGGGTAACACCTAGTCATCTAGTCCAATTGGGGATTTTAGTGCAACCCATTTACATATAACAAATTACTGAAAAAATTCTAAAAGGGATTAGCTGAGTTGCACAAATTCATAGCTATTAGTGGTTAAACAAAAACAAAAACATGGGCCTCAATTCACCCATCCAAATGTACATTATCCCACTAGTGACCCTACCATACCACCTGCTCCTTCCAGAAAAGGAGTAGAAAATAGAGTAGAAGGAAAATAGAGTCAACTACCAGCACAGAACATTAAAGGCAAGGCTTTAAAAAGCCTATACATTGACTTACTAGCTTTTGGAACGTCAGGTTTTCTAAATGGAAGTGTTGGCAATGATATTTCCTTCAATTTTTCTAAATTTCAATCTTAGAAATATGCTATTGAGAATGCTAAGGTGATATTTGGGTTTTTTTCTCTCTCTCCTTTTCTTTCTTTCATGCACATAAATGCAAATAGATTAAAGAGAAAGAAAGAGGACAAATTTTAATACTGTAATACTAGAAGTAGATTAAATATATGATTTAATTAAAACAGCAGAATCCAAATCAGAATCTGTTAAATGTTGGCATGCTGGAGTGAGTAATGATGGAAAGGCATATTTTTAAAAATGTCTTACTTAAAAAAAAAAAGATAAAAGTTAGGACTGTAATCATTTTTTTTTTTTTGAGATGTGTAAGGCGTTATCTACATAAAGGCAGTAGATGGATTAAAATGTTATGGGAACTTCTTGTAGACCTGTGTAGAAATCTGTCAACTTGCAACAATTAAAATAATTTCTAAATAGACATGGTATTTAATATGGTTTCCTGGTTTATACCCTATAAAAGCGCTCAATTAATACAGTTTACTGACGTCCGCCCTAACAACATGAAGTGAGGGCCAAAAAATATATTAAATGTACCAGTGTAAACACTGGGAGACAAGCAAGAGCAGTGAATGCATCAGAAATTCTTGGGAGATTGGGGCATACTATGAACATTAGGACTTTGGCCTACATGGGTGAAAGGAAGAACAAATGGCTTGAAGGAAGGAGGGGCACCCGTGCTAAATAAGTAAAATAATTTTCAGCTGAAGCGATGTTTGGAGTTCGTTGATAGAGCAGAAAGAGATGGCCACACACTGCCCTTGAGCTAATGGTGAGGTCTCTGGTTTGGAATGATGATTAAGATGGGTTGTTCTTTCTACTGGCTCATTTATCCCTGAAAATGCTTCTATGTGTTTTCAAGCAAATTACAAGGATCAATCCCCATAATGAAAACTTTATATTTTGTTGTATTGTATTGTATTGTATTGTATTGTATCGTATTTTTGAGATGGAGCCTCGCTCTGTCGCCCAGGCTGGAGTGCATTGGCACCATCTCGGCTCACTGCAACCTCTGCCTCCCAGGTTCAAATGATCCTCCTGCCTCAGCCTCCCGAGTAGCTGGGATTACAGGCACCTGCCACCATGCCCGGCTACTTTTTTTGTACTTTTAGTAGAGACAGGGTTTCACCATGTTGGCCAGGCTGGTTTCAAACTCCTGACCTCAAGTGATCCGACCGCCTCACCCTCCCAGAGTGCTAAGATTACAAGCATGAGCTACCATGCCCAGGTGTAATGAAAACTTTAAATAATTGTTTCTTAAAATTTCTAGTAAAAAAAAAACAACAGTAAAAAGGCTTTGGAAATTAAGAAATTCCTACGATATACTATTTTAACTGTGACAAAACATGTTTTACCAAGTCTGGAACCAGGGTCAAGTGATATGAAAATAGTAATAACCACAACATAGTTTTCTTCTTTGAAATGGCATTACTTATTCTTTCTGGTCCATGAAACTTAAGGTGTAGCTCTCAAAGTTGCAAAAAGTAAGAAATGAAATCTGAAACAGTTAAGATTGAAAATGCAGAGAAAGAAGGATGGAGCAGCAAGCTTCGGATCACAACTAAAAAATAAATCTGTCCCTCTCCTTTTCAAAACCATGTATCAGGAAAATGGTCTTTTAGAAACTATTAGTTGAATAAGTTAGATCTCCCCCTGCCACTGGCTCCCCCACCCCAATATCCCTTGAAATAAAACCAGAAGGAAACAGCTAAACAGTTTCAAAGAGCAACCAGCCACTGTCCATAGTTAGAGATGGAATAAGTACCATATTTACCAAACAGCCAGACAGAATTTCAGGGTATTGAAGGAACTTGCCACAGAAAAGAAGTTCATTTGTGAATTATGATCTTTCATGTAGTAGATCCTTTGTACTCCCTCATCACGAACATTCTTGGCATCCAAGGTAAGTTCTACTACCAGAAACAGTACTTTGTTTGTGTTGGCCAATCTCTGAAAGCCAATAGCATGGCTTGACAATGATGTATGTCAGGGTTAGAGCAGCATGATCCATCTCCATTTTCTTGACAAGGATGGCATCTTAGGCCACGATAAGGAGGAACAGGTTGCTTGCCCCCACTGTTCAGGTTGGCAGCACCTACTATCAAATGACCAGGTATCTGGCAATGGGCTCAGAGAAACAATGACTGCCTTATCTTCTGGAATTCAAGGAACTTCAGCCCATAAACTAAAATAACTGCTGAGTGGGTACTACTCATTGACCCATGTCTGAGAAAAGCCCTCTCAGAGAGTATAGGGTCCATCATCTGTAGTCAAAAAGAAGTGACATTGCCATTTGAATGGCCAGGAGGGCTTCTATTTGGGTCTCCATAGCTAAGAAAGGCATATCATAAAAGCACAGCACCGAGCAAGGACAAGCCTTGTAGGCATGGTCAGATAAGAGCAAACAAAGCAGAGCTTTTGTACTGCCTATTTTTGATGACAAAAAGATTTGCAGTTTGTGTACTTCCCACACCATTTTAGATCTAAGGATCCAAACTCAATCCTGCTTTTAAAAAGAACTGGTAAGGGCCTGGGAGGTGGAGGAGAGACAATCTATAAATTCCCAAAGAAGCTTTTACATAAATTGACTGAGAGTTGTGTGCCTGAGAAAATGATATCAGACTATGGTCGCTATTTTCATCCTACACATTCCCACTGCACTTGAGTTTTCGGTATAATTTCTTATATAAAATATCTGCAGTGTGCCAGCTCCTACAGAGAAAACAAGGAACACAGAGAATGAATGAGCTATTGATTACTGTATGCATATATACACATACTCATATATATAATTGCCAACTTATTGATTCTCCCTTGTAAATCTATACGTTTCACTGCAATTATTAAATTCAAATGAGAATTTTGAAACACTAATACAGAATGAAACTGAAAAAAAGGAAACCAAATGATAAAATGAAAGAAGAAGGTATGCTCTAACAAAGATTGGCGACTCAAATCCCTATATATTTCCAGTAGAGAATGAAAGCATTAATTGTAAAAAACATAAAATATTTCTCTGATTCCATTAACCAGTCGAACAAGCAAGAGACAAAATTCATTAGCCATGGAACTTTTCTCATAAACCAAGTTATAGTCTTCATGATCTTAAGCAATAACAACTATCCTTAGATTTCCACATGTGCAGTGCACTGCAAATTATAGAAAACAAGTTTATTTTTCTGCATACAAACTTGAAGTCTATCATCAATCTTCTGACTTAATGCTTCTCAGATGAGAGACTGCAGAAAGAAGCAGCTTATTTTAAAATTATAATTCAGAAGGATGAGGCTAAGGATAGCAGGTAAGGGATTGAAAATTATTGATACTGAAACACACAACATGTCCTTCAGTAGTCCACCCATAGGAAATTTGCATTTTAAAGCACTATAAATTCTCTAACAAAAGGGACATCTGTTATTTTCATTTAACCTAGTAGATGAAGTTTAAATTTTTATTGGGTTCAAACTTCCTCCATTTGTCTCTCTTTAAACCTTACATTCTTAAGATTGCTCTCTTTTAATTCTTGAGGAGGTATCAAATGTCTAAGATATAATTGGTAAAGCATCCTTTGGATAAGGTATTAAAAATATTTTTTAATTGAAAAGGAAGTACATTTAAAATGTTTTATAAGAATTCCTTAGTATGAAATGGTGCTGTTTGCTACAATGATTAAACATTTCCAAGATTTATTTAATTTCACGTAAAGCCAACTTTTATTTTTAAAATACATTTCTACTAGTATGTTCAGGTTCAGATACCCAGGTTTCCAAAATAAATTTATTCATATTCTTTAGTTTCTTCTGACGTTCAGGACTGCCTAGCTAACATGTTGTACTATGGCAACTCTGATCTCATAACCACACTAATGTCTCTACCAGAATACCACAGTGCTTCAGATCTTAACTAGACAGTTTGATTTTCCTGTGAAACCAACATTATCCAGCCAGGCATGGTGGTAGATGCCTGTAGTCCTAGCTACTCAGGAGGCTAAGGCAGGAGGATTGCTTAAACCCAGGAATTCAAGGCTGTAGTGTGCTATGATTGCCCTTGTGAATAGCCACCATACTCCAGTCTGGGCAACATAGCAAGATCCTGTATCTCAAACAAAAAAACAAACTAACTAACTAACATTACCCCAAAGTAAACAGTATAAGGCAGACTATATGAGAGAGTCCCAACTTAAAGAATCACATATAAAGTTTCTTTTAGTAAAAAATTATTGACCTTATTACATAGCCATTGACTTTACAAGAGCCCCTGATAGCAAACACCCAACGCTTGCTTTCTGCTTGCATATACTCTAAATATAGTAGTCTTCCCCTTATCTGCCATTTCACTTTCCATGGTTTCAGTCATCTATGGTCAACCACTGACTGAAAATATTATATCGCTGCCCTTGCATTGTGGGGCCATTATTGGTGTAAAATAAGAGTCACTTGAACACAAGTACTGCCATACTAAGAGAGCAGAACTGAGAAGTGAGACGGCCACTAAGTGACCAACGATTAACAGGTAGGTAGCATATAGACCATGAATACACTGGACAAAAGGATGATTCATTTCCCTAAGTGGGACAGTCAAGATTTCATCACACCACTCAGAATGGTGCACAATTTAAAATGTGTGAATTGTTGACTTCTGGAATTCTCTTCACTTCATCTCATCACACAGGTGTTTTATCATCTGACATCAATATAAAAAGATGAAGGGTAAGTATAGTACAGTAAGATATTTTGAGAGACAGACACCATATTTATATTACATAACAGCATATTGTTATAATTGTTCTATTTTATTATTGTTGTTGTTAATATCTTATTGTACCTAATTTATAAACTAAACTTTAACATAGGGAGGCATGTATAGGAAAAAGCATAGTATATATAGTTATGTGTTGTATAATGATGTTTTAGTCAACAATCAATTGTATATATGATGGTGGTCCCATAAGATTATAATGGAACTGGGCTGGGTATGGTGGCTCATGCCTGTAATCCCAGAACTTTGAGAGGCAAGGCAGGTGGGTCATTTGAGGCCAGGAGTTTGAGACCAGCCTGGCCAACATGGTGAAACCTTGTCTCTAAAAAAAATACAAAAATTAGCCAGGCGTTGGTGTTGCACACTTGTAATCCCAGCTACTTAGGAGGCTGAAGCAGAAGGATCATTAAACTCAGAAGGCAGAGGTTGCAGTGAGCTGAGACAGTGCCACCGCACTCCAGCCTGGGCAACAGAGCAAGACTGCCTTTAAAAAAAAAAAAGATGATAATGGAACTGAAAAATTCCTATTGCCTAGTGATGCTGTAGCCATTGTAATGTCATAGTGCAACACATTACCGCTTCTGTTTAGACACACAAATTCTTACCACTGACTGTGTTACAACTGCCTATGGTATCTAGTACTATTATACATGCTGTACAGGTTTGTAGCCTGGGTATGTAGCAGGCTATATACCATTTAGGTTTGTATAAGTACATTCTATGATGTTCACACAACAATGAAACCACCTTACGAAGCACTTCTCAGAACCCATTCATGTCACTAAGCAATGTACGACTGTATAAGGTTCAGTACTATCCACAGTTTCAGGCATCCACTGAGGCTCTTGGAATATATACCGCATAGATAAGGGGTGACTACTGTGTAAGTCCCCTGGTAAACATGGCATAATACATAACTATAATGAAAACTACATAAATATATTTAATATTTATCTAATAATTACAATATGTATTTATGTTCTGTCACCTGTAAAGCATTTCACATGCATTATCTCATTTAATACTTATAACAACTCTCCACAGACATAAAGCTATCCACGTGCTCCCCCTTCTCATAATAAATCTTAATATCTTGGAACTAAATGGAAATTCAGATATCACCTAGTCCACCTTTCTCATTTTATAAATGAGGAGCCCAAAGCCCAAGCAAGGTTTAATGAATGCCCAAGACCAAGACCATAGCTAGTCGTTGGCAAAATTGAAGTTGTAATACAATGACCTCCAGCCCAGTACTCTTACCAATGATGATGATGTCTGCTAACAATTACTGAGCATTTACAATAGCAATTATTCACTTAGTTATCACATGTCTATGAGATAGGTACAAATATAACTTCATTTTACAAATGAAAAAAATAAGGTTTAGAGAAGTTGAGTATGCCCAAACTACTAAATTGAAGATCCAGGTTTTAAAGGACAATCTATTTCTATTACCTAAGATTTTAATTATTATGTATTATATTGCTGGCATATTAAGAATTGACTGTTGGTGGTAAATATGGTTTTATAATCCATCCAAATTTGTGGTAGGATGTATGCACTAAAATTGCCATTCATTGACTCTCCAGTTCCATACCATGCTAAGAGAATATTCCTTAAGATTACAACCACATCCTAGTTTTCTCTATTATTCACATCTCATGATATCTATCCTGAGCTACTTACTACCTCAACTCCCTCCCATCTTCAGAGCTAACCAAACAGATCTACAGACTGAAGTAATTGCTAATTGCATCATATTTATTCACTCAAAAAATATTTATTATTAAAGTACCATATGGCGGGCACTATGCTAAGTCCTAAGGAGATAGGACTGGGTGGGGCAGACAAGATCCTTGTCCTAACTAATCTGCTGTTTACCTTTTTCTTAGACTCTATGAAATGCGTATATTTAAAATAAGCCCTTCTTTATTCTTGAACTGGTTTGAATAGATTTTTGCTCCTTGCTGTATTGTTTGAATGTTAGTGTCCACTCTAAAATTCATGGTGAAATTTAATCTTCAGTGCAACAGGATTAAGAGGTAAAGTTTTTAGGAGGTGATTAGGGCATAAGGGCTCAGCCATCATGAATGGGATTGGTAATCTTATAAAAGGAATGGAGGAAACTAGCTAGGCCCTTTTTGCCCTTCTACCCCTTCTACCTTGTGAGATCACAGCATTTGAACCCTCCAGAGGATGCAGCAATAAGTTGCCATCTTGGAAGCAGTTTTCAGGCCCTCACCAGACACTAAACCCGACAATGCCTTGATCTTAAACTTCCAGCCTCCAGAACTATAGGAAATAAATTTCTATTATTTATAAATTACCTAGTCCCAAGCATTTTGTTATAGCAGGACAAACGGACTAAGACAGTTGCAAATAAACATACTCTAATTAAGACAGATTATTATTAGGGAATGAGTTGCCAAACAAAAGAGAAAGTAGAATGTTTGGAATTAGTTAGCAGGTAATGATAGGGAAAAGAGGATTGAGACTTCCCTCCTGATATGTATACTTATTTGTATATTTCTGTTTGTTTATTTGTCCCCTCCAAATCTCACGTTGAAACATGATTCTCAATGCTGAAGGTGAGGCCTAGTGGGAGGTGTTTGGGTCATGGGAGCAGAGCCCTTATAAATGGCTTGGTGCCCTCCCCACAGTAATGAGTTCATGTGAGAGCTGGTTGTTTAAAAGACTGTGGCTCCTCCCCCACTTCTCTTGCTGGTTCTCTTGCCATGTGACATGCTGGCTCCCCCTTCTCTATCTACCATGAGTAGAAGCTTACTGAGGCCCTCACCAAAATGAGATGCTGGCACCATGCTTCTTGTACAGCTTGCAGAACCATGAGCCAAATAAACCTCTTTTCTTTATAAATTAACCAGCCTCAGATACTTTTTTTTTTTTCAGATGGGGTCTTGCTCTGCCACCCAAGTTGGAGTGCAGTGGCACAATCTCAGCTCACGGCAACCTCCACCTCCCAGGCTCAAGCAATCTGCCCACCTCAGCCTCCCACGTAGCTGGGACCACAAGCATGTGCCACTATGCCCAGCCAATTTTTGTATTTTTGGTAGAGACAGGGTCTCATCATGTTGGCCCAGCTGGTCTTAAACTCCTGAGCTCAAATGATCTGCCCACCTCAGCCTCCCAAAGTGCTAAGATTACAGGCATGAGCCACTGCACCTGGACTTCTCAGATACTTCTTTATACTACAAGTTCATTTCCCAGGATGGAAAGCCAACAGTCTGTGGAACTTGGTAGCCAAGCTTATAATTAAGGTATTATCTTAAGTCACTTATGACCATGTTCCCACTGAGGGAGAAGCTATGGAGGACTAGTGTCTGCTGATCAATTTAAAGAAATTGAGGAATATGAGCCATGTGATCGCTTTTAACAACACTGGGTAACTTAAGATAAAAATGAGGCCAATTCTCGTCCTTCCTAGAATGCCCATCTCAGGAATCTAAGGAAACACAGGACTATAATGAAGCTCTATTGCAGTAATCCCCTTCCTTCTGCAGCTGGATAGTTGAGAAAGCTGAAAATCAAATAAGTTGATTTCAAGTTTCTGTTGCCTTCATAATCCCATCATATTTTCTTGATAAATGCAAGGATAGTAAAAGAAATCATGGAACCTCAGGAGAATGGCGTGAACCCGGGAGGCAGAGCTTGCAGTGAGCTGAGATCACACCATCACACTCCAGCCTGGGCGATAAAGGAAGACTCCATCTCAAAAAAAAAAAAAAAAAAAAATTATGGAACTTTGACCCCTTATTCTTCTCCAAAATACTTTCCATTGCAACCCCATTCCCAGAGAAGAGTAGCATTTTGCTCTGCTATGCTCTGTCCCTTACTGAATCTTGTCTTATAACTAGGATCTACATACAACAGTGTTAAGGGTGAAAAGAAAAGTAAGAGTAGAGAAGAAAGGAATTACATCCAGAAGGAAATGTAAGAGTTTTCTAGGTAAATTCAGCAAAAACAGGGAAAACTGCGTGGTTATGCATTTTGCACTACTTCTTCAAGGATGACTAAACATAATTTTGATTGACAACTTAATTACTCTAGGACATCTCACTGGAGAAGCTTGATTTAATGTAGTAACTAGTAGTTACTTTCACAGTTTGCTGATGTAAAGGTCCCTTTGCATAATATAAACTTGAAAGGCTGCAGAAGAAAAATGCTAGTGTGGATCTGTCATATATGCTTGCCCTATGTTTCTCACCAGGGTCCTCAGGACTCTCCACTATTCCCTTTTCCTCACATTAGGAAAAGATCTGTAATGGAATGCCTGAAGCCCTGTGAGGGAATCTCGGACCAAAGGTGGATAATTAATTATACGGAACTGGAGAGGCAAGAATAGCTGGGCTCAAGTAGTGGAGAAAACAAAATTAAGTAGGCAGAGTTATGCCAATTGGTAGTTGTTGATGCCTGGTACCTAGGGTTCAGTGAGATCTCTTTATAAAGATTCTTTAGTTCTGATGTCCCAGTGACAAAACCACAAGCAAGCCTATTAAGGACTGCCTAGTTAATATTCACTAAAACATCTCACACCTGAGTCAGAGGAGAGTCAGCTATATCACAAACCTGTAGCCATTTATTTTTGTGAATATATACAAAGAGATGGAAACTTTCAAACTTTTCAGGAACTATTCGGATACTGACTTTGAGACAAAATAAATTCTCCAGGGATGATGTGATCTTTCAGTCAGAGTGAGGAGGTTAAGTAGTAAATGCTGTTCTGCCACTAGTATATATCACAATAGACTCAGTGAGACCAAGAATTTACTCTGAAGTTGTTTCCCTAAATCCTGTGTTTAGGCAAAATCTCTACATTGGTTTCCTTACCTGTAGAGTGAGGGTTATTATGGTAAGAATGGTGATATGGAAGGCTTTAGAAGCCCGTGTTCCCTTTCAAAAGAATTAAACCAAAGCATATTTAATTGACCATCAAGATCTGAGAGAATCTGATAAGATGCATTCTATCCCTCCTTTTCATGGATCCAGTTCATACTGTGAAAAAGATTCATGGATCCTGGGAAATGATGGATTACATTACATTTAAAAAGATGCAATTGTTGCTACATTTCCTTGCAAAGAAATGTGTCCTGGATTTGGTTTAATTATATTTTTAATGTACCAATCTTTTGAATAATTTAGGGAACTATGCAGATAACTGAAAACTGAAAATGTTTAACATTGTAGACCATAAATCAGTAGAAATATGAAAGAAAACACATAAAGGCATATACATAAAGAAATAATTATAATTAATTATAATAAATAACATTTCCATGGCTGTTTCAAATGATTTTATATATATTATCTCATTTGACTTTATAACAATAATGTGAGACAAATATAGCAGGAATTAGTATTTCTAGTTTATTGATGGGCTCAGAGAGGTTAAATGAATTGATTCATTCACCCTCGTGGCTTGAATTATCATACAAATATATGCTGAGGCTACCAAATCAACTCTACCATAGATTACTGCAATAGCCTTCTAACTAGTCTCTGAGGCTCCTGCAAAATGCAAGTTCCTTCCAAAAATACAAATCTAATACAGTCACCCTCCTATTTAAAATCCATGATTTCTCATCTTAACTCCAGCCTCCAACCATGGTATTTTGCATAGAGTAGGGCCCACATATATCTGCTGACTGAATGAGCAGATTACTGAATTAATGCTGGTAACAAGTGGTTGAGCTGGAATATGAATCTAGACTTCCTCATTTTGAATATGCAAAGAGAAAGCTTAGGAAATTCCAAACCCAGACACAGACTGAATATTCCTAGTGCATGAGGGATACAATAGCCTAAGTTAGATCTAGAAGTTATTAGGCAATCAACACCTGCTGGTGTTTAAATCTCAGTTTCTCTGCCAGGATCCAGTGCTCTAATGTTTAAAACCAAATATAAAACATATAAACATACTGAGATCTAAGATGAAATCCACACAAAGCAGAAAAACACAGAGGTCATTATCAATTTTTAAAGGAAAAGTGATGATTTCATCACACCTAGTAAATTTCAAGTGACTTCCATCTTAGAGTTATTGGGTTTGGTAGCCTGTCAGCAAGAATTACCTAACAATAATACTCCTGTTATATAATGGCACCCTAAGCAGTAGTTACCATCTGTAGAAAACAGCTGAACTGACTGATTGCTTGTAAAATAATCAAGCCGAGAATTAGAAAATCATCAGTTCTGGATCATACTTTTCAGGACAGCCATAGAAGTTTCACAGACAACTATCAAGAAGCAAAGTCAATTTATTATACCAAATTAAACCTAATAAATTCACAATCTGTGACAAAGTTTCAAGTACTCTGCAAAAGACCTGAGATATGCTGGATATGCTTAATATGAATTAGCAGATTTGCTAACTGCTGCTACTGATGATGATGATGATGATGATGATGATGACAAAAATAGGAGCAGCTAATAATTAGTGCATACTTAGTGCTTTACCACACAATGAAATACAGCCTTTCATGTATTATCTCATTTGATCCAAACCCTCTCATCTTTATATTGTTCAGTACTATTATTATTCCTACTTCATAAATGGAGTTGTAAGGGGTTAAATAATTTACATATGGTAACACTAAAAGTAAGTGGGAACCTGAATCCATTCTGTTGAACTGACTCTAAAATCTATATTCTTAATGACTACACTATCCTAGCTGAATATCTCAGGCTCTTGGTAGTGCATATAATACCTCTATGCATTTGGGACCTAAGAAAATGGAAGACCTGACCTCATATTCAAAAACACTCAAGGTATATTCACATTTCATCTTGTCCAGAGTTTGATTTCTTTTAGGACCTATACAGTTCTTCCAAGGACTCACAGACAAAAAGGGAAAATACCTCATGCACACACCACTGGGTAGAAAGATGTAAGTGTTAATTATCTTGTCATTTGGGACTGCTTTTATACGCCTCTGTATAGTTACTTGAATTTTATGTATCATTTCTTTAAGATTTTTTTATAGACCACTGAGCATCTAAAGAAAAAAAAATGAGGGGGGTGGTATAGGGAAAGACATAGAATAGAGTTCTTTCTTTTAAAGTAAAATAAATGTCCATGGAAAGTTTTTGACAGACAAATTACTGCCAATCAGGAATGAAACATTAAATTCTAAATCAATGAACCTTAGTGGCTCTAAAATATATGAGGAAAAAAAATTTCACTGCTGATATTATGGTTATTCGTGGACTGTCAAGCCCTTCAAATGTTGGCTTCAATCTGATTCTAAGTCTGAAAGGTTATTACAAATACCAAATGGCTTTTCAGATAAGATATTGGCTCTCTGGAACCCCTTTTACATGGTTAACAAACTCTGTTGTGTTTCCACCTTTTCATTAAATGCTCTTTTAGTCTTAACTGAAAGCTGGCTCTGCATTAAGGATGTAGATTCTCCTACGGTTCTCTCAAGAAGAAGCTGCTCATTCAAAATCAGGCCATAAGATGGGTATTATTCTTACTCTTCAGTGTTTCTCCCAGTCCATCATCACTCCTCCAGAATGTGCATGTATTTCAGCTTTATCATCCTTCATCCCTGTTTATCTCTTATCTCTGTCAAAAATCCAATCTTGTAGTTGATCATTCGCAAAAGTTCACCAGACTTTGTTATTTAACCAGTGGTATTGGTTGATTGCCTACACCAAAGCCCTTTCCTTCCTTTTCTTTATAAGAGAATGAGCTTCTATTTTTTCCTCAAAATTCAGAGAAGGATGACTTCATTCTCATCTCAAGAATCAATTTTGACTGGTTTAGCCAATCATTATGTTTTCAATCTCCTACTAAATAATTGGTTAAGACAGAGGAATGTGAAACAACTTTGGCTAATTAGAGGCAAGGAATGTGGCGGGCAACTTATAGAAACAGTTCTGTTGCTGTTATATATTATCATGTCTAGGTGAAAGGCATGGGAGTGTGCTTATTTATGAATGGTAAGATTAGAGTAGTTTTTATTTTCTTCCTGTACTTTTCTTTTTTCCCCACCATTTTCCACAATGAATAGATATTACTTTCATTAAAAAAAACCCCTAAAAATCTTGAAAAGTATTCACTTGATTCTGCTACTGGTTATGATAAACTAATAGGCACAGCACTAATCTTTCCAGTGTGAAAAAAAAATCCTGGAAACCTGGAAAACTGTACAAGGAGTCTGAAAGAACGGTTTTAGATACTGGACAAGAGGTAATGCAGAATTATGATCCCACAGACATAATGATACTGAGAGCAGGAGAGCAAGCGAGGCAAGCTAGCCTAGAGGCAGCTTCCAGGATGTGCTATAAAGCAGGCAAAGGGAGAGAACTGAAACAGAACATGGTTGTCTTACTGAGTTGAAAAGTCAGAGACTAGAGCCCAGGAGTTCAAGGCAACAAGTATTTACAGGACTGAGTATCAGAAAGGAGGATGCTACAAAAGAGAGCATCCAGGAAAACTACAGAAAGGTCCTTTCGGTATTTGGTGGAGTACTAATTTGTGTTTGTAGGGGAGGCAATTACCAAAGGCTGGAGAAAGAACCATTAGAAATGAAAAGGAAAAGAATCTGTGAAAGTCTTACAGGGATGACCATACTTTGTGTTTCCACCAGCCAGAGTTTAAAGACCTCCAAGCTATCCAAAGCATCATGCAGAATTCTCCCAAGGGTACTGCTTTAGAACTGGTGACAAATTAGACCTAGACAAAAAGCTGCTATGGACCCACTAGATACTTAAGAGCAAGTCTTGAATGAATCCAATTGCAAATAACTAAAATCCATGTGCAAACAAAATATAATATTATTTAAAGGAATACAACACAGCATCCAACAATATGAAATGTAAAATTTCACGAATCCAGTAAACAATGACCAGGATGCAAAGAAACAGGACAATATGACCTATAATCAGGTGAACAATATCAATAACCTGGAAAATATACGCATGATGGAACTGGTAGAACAGGACTGTTACATAGCTATTATAAGAATGTTCCATATGTTAACAAGGTAGAGGAACAGGAATATTATGAAGAAAGCAATGGAAGATATCAAAAAGAACAAAATGGAGTTCATATAAAAGTAAAAAAAAAAACACCTCAAATGACAAATACATTGAAATAGATAAACAGCAGATTAGATACTGCAAAAGCAAAGTTCAAAGAACTCAAAGACATCAATAGAAAGCATCCAAAATGAAGTGCATAAAGAAGAAAAGAAGATTGAAAAGAAAATAAACAGAGTATCGGTAACCACAGGACAATGTGAAGTGGTCTAAAATATATGTAAAGGAAGTTTCAGACACAAAGGAGAGATAGAAAAGATATTCAAAGAAATAATAGCCAAAGCCTTCTCAAATTTAATAAAAGGTATAAACTTGCATGTCCAAACTCAATGAATTCTAAGCAGAATTAACATAAAGAATCCCACAGAAAAGACACAGCCTAATGAAATTGCTGAGAACTAGTGAAGAAAATCTCAAAAAAGTAGAGAAAATGAGACATAATTTGTACAAAGGAACAAAGATAACAAAAAGCTTATCATCAGAAACTATATCAATCAAAAGAAAATAGTTGGAACTCTTTAAAGTGTTGAAAGAAAAAAAAAACCCTATTAACCTAGAATTCATTATACAGTGAAAACATCTTTCTGAAGATTTTACCAGAAAAAAAAAAAGTTTAGAGAATTTAATATAAGTGGAATTGCGCTATAGTGTACATTGAAGGAAGCTCCTCAGTAGAATAAAAATGATATCAGATAGAAATCTGAATCTGCACAAAGACATGAAGAATGCAGAATACAGTAAACACATGGGTAATTATGAAATATATATGAATCATTTCTAGACATTTTATAAAATAAATGAGTGTTTAAAGCAAAGATGCAGTAATAATGTATTGTGGGGTTTATAGACTATGTAGAAGTAATATGTATAACAACAATAGCACAAACAAAGGACAAAACATAGAAGAAAAACAATACTTTTGTAAGATTCTTACATTAATGCAAAATGGCATAATATTATTTTAAGGTATTCTGTGTTAAAGATGTATATTGTAAATCCAGGAACAATAACTAAAATATACAACAGAGTCTGAGCTAATAAACTATAGATCACATAAAAAAACACTGATTAATCTAAAAAAAAGCAATGAAAGAAGAAAAATGAACAAAGTATGAAAAAGGAAATATAAAATGAATAGCAAGATGGTAGATTTAAGCCCAATCATACTGAAAATTACATTCAGGAGGTGGAATAAGATGGTAGAATATATGATTACATCATTTGTCTGATTCCTCCCTCCCCAACCCCACCCCTGCAGGAACACCAAATTTTAACAACTATCTGCAGACAGAAAACCACTGGCACAAGAACCAAAAATCAGGTGAGCAATCACGCTACCTAGATTTTTACATCATATCGCTAAAAGAGACATTGAAGATGGGCAGAAAGACAATCTTGTATTGCTGACGCCACCCCTCCCCCATCCCCTGGCAGTGGTTGAACGGCCTGGAGAGTTTGTGCACTTGGGAGAGGGAGAGTGCAGCAACTGGGGGACTTTACATTGAACTCAGTGCTGCCCTGTCATAGTGGAGAAAAAATTGTGCTGGCTGGGCTCACTCAGAACCCACACATGGAGGGAACATTTGGACCAGCCCTAGCCAAAGGAGAATCATCCATTCTAGAGGTCAGAACTTGAGCTCTCAGCAAGCCTCATTGCCACAGGCCAACATGCTCTGCGGTCTTGAGTAAACTTGAAAGACAGTCTAGAACACAAGGAATGGAACTCTTAGGCAACTCTTAGTGTTGGGCTGGGCTCAGAGCCAGAGGATTAGGGTGGTATGTGACTTGGACAGTAACCCAGCCAGGGCAGCTAAGGGAATGCTTGCACCACCTCTCTGCCAATCCCAGGCAGTGCAGCTCATAGCTAGAAAATGAGTCCTTCCTTCTGCTTAAGAAGAACAGAATAATGATACAGGGGATATCACCACTGATCCCACAGAAATACAAACTACCATCAGAGAATACTATAAACACCTCTACGCAGATAAACTAGAAAATCTAGAAGAAATGGATAAATTCCTCGACACATACACACTCCCAAGACTAAACCAGGAAGAAGTTGAATCTCTGAATAGACCAATAACAGGCTCTGAAATTGAGGCAATAATTAATAGCTTACCAGCCAAAAAAAGTCCAGGACCAGAGGGATTCACAGCCAAATTCTACCAGAGGTACAAGGAGGAGCTGGTACCATTCCTTCTGAAACTATTCCAATCAATAGAAAAAGAGGGAATCCTCCCTAACTCATTTTATGAGGCCAGCATCATCCTGATACTAAAGCCTGGCAGAGACACAACAAAAAAAGAGAATTTTAGACCAATATCCCTGATGAACATCGATGCAAAAATCCTCAATAAAATACTGGCAAACCAAATCCAGCAGCACATCAAAAAGCTTATCTACCACAATCAAGTGGGCTTCATCCCTGGGATGCAAGGCTGGTCCAACAAATGCAAATCAATAAACATAATCCAGCATATAAACAGAACCAATGACAAAAACCACATGATTATCTCAATAGATGCAGAAAAGGCCTTTGAAAAAATTCAACAGCCCTTCATGCTAAAAACTCTCAATAAATTAGGCATTGATGGGACATATCTCAAAATAATAAGAGCTATCTATGACAAACCCACAGCCAATATCATACTGAATGGGCAAAAACTGGAAGCATTCCCTTTGAAAACTGGCACAAGACAGGGATGCCCACTTTCACCACTCCTATTCAACACAGTGTTGGAAGTTCTGGCCAGGGCAGTTAGGCAGGAGAATGAATTAAAGGGTATTCAATTAGGAAAAGAGGTAGTCAAATTGTCTCTGTTTGCAGATGACATGATTGTATATCTAGAAAACCCCACTGTCTCAGCCCAAAATCTCCTCAAGCTGATAAGCAACTTCAGCAAAGTCTCAGGATACAAAATCAATGTGCAAAAATCACAAGCATTCTTATATACCAATAACAGACAGAGAGCCAAATCATGAGTGAACTCCCATTCACAATTGCTTCAAACAGAATAAAATACCTAGGAATCCAACTTACAAGGGATGTGAAGGACCTCTTCAAGGAGAACTACAAACCACTGCTCAACGAAATAAAAGAGGATACAAAGAAATGGAAGAACATTTCGTGCTCATGGGTAGGAAGAATCAATATCGTGAAAATGGCCATACTGCCCAAGGTAATTTATAGATTCAATGCCATCCCCATCAAGCTACCAATGACTTGCTTCACAGAATTGGAAAAAACTACTTCAAAGTTCATATGGAAGCAAAAAAGAGCCCGCATTGCCAAGTCACTCCTAAGCCAAAAGAACAAAGTTGGAGGCATCATGCTACCTGACTTCAAACCATACTACAAGGCTATAGTAACCAAAACAGCATGGTACTGGTACCAAAACAGAGATATAGACCAATGGAACAGAACAGAGCCCTCAGAAATAATACTACACATCTACAACTATCTGATCTTTGACAAACCTGACAAAAGCAAGAAATGGGGAAAGGATTCCCTATTTAACAAATGGTGCTGGGAAAACTGGCTAGCCGTATGTAGAAAGCTGAAACTGGATCCCTTCCTTACACCTTATACAAAAATTAATTCAAATAGATTAAAGACTTAAATGTTAGACCTAAAACCATAAAAACCCTAGAAGAAAACCTAGGCAATACCATTCAGGACATAGGCATGGGCAAGGACTTCATGTCTGAAACACCAAAAGCGATGGCAACAAAAGCCAAAACTGACAAATGGGATCTCATTAAACTAAAGAGCTTCTGCACAGCAAAAGGAACTAACATCAGAGTGAACAGGCAACCTACAGAATGGGAAACAATTTTTGTAATCTACTCATCTGACAAAGGGCTAATATCCAGAATCCACAAAGAACTCAAACAAATTTACAAGAAAAAAACAAACAACCCCTTCAAAAAGTGGGCGAAGGATATGAACAGACACTTCTCAAAAGAAGACATTGATGCAGCCAAAAGACACATGAAAAAATGCTCATCATCACTAGCCATCAGAGAAATACAAATCAAAACCACAATGAGATACCATCTCACACCAGTTAGAATGGCGATCATTAAAAAGTCAGGAAACAACAGGTGCTGGAGAGGATGTGGAGAAATAGGAACACTTTTACACTGTTGGTGGGACTGTAAACCGGTTCAACCATTGTGGAAGACAGTGTGGTGATTCCTCAGGGATCTAAAACTAGAAATACCATTTGACCCAGCCATCCCATTGCTGGGTATATACCCAAAGGAATATAAATCATGCTGCTATAAAGACACATGCACATGTATGTTTATTGCGGCACTACTCACAATGGCAAAGACTTGGAATCAACCCAAATGTCCGACAATGATAGGCTGGATCAAGAAAAGTTGGCACATATACACCATGGAATACTATTCAGCCATAAAATATGATGAGTTCATGTCCTTTGTAGGGACATGGATGAAGCTGGAAACCATCATTCTCAGCAAATTATCACAAGGACAAAAAACCAAACACCGCATGTTCTCACTCATAGGTGGGAATTGAACAGTGAGAACACTTGGACACAAGAAGGGGAACATCACACACTGGGGCCTGTTGTGGGGTGATGGGAGGGGGGAGGGATATGCCTAATGTAAATGACAAGTTAATGGGTGCAGCACACCAACATGGCACATGTATATATATGTAACAAACCTGCACATTGTGCACATGTACCCTAGAACTTAAAGTATAATAAAAATATATATATATAAAAGATGAATTAGAGGACACAAAACTCCTCCTCCAAAAAAAAAAGAAGAACAGAATAAAGAGGACTCTGTCATGTGTCTTGGATACCAGTTCAGCCACAGTAGGATAGGGCACCAGGCAGAGTCATGAGGTCCCCATTTCAGGCCCTAGAACACAAATCAATAACAAGTAACAAGATTGAAACCATAATAAAAAGTCTCCCAGTAAAGAGAAGCCCAGGACCCAGTTCACTGCGAGTTCTATCAAACATCTAAAGAAGAACTAATACTAATCCTACTCAAACTGTTCTGAAAAATTGAGGAAGGAATACTTCCAAACTCATTCTACAAGATCAGTATTACCCTGATACTAAAATCAAAGACACATCGAAAAAGAAAACTACATGCCAACATCTCTGATGAATATTGACATAAAAATTCTCAACAAAATACTAGCAAACTGAATTCAACAATACATTAAAAATGTCATTCATCATGACCAAGTGGGATTTATCCCCGGGATGCAAGGATGGTTCAACATACACAAGTCAATCAATGTGATACAACATATGAAGAGAATGGAGGACAAGAACCATATGATCATTCCAACTGATGCTGAAAAGCATCTGATAAAATTCAACATCCCTTCATGGTAAAAATCCTAAAAAATCTGGGTATTAACATTACCTCAACAAAATAAAAGGCATGTATGACAGATCCATAGCTAGTATCATACTGAATGGAGAAAAACCAAAAGCTTTTTCTCTAAGAAGTGAAACACAACTAGGATGCCTACTTTCAGCATTGTTTTTCAACATAGTACTGAAAGTCCTATAGAGCAATTAAACAAGAAAAAGAAAAAAGGGTCATCCAACTCGAAAAGGAAGAGGTCAAATTATCATTGTTTGCAGATGATATTATATTTAGAAAAACCTAAAGCCTCCACCAAAAAAATGATAAGAATTGATAAATTCAGTAAAGTTGCAGAATACAGAATCAGCACACAAAAATCAGTGGCATTTCTATATGCCAACAGTGAACAATCTGAAGAAGAAATCAAAAAGTAATCCCCTTTATAATAGCCACAAATAAAAGTAAATACCTAGGAATTTACTTAGCCAAAGAAGTAAAGGATCTTACAAACTATAAAATACTGATGAAAGAAATTAAAGAAGACACACACAAAAAAATGCAAAGACATTGCATGGTCATGGATTGGAAGACACAATATTGTTAAAATGCCCATATTACCCAAAGCAATCTATAGGTTCAATGCAATTCCCATCAAAGTACCAATGACATTTTTACAGAAATAGAAAAAACAATCAGAAAATTTATATGGAAACACAAAAGACCTAGAATGGCCAAAGCTATCCTGAGCAAAAAGAACAGAACTGGAGAAATCATATTACCTAACTTCAAATCATACTACAGAGCTATAGTAATAACAACAGCATGGTACTGGCATTAAATCCGACACACAGACCAATGGAACAGAATAGAGAACCCAGAAAAGAATTCACATACCTATAGTAAATTCCTTTTAGAGAAAGGTGTCAAGAACACACACTGACTGGGCGTGGTGGCTCACACCTGTAATCCCAGCACTTTGGGAGGCCGAGGTGGGAGGATCATGAGGTCAGGAGATCGAGACCATCCTGGCTAACATGGTGAAACGCTGTCTCTACTAAAAATACAAAAAGATAGGCGGGTATGGTGGCACACACCTGTAGTCCCAGCTAATCTGGAGGCTGAGGCAGGAGAATTGCTTGAACCTGGGAGGCAGAATTGCAGTGAGCCAAGACTGCACCATTGCACTCCAGCCTGGGTGACAGAGCAAGACTCTGTCTCAAAAAAGGAACACACACTGGGAAAAAGACAGTCTCTTCAATAAATTATGGTGGGAAAACTAGAAATCCATATGCAAAATAATGAAACTAGACCCCTATCTCTTGCCATATACAAAAAGCAAATCAAAATGAATTAAAGACTTTAAAATCTAAGACTTCAAACTATGAAAGGACTACAAGAAAACATTGAGGAAACTCTTCAGGATATCAGTCTCGGAAGACTTTTTTTTTTTTTTTTTTGAGATGGAGTCTCGCTGCAATGCCCAGGCTGGAGTGCAATGGCGCACGCAGTCTCAGCTCACTGCAACCTCCACCTCCCGGGTTCAAGCAATTCTCCTGCCTCAGCCTCTCGAGTAGCTGGGATTACATGGCCAGCTAATTTTTGTGTTTTTAGTAGAGAAGGGGTTTCACCATATTGGCCTGACTGGTCTGGAACTCCTGACCTCAAGTGATCCACCCACCTCAGCCTCCCAAAGTGCTAGGATTATAGGCATGAGCCACCGTGCCTGGCCTGGGCAGACATTTCTTAATTAATACCGCATAAGCACAGGCAACCAAAACAAAAATGGACAAATAGGATCACAACAAGTTAAAAAGTTTATGCACAGCAAAGGAAATAATCAACAAAGTGAAGAGACAACCCACAGAGTAGTAGAAAATATTTGCATACTATCCATCTGGGAATTAATAACCCAAATATATAAGGAGACAAAATACTTTATAGGAAAAAACTAATAATCCAATTTAAAAATGAGCAAAAGAATTGAATAACTATTACTCAAAAGAACACATACAAATGGCAAACAGGTATATGAAAAGGTGCTCAACATAATCGATCATTAGAGAAATGTAAATCAAAACTACAATGACATAGCACTTAACTCTAGTTAAAATGTCTTTTATCCAAAACACAGGCAATAACAAATGCTGGAAAGGATGTGGAGAAAAGGAAACCTTCATATACTGTTGTTGTGAATGTGAATTAGTATAACCACTATGGAGACGGTGTGGTGGCTCACGCCTATAATCCCAATACTTTGGAAGGCCGAGGTGGGTGGATCACGGGTCTGGAGTTCGAGACCAACCTGGGCAACATGGTGAAACTCCATCTCTGCTAAAAAATACAAAAATTAGCCAGGCATGGTAGTTAAGCCTGGGAGGCAAACATTGCAGTAAGCCAAGTCATGCCACTGTATAGCCTGCGCCTCCAGAGTGAGACCCTGTCTCAAAAAAAAAATTTTTTTTTAAATCCACTATGGAGAATAATTTGGAAGTTCCTGAAAAAAGTAAAAATAGAGATATCATAAGATCCAGATCCAGCAATCCCACTGCTAGGTATTTATTCAAATGAAAGAAAATCAGTACATCAAAGAGATTTTATATCTGCACTCTCATATTTGTTGCAGCACCATTCACGATAGCCAAGATTTGGAAGCAACCTAATTGTCCATCAACAGATATATGGAGAGAGAAACTGTGGTACTTACACACAATGGAGTACTATTCAGCCACAAAAAAAGAATGAAATCCTGTCATTTGTAACAGTGATCCTGTTATTTTAATGAGCTGGAGGCAATTATGATAAGTGTTAAACCAGGCACAGAAAGACAAACATTGCATGTTCTCACTTATATGTAGGATCTAAAAATCAAAACAATTAAACTCATGAAGCTAGAGAGTAGAAGGATGGTTATCAGAGGCTGGGAAGCACAGTGTTGAGAGGGAAGGTGGGGATGGTTAATGAGTACAAAATAGTTAGAAAAATGAATAAGACCTAGTATTAGCACAACAGGGTGGCAATAGTCAAAATAATTTAATGGTACATTTTAAAATAACTAAGAGTATGATTAGATTGTAACACAAATGATAAATGCTTAAGGAGACAGATATTCCATTTTTCATGATGTGATTATTACACATTGCATGCCTGAATCAAAATATCTCATGTACTCCATAAATACATATGCCTACTAGATACCTACAAAATTTAAAAAATTACATTCATTATAAATCACCTAACCAACCCAATTAAAAATAAAAGATTGTCACACTGAATAAAAAAGCAAAACCTGACTATAAGCTGTGTACAACTTCATATTTTTTTAAAAAATTAAAAGAGAAAGATAGAAAAGAATATACTTATGCAAACACAAGGTCATAAGGAAGTTGAGTGGGTCAATACCAGTATCACAAAAAGTAGATTTTTTTTCAAATAAGACATATTACTAGGGATAAAGAGGGTCATTTCATCATAATAATAATCAGTGCATCATAGGGACATATCAGTTCTAAGTAGTATGCACCCAATAACAGAGCTTCAAAATGCATTAACCTGATAAAATGGAAACTGACAGGATTGATATTGATAAATATAACTGGAGATTTCAACTCCTCTCAGTAATTGATAAAACAAGTATAAAAAAATCAGTAGGAATACAGGAGATTTGAATAACACTGTCAATCAACTTTACCCATGTGATGTCTATAGGCTACTCCACACAGTAACAGCAGAAAACACATTCTTTCTAAGTGCAAATGGAACATTTGACTAGACCATATACTGGGTCATAAAACAAGTCTCAACAAATTTAGAAGAACTGAAATTATATAAAGTATGCTCTCTGATCAAAATGAAAGTAAATTAAAAACCTAAAACAGAAGTATTAATGTATCTAAAAATTTTCTAAATATTTGGGAAGTAAACAACACATTTCCAAATAACCCACAAGTAAAAGAAAACACAAAAGTAATTTGAAAATACTGAAATGAATAAAAATTAAAACATGACATATCAAAATTTGTATACTGTGGCTGGAGTAGTACTTAGACAATAATTTCTAATACTAAAATGCTCATATTAGAAAAGAAGATAATCTCAAATAAATTATCTAAGTTTCTACCCAAAAGAACTAACAAAAGAAGAGCAAATAAACAAAAAGTAAGCAGAAGAAAAAAACAGTAAAGGTGGAAATGAGAAAGCTAGAAATTAGCTAGGCATCTGTTAACATAGGCTCAAGCCTTCTTCATGTGGTCTCTCCACATGAGCTTGCTTAAGTTTCTTCAAGCTTGGAAGCCTCAGCGTAGCTGGACTTTTTACACAACAGCCAACCAAGATGGAAGCAGCACCATCCTTTACAGCCTAGCCTCAGAGTCACAAAGGGCCACTTCTGCCACATTCTGTTGGTTACAATCAACTCACAAGCTTGCCCAGATTCAAGGGGAGGCGAATTAGATGCCATTTCTTAATGAAGTAGTCTCAAGGTTCTAGAAAAAAAAAATGTGTTAAGGAAGATATTGTTGTAGACATCTTTGAACAATGTAATCTATATTATAGATCTGGGTTGACATATACTATCATTTCCATTTAACCTGAAAAACTACCTTTTACATTTCTGTGGTGCAAATCTGGTGACAAATTCTCTCAGCTTCTGTTTATCTGAAAATGTCTTTATTTTCCGTTTATTTTTGAAGGATATTTTCACAAGACATAGAGTTTTCATTGACAGGTTTTGTTCTGTTTTTCTTTCAGGACTTTACAGATATTCTACTGCCTTCTGGTTTGCTCTGTTTCTGATAAGTTGGCTGTAGCTCTTATCACTGTTCTTCATTATGTACTATACCTTTTCGTCTTTGGCTGCTTTAAAATTTTTCTCTTTATTATTGTTTATTTAGCAATCTGATAACAATGTGCCTCAGTGTAGCTTTCTTTGTATTTATCTTGATAAAGTTTTTTGAGCTATTTAAATTCGTGTGTTAATACTTTTTCTCAAACCTGAGAAACTTTGAACCCAGTTATGTATTAGGTCCATCTTATCTTTTAAATTACTGACTATATTAAATTATTTAAAGCCCCTGTCTGCAATTTCCAACGTATGTGTCATCAGTGGATCTATTTCTATTGTCTATCTTTTCTTCTTTTATGGGTAACATTTTCTTGCTTCTCTGCATGTCAAATTTTAGCTTTTTGCTGTAAAACTGTGTATGCTATGTGCTTGAGAGCGTGGAATTGTTTTTTTCTTCCTCATCCTTCAAAGGCTATTGAGTTTTGTTAGAAGGCATTTTTTTTTTTATCGGCAGAGTCACTTTATCTTGTGAAATTGTTAGGGTGAAGAGTAGCTCTTGGGGTTAATATCCAAAATATGTCAAAAACTCAAACTAAACAGCAAGAAAAATAACTCGATTAAAAAATGGGTAAAGGACCTGAATGGACATTTCTCAAAAGAAGATATGCATATGGCCAACAGGAATATGAAAAGATGCTTGGAATCACTAATTATCAGGGAAAGGCAAATTAAAACCATAATGACACATCAATTCATACCTAATAGAATAGCTACTATCAAAAAGACAAGAAATAACAAGTGTTGAAAAGGATGTGAAAAAAAGGAAATCCTTGTGCATTATTGGTGGAAATGTAAATTAGTACAGCCATTAAGAGAAACAGTATGGGAATTCCTCAAGTAGTTTTAACGTATACAACTACCATATGATTCAGTAATCCCACTACTGAGTATATATCCAGAGGAGATGAAATCAGTTTGTCAAAAAGATATCTGCACTCCTATGTTCATTGTAGCATTATCGCAATAGCCAAGATATGGAATCAATCTAAGTGTATATCAATGGAGGAATGCATAAAGAAAATGTAATATAAATAGACAATAAAATATGGAATATTATTCAGACTTTAAAAAGATGGAAATCCTGTCATTTGTGACAACATGGATGAACCTGGAGGACCTAATGTTTAGTAAGAAAAGGCACAGAAAGACAAATAGTGCATAATCTTACCTATACATGGAATCTACAAAAGTTGAACTCATAGAAGTAGACAGCAGAATGGTGGCTGCAAATGAACTCAAAGAAGTTGAGTCATATTGGTCAAATAATACAAAATTTCAGTTAGGAGAAATACGTGCAAGAGATCTATTATACAACGTTGTGACTTTAGTTAATAACAATGTACTGAAATCTTGAAAATTGCTAAGAAAGGAGACTTTGTTTTTTTAACCACCTAAAAAAGTATATGAAGTAATATATATATTAACTAGCTCAATTTAGCCACTCCAGAAGTATACATATTTCAAAACAACAAATGTACATGATGAACATATACAATTAAGAAAAAAAAAACAGAGGAGCTCCTCCTCTAGAGCTTTGAGTAGCACTCTTAAGACCTCATCTTCTGCGGTCTTACTAAATGCAAAAGATGTTTAGCTGGACTCTTCCATTCTGGTTGGTCAGAATTCCAATGTTTCCATGTATGTTTCCAGTGACCTTTGGCACCCTTATTCATCTCACAGACCTCCAGTGGCTGTTCTCTGCCAAGCCTCACAGAGTTTCACTCTGCACATGGCTACTAAATGTTTTTACCGAAGACTCAAGGTCTCTCCAGTGCTGATTAATAGAACTACTTCTTTGAACAACTCCTTGCTCTCTGGTACCTTGCTCCACCAATCCCAGCTGTCACATCAGCCCTATATGCCAGTCTCTGGGATTTTGCTTTTGTGTTTTCTGTGTAAAAACACTGCTTTTTGTTTGGGCTCTGCTTTCCTGTGTTACTGTTTAGACAGTGTCCCCAGACAGAAAAATGGAGAATGGCAAGATTACCTTATGTGTTTCCCCTTCTTTGAAGGATCACAGCCTTTTTATGTCTTCTGTCTAATGCATGAATAGGGTTGCTTCATGTAGTTTATCCAATTTACAATTGTTTATGGCAAAAGGGTAACTTTGATACCTTTTACTCTGTGATGGCTGTAACTAGAAGTCCTATTAATGCCTTTTTAAATTAAAAATAGCACTGCCAATAAAACCTTAATTTCCATACATCAAAAGTCAACCAAAGGAAACTAATAAGTAGTAAAATAAAAATGTGGGGCAAGGGTGTGAGCAGACTCGTGTAATTTCCCATTATTTTAATTTTCTTAGAATAAAAAAAATTCCAAGAGTCACATCATTTCTTGTTCATTTTCATTTCTCACCAACAGCTCTTCATTCTTTCCTAACCAAAGCCTAATTTTGCATTCAACTTCGAGTAGATGATTTATGATGAGTCAACTATGCCAATAATGATGCTCCTATTTTACTTTGTCAGATACTCAATCTCCCAGCCTCCCATAGAGCTGGAAGTGATCATATGGCAGTGTTTTATTCAATGAGACATACAGGAAAGTTTGTCAGGGATCTCCTCAAAAGGTTCTTATTTTCTTAATAAAAGGAATAGGTGAAGGCTGTTCCATTTCCTGTCTTGAATGTGGGTCTCTTCTGACTGTAATATACATGAGAATGAAGAGTTCACACTCTAATTATACCAAAGGAGGAGAAACAAAAGAGCCTGGGTCCATAATGACATCACTGAGCAACTAAACCAATACAGCAACTGACTGCCTTTGAGAAAAATAAAATTTATTTGTTTAAGCCACTCTTTAAGTTTTGTATTTCTTATAATAGAAAGCATTTCTGACTAATTAATGCACATACCATTTGTTCTTTAAACTAACAATAGTTTGCATATAAGATGTAGCTAGTTTTTAAATAGAATATTAGAAGAAAGTAGTTAGAAGCTGCATTCTTTTGAAGCCTTTGGACCAATCAGGTTTTCTTTAGTGTCTATTAAATGCACGCCTCCCTTATATCACCCCATAGATTACAAACTTCCTTGTAGCTAGAGATCTTCTGTTTTAAATATGAGTCTAAGCACTTCTGGGAGTTCAAATTAGCTTGCTGATAAACTCTATTTCTAGATGTTCTATAAGTTATCTCTGTTATCTAGGTATTCTTTGACTGCATTAGGAACAAGGACCCTAAACACCTAAAACTTTTTTTCCCCTGACAGAAATGAGTTTGCTGGTAAGATAAACAAGCACAGGGATGGTCACTGTCTTACGTTCACATTCTCTGACGTCCAAGTTGAACTGCTGTAATGCTCCCAAGGTGAGCTGCCGCACTTCAGCTTCCAACAAAAGTTGCATCAAGGATGTGGCTAAATGCTTGCAAGCTGACATACACGCTGTCTGGGCCACCTTTCCCTGAAACACAAGAGTGTAAATCATAAAGTTAATGCATCTAACATAAATTAAAATAAAATTTCAACAAAACTTAAAATTACTTCTTTTTCAATTAGGAATTTCCCTAAGGTTCTCCTCATCATAATACCCTTCCATTCAAATAATCTTGGAATTAAAGCATCTGATGGCAATCATCTTATATAATAGCTCCGTCACCATCAGTCATGGTAGCTGTAACACTAAGCTAAAATTCACAAAGCCCAGTTATTTAGTCAAGAATTACTTCTTTTCTAAATTGACATCAAACAATATTCAAAATTTTAAGTAAAGTGAGAAACAATATTCTACAATATTGCAGAATACAATATTCCACAGAGAATAAATTTCAAAAACTTCCTTCCAAATTAAAAAATTCTTAAAAATAAAATGTGAACAATAATCCCCACTGTATCTAGAAACCAGTGTTTACTGCTTTATGATTTAACACATATAAAGTGAAAATAATTATGGCCAGGAGCGGTGGCTCACGCCTGTAATACCAGCACTTTGGGAGGCCGAGGCGGGCAGATCACAAGGTCAGGAGATCGAGACCATCCTGGCTAACACGGTGAAACCCAATCTCTACTAAAAATGCAAAAAAATTAGCTGGGCGTGGTGGCAGGCGCCTGTAGTCCCAGCTACTCAGAAGGCTGAGGCAGGAGAATGGCATAAACCCGGGAGGCAGAGCTTGCAGTGAGCAGTGCCACTGCACTCCAGCCTGGGGGACAGAGAGAGACTCCGCCTCAAAAAAGAGGAGAGGGAAGGGGAGGGGAGGGGAAGGTTATTTAAAACAAAAAGATTACCTGAAAAAAATAATTAAGGGGATGCATTTTGTTTTCTTAGAAAATACTGAGATTTATGAATATAAACTCTAGGTCAATTTTGAAAATATGGATTTTAAAATTAATATTTTAGTGTCTTCTTTAAAAGATTCAAAGTACTCTACATTTAGTGAATTACATAAATTTTATATCTGTTATTTATAATCTGTTTCAAAATACAGGATGATGTTTTAAAAACACTATGATCAAATTATTTAGTGAATCATCCTTCTTTTTTGAAATAACAAAATATTTCAGCCATACAGAAAAATACAGAATCATCAGATAAATACTTAACGTATCCCCTAAACATTACAAATACAGTTTAAGCCCCGGTGTGACCTCCTTAATCATGTTCCTCCCAGTCCCCACAGATGACCATTATTGGTATTAGGTATCCCATTTGTTTTTAAAAAGTACTATTATGACAAGTATATAACCAGAAACAATATGCTGTATTATTTTACATATTTTGAAACTTTCTATAATATTATGTAGGTCCTTCTGCAACTTCCTTTTTCAGTTGAATATTATGAATATGAAGATTTTGAAGTGTATTGTATCTAGTTGTAGTTTATTCCTTTAGTTGTTCCATAGTATTCCTTTTTGGAAGTATACCACAATTTATTTGGCCATTCTTCTCATGCTGGAGATTTAAGTTATTTCTTTTTCTTTCTTTCTTTTTGTTTTGGCTATTATAAACAGAGTAAGTCAGTTCTAGTAAGAGATCATGAAAATGCAAGAGCATGACTACAGTGTCCCTTTTATATGTTTTTTCATATGTTATGCTGGGCCAGGGTCTTCAATGAATCTAGCAGGCTTTAAAGAGAAAAACCATAAATAAATAATATCATACTACATTTTAAAATTTACATAATTTTATGTACTTTGGATAATTTCTTTGGAATTACTTTTTGAAGCTACTAGGATGAGGGGTATCAAGACTGTGATCCATAATGCATATGCTTATATGTGAAGACAAACACAAGTGAAAACTAGACTCCCAAATATCCAGTTAAATGACTCTGCTTATGGTATGTTCTGATTTGCATTGTCCCCAGATATTTCGTAGAGTATTACTTCATTGCATAATCACCAGCAGTTTTATAAGTTTTTCTGCTAATTTTTCTACCAATGAAACAAAAGATATTTTATGGATTTTATGTCTTTGATTACTGTGTGCAATTGAATATTTTCTAAATTAGTATTTATTTGACTCAAATCTTATTTGTAGCATAAAAAATAATGATGACCTATTTCAGTATACAGACTATAAATTTTCCTCATCTCCATGGTTTCATTTGTATTTTCTGATGGGCCACACTCTGCATGATTTAAAACAACAAAGGAGGTAATTTAGAGATCAAGTGGAACAGACACAATAGAGGCAAAAACAAATTCTAAAGAGAAAAGTCACATCATAAAAGAAATCCACATTAAATTACTTGGTTTTAATTAAACCCACCAGAGACCTAGGACAGGCACCTCCAAAGAAAAACAGGGTTCAACATAATGGTCTGGCTATGCCAACTGTGAACTTTCAGAGGGGACAAAGGTATGAGACCAGCACAATACTGAACATTATTCCCCATCGCTTGCTTTTGTCAGCTTTGTCGAAGATCAGATGGTCGTAAGTGTGTGGAATTATTTCTGGGCTCTCTATTTCATTCCATTGGTCTATGTGTCTGTTTTTGTACCAGTACCATGCTGTTTTGGCTACTGTAGCCCTGTGGTATAGTTTGAAGTCAGGTAACGTGATGTCTCCAGCTTTCTTCTTTTTGCTTAGGATTGCCTTGGCTATTCGGGGTCTTTTTTGGTTCTATATACATTTTTAAATAGTTTAGTTCTGTGAAGAATGTTATAAATAGTTTGATAGGAGCAGCATTGAATCTGTAAATTGCTTTGAGCAGTATCGCCATTTTAACTATATTACTTCTTCCTACTCATGAATATGGCATGTTTTTCCATTTTTTTTGAGTCATCTCTGATTTATTTGAGCAGTGTTTTTATACTTCTCATTATAGAGCTCTTTCATGTCCATGGTTAGCTGTATTTCTAGGTATTTTATTTTTTTGTATGGGATTGGGTTCCTGATTTAGCTCTCTACTTTGGTGCTATTGGATGCTATTGGTGTACAGGAAGGCTACTGATTTTTGTACATTGATTTTGTGTCCTGAAACTTTGCTGAAGTTGTTTATCAGCTCAAGGAGCTTTTAGGCAGAGTAGCCATATGCAGAAGATTGGAATCAGACTCCTTCCTTGTACCATATACAAAAATCAACAGAAGATGGATTAAAGACTTAAATGTAAAACCTAAATCTATAAAAACTTTGGAAGATAACTTAGTAAACACCTTTCTGGACAAGGGAACTGTCAAAGATTTCATGACAAAGACCCTAAAAGCAATTGTAACAAACGCAAAAACTGACAAATGGGATCTAATTAAACCTAAGAGCTTCTGCACAGCAAAATAAACTATCAACAGAGAAAACAGAAAACCTACAGAATGGAAGAAAGTATTTACAGACTATGCATCTGGCAAAGGTCTGATGTCCACAATCTATAAGGAACTTAAACAAATTTACAAGCAAATAAACAAACAAACCCCCTTAAAAAGTAGGCAAAGGACATAAACAGCCACTTTTCAAAAGAAGTCACACATGTGGCCAACAAGCATATGACAAAATGTTCAACGTCACCAATCATTAGAGAAATGCAAATCAAAACCAAAAGGAGATATCATCTCAAACCGGTCAGAATGGCTATTATTAAAAAAAAAATTAAAAAAACAGACACTGGCAAGGTTGCAGAGAAAAGAGAACACTTACACACTGCTGGTCAGAGTGTAAATTAGTTCAGCCATTGTGGAAAGCAGTGTGGTGATTCCTCAAAGAACTAAAAACAGAGTACCCATCAACCCAACAATCCTACTATTGAATATATAACCAAATGAATATAAATTGTTTTACCATAAAGACATATGCACACCTATGTTCACTGCAGCACTATTCACAATACCAAAGTCATGGAATAAACCAAAATGCCCATCAACAGTAGACTGAATAAAAAAATTAGGTACCTATACACCATGGAATACTACACAGCCATAAAGAAAGAATGAGATCATGTTCTTTGCAGCAACATGGAAGGCACTGGAGACCTTTATCCTTAAGAAACTAAAGCAGGAACAGAAAACCAAATGCCTCATGTTCTCACTTATAAGCAGGAGCTAAATAAAAAGAACACATGGTCACAAAGAGGGGAATAACAGATGCTAGGGCCTGCTTGAGGGTGGAAGATGGGAGAAGTGAGAGGATCAGAAAAAATACCTTTCAGACACTATGCTTAATACCTGGGTGATGACATAATCTGTACACCAAACCCTCATGACATGAGTATACCTATATAACAAACCTGCCCATATACTCCTGAACCTAAAAGTTAAAAGAAAACAAACAAACAAAAAATGAAAACAAAGCAAAACAAAAGGTGTGAGACTCTATAGCTTTTCAACAATGAGAGTGGGAATAGAGTGAATGAATGAAGCAAGACTATATGATCATCTCAATAGATGCAGAAAAGGCATTTGAAAAAACTCAGCCTCCTTTCATGATTAAAAAAAAGCTCTCAACGAATTAGGTATAGAAGGAATGTAACTTAATACATTAAAAGCCATATATGACAATCCTATAGCTAATGTCATACACAAAAGTGAAAAGCTGAAATCTTTTTTTTTAAGATTAGGAACAAGACAAGGGTGTGTACTCTCATCATTTCTAATCTACACAGTTCTGGAAGTGCTAGTCACGGTAGTTAGTCAAGAGAAAGAAATAAAAAGCATCCAAATTGAAAATGAAGTTAAATTGTTCACTAATTGTTTGAAAAATATATATGATCTTATATAGACAGAACTCTAAAAATTCCACCAAAAACTGTTAGAATAAACAAATTCAGTAAAGTTGCAGGATACAAAATAAACATGCAAATATCAGGTGTGTTTCTATATGCTAACAACAAACTATCTGAAAAAGAAATCAAGCAAAAAATGTCACTTACAACAACTATTTAAAAAAACTTGGAAATAAATTTAGCTAAAGAGATAAAATATTTGTATATTTAAAAGTATAAAACAATACTAAAAGAAATTTAAGAAGACACAAAGAAATGGAAAGACGTATCATGTTCATGAATTGAAGGAATTAATATTGTTAAAATGTCCATTCTACCCAAAGTGATCTACAAACTCAATGCAATCCTTATCACAATACCAATGACTTTTTTCAAATAATAGAATAAATAATGCTAAAGTTCGTATGGAACCACAAAAGACCCCAAATAGCCAAAGCAATCTTTAACAGAAATAACAAAGATGGAGCTGTCACATAGTCTGATTTCAAAATCCAATACAAATCTATAGTAATCAAGACAGTATGGCACTAGTGCAAAAACTGATACACAGACCAATGGAACAGAACACAGAACTCTGTAATAAACCCACACATTTATGGTCAACAAATTTTTGATAAAGATACCAATAACACACAATGGGGAAAAGATTCTTCAATAAATGGTGCTGAGGAAACTAGACATCCACACGCATAAGAATGAAATTAGTCCCTCATCTCACATTGTAAACAAAAAATAATTCAAAATAGATTAAAGACTTAAACATAAGACCTGAAACTATGAAACTACTAGAAAAAAAAAACAGATGAAAAAGCTCCATGACATTGATCTGTACAATGACTTTTTTTTTTGTATATAACCACAAAAGTACAGGCAACAAAAGCAAAAACAGACACACAGGATTACATCAAACTAAAAAGCTTCAGGACAGCAAAGGAAACAATCAAAAGTGTGAAGAGAACCTACAGAATGGGGGAATATACTTGCAAACCACACATCTGATAAGGAGTTAACATCCAAACTATATAAGGAACTCAAACTCAATGACAAGAAAAGAAATAAACTGATTAAAAAATGGGCAAAGGATCTGAATAGACATTTCTCAAGAGAAGACACATGAATAGCCAAGACGTATATGAAAACATGTACAACATCACTAGTCATCAGAAAAATGCAAATTAAAACCACAATGAGATACCACCTCTCATTTGTTACAATGAATATTATCAATAAGACAAAAGGTAACAAGTGTTGGTGAGAATGTGGAGAAGAGGGAACCTTTGTCAACTGTTGGTGGAAATGTAAATTAGTATAGCTACTATTGAAAACAGTACGGAAGTTCCTCACAAAATTTAAAATAGTATTACTGTATGATCCAGCAATCCTACTAATGAATATATACCCAAAGGATATGAAATCAGTATGTCAAAAAGACACCTGCACTGCCATGGTCATTGGAGCATTATTCACAATAGCCAAAATATGAAGTCAACCTATTGTCCATCAATGGATGAATGTAAAAAAAAAATCTGCTATATATATACACACACACATACATACATACAGTGGAATACCACATATGCTCATAGGCATGAGCAAAAAAAAAAATGATGTAAAACAGGAACTTATATTTAAAAGAGAAGCAGAGGGCAGAAGTTTAGAAAAATTGCAGCCTGGTCATGTAGTAGAAAAGAACAGCCCATTTTCAGGAGAAGAATTCAAGCAGGCTGCTGAGCAACCACTTGCTAGAGGAATCTGCATAACTAAAAGGAAGGTAAGTGTTGATAGCCAAGACAAAGGGGAAAAGGTCTCCGAGGCAAGTCACAGACCTTTAAGGCAGCCCCTCCCATCACAGGCCCAGAGGTTTAGGAGGACAGAATGGTTTCATGGGCCAGAACCAAGGCCTCACTACCCTGTGCAGCCTCAAGACACTGTTCCCTGCATCCTAGCTGCTCCAACTCCAGCCTTGGCTCAAAGGTGCATAGGTACAGCTCAGGCTGCTACTTCAGAGGGTGCAAGCCATAAGCCTTGGCAGCTTTCATGTGTTAAGTGTGTGGGTGCACAAAGTGCAAGAGTTGGGATTCATGCTAAATGAACAGATTTTAACTGCTCTTGCCTAACACACAGAGAAAATACGGGAAACTATGTGAGATGATGGATATGTTAATTTGCTTCACTATAGTAACCTTTTTACTATCTATATGTATTCTGTAACATCATGTTGTACACCTTAAATAAATGTAATGTAATTTAACTTTTTAAAAATAATTTTACATTAGTGTCCGTTTTGTGCCTAGGTTCTTTTGCTCAGCATGTTTCTGAGATTCATTCATACAGTTGCCTTTTTCCTGATTTGAGAAGTATTCAGTCTTTCATCATTAAGTAAAATGTTAGCTATAGATTTCTTATAGATATCCTTTATCAGATTACATAAGACTAGCCTACACTGCTGACAGAATTTTATTTTTCTTGAAAGGGTGTTCAATTTTGTTAAGTGCTTTCTGTGTACATATTAAGATGAGCACATGGATACACTCACACACACAGTTATATAACTTATACAATACACCTTACTTAGGCACAGTGTATCTTTTTAAAATATAATGCTGGATTTCATTTGATACTATTGTGTAGAAGATTTTGAGTCCGTGTTTATGCAGGATATTAGTCTACAGTGTTCTGTTCTTATATTGTCATTGTTTGATTTTGCTATTAGAGTAATGTTGGTCTCATAAAATAAGTTTAGAAAACCCTTTTGTTTTGTGAAGCATTTTGCTTAGAATTGGTTTAATTTTTTTCAGAAATGTTTGATAGAATTTACTAGTGAAGAAATCTCAGCCTGTAGTTTCTTTGTGGGAGGGTTTTTAAAATATAAATTCAAATTCTTTATTACAAATAAGCCTATTTGGGTTTTCTGTTTATTCTTGAGTAATTTGTAATTTGTGTCTTTTATAAATGTATAATTTGTGTAATTCAAAGAATTTAACCAAGTCACCTACATGGTCAAATTAATTAGAATAAAGTTGTTCATATTTTACTTGACTATATATTTAGTCTCTGTAGTTTCTGAGGTCTGTAGTGATATTCCTATTTTCATCCCTGACATTAATAATTTGAATCTTCTTTTTTTCTTAACCAATGTATTTTTTTTAAAAAATAGTGTTTTATTTCTTCCACTATTGTGTCCATTTACTATTTCATTAATTTCTGCTCTTATATTTATTATTTCCTTTTTCCTATTGAGCTGGGTTTCAATTTGCTCTTCTTTTTTTAGCTTCATAAGACAAAACTTGGACTTTGATTTTGGATCTTACTTTTCTTATAACATAAGTACTTAAAGTGATCAATTTTCCTCTAAGCTAGCAGTTCTCAACTGGGGGCAATTTTGTTTCCCAGGGACATTTGGCAATGTCTGAAGACATGTTTGGTTGTCACAACTGGCAGGAGGTGGAAGGAGGGGAGAAACGCTACTGGCATATCATGGGTAGAGGCCAGGGATACTGATAAACATCCTATAACACCCTGGACAGTCAAACACACCTGGTCCACAATGTCAATACTACCAAGGTTAAGAAACTTTGCTCCAACCAGTGCATTAATTGCATCCCACAAATTGTGATAAGTAGTGTTTTCATTTTTCTTCAGTTCAAAATATTTTCTAAATTTCTTTGTGGTTTCTTCCTTGAGAAAGAGGTTATTTAGAAAAATGTTGTCTAATATCCAATGATTTGGTGATATTTTTGGAATATATCTGTTATAGATTTCTAATTTAATTGTGTTGTAGATGACTAACATAGTCTATACAGTTTTACTCCTTTTGAATTTACTGACGCATGTTTTATAGCCCAGGATGTGGTCTAGCTTAGTGAATATTCCAATATGCACTAAGAAAAAAAAGCTGCTATTGGTGGTGTAATATCCTATAAATAGACATCAATTAAGTCAAGTTGTATGATAATTGTTGTTCAAGTCTTCTATAGCTTTACTGATACCCTATTTATTTTAATAATTTTAATTTTAATAATTACTGAAAAGACTTAAAATTAGCAGCTGCAATTATGAATTTGTCTATTCATCTTTTCAGTTCTGCCAGTTTTTGTTTGATGCATTTTGAAGATTTGTTATTGAGTGCAGACACACGGTTGTAATGTCTTCTTGATTAATTGACCCTTATATCATAATGAAATGTCAATTTTTATCCCTAGAATAATCCTGCTTCTTAGGTCTACTTTACCAGACATTAATACAGAAACTCAATGTTTTAATGATTAGTATTTGCATGGTATATCTTATTCCTTGCTATTACTTCTGACCAATCTATGTCTTTATACATTAGAGTGATGTTCTTGTAAGCCAAATATAGTTGAGTCATTCTGCTTTATCCAGAGTAATAAATCTCTGCCATTTATTCAGAGGGTTTACATCATTAATTATACTTAATATAATTCACAGTACGATTGGATTTAAATCTATTATGTTGATCTTAGTTGTCTTTTTGTCTAATCTGCTCTGTTTCCTTTTTCCTATTTCCTGTCTGCTCTTATATTACTTAAGTGTTCTTTATAATGCTATTTTATTTCCACTTTTGACTTAATAGTTATATTTCCTTATTTTATACATTTAGTATCTGAGGCTTTGTAATAAGTCTCTTTAAATTATCACAGTTTATCTTGAATTATATTACACAATTCCATATATAAAAACAGTATTCTTGCATTTACCTCCTTCCAGGTGATTATTTTCACATATTTTACTTCTATATATGTTATCAATATATACATTGTCATTATTTTTGCTTTTAAAGTCCATTACATATTAAAAAACAAAAATTGAGTAAAAACTTTTTTATCTTAACTACATATTTTTCATTTCTGGTATTCTTTGCTCCTCTATGTAGATGCAAGCTTCCATTTTATATTATTTCTGAAAAACTTAATTTGATATTCCTGAAATTCATGTCTTCTGTCAATAAATTCCCTCAGCTTTTGATCATCTAAAAAAGTCATTATTATACCTTAATTTTTTGCTGATTATAGGATTCCTTGGTGATGGTTCTTTTTTATTCTTTCAGCATTTTAATCGTGTCATTTCATTATTTCTGGTTTGCATAGTTTCTGATTAAAAAGAAGTATCTAGTCATTTCATCACTTTTTCTCTGTATGTACTATGTATTTTTTCCCTAGTTGCTTCTAAGAGTTTCTTTTTATCGTTGTTTTTCAGCAAGTTGTTTTAATCAACTTTCAAAAATTTTTAGTCACTATTTCTTCAAATACTTTACCTATTCTTCCTTCCTTTCCTCTTTTTCCGAGAAGGCAGTTAGACAAGACATACTGTCTGTCCCCCAAGAATCTCAGGTTCAGGAAAAATTACTCCTCCATTGAATTGCTTGAACCTGGGAGGTGGAGGTTGCAGTGAGCCGAGATCGCACCACTGCACCCCAGCCTGGGTGACAGAGCGAGACTCTGTCTCAACAACAACGAAAAATTCTTCCTCCATTAATTCTCCTCTATACGTCAGTTTGCATGATTTCCATGGCTATGTCTTTTAAGTTCTCCAATCTTATTTTCTATAGTTGCTAATTTCTACTAATACAATTCAGTGTAATTTTCATTTTAGATATTACATTTTTGTTATTAGAAGTTCCATTTGATTCCTTTTTGTATAACTTCTATTACTCTCATTTTATTACCTTTAAATATTGAATATATTGAGCATGTGTGTATGAGCATATAAGCATTTTTAAAGCATTTGCCTTCTAATTCTGTCACTTCTGTCATGTTTGGATGTTTATATGGACTGATTTTCTTCCATGTTATGGATCACATTTTCCTGTTTCTTGGCATATCTAGCAAATTTTTTATTGAATACTGGATATTGTGAATGTTACTGTTGAATATCAGTACTTTGTTAAATTTCCTTAAGGAGGGTTGGGCTTTGTTATTGCAAACAATTAAGTTACTCCCGGATCAGTGTGAAATTTTAAAGTTTACTGGTATGCACTTTTATGCAGAGATCAGAATTATCTTTTATGTAGAGGCCCAAAACTATACTATTAGGTCCAGGACTAATGCTGCTTTAGACCCATGACTAGCCTCTCATTGCTGTCTCTGCTGTATGCTTCAGTTCAGTGGGGCCTTCACCTTCTTACAGGTTGTAATTTGAACATCCCCACCCCCATCTCTTCATCTGAGTTCTGGCAATTGTGCTTAGCTTCTGTGCCCTCACAATTTGATGGTTTGTTTGTTTGATTGTTTGTCTGACCTCATGGACTTTTCGCCCTATACATTAATAGCTTAGTATTCAGCCAAAGCCTCAAAAGAATCTCAATGCAAGGTTATTCTTCCCAAAACTCTTTTTCATTTCCAAACTGCTTCCTAGCAAATTTCAGTTATTTCGTCCCCAAACTCCAGTCGTTGTCTTCTTACCAGTATTGCTATGCTTTGCCTGGGTTCACCCTTTCTTGCACTGCAGTGTTACAAAGTACTTCTAGGAGATTGCTGGGTTTACACTTCATTTGTTGGTCTTCTCTCATGGATCACTTTCCTGCACTCCCTGCTGTATGGTATTTAAAAACAGTTGTTTCATTTATTTTGTACAGTATTCTAGATGTTTATGGTTGAGATCAAGTCTGGTACTAGCTACTATACTGTGGCCGGTAGTGGCTACCTCAACATTTTTTGAAATATATTTTTGCTGAGTACTGAAGTGTGCATTGGCAGTTTTGTTCTCTTTTGGAATTTTATACATTTCATTCTGTTGTCCTCTGGCCTTCATCATTTTTATACGAAGTCAGCCACAATTCTTACTGTTTTTCCCATGAATGTGTCCTTGTTCTCTGGCTGTTTGTAAGACTTTTTTCTTTAATATTGGCAATCTGACCATTATGTGCCTAGGTATAGTTTTCTTTAAGTTTATCCTGTGTGGGCTGCTGAGCTTCCAGAATCTGTGGATTGATGCATTTCTTCAGATACAGAAAATTCTCAAGCATTCTCAAGTACAAAATTCTTTAAGTACTGCTTTGTATCATTCTCTTTCTCTCTTCTCCTTCTGGGACTCCAAATATATCCATTTAAAACCTTTCAACTGTGTTCCACCTATCTCATATGCTCTTTTCCATTCTTAACATCAAAAATAAAATTTTTAGTGCTGGACATGGTGGTGCACACCTGTAATCCCAACTACTTGGAAAGCTAAGGTGGAGGATCCTGTGAGCCCAGGAATTTAAGTCCAGCCTGAGCAACATAGTGAGACTCAAATCTCTTTTATCACTCTGTGTGTTTCAGTTTGGGTGCTTTCTACAGACCCATATCTGAGTTCACTAATCTTGAATTCTGCTTTGTTAAGTCTGTTTTTAAACCCACTCAATACATTTTTAAAAATTCATGTAATGAGCTGTTATTATAGATTTTATATTTTGCTATTCTAGAATACATATTTCATTCTTTTTTTAAAAATCTTGATTTATAATTTAAAGGCTGTGCAGGTCCTGGTTCCTCATTTCTGTTGCTCACAGGCCCGCTGCTCTGGAGTCAGGGTTTTCTGTTCAAAGGCATGGATACACAAGAGATTTTCAGCTGGGCATGCATTCATCAGCTGGTAACCCTGAAGCAGTGGCTTACCCTTGGCCTTGGTCAACATACCAGGACTAAGAAGCTGGATGTGCAACAGCTGAGCTTTACATCTTCTACCTCCATGCCTCTGGGTCCTGTTGCAACTTCCCCTGGTGGCATTCAGTGCTAAGTTCCATAATGGCAGTCCAGCTTGGGCAGCAGCCCAGTGAGGATTGAACCCCAGCTCAGACCCTGGCCATACTCCACATCTGATTCTTAATCTCTATTCAAATAATTCATCTTTGATACAATTTGTCTATTCTTTCCCCTGTTTTCTTTAACATGTTAATCATAGCTATTTTGAAGTCTTTGCTAACATCAATATCCGGATCAGCTCATGATCTGCTTCTACTGACTATTTAAACCTTTGATTTTAGGTCAGTTTTCTCCACTTACTAGCACCTTAGAAAATTTTGTTTTGTGTGGCATACATTGCAGATAAAGTGGTATAGAGAGACTAGATTATCTTATCAGCCCCAGCAGAGTTTTGAGTTTTGTTCTAGCAGACAGTTAAATTATTGATGGATTATCTTGATTTTGTCAGGCTTGTTTTTAAACTTTATTACAATGGGTCCACATTAGTTTTGCCCTTACTCTGAAAGGACCTTATACTTAATCCCTGTGTATGACCTCATTGATATTTTAACTGAAAGCACAAAGTGCTCATCTGCTCTCTCTGTGGGCCCAATTCTCAATGTCTCTGCTACGTAATTTCTAGAATATTTGCTCAGCAATCAGTATGCTAGCAGCTGCTGTCTTCAAAGCCCCCAGAGTGTGCCCTATGCACCTGCAGCTTACAGCTTAGAAATGAGTCAAGGAAAAAGGGGAACTTAATGAAGGTTTGGTTTTTTTGTTTGTTTGTTTGTTTTTGGGGTTCTTTTTTTTTTTGAGACAAAGTCTCACTCTGTAACCAGGCTGGAGTGCAGTGGCATGATCTCAGCTCACTGCAGCCTCTACCTCCCAGTTCAAGCAATTCTCCTGCCTCAGCCTCCCAAGTAGCTGGGACTACAGGCGCATACCACCACGCCCAGCTAATTTTTGTATTTTTTTAGTAGTGATGGGGTTTCACCATATTGGCCAGGCTGGTCTCGAACTCCTGACCTCGTGATCCACCCACCTTGGCCTCTCAAAGTGCTGGGATTACAGGCGTGAGTCACCATGTCTGGCCAAAGATTTTTTTAGGGGAGTTTCTTCTCCATCTTTTCTCTCCTCTTTGGTATCCTGCTTATCTAAATCCTATACTTACAGACATCCAAAACATTGATCCCTTCTTTCACTTAGCAATAGTGTAATTTTATATTTTCTCCAGGTTTTTATGGTTGTTTATGATTAGAGGATAAAACTGATACCATGGTATCACAATTAGAAACCAAAATGAATCTTTTTAATTTACTAAATTTATATGAAACCAGAAGAAAACTATAATAGATATTTAAAGAATTTCTTTCTGGTCAAGAATCTTCTAAGCTTTAGTCTTGATTTCCATTGTCATCTAGGCAAACATTTTTGCTTTATTTACAAAATGCTTATATATGTGTGTCTTTTGAACCCAAATTTACAGTAAAGGATAAAGGGTGTAGCCATTAATCAGTGCATGCCCAATTCAAAACAACAATAACACCACCAACAAACACCTAATGTGTTCTACTGGCAAGGACTAATAATAGTGTCAGAGCAAAAGCAAAGAAAAAATATATATAAAGATAAATAGAAAAATTACAGATGTGTGGTTTAATAAAAACCAATATACACTTTAAATGTGATGCTCTAGAACACTGACTTTAACCTTTGTCTCAATTTCCTTATCTGCCAAACAGAATTATTATAATAGCTAAATAAAAATAAATCTTATGTAGCATTTTTAATACAGTACCTGGATTATATGTTAAGTACTTAGTCAATATCTTCTGATTTATTACAACTTTTATTCCTATGATCCTATATAGTAAATAATTGAAAATGACATTAGGTATATTTGCTTAAAATGTAAGTATTTTATGAATGCATCATATTTTACAAAGTATATCTTTTATAGTCATATGATTTTGTTTTTTTATTCTAATAATTCTGTATGTGCAAAAAAGTGGAAAATGTATTTCCTGTTCTGAAGCAAATCAAGGAGAACAGACAATTAAGTGCTAAATTGAGCATAATATTATGAGGGCACAATACTCAGAGAAGGTTTCAGAAAAGTGGTGGGGCTTGCTGGGTGACCCTCATTACATCCCAACAACAATGACATGGGAATTTTTTTAAGTGGCTTAAAAATTGAAATGGAGGTAATATAAAGTATCCTAAAAATAACAAATATTACTACTGTATAAACCTCCATAGAATGAGAATTACTCATAATGGAAAATAAAAATTCTTCCTTTCTCTTTCCTCAACTCCTGTTCAGGTTAAAGGTTAACTTTATCAAGTCATCTCATTAACAAAGACATGTCTTTGAAATTATTCAGTCTTTGCTATGCTTAATGTTTCACCAGACTACAACCAAGATGTCAAAGAATCTGATTCAAATATTAATGAGCAAAAGGTCATGATGAAATAATCTACAAAGCCCTATTAGTTCCTGTTTTCTGACCCTATCCAATTCCCATTGCCCTTTTTCCAGTTCTCTCTTACTACACACATTTACAGTCACTGGCTTGGTTTCAAGACACACCCTCTCAACTGTAATTTCACTTAAAGTGCATTTTAAGTGGAGCCCTCCCAGATGCCAGATCCCCAATCCAAGGATGATCTGTAGAGGTATAAAGTTAAAATTGAAAGGAAGAAAGGGAATCAACCAAAAACTAAATCCAATTTTGATGCTTAACTACTAGAACAAAAAAGAGAAAAGAAAAAAAGGAAAAATAAAAAAGAAACTTTGTCTTTCAAACTTTCCAATAAGCCATTTAATAATGTGACAAAGCAAGAGTATTAAAATATTAACTAAAGCTTCCAGGAAAACCTCTATAATCTCAATTGTTTATTCAAGACCTTTACAAACCTCATAAAAAATTAAGTGGGCTTGGAAAAAACACACCACAGCCATAGGAGAAAGTTTACAAAATACAATGGTAGACGCCTGACTGTCTGCCAGCCAGTCTCTTTTAACTTCCACATACAACTTATTACTCAGTCCCTAACTGGTCAATACCCTAAATAAGAGCATTTCTCCTCCCAAACACCTCATTAGCCCTAGTTTCTTTTTTGCTTTTTTGAGCTAAAGTATCCTGTAGGTGCTTTGGTCATTATTTTCTGCCAATAACAAATGCTTCATTTCAGAATATTTAAAACCTTAGGCTTCTCTGAGGGAAATCATTTAAGATATGCTTTACAAGAACTTAATAAGCTCTTTAATTAACCTCAATATGGGAGAATGGTGCATGAACCAACACATCCATATTATGGGAAATGGTAGTAAAAACAAGATAGGACTAAAAAGGAAGTGATATGGAGAGAAATAGCAAAGATTTGGGTTCATATTAACTTAGGGTCAAATCTTCACACTTTTAGTTATGTGACCTTTGGGACAGTTATTTAATCTTGGTTAGACTGATCTTCCTCAGTAGTGAAATGCAGATAACGTCACCAACCTAATAGAGACTGTTTGCAACAAATGAGATAATATAATATACAGCCCTGTACAGTGTATGGCACATAATTGGGGCTCAATGAATAATAGATACCTTATTATAAAATATTCCCATCATGTTGAGAAGTATTGTCCATAGGTTAAGGGAAATTTAAAAGGAAATTTTATATGGGTGTCCCAGATAGAATTAAATATTCCACATTTCTTGAAAACTGATTATAGTAAAATTTAACATAAAATTTTAATATGAACTAGACTAACAATCAACTTTCATACACCTAGAAATCCACTGAGTTAATCACGTTGTAGAGAAGAGAACATGAAATGTAAATATTTCACTCAGTTTGAGAGGATACTCTTAAATAATTTATATCTTTTTGAAAAATGCCATGTATTCTCCCCACTCTCTTCTTCACTGCTTCTGAATGGCCCAAAAAGGAGCTGTAAAAGAGGAAACTTCATCACAGTGCATCTGTGTGAAAGCACCAAAATATGTTAACAATTAGAGAAGAGGAAACCTGAAAGACTGCCTTGTTAATTAAGGAACTTGCTATCAAAGAACTCATTAAAAGGTAATGAAACCAAATGGCTATTAAAATAAATATCCACTGAAAAAAATTTGCCTGGCTAACAGCCCCTCAATTTAGCTTCTTCTAAATATTCCTAAACAGCATAGAACCAGAAAAAGAAGAGAAGCCACAACAATGCTAAAATAAAGATTAATGAAATCACAAGTGATCCTAAGCAAAAGACAAAAGGTGAATTGAGAAAAACCTACTTAGGACTCAGAATATGGGACATCAAACATCTATCCCCTGTTCTCGGAGTTCCTGGATAAAGTGTTACAGAGAACCAGGATCTATAGTTTGCTACTCCTAGCCATTATGTTAGAATATGGTTTCCCTTATTCCTAGTGACTCCATCACCTACTCTGCTACTCAGCCTCTTTCCTATGTAAACATGTAGAAGTAAAAGGTAAAAAAAACCCTGCCAAATTGTGTTATTGAAGACAAATAGTCCCTTGAGCAAAGCAAAGTAAGAACAAGAAATAAGAATCTTTGTAATAACAGGTGATGCTAGATATTTATTATTTACATTGTACTCAACAAATTCAGAAAATTTTCAGAGTTCCAGACATTGGCGACTGGGAGAAGATGCGAACTCTACTGAAAAAAAAAAAAACATATTTTCAAAATATGTTGCCTTTTTACTCATTATCTATGTTCTCCCTTATACCCCAATAATAATAATCCATGGCAATTACAAAAATTATAATTCTCAGCCTGTTGTCAGATAGGAAAGGCAAAGAATTTGAAAGTACCAACTCCTGTAGAAGCTCTTTTGTCTCTTTCTCCTCTTCCTTCTTTCCTTCTTCCTCATGACTTTAATATAATTGTGATGGTTAGAATTTAGCAGCTATCTTGGAACCTTGAGGAAATGGTCAAAAGGATAACAAAGACCTCAGCCCTGATATTCCTCAGTCTCTGACTAATATCATTTCTGGAATTCTTCTTATGTAAGAAAATATACTATTGCTGGGTGCAGTGGCTCACGCCTGTAATCTCAGCACTTTGGGAGGCCGAGGCAGATGGATCATGAGGTCAGGAGATCGAGACCATCCTGGCTAACACGGTGAAACCCCGTCTCTACTAAAAATACAAAAAATTAGCCGGGCATGGTGGCATGCGTCTATAGTCCCAGCTACTCGGGAGGCTGAGGCAGGAGAATCGCTTGAGCCCAGGAGGCAGAGGTTGCAGTAAGCCGAGATCACGCCACTGCACTCCAGCCTGGTGACAGGTGAAACCTCATCTCAAAAAAAAAAAATAAAATAAAATAAAATAAAATAAAATAAAATTATATATATATACACTCATATATTCAAGGCATTGAACTTGGTTATCTGATACTACTGACACCTAATAAGTATGTGAAATTCAGTAGAATCTGAAATCATATGAGAGATGTGCACATCATTAGCATATAAATGATGTGAATATAAAGGATGAGAAAGCCATCAAATGGGGCTGAATAAAATGATCAAGGGCTATCTACTCAACTTGTTTGTTCAAAGTATACAATCTGTAAAGATCCCACCATATCTGAGGTAGAGAAAGGAGGGAAATAAGATACTAGCATGGGGCACAAGAAAAAAATACTGCAAAACAAAGGAAAGGGTATAGCATTTGTAATGGTTAATTTTATGTGTCAAATTGATTGAGCCACCAGGTGCTCAAATATTTGGTCAAACATGATTCTATAAGGGTGTCTTTGGATGAGATTAACATTTGAATCAGTAGACTTGAATAAAGTACACTGCCCTTTCTGATGTGAACCTCATCAAATTAACTGAATGCCTGACTACAACAAAAAGCCAGACCATCTTGCAGTTAAGTCAGAACTTTTCCTAACAGCCTTGAGTTGAAACATCAGTCTTTTCTGGCCTTTGGACCCAACTAAAGCATCAGCTCTTCGTGGGTTTCAAGCCTGCCAGTGTTCAGAATGGAGGTCAAACCATAGGCTCTTCTGGTACTCAGGCATTCAGACACAAACTGAACCTACACATTGACTCACCTGGCTCTCCAGATTGCCAATTTCAAATCTCTCTCTCAGGACAGGCCTGGTGGCTCACACCTGTAATCCCAGCACTTTCAGAGGCCAAGGCAGGTGGATCACTTGAGGTCAGGAGTTCAAGACCAGCCTGACTAACATGGTGAAACCCCGTCTCTATTAAAAATACAAAAATTAGCTGGGCATGGTGATGTACCCCTGTAATCCCAGCTACTTAGGTGGCTGCAGCACGAGAATGGCTTGAACCCAGGAGGCAGAGGTGGCAGTGAGCCAAGATCGCGACACTGCACTCCAGCCTGGGTGACAGAGCGAGACTCTATCTCAAAAAAAAAAAAAAAAACTGTCTCTCTGTCTACACACACACACACACACACACACACACACACAATTGGTTTTGTTTCTCTGGAACATCCTGATTACTACAGCATTTGAAAGAGAGAATAAGCAAGTCTTAACAAATTATATATTGAATGATTGAAAGGAAAAGTTCAAGAAACTCTTTGGTATCTAGAGTATAAAATAAACTGTTTTCAATGTAAGAAAAACATAAAACAATAAAAAGAAAATAGTAAATCCTCCCTAATTCATTCTATGAAGCCAGTATCACCCTGATACCAAAGCCAGGCAGTGAAAAAGAAAAAAAAAAAAAGAAAAAAATTATAAGCCAATATCCCTGATTAACATATCAACTATGTATGAGCATATGATCCAGCAACACATCAAAAATATAATATAGCACAATCCAGTGTGTTTTATTCCAAAGATGCAAAGACAATTCAATATATGCAAATCAGTAAATGTGATTTGAAAAAGCATTTGATAAAATTCAGCATCCCTTCATGATAAAAAACATTCAACAACTAGGCAGAGAAGAAACATACCTCAAAATAATAAAAGCAATATACAACAAACCCACAGCCAACATCATACTGAACAGGGAAATGTTGAAAGCATTCTCCCTAAAAACTGACACAATATAAGGATGCCTACTTTCACCACTCCTATTCAACACAGTACTGGAAGTCTTAACTAGAGTAACCAGGCAAGAGGAAGAAATAAAAAGTATCCAAACAGGCAAAGAAGAAGTCAAACTATCTCACTAAAAGTATCCAAATAGACAAAGAAGGAGTCAAACTATCTCTCCTTGCTGATGATATGATTCTATACCCTAAAGACAATACCAAACGATTCTGGGATTTGACAAATAACTTTAGTAAAGTTTCAAGATACAAAATCAATGTACAAAAATCAGTAGCATTTCCATACACCAATAATAATCAAGCTGAGAACCAAATTAATAACTCAATCACATTTACAACAGCTACAAAATTATAAAATACCCAGAAATACATTTAACCCAGTTGGTAAAAGATTGCTACAAGGAAAACCAAAAAACCTTGTGTCATAGATGACACAACCAAATGGAAAAACATTCCATGTTCATGGACTGGAAGAATCAATATTATTAAAATAACCATACTGCCCAAAGCAATCTACAGATTCAATGCAATTTCTATCAAAATGCCAATGTGATTTTTCACAGTAATAGAAAAACCAATCCTAAAATTCATATGGAACCTAAAAAGAACACAAATAGCCAAAGCAATGTTAAGTAAAAAGAACAAAACTGAAGGAAACACATTATCTCACTTCAAATTACACTACAAAGCTATAGTAATCAAAACAGCATGGTACTGGTATAAAAATAGCCACAAGGATCAATGGAAAAGAAGAGAGAACACAGAAATAAAGTCACATATCTATAACCAACTGATCTTCAACAAACTCAACAAAAATATACACTGTAGAAAGTACCCCTATTCAGTAAACAGTTTTGGGAAAATTGGATAGCCATATGCAGAATAATGAAACTGGACATATATCTCTCACTATATACAAACATTAACTTAAGATGGATTAAAGACCTAAATGCAAGACCTGAAACCACAAAAATCATAAAACAAATTGTAAGAAAAACTCTTCCAGACATTGGCCTGGGGAAACAATTTATGACTAAGATCTCAAAAGCAAATAGAACAAAAATGAAAATAGAGAAATAGAAAAATGGAACTTAATTAAACTAGAAAGCATCTGCACAGTGAAAGAAATAATCAACAGAATAAACAGACAAAATACAGAATGGGAGAAAATGTTTGCAAGCTATGCATCTGACAAAGGACAAATATCCAGAAGCTATAAGAAAGTCAAACAAATCAACAAGAAAAAAATAAATAACCCCATTAAAAAATCGGCAAAGGACATGAGCAGACAATTCTCAAAAAAAGACATACGCAGCCAAAAAAAAAAAAGAAAAAATGCTCAACATCACTAATTATCAGAGAAAAATAAATTAAAACCACGATGACATACCATCTTATACCAGTCAAAATAACTATTATTAAAAAGCCAAAAAAACAACAGATACTGGTGACAATGTGGAGAAAAGGGAATGCTTATACACTGTAGGTTGGAATGTAAATTAATATAGCCTATATAAAAGACAGCATAAAAATTTCTCAGAAAACTAAAAAAGAACTAAAATTTGACCCAGCAATCCCACTACTGGGTATCTACTCAAAGGAAAAGAAATCACTACACCAAAAAGATACCTACGTTCATATATTTATCACAGCACTATTCATAATAGCAAAGATAAGGAATCAACCTAAGTGTCCATCAACAGAAGGTTGGACAAAGAAATGTTATATATATATATAGATAAATATAGATACAACATTTATGTTAATGAGCTCCAAGTGGAAGGACCTCAAAGAGATGAGTTCCATATAAGAAAATGTTATATATGGCCAGGCGTGGTAACTCACGCCTGTAACCCCAGCACTTTGGGGAGGCTGAGGTGGGTGGATCACCTGAGGTCAGGAGTTTAAGACCAGCCTGGCCAGTGTGGTGAAACCTCATCTCTACTAAAAATACAAAAATTAGGCAGGTGTGGTGGTGGGCACTTGTAATCCCAGCTACTTGGGAGGCTGAGGCAGGAGAATCACTTGAACCCAGGAGGCGGAGGTTGCAGTGAGCCGAGATCATGCCATTGCACTCCAGCCTGGGCAACTGGAGCAAAACTCCGTATTTAAAAAAAAAACACAGAAAATATTTTATATACATATATATATATATATATATACATATATACATATATATATATATATATATGTGTATATATATATATATATACATATATATATATATACATATATATATATATATATATGTGTATATATATATATATACATATATATATATATACATATATACATATATATATATATATATATGTATATATATATATATATATGAAAAAGAATGAAATCATGTCTTTTCCAGCAACATGGATGGAACTAGGGTCCATTATCTTAAGTGAAATTACTCAGAAACAGAAAGTTTCTGTTAAAAAATAAAAAGAATCAGATACCCAGAAACATTATAGCATAAATACAAAAAATTAAAGACAAAACTAAAATTATAAAAACAGCTAGAGAAAAAAAATTATAGCATCAATAATATTGACAGTTGACTTTTCAACAGAAATGACAAATGCAAGAAGATAATGAGATTGCTGACATAAGATTTTTTTTAAAATCCTTCAAAAATGAAGAAAAAATAATTTTTTAGACAAAAAAATGGCCTCATAGAATGAGTTAGGAAGCATTTCCTCTTACTATTAGCAAAATTTTAAGAATTTGTGTTAATTATTTTTTAAATGTTTGGTAGAATTCTCCACTGAAACCATCTAGTCTTGGACTTTTCTTTACCAGGAGGCTTTTGATTACAAAATCTCTCCCTTCTCTCATTATAGGTCTGTTAAGATTTTGTATTTATTCTTGAGTCAGTTTAGGTAACGTGCATGTTTCTAGGAATTTGTCGATTTCATCTAGGTTATCTTTACATAGTTGTCACAAATTACATTTTATACATTTGTCCTTAATAAAATGTTTACAATTATATTTAAGCATTTGTCTATTAAATCATGTAGAAATAAAATGAGGAATTGTAACCAAAAATATAACACTGATTTTTATATTTTCCCATGAATTCACTTTTGCCAAAGATTTTTATTTCTTCATATGGCCTTCAGTTACTATCTACTTTCCTTTCATTTTACCATAAAAGAATCTGTCAGCATTTCTTGTAGGGCTTGTCTAGTTGTAACAAATTCCCTCAGATTTTGTTTACCTAGAAATGTGTTAAATTCTACATTATTTTTGAGGAAACATTTTGCCAGACATAGAATTCCTGGGCTTTCTCAGATAGTTTCTGTCAATGTATTTTGCTACTTCGAATAGGCCATACTTTCCTGTTTTGTTGTATATTGTGTGATTTTTGTGTTGAAAACTAGATACTTGAATAATATAAGGCAGTAACTCTGGAACTCAGATCCCCCTTTCAATGGGGTTTGCTTTTTTTAATTGTTGAGGCTATACTAGCCTGTTTTTTAGTGATATTTTCCATTATTTTTGCAAAGACTATATTCCATCATGGATGATCATACAGTCTCTGTTCTTTCAGCTCATGTAGAGCTGAAGTTTTGAGGGAGATTTCCTTGAATAGCAGGAGCAACAACAAAAAACAAACCCAATAAAAATTTTAAAAACCAAGACCAAAAAACCAAAAACAACAAAACACAAGTCCCAGTCATTGCAAATTGGATCTCTGTTGGGAGATTTCAAAATTTATACAGGCTTGCACTGAGCCCAGAGATTTACCTCAGGTGAAAGATTAGGGTCTATTTAAGTCTTTTCTGAGTGTATTGCACTTAGCATGCACATGGCTTTATAAATTTACCAAGCTTTTCTTCTTGGGGTTTAGACAGTCTATTGTATGTCTGCATTGTAATTTTTTGTTCCACACACCTGTAACTTTTTATTTCACTTTATAACATTTTGAAACACTGCTCATCACTTTTCTGGTCTGAGTTTTAAGTTCCACAAAACAAAGGCAAGTGTCTTCACTGAAGTGGCTCTAAATAAGTCAGAACAGACATACACAATAATTTGTGCATAAAACATACTCTAGGGCCCAGTGTGGTGGCTCATACCTATAATCACAGTGCTTTGGCAGGCCAAGGTGGTAGGATTGCTTGAGGCTAGGAGTTTGAGATCAGCCTGGGAAACATAGTGAGACCTCATCTCTACAAAAATAAAAATAAAAAATAAAAAATAACCCAGGCATGGTGGTGCATGCCTGTAGTCCTAGATAAGAGACTGAGGTGGGAGGATGGCTTGAGACCAGGAGTTCAAGGCCACAGTGAGCTATGATTGTGCCACTGTACTGCCCACTACAGTCCAGCCTGGGCAAAAGAGCAAGACCCTGTCCTTAAAAAAGTAAAAAACTTAAAAATAGAGCCAAGATGGCCAAATAGGAACAGCTCCAGTCTACAGCTCCCAGCGTGAGCGACGCATAAGACTGGTGATTTCTGCATTTCCAACTGAGGTACCGGGTTCATCTCAGTGGGGGGTGTCAGACAGAGGGTGCAGGACAGTGGGTGCAGTACACCGAGCATGACCCGAAGCAGGGCAAGGCATCGCCTCACCCAGGAAGTGCAAGGGGTCAGGGAATTCCCTTTCCCAGTCAAAGAAAGGGGTGACAGACGGCACCTGGAAAATCAGGTCACTCCCACCCTAATACTGCGATTTTCCAAGGGTCTTAGCAAACGGCACACCAGGAGATTATATCCTGCTCCTAGCTCGGAAGGTCCTATGCCCCTGGAGCCTTGCTCATTGCTAGCACAGCAGTCTGATATCAAACTGCAAGGCAGCGGGGAGGCTGGGGGAGGGGCGCCCACCATTGCCAAGGCTTGAGTAGGTAGACAAAGCAGCCAGGAAGCTCGAACTGGGTGGAGCCCACCACAGCTCAAGGAGGCCTGCCTGCCTCTGTAGACTCCACCTCTGGGGGCAGGGCATAGCAAAACAAAAGGCAGCAGAAATCTCTGCAGACTTAAATGTCCCTGTCTGACCACTTTGAAGAGAGTAGTGGTTCTCCCAGCACGCAGCTGGAGATCTGAGAATGGACAGACTGCCTCTTCAGGTGGGTCCCTGACCCCGAGTAGCCTAACTGGAAGGCACCCCCCAGTAGGGGCAGACTGACACCTCACATGGCCTGGTACTCCTCTGAGACAAAACTTCCAGAGGAACCATCAGGCAGCAGCATTTGCTGTTCACCAATATTCACTGTTCTGCAGCCTCCTCTACTGATACCCAGGTAAACAGGGACTGGAGTGGACCTCCAGCAAACTCCAACAGACCTGCAGCTGAGGGTCCCGACTGTTAGAAGGAAAACTAACAAACAGAAAGGACATCCACACCAAAACCCCATCTGTACATCACCATCATCAAAGACCAAAGGTAGATAAAACCACAAAGATGCGGAAAAAACAGAGTAGAAAAACTGGAAAGTCTAAAAATCAGAGCGCCTTTCCTCCTCCAAAGCAACGCAGCTCCTCACCAGCAATGGAACAATGCTGCATGGAGAACGACCTTGACGAGTTGAGAGAAGAAGGCTTCAGACGATCAAACTACACCAAGCTAAAGGAGGAAGTTTCAACCCATGGCAAAGAAGTTAAAAACCTTGAAAAAAAATAGACGAATGGCTAACTAGAATAACCAATGCAGAGAAGTCCTTAAAGGACCTGATGGAGCTGAAAACCATGGCACAAGAACTACGTGACAAATGCACAAGCCTCAGTAGCCGATTCAATCAACTGGAAGAAAGGGTATCAGTGATGGAAGATGAAATGAATGAAATGAAGTGAGAAGTTTAGAGAAAAAAGAATGAAAGGAAATGAACAAAGCCTCCAAGAAATATGGGACTATGTGGAAAGACCAAATCTACATCTGATTGGTGTACTTGAAAGTGACAGGGAGAATGGAACCAAGTCAGAAAACACTCTGCAGGATATTATCCAGGAGAACTTCCCCAATCTAGCAAGGCAGGCCAGCATTCAAATTCAGGAAATACAGAGAACGCCACAAAGATACTCCTGGAGAGGAGCAACTCCAAGACACATAATTGTCAGATTCACCGAAGTTCAAATGAAGGACAAAATGTTAAGGGCAGCCAGAGAGAAAGGTCAGGTTACCCACAAAGGGAAGCCCATCAGACTAGTTGCGGATCTCTTGGCAGAAACTCTACAAGCCAGAAGAGAGTGGGGGCCAATATTCAACATTCTTACAGAAAAGAATTTTCAACCAAGAATTTCATATCCAGCAAAACGAAGCTTCATAAGTGAAGGAGAAATAAAATCCTTTACAGACAAGCAAATGCTGAAAGATTTTGTCACCACCAGGCCTGCCCTACAAGAGCTCCTGAAGGAAGCACTAAACATGGAAAGGAACAACCAGTACCAGCCACTGCAAAAACATGCCAAATTGTAAAGACCATCGATGCTAGGAAGAAACTGCATCAACTAAAGAACAAAATAACCAGCTAACATCATAATGACAGGATCAAATTCACACATAACAATATTAACCTTAAATGTAAATGGGCTAAATGCTCCAATTAAAAGACACAGACTGGCAAATTGGATAAAGAGTCAAGACCCATCAGTGTGCTGCATTCAGGAAACCCATCTCACAGGCAGAGACACAGATAGGCTCAAAATAAAGGGATGGAGGAAGATCTACCAAGCAAATGGAAAATAAAAAAAGGCAGGGGTTGCAATCCTAGTCTCTGATAAAACAGACTTTAAACCAACAAAGATCAAAAGAGACAAAGAAGGCCATTACAGAATGGTAAAGGGATCAATTCAACAAGAAGAGCTCACTATCCTAAATATATATGCACCCAATACAGGAGCACCCAGATTCATAAAGCAAGTCCTTAGAGAACTACAAAGAGACTTAGACTCCCACACAATAATAATGGGAGACTTTAACACCCCACTGTCAACATTAGACAGATCAATGAGACAGAAAGTTAACAAGGATATCCAGGAATTGAACTCAGCTCTGCACCAAGCAGACCTAATAGACATCTACAGAACTCTCCACCCCAAATCAACAGAATATACATTCTTTTCAGCACCACACCACACCTATTCCAAAACTGACCACATAGTTGGAAGTAAAGCACTCCTCAGCAAATGTAACACAACAGAAATTATAACAAACTGTCTCTCAGACCACAGTGCAATCAAACTAGAACTCAGGATTAAGAAACTCACTTAAAACCGCTCAACGACATGGAAACTGAACAACCTGCTCCTGATTGACTACTGGGTACATAACGAAATGAAGGCAGAAATAAAGATGTGCTTTGAAACCAACGAAAACAAAGACACAACATACCAGAATCTTTGGGACACATTCAAAGAAGTGTGTAGAGGGAAATTTATAACACTAAATGCCCACAAGAGAAAGCAGGAAAGATCTAAAATGGACACCCTAACATCACAATTAAAAGAACTAGAGAAGCAAGAGCAAACACATTCAAAAGCTAGCAGAAGGCAAGAAATAACTAAGATCAGAGCAGAACTGAAGGAATCAGAGACACAAAAAAACCCTTCAAAAAATCAATGAATCCAGGAGCTGGTTTTTTGAAAAGATCAACAAAATTGATAGACTAATAAAGAAGACTAGCAAGACTAATAAAGAAGAAAAGAGAGAAGAATCAAATAGACGCAATAAAAAATGATAAAGGGGATATCACCACCGATCCCACAGAAATACAAACTACCATCAGAGAATACTATAAACACCTCTATGCAGATAAACTAGAAAATCTAGAAGAAATGGATAAATTCCTCGACACATACACACTCCCAAGACTAAACCAGGAAGAAGTTGAATCTCTGAATAGACCAATAACAGGCTCTGAAATTGAGGCAATAATTAATAGCTTACCAGCCAAAAAAAGTCCAGGACCAGAAGGATTCACAGCTGAATTCTACCAGAGGTACAAGGAGGAGCTGGTACCATTCCTTCTGAAACTATTCCAATCAACAGAAAAAGAGGGAATCCTCCCTAACTCATTTGATGAGGCCAGCATCATCCCGATACTAAAGCCTGGCAGAGACATAACAAAAAAAGAGAATTTTAGACCAATATCCCTGATGAACATCGATGCAAAAATCCTCAATAAAATACTGGCAAACTGAATCCAGCAGCACATCAAAAACTTATACACCACGATCAAGTGGGCTTCATCCCTGGGATGCAAGGCTGGTTCAACATATGCAAATCAATAAACGCAATCCAGCATATAAACAGAACCAATGACAAAAACCACATGATTATCTCAATAGATGCAGAAAAGGCCTTTGACAAAATTCAACAGCCCTTCATGCTAAAAACTCTCAATAAATTAGGTATTGATGGGACGTATCTCAAAATAATAAAAGCTATCTATGACAAACCCACAGCCAATATCATACTGAATGGGCAAAAACTGGAAGCATTCCCTTTGAAAACTGGCACAAGACAGGGATGCCCTCTCTCACCACTCCTGTTCAACATAGTGTTGGAAGTTCTGGCCAGGGCAATCAGACAGGAGAAGGAAATAAAGGGTATTCAATGAGGAAAAGAGGAAGTCAAATTGTCCCTGTTTGCAGATGACATGATTGTATATCTAGAAAACCCCATCGTCTCAGCCCAAAATCTCCTTAAGCTGATAGGCAACTTCAGCAAAGTCTCAGGATAGAAAATCAATGTGCACAAATCACAACCATTCTTATACACCAATAACAGACAAACAGAGAGCCAAATCATGAGTGAACTCCCATTCACAATTGCTTTAAAGAGAATAAAATACCTAGGAATCCAACTTACAAGGGACGTGAAGGACCTCTTCAAGGAGAACTACAAACCACTGCTCAGTGAAATAAAAAAGGATACAAACAAATGGAAGAACATTCCATGCTCATGGGTAGGAAGAATCAATATCGTGAAAATGGCCATACTGCCCAAAGTAATTCATAGATTCAGTGCCATCCTCATCAAGCTACAAATGACTTTCTTCACAGAATTGGAAAAAACTACTTTAAAGTTCATATGGAACCAAAAAAGAGCCCACATTGCCAAGTCACTCCTAAGCCAAAAGAACAAAGCTGGAGGCATCACGCTACCTGACTTCAAACCATACTACAAGGCTACAGTAACCAAAACAGCATGGTACTGGTACCAAAACAGAGATATAGACCAATGGAACAGAATAGAGCCCTCAGAAATAATGCCGCATATATACAACTATCTGATGTTTGACAAACCTGACAAAAACAAGAAATGGGGGAACGACTCCCTATTTAATAAATGGTGCTGGGAAAACTGGCTAGCCATATGTAGAAAGCTGAAACTGGATCCCTTCCTTACACCTTATACAAAAATTAAGTTAAGATGGATTAAAGACTTAAATGTTAGACCTAAAACCATAAAAACCCTAGAAGAAAACCTAGGCAATACCATTCAGGACATAGGCATGGGCAAGGACTTCATGTCTAAAACACCAAAAGCAATGGCAGCAAAAGACAAAATTGACAAATGGGATCTCATTAAACTAAAGAGCTTCTGCACAGCAAAAGGAACTAACATCAGAGTGAACAGGCAACCTACAAAATGGGAGAAAATTTTCGCAACCTACTCATCTGGCAAAGGGCTAATATTCAGAATCTACAATGAACTCAAACAAATTTACAAGAAAAAAACAAACAACCCCATCAACAAGTGGGCAAAGGATATGAACAGACACTTCTCAAAAGAAGACATTTATGCAGCCAAAAGACACATGAAAAAATGCTTATCATCACTGGCCATCAGAGAAATGCAAATCAAAACCACAATGAGATACCATCTCACACCAGTTAGAATGGCGATCATTAAAAAGTCAGGAAACAACAGGTGCTAGAGAGGATGTGGAGATACAGGAACACTTTTACACTGTTGGTGGGACTGTAAACTAGTTCAACCATTGTGGCAGTCAGTGTGGCAATTCCTCAGTGATCTAGAACTGTAAATACCATTTGACCCAGCCATCCCATTACTGGGTATATACCCAAAGGATTACAAATCATGCTGCTATAAAGACACATGCCCATGTATGTTTATTGCGGTACTATTCACAACAGCAAAGACTTGGAACCAACCCAAATGTCCAACAATGATAGACTGGATCAAGAAAAGTTGGCACATATACACCATGGAATACTATGCAGCCATAAAAAATGATGAGTTCATGTCCTTTGTAGGGACATGGATGAAGCTGGAAACCATCATTCTCAGCAAACTATAGCAAGGACAAAAAACCAAACACCGCATGTTCTCACTCCTAGGTGGGAATTGAACAATGAGAACACGTGGACACAGGAAGGGGAACATCACACACCGGGGCCTGCTGTGGGGTAGGGGGAGGGGGGAGGGATAGCATTAGGAGATATACCTAATGTTAAATGATGAGTTAATGGGTGCAGCACACCAAGATGGCACATGTATACATATGTAACAAACCTGCACGTTGTGCACATGTACCCTAAAACTTAAAGTATAATAAAATATATATATATGTATACCAATAAAAAAAACTTAAAAATATAGACATGTTCTGCTCCCTTTGGAACTAATAACAGGGTCCCACAATGAGAACATGGGATGCCGTCGTTCCCCCACAGAGGAAGGTGAGGGACAAGCGCAAGTAAAAATTGCACACAGCTTTTCAATATTTCTAAGTTGCCTTTATCTTGATTCAACATTCGTTTTTCTGCTGTAATCCTTTGACTCTTCCCCAGAGTTCTGACAAAATTGGTTCTGACAGTTTCTGCTTATTCTTCAATGTTTCTGTAGGACGACTTTGAAGCTGCATATTCTGCCACTTGCAACCATCATTCCCAGAGACTGCTTTTCTTAAGTCAAGCAGCTATATCACAAATTATATGTCATAGATCAGCAATGTTCAATCTTATTTCCAATGATGGGTACCATGGTTCTTGATGGAACGTTTCTGAAAATTTGTTCTCCTTTTTTATGACTGTCTAAAAACACAAAATGTGTGGTCTGTTTCATCTGAATGCTTGTAGTTATAACTGAAAACTACTATGTGATTTCAGTATCTCAATTTGTGTCTGTGTTAACACTTAGGTTAGTATCAAGTAAGCAACATTGCTGCCACAAGCAAAAGGCTATACACAGGCCTTTATGCAATTTTATCAGGTGAAAGTCAAATCAGCTTACCAAACAGTATGAAAACAGTCTTACAATGGTTAAATAGATGAATATGGTAGAAATACTGAAAAATCACACACCACATGTTAAAAGATATTACTATATTCATGTTGAGTACAGCAATTTAGCTTTGGTAAAACAACACTGATCTTATGAAGCTAATTTTAATTTTACTTATATTGGTTGTAAATATTTATATTTAAGTTATAAATTTGTTTTTGATTTATAGATATATAAGAACTATATGTATAACATTTATACCTACTTTATACACATATAGGTAACACTACTAAGAAAAAAAAATAACCATTGGGAGAGAATTCTAGTAGTCAAGGAATTTTAGCTCTGGTACATGGCCGACTGAGCTGAGATAAAACATAGAAATTACAGGTGAGGCACAGTGACTCATTCCTATAGCCCCAGTACTTTGGGAGGCCAAGGCCGGTGGATAGCCTGAGCTCAAGAGTTCAAGACCAGCCTGAGCAACATAGTGAAACCCTGTCTCTACTAAAAATACAAAAATTAGCTGGGTATGGTGGTGCACGCCTGTGGTCCCAGATACTTAGGAGGTGGAGGTGTGGGAGGGTCTCTTGAGCTCGAAGAGGTCAAGGCTGCAGTGAGCTGTGATTGTGCCACTGCACTCCAGCCTGGGTGACAGAGTGAGACCCTGCCTCAAAAAACAAATAAACAAACAAAAATAGACACTATCAATTAAATATAATAATACTTTTAGTAACACATCTGAGCTTCAAAAAAAAGGAAATCTCTTGGTGCTAGAAAGGAACAGGAAACAAGCCAGAGGAGCTCTTAGGCTGATTTTGCTGAGATCTCAGGAGGACATAAGGCCAGAATTACATAACAGCTACATATTGGATTTTAGTACCAATACAGAAATAGGCCCTGGTTCTGCAGAAGCAATGGAGAAATAAACTAGACTCCAGCATATAGATGGGACCTCAAAAGGCTATACTTTTATTGAAAAGGGAGGAGATTAAAGCGACACGGAAGCTTGGTTTCCCCTGTGCACTTGGTGGTGGGGAAAAAACTAGTTTCTCATGAGAAATCAAATTCCAAGTGTGGGTTTGCTGCCAGCATTTATAATACACATGTAGTATGTGAATGCCTAAGCCATAATATGAGCAGAATCTGGTCGTGGATTAGTAAAACCCCTGAGACAACCAGGAAAAACAAATGCAAAATAGCTCAGTAGGTATATAACCTAGGAAACATGAGTTTCCACAGTAAAGGTGATTCCCGCAAAAATGAGTTCATAATCAAAAATTTAAAACTGCCTAAAGAAATGATGCCTGAGGAGATAGAGTCTAAAGTTCAACAAGTAGAATCAAAAGCTAAACAAAAACCTGAGATGAAGGAACTTTTTGAAAGTTAGATAAAATATGTATGTTTAAGATGAAAAACAAGATAAAAGCAATTTAAATCATTACAAAATAATAGCATACTATGAAACAAACACATATGAAAAAGAACCAAACAGCGCTTCTGGAAATATACTATCATTGAAATTTAAAAATTAATGAATGGCATAAACAGTAGATTGGACTAGAAAAAAATCTGAAGAATTATGAAGAATGTAAGTCAAAGATATAAAAAGATAAAAATCTCAACAGTAACAAGAAAGAAAAAACAGATTGGTTATAACCAAAAAATAAATAAGACTGACATCAACAACAAGAGGCTACAAAACAATGAAATATTATCTGTTATAGGCTGAAGGAAAATTAGGTTTAATTCATAAATCTAACACTAGCTATAGGTGAACAGAGGTGAAATAAAAATATTTTCAGTTAGGGGATCAAAGATCACTGAAATCTGAGAACACTGCTCTAGGTAACAACCAGAAGCCCACAGAGTATGCATAGTCATTGCAAGTCATAGATACACATCCTCTAGGTGCTAGAAAAGACCTCAAGTAGTGGCCATCTGATTCAATCCACTATATGAATGATTACCACAACACTGCTATTAAGAGAATGTCTGGAACCTAACACAAACGTCTACAGAAAGATGAAGCTCACTAAATCAAGGAGACACTTTTGCCAAAAAGTTATTTTGCTTAGTCCTACTTTTTGGAGCTAAGATAACACTTTAGCTACTGAGGCAACAATTATATATCTTAACCCTTTAAGTTATCTCTTTTTTTCCCTAGGCTAAATAAATAAAATGTCTTTCACATATCTCCATAGGATTTAGTTCTTAGTTATTTCTAGAACACAGCATTTTCTTTTAGAAGTACTCCAGCTCATCATCACCTTTTTTAGACTATAAAATAAGCAAAATAATTGATCCTGGCCTGTTCTAACCAGCATAAAGTAGAAGAAGCTTTTGTTCTAGACCAGAAGTTCCCTTCCTTTCCTTCCTTTCCTTTCCTTCCTTCTCTTTCTCTCTTTCTCTCCCTCTCTCTTTCTTTCTTTCTTTCTTGAGACAGAGTCTCGCTCTGTCACCCAGGCTGGAGTGCAGTGGCGCGATCTCAGCTCACTGCAGGCTCCGCCTCCCGGGTTCACGCCATTCTCCTGCCTCAGCCTCCTCAGTAGCTGGGACTACAGGCGCCCGCCACCACGCCCGGCGAAGTTTTTTTTGTATTTTTAGTAGAGACGGGGTTTCACCATGTTAGCCAGGATGGTCTTGATCTCCTGACCTCGTGATCCGCCCACCTCGGCCTCCCAAAGTGCTGGGATTACAGGCGTGAACCACTGCGCCCAGCCCAGAAGTCCTTAAACTTTAGCATACACCACAATTACCTGGAGGAGTTATTACAACACAGGTTTCTAGGCTAATGCCCAAGTTTCTGACTCAGAAAGTCTGGTATAGGGCCTGAAATTTTGCCTTTTTTTTTTAAGAGATGGGGTCGGCCAGGCACTGTGGCTCATGCCTGTAATCCCAACACTTTGGGAGGCCGAGGTGGGCAGATCACGAGGTCAGATCGAGACCATCCTGGCCAGTATGGTGAAACCCAATCTCTACTAAAAATACAAAAATTAGCTGGGTGTAGTGGTACGCACCTGTAATCCCAGCTACTCCGGAGGCTGAGGCAGGAGAATCACTTGAACCCAGAAGGCAGAGATTGCAGTGAGCTGAGATCACTCCACTGCACTCCAGCCTGGTGACAGAACAAGACTCCGCCTCAAAAAAGAAAAAAAAAAAAAGAAAAAAGAAAAGATGGGGCCTCTCTATGCTGTTCCAGGTTGGTCTCGAACTCCTGGCCTCAAGTGATTTCTCACACTTCAGCCTTCTGAGTAGCTGGGATTACAGACTGTATGTATCACCACACCTGGTGAGATTTTGCATTTCTAACAAGTTGTCTAGTGATATTGACTCTACTGTTCCATGAACCTCAGTCTAAGATCAGTTTAGCTTTTTGGCAGACCTACAATCTTGTTGACTAAATCTGAACTTGCAGTCAATTCAAATTCCCAAGTCTTTTTTATAAGCACAGTTGATTTTAGTAACCTACTTAATATTCCCATTTCTTGTTTTGTAACACATTGATAAAATCAACAAAAAGCATGTTACAGATGCCAAATCACTAATTATATATTCACATATGAAACAGAACATATTATTCTTTATATTTTAGCTTTAATTCATGAGCTAAAAGGAGTTGAAGACCTCTGTTGTCTCCAATTTTACAAGTGAGTCAGTTTTTGAGATCTCTTGGTGTCCTTTCCCTGACATTAAGAGAATTCCAAGGCTCTGCACTGAGTATTCTACAAATAATTTTTCTAAAGTCCCATAACAACAGCACAATTGCTAAACAATGAATCAACTACACAATGCTTTCCAAAAACCCTTGAAAAATAACCATTGGCTGCTTCTCAAGTGTATGAATAGTTTATCTTATTGTCCAATTACTAGAGGTTCAAAAAACCAGTTTTATAAATACTTATCCACAACGGAAAAAAAAATTAGTTTCAAGGTTGAGTGCTTGACTCCAGTTAGCTAATGTGACAAGAAGACAAAGAACCCTGCCAATTCCACATAACAGGGACAGAGGCCCTCTGTGCAGGGATCTTAATATGCTAAGAGAACAGCCTTTTAAGAAACAGATGCACTCAGTGTCAATCAGCTAAACTTTAGAAATTAATGACCTTCACTAGCTTTGCTTAGTCATTTTTTGGTGCCAACTTCTTGAGTACCCAAGTTCAATTCAAGTCAGTTTGACAGATTCAAGGTACATCCCAAGAATACGATACTCAACTCTACATAAATTTACCAGCTCACTGAAAGGGCTTGGCTCTGTTAATACTTACCCTAATTCAAGATGTTTTGGTTAGCACAGGATCAATGGTCAGATAATTGCTAGATTACAATATAATTCTATGACATTTCTTTTATTATTAGTTTTTTGTTTTTGTTTTTGTTTTTGTTTTGGTAGAGACAAGGTTTCGCCATGTTGCCTAGGGTGGTCTCAAACTAACTTAAGACTGTGCCCACTGAGTTGGCTGAGTTAAGTTGATAGTAAGTACTCTTCTGTCAGTTATTGGGTAGAAATATTTATGCTAAATGATATTAACATTTTCTGTTTTTAAATATTTTTCATTTAAGAAATAAAATCAATTGCTATAGCAACCCTGAGGGATCCTTAAGACTCAGGTATTCATTTACATTTTCAAGTCAGGAAAGATAATGAGCTTTACGGTTCTAAATTCAGCTAAATTAAAGAAGCCAAATATCCCAAATGATGCCTTTACGTCAGTCTCTCAAATACTTAGCTATGGAGATCTGAAAGCTTACAAATTGAATTCCTGACTGTTAAAAGCAAAAGATGCTGAGCCTGGAGTCCTCCAAAAAAAAAAAATACAGTGATTAAAGGCTGACTCATTGTGGCTGTGGCAAAAAAGTAGTAAACTCTTCATAGATAAAACAAACAGAAAACACCTATATTTGAAAAGTACCCTGAACACTGTTAAAAATATACTGACAATGTGCTTTAAAATGTATGAAAGTCATTCCATCTGTGGTTTCTTTTTTTTTTTTTTGAGAGTGTACTCAATCACAAACAGATGCTACAGCTGTCTCACAGTGTCCAAAGTGTGATGATCGGACTTAGATCCAAGATTCTACTAGATTTAACCATGCAAGCATAAAAGCCAACTGAATAACACTGTTGATGGAACACTGCTTTTCCTCATTAATGAGGAAGAATAGGCAGCACAAAGTGAAATTTCTGACTATGCATTGACCTCATCACAAAGCGATTATGATCATGGTACACATAGTATATATAGTATATATGGAATAGTGCCAAATAGCAGTAATGGATTTATTTACATTATATCTTCATTATTAAAGTGCAGAGAAAACGTGATTTCTAAGAAAGCTTGAAGGCTTATCTTCTTCAGGATTCTAGAGATGAATACACAAACTTTGACCAATACGGTAGTGACTTATCAGGCAGTTTAAATTAGGTTATGCTGCAGTAACAAAAATTCCCAAATCACTGTGACTTACAACTACAAGGGTTTATTTCTTGCTAATGTTACACGTCAGCTGTCAGTCAAGCTGAAGATGCACCCCTCTTCTAGCACAGCAGCTTTCATGGCAGAGGGATGACAGCCATGGCAGAAAAATGTTTCTTAAGGATTCTGTTTTGAGGTGACATCCATCCCTTTTGTTTACATTTCATTAGACAAAGGAAGTCACACAGCCAAGCTAGATGTCACTGGGTGGGGAATTAGAATTCTCTCATCAAGAGAGCCAGCAAATAATTGGGGAAAATAATAATGCTCCTCAGAGGAGATAACCCTAACTCCTTTCCAATTATGGCAATAGACTCGCCAAGTCTCAGATCTTGTGATAACCCTTATTTAAAATCCAAATGTGGTGCGTTTTACTCTGGAGACTAATAAACTAAAAAGACTAGTTAGTTGCCCCTCAAATATCTAACATATAACTGCAGAATGGGAATGATATAACTTGCACATATCTCCAAATTGGAAAGAGGACAAATGGGAAACACAGCAGCCACTTAACTATGTAAATTCTGAAATTTTGCTGGGCAGAAGATGCAGGGGCTGCTGCTTTGCCCTGGGACTGGGAAACATTCTTTAATTGGGTCCTGGTTCTTCTCTTTGGGAAAAGTTTCCCAGTTTACTGTTCTCTGAGGCTGCTGGTTCTGCCCCATAGGAGGTTATTCCTGTTCCTTGATCTTCCTTGGGTCTATAAATAAGGGATTATAGAATATGCCTCCTCTCCACAAACACACACACTCACTACTACCATGTTGGTGGCTGAGAAGCTTTCTCAGGCTGCTTCCTAGTCACAGAAGATTAGAGGCACACAAGTCATTAACAATCGCAGACTCTTTTACAAAAAGCATCCTGCTTTTTGCAGGACCTTGACTGAATCCCTGGTGTTTTGGTAACAATACCACATACTCGTTCGGTACATTGTCTGATTTCTAGTTACCTCAGGTGACAATATAATCAAAAGTTTTATCATAGGAACCACCTTCTGTCCATCCCCAAAATCAATGTCATATCTATTAGTTATTTTTTAAAGTATTAATTACAATAGTATCCCATTCTGGTATCAATTTTTTTATCAGTCAGCTTATACTCAATTATAATAAAATAACATACAACTCATAAATCTCAGTGGTTTATAAAACAGTTTCAATTCTTGCTCAAATTACTGTCAGATACTCTGGCTTTGTAGCATTTTAATTCACTCTGGTCGACCAGGCTGGAGTGCAATGGCGCGACCTCTTCTCACCCCTCCACCTCCCAGGTTCAAGAGATTCTCTTGCCTCAGCCTTTAGAGCAGCTAATTTTTGTATTTTTAGTAGAGGCAGGGTTTCACCATGTTGGCCAGGCTGGTCTCAAACTCCTGACCTCAAGTGATCCACCTGCCTTGGCCTCCCAAAGTGCTGGGATTACAGGCATGAGCCACCATGCCTGGCCAATTCATTGGTCATTTCTGTTTCTTTTATAAGATGTCTTCCATATTCTTGCCTCATTTTTCTACTGCTTATAATTAATAATTTGTAAGAGTCAGATGTTAACCTCTGTTATATAAAATAAATATTTTCCTATTCTGTTATTAGTTATCCAGCATACTCTTTAATTTTAGATTATAGTATTTTGCACATACACAAAATTCAATTTTTAAGACAAATAGATTTTGTAACAGAGAAAAATGTATATGTTTAGTCTTTTAATCCTCCTGGTGTGTTGTACATTTTTATGGTATGATATATAACTCCCTTATTCAATTTTGAGTTTATATTTGCCTTAAGTTCTATTTTATGTAATGTTTATATCGCAATATTTATTTCCTTTTCCTTCACATTCGCCTGTAGTATCTTGTCACACATTTATTTTATATATTTTTATCTTATTTTGAGTAGCATCTCTTATAAAACACACAGAGGTGAATTTTGTTTTAAAGAAATCCTGGGAGTTTCCATGCTTAAAATTTATTTTACTATTTTCATATTTAAAGTGATTATTGACATGTTTGGACTCATTACTATCATCTTATTTCATATTTTCTATCTTACCACAGTTTCTTATCTTCTCTAATTCTAAACTGGTAAAATTTGCCTTTTATGGTTTTCCCTTCTGCTATTATATAGCTTTCTATTATGTATCCATAAATTATTACTCTGAAATTTTAAATTCATTTAAAAGATGTAATTCAGTTAGTGTCTACAGTTAATCAATATATTGTATTAATTTAGTCATTCATATTCTCGTACAAACATCACCAACATCCATCTCCATAACACTTTCCATTTTGCAAAACTGAAACTCTATACCCATTAAACAAGTCCCCATTACTCTCTAACCTCAACTCCTGGCAACCACCATTCTGCTTTCTGCAGGGTTGTTCTATCCAGTATTGAGAGGAAAAGTATTGAAGTTTCCCACTGTTATTGCAGAACTATGTATTTCTCCTATCAGTTCTGTTAATCTTTGTTTTATATATGTTGATGGTCTGTTAGCAGATGCATAAGCATTTATAACTGTAATCTCCTTGCAGTACTGAACATTTTATTAATATACATTGTTTTTGTTTCTTGCAACCTTTATTGATTTAAAATCTATTTTGTCTAATATTAGCATAGTTGTCTCTGTTCTCTTTTGGTTACTGTTTGCATGGAATCTTTTTCCATGCTTCTACTTTGAACCTGTTTGTGTCTTTAGATCTAAAGTGAATTTCTTATAGATAGCCCATAATTGGACCATTTTAAAAATCCATTCTGCCAAACTCTGTCCTTTGACTGGAGAGGTTAAACCACTTATATTTAAAATAATTACTGGTAGAGGAGGGACTTTCTTTTGTCATTTGCTATTACTTCTCCAGAAGCCTTACGACCTTCTGTCCCCCCCTTATTTCCTGCATTACTGTCTTTTTTTGTGATTAGTTAATTTTTTTGTAGTGAAATATTTAGATTCATTTCTAATTTCTTCTTTTGTGTATCGAGCTATTTTCTTTGTGGTTATAATATAGGTTATGTTTAACATCCTAAAGTTATCACACTCTAATTTGAATTTATACCAGCTTAACTTAAGAAATAAACAAAAACTCTGTTCCTTTATAGCTCGATCTCCACCCCTTTCAGTTGCTACTGTCAACAAATTTACAAATTTATATAGTGTATGTCTGAAAAACTAGATGAATAATTATTTTTAATGTGTTAGTCTCATAAATTATGTAGAAAACAAAATGTGGAGTTACAAACCAAAGTTATAATAATATTAGCTTTTAGACTAACAATTGTGTTTTTAAAATGTTTTAGTATCTAAAATCATATCTAAAACAAAAAGCAGAGTTACAACTTCTCATTACAATAATAACAGCTTTCATAATGGCCCACGTATTTACTGTTGCTCAGATCTTTCTTTCTTAATGAGGCTTCAAGTTACAGTCTAGTGTCCTTTCATTTCACTCTGCATGACATTCATTAAGATTTCTTGCAGGAAAAATTTAGTGGTAATTAAGTCCCTCAGCTTTTGTTTATGTGGGGATGCCTTACTTTCTCCTTCACTTTTGAAGGACAATTTTTCCAGATATAGAATTCTTGGTTCACAGTTTGTTTTTTCTTTTAACACTTTGATATAACAGCCCACTGCCTTATGGCCTCCAACATTTCTGATGCGATATGTGCTCATAGTTTTATCAAGGATTCCTTGTATGTGACAAGTCACTTATCTCTTGCTACTTTCAAGGTTCTCTGTTTTTCAAAAGTTTTATTTTTAATGTGTCTTTAGTGTTGGTCTCTTTTAGTTCATCCAATTTTGAGTTTTTTGAGTTTCTTGCATGTTGATATTCATGTCTTCCAACAATCTTGGAAAGTTTTCAGCTATTATTTCTTCAGATATTCTACTTTCCCCTTTCTCTCTTTTCCTTCTGGGGTACAACAATGTGCATAATAGTCGGCTTGAAGGTGTCCCATAGGTCCCTTGGGTTGTGTTCGCTTTTCTTCAATCTTTTGGCTTTATGCTCTGCAAACTAAACTCTTCCCATTATCTTCCCTTCTAGTGTGCTCATTCTTTGGTCTGCCTACTCAAATCTGTCTTTGGATATCTTTAGTGAATTTTTCACTTTATGTATTATACTTTTCAGTTCCAGAATTTTGTTTTGGTTTCTTTTTAAACCTCTTTACTAATATTTCCATTTTTTCCATACATCATTTCATTGATTTTTTTTCCACATTTTTGTGTAGTTCTTTGAGAATCTTTTTTATTATTATTATACTTTAAGTTCTGGGGTACATGTGCAGAATGTGCAGGTTTGTTACATAGGTATACACGTGCCATAGTGGATTGTGGCATCCATCAACCCATCATCTACATTAGGTATTTTTCCTAATGCTATCCCTCCCCTAGCCACACACCCCTAAACAGGCCCCAGTGTGTGATGTTCCCCTCCCTGTGTCCATGTGTTCTCATTGTTCACCTCCCACTTATGAGTGAGAACACGTGGTGTTTGGTTTTCTATTCTTGTGTTAGTTTGCTGAGAATGATGGCTTTTACCTTCATCCATGTCCCTGCAAAGGACATGAGCTCATCCTTTTTTATGGCTGCATAGTATTCCATGGTGTATATGTGCCACATTTTCTTAATCAATCTATCATTGATGGACATTTGGGTTGGTTCCATGCCTTTCCTATTGTGAACACTGCCACAGTAAACATACGTGTGCATGTGTCCTTATAGTAGAATGATTTATAATCCTTTGGGTATATACTCAGTAATGGGATGGCTGGGTCAAATGGTATTTCTAGTTCTAGATCCTTGAGGAATCACCACACTGTCTTCCACAATGGTTGAACTAATTTACACTCCCACCAACAACGTAAAAGCGTTCCTATTTCTCCACATCCTCTCCAGCATCTGTTATTTCCTGACTTTTTAATGACCACCATTCTAACTGGCCTGAGATGGTATCTCATTGTGGTTTTGATTTGCATTTCTCTAATGGCCATTGATGATGAGCTTTTTTTCATATGTTTGTTGGCTGCATAAATGTCTTCTTTTGAGAAGTGTCTGTTCATATCCTTTGCCCACTTTTTGATGCAGTTGTTTATTTTTTTCTTGTAAATTTGTTTAAGTTCTTTGTAGATTCTGGATATTAGCCCTTTGTCAGATGGATAGATTGCAAAAACTTTCTCCCATTCTCTAGGTTGCCTGTTCACTGTGATGATAGTTTCTTTTGCTGTGCTGAAATGTCTTTACATATACTAAATTCCCAAATAGCCTTAAGTCTATTTCTAGATTATCTATTCTATTACGTGGAACTACACATTCTTTATATTATTCTGAAGGCCAAAATTTTGCATGATACTAACCTTCCAAATTAGGTGAGAAGAGTATGTTCTCTTTATCTTTTTAAAATTATTTTATTGATCATTCCTTTTTGTCACATTCTAATTTTCAGATAAATTTCACCTACTTTTAATAAATTCCAAAGCAAATTTCAGAAGAATTTTTATTGGGCTGCATTGTACTAATGACTAATTGACATTTTACAAATATCTTGTCACATATGAAAAGATTATTTGATGACACTGTGTAGTTTCAGAAATTTCCCAATATAGCATTCACATACTTTATTCATAAATGTTCTAATATTTTTGTTGCTACTGAGAGGTGACAGCGTGCTGGCAGTCGTCACAGCCCTCACTCGCTCTCGGCGCCTCCTCTGCCTGGGCTCCCACTTTGGCGGCACTTGAGGAGCCCTTCGGCCCGCCGCTGCACTGTGGGAGCCCCTTTCTGGGCTGGCCAAGGCTGGAGCCCACTCCCTCAGCTTGCAGCGAGGTGTGGAGGGAGAGGCGCGAGCGGGAACCGGGGCTGCGTGCAGCGCTTGCGGGCCAGCTGGAGTTCCGGGTGGGCATGGTCTTGGCGGCCCCGCACTCAGAGCAGCCGGCCAGCCCTGCTGGCTCCAGGCAATGAGGGACTTAGCACCCGGGCCAGTGGCTGCGGAGGGTGTACTGGGTCCCCCAGCAGTGCCAGCCCACCGGTGCTGCGCTCGATTTCTCACTGAGCCTTAGCTGCCTTCCCGCGGGGCAGGGCTCGGGACCTGCAGCCCGCCATGCCTGAGCCTCCCACCCACTCCATGGGCCCCGTGCGGCCCGAGCCTCCCCAACGAGCACCACCCCCTGCTCCAGGGTGCCCAGTCCCATCGACCACCCAAGGGCTGAGGAATGCAAGCACCCGGCGCGGGACTGGCAGACAGCTCCACCTGCAGCCCCAGTGCGGGATCCACTAGGGGAAGCCAGCTGGGCTCCTGAGTCTGGTGGGGACGTTGGAGAGTCTTTATTATCTAGCTCATGGATTGTAAACACCCCAATCAGCACCCTGTGTCTAGCTCAAGGTTTGTGAGTGCACCAATTGACACTCTGTATCTAGCTGGTCTGGTGGGGCCTTGGAGAACCTTTATGTCTAGCTCAGGGATTGTAAATACACCAATCAGCACCCTGTGTCTAGCTCAAGATTTGTGAGTGCACCAATCGACACTCTGTATCTAGCTGCTCTGGTGGGGCCTTGGAAATCCTTTATGTCTAGCTCAGGGATTGTAAATACACCAATCAGCACCCTGTGTGTAGCTCAAAGTTTGTGAGTGCACCAATCGACACTCTGTATCTAGCTGCTGTGGTAGGGCCTTGGAGAACCTTTATGTCTAGCTCAGGGATTGTAAACACACCAATCAGCACCCAGTGTTTAGCTCAAGGTTTGTGAGTGCACCAATCGACACTCTGTATCTAGCTGCTATGGTGGGGCCTTGGAGAACCTGTGTGTCCAAACTCTGTATCTAACTAATCTGATGAGGACATGGAGAACCTTTGTATCTAGCTCAGGGATTGTAAACGCACCAATCAGCGCCCTGACAAAACAGGCCACTGGGCTCTACCAATCAGCAGGATGTGGGTGGGGCCAGATAAGAGAATAAAAGCAGGCTGCCCGAGCCAGCATTGGCAACCTGCTCGGGTCCCCTTCCACCCTGTGGAAGCTTTATTCTTTCGCTCTTTGCAATAAATCTTGCTACTGCTCACTCTTTGGGTCCACGCTGCTTTTATGAGCTGTAACACTCACCGCGAAGATCTGCAGCTTCACTCCTGAGCCCAGTGAGACCACGAGCCCACCGGGAGGAACGAACAACTCCAGACGCACTGCCTTAAGAGCTGTAACACTCACCGCGAAAGTCTGCAGCTTCACTCCTGAGCCAGCGAGACCACGAACCCACCAGAAGGAAGAAACTCCGAACACATCTGAACATCAGAAGGGACAGACTCCAGACGCGCCACCTTAAGAGCTGTAACACTCACCGCGAGGGTCCGTGGCTTCATTCTCGAAGTCAGTGAGACCAAGAACCCACCAATTCTGGACACACTACTATGAATGGGATTTTGATTCATATATAAGATTTTATATATGGGTTTTGATTCATATATAAGAAAATTAAAAATTAAGAATTTATTAAATAATGTGTTTTTATGTTGCAAATTGTTCTCTAGTTAAGTTTCATGGTATTCTAGATATAGGATCATATAATTGGCAAGTAATAATTTTATCTCTTCTTTTCCCAACATTTATAACTTAATGCTTTTACATAACTGCTTTAGCTACCACCTCCAGTGAAAAATATTAAATAATAGTGGTACTAGGAAACAATCTTTGTTTTGTCCTACAAACATCTACTCACACATACATGCATGCACCCGTGTGTGTGCATGCACATACATACACGTGCACACATACATACACACATGCACACACACATGAACACACACACTTATTTTAAGAAACTGTTTATCCGTTTTGGGTTATATATATTCAATAATATCAAACGTTTTTTAGGTATTCAAAATGTAATATTTTTATTTCTTCATTACACATTACTGAGAATTTTCTTGCAGCAATTCAGCATTCCTGGAATGAGCCTCATTTGGCAAAGGAATATATTCTTTTAATACACTGTTGAATTGCATTTGCTACATTTTCTAAGATGATTCTCATCAATATTGTGCAAGATTGACTTGCAAATTGTTTTTGTCTTTTCTATGTCAGGTTTTGTATCAATATTATGTTGTCTAATAAAGGTTACTGTTATTTTTGCCCTCTTATTTCTATGATTGGGGGACAGTTTTAATATGCCATAAGTTAATATTACACAATTCTTGATAATTTACACAAAATTCATCTGTGAAGCCATCCAGAAGATGTAATTAACAGGTAGAGGTAGATAAGCTCCTTGACAGTTTTATTCTTTCCATTATGCTTTTTTTTTTCATTAGATTTTTCTATCTCCTTTTAAACCAGTTTTAAATTTCCTGGAAGTCATTCATTTAACCCACATTTTCAAATTTTAGTACATATAAGACTTGTGTAAAATTGTAGCATTCTTTTAATTTTTTCTGTATTTTAAGTCATCTCCCAATTTTTATCCATAATTTTCTGTATTTTTGGCTTTCTTCATTTCCCCAACTAATGACTTTTATATCATCAAAAAACAAGCTCTTAAATACATTAAGTTGATATTTAAACACAGATTAATAGTTTTCATTATCAATTCCTGTTGCTTTCCTTTTCTTGCTGATTTTTTAAAAACGTATTTGTTTTTCATTCTTACTAGATTAAAACTGGAAAAACTGAGGCTATAAATTTTCCTTGAAGTATGACGCTAATTGTAGCTCTATTTGACTTCTTCAAGTTTATTAATATGACTACTCCTGTGATCAAACAATTATCAAATAGAAACATATCTAATTATCAGGATTACTGATACACAGATAATTTGTTGACTATATCTTCATATTTGATAGCATCACATTTTTCTTTTAACTTTTATTTTAAGTTCAGGGGTACATGTGCAGGTTTGTTACATAGGTAAACATGTGTCATGGGGGTTTCTTGTACAGATTATTTCATCACCCAGGTATTAAGCCTAGGACCCATTAGTTATTTTTCCTGAATCTCTCCCTTCTCCTATCCTCCTCCCTCCTATAGGCCCCAGTGTATGTTGCTCTCCTCTATGTGTCCATGTGTTCTCAACATTTGGCTCCCACTTATAAGTGAGAACATAGCATCACAATTTGAACGCAAGTTATTCTGACTCCACATTTTGAGTTCTTAACTCTTATTTTCTATTGCCTCCTTACCTGCTGTTTGTTTTATATCTTTTGCTTTATGGCCTGGATTTTATTAGTTTTGAAATTTCCCCTTCTTCCCCTCAATTATTAATTTAGAAAATACATACAACTGTCAGGTTTTAGGTCTATTAGTGATGACTTTATGTATTTAACATTATATTTAAAATACTCTCAAGTGTCATTAACTATAAGATGCTTTGTTAGTTTTAAATGATCTTGAAAGAAAATATGGTGCCAGTTACAACTACATGTTATTACTGATTGGAAGACATATTCTAATTTCAGAAATGTTTCTTAGAATTGATGAAATACAATAGTATGCTTAAGCCACATTTTTCCATTTATATACATCAAAAACAAACTGTCCTCAGAAAGATGAAGCAATCAGCATATTAATATGACCTTCCCTCCAACCCCTCTCCCCAAATCTCCATTTTGCCAGTTCTTTCTGAACTTTTTGTCTCAGTTAACTATCATCAAATTATTATTTACCTTTTATTTAAGAATTCCAGTATTACATCCCCTTTTCCTAGTCTGTCTGATTTTATGTTTAACATGTTAATCACCAATCCTTCTAGATGGTAATTTTGCCATTTATGCATTCCTTCTTTTGATTCACCTTCTATGTAAGTTTTTAGAGACAGATCATAAAAGCTATAATTTCTTACTTTTTAAATTTTCACCTATTTTTCTTCAATACTCTACAGATATTATAGTGTCACTTGAAGTCAGAGAAAAAAATACTTGATTTTTAAAAACATTGTATGTGACATTTTTCTTAGTCTAGTCATGCTTATGAAATTTTTTAAATCTTAAAAGTGTATCTTTTAGTCTTTATTACGTTTTCCTGGTATTTAGTAAACCTTCTCAATCTATAGATTGCAATTTTAATTTCAGGGATAGCCCTTCCCTCTATATCAATAACATTTCCAAGTAGTTTTTAATTTCTACCTCACTACATTTTGTGTGATTTTTTTCTGAAGTATTTCCTCCAACTCATTAAGAACATCTGCTACATTATTCACTCTACATCTTCCTGGGTCTAATGTGGTTTTAATTATTTTTGATAGCTTTGCTCATCCCCATCTGCCAACACTTTTCTAACCTTACTTTAGTATCCTTTTATCTATATCTTGATCTCTTAAATCTCTTCCTTGATCTCTTATCATAAAGCCTAAGATCATTTTATCTCCTTGAGAGTGTTGAAAATTTTTCTTAAAATGTTCTTCATTTCCCCAAATGGTTCTTTTTTCAAAATATTTTCCTTATTTGCCTTTGTATTTTCATTTATTTTATTTCTTTTTGGTAGTACTCATATACAGGTCTGAAGTTGACATTTATATTATAAGAGGGGAGTTTAAGTATATCTGCTATTTGTTATGATTAGTGTGCTTGAGTTTCTCTACTTACCAGGTCACTTTTTCAAACATACTTCTATAAGATGAGCTGCAAAGCTAGAACTGGGATAAGAAAAATAGAGAGTACAAAGCGATCCTCTGTCAGACCCCACCTCTCCTATCAGTCCCAATTTGCTATTTGCCACTCATATCCCCAGTGCGCTTATTTCCCAGTTAAGTGTTACTGGTAAGAACTTTCTGAATTTAGGGACATATGTATCAGCATTTGACATCTAACTTTAATTTAGTTCAAATATTATCAATGATGGCAGTGGCAGGCCATCCGGAGCGGCCGCTGCTACCACTCCAGCTGCAGAGAGGAGGTGCAAGCAGTGGCTGCAGGGGCAGAAATGGCGGCAGTGGGTCACCTATGCCCCATGTCCCCGAGGCAGCCAAATGCACTGCTGCCACCCTCGTGCAGCCAGACGGGATGGGCTCCCAGGCCCGGAGCCTCAGCCACTCCAGACCCTGGCTCTGCTCACCACTCTTGCCAACAGCCACTGCAGAGAGGGAGAAGGGGGTTGGCAGAGCTGGGCCTGGGGCAGTGTGATGCTTCACAGAGCCCGCAGCAGCCAGGGACAAGTGGGAGCCCCCCTGGAGCCAGCCGCCCCGTGGCCACAGCAGTGGGGCCTGGCCGAGCCACCCGCTGGCAGGGGAACAGCATGGTTGGGCACAGAGGGGTGGACAGAGAGGGGCCCAGTGAGGACCTCAAGCCCCCACCCCAGGCTGAAAGATGTGGCCAGGGCTGCCAGCATGCTCCATGGAGCAGACGGGAGCCCCACCCTCCCAAGCGCAGGACTTGGGTGTCTCTGCACTCTGCACCCTCAGGGGCCCAGGAAGGCCTCCACTGCCCCCGCAGCCTCAGGGGTGTCTGCTCCCATTACCTGGCCTCTCCCCACTCCTGGTGCCCACTCCCATCTCGGAGCAGGGTTGGGGCTAAGCACAGGCACTGTCATAGCCTGGCATGGTGTGTACATGTTCGGGAGCAGCACTGACACGCCAGCCCCCTGCTGCCTTGGCCCCCTCTGGACTTTGAACACCAACAAGCATTGTGGGGAACATGAGGGGGTGCTGAGAGGAACTCAGCACTGGCTTGCAGGTGACCCTTGGCGTGAGCAGCCTGAGCAGCCTGGGTGCCATGGTCGGCAGCAGGGGGCAGACGGGCACCCTGGTGGAAGGGGGCGGGACCCTGGTGAGGCTGTACCTTCAGGCCAGGGAGGCACTGAAGGCTGGGGGCTAGGCTGGCAGTCCCACAGACCAGAGTGGGAACTTGCAGTGCCTTTTCCAGTCCTGCCCATGGCCACCCATGGACCAATTGGCACACACTTCCTCCCCTGAGGCCCACAAAAGCTCTGAGCTCAGCCATAGCTGGACAGACAATGGGACAACCAGCTGAAGAGAGGAGCTACCCTCTCTGTTGGGAGCTGAAACATGTTGGGATGTCCTGCCTGCAAAGAGGAGCTACCCTCTCCTAGAAGCTGAATACTCCATGGAACACCCTGGCTATAGAAATGAGCTGTACCCCGTAGATCTCCTCTGAGCTGTTCTATCACTCAGAAAAGCTCCTCTTCCTCTTGGTCACCCATCACTTGTCTGTGTACCTCAATCTTCCTGGTCACAGGACAAGAACTCAGAACCCACCAAATGGCATGGCTAAAAGAGCTGTAACACAAACAGGGCTGAAACACACCCCTTGTTCGCCACGTTCCAGGCAAAGATAAGGAGACAAGAGCTGTGGCCCTTGGGGGAACCCAGACCTGGGAGCTCCCAGAGCCAGGGTGGTGATTCCCTCTTTGGGGCCCTGTGTTTCATGGCATCTACAAGCTTCTGGGTGCCACCACATTCCCTGGTACCAGCTGGGGAAGCTGCTTGCCTTGCACCTGGTCCAGTTGCAGCCTTGCAGAGAGCTGGAACCCATGCCAGCACCTGGAGCTGCCTGCCGTGTGGCAGCAGCAGACAAGTCTGACTGCACAGTGGCTGGACCCCATGCTCGCTCATACACTCCTCCCAATTCCACGCTTGACTTGCAGTCTCCCTTGGAGGCATGGGATCCAGATCAGTAGCATGAGAAGAGCGCAGCCTACCAGGCTGAGTGGGTGGAAAAAGCCAAGCGGGCACAAGCAAAACTTGGGCAAAGGCACCAACAGCCAGAGGTTTCCAGCCAAAAAAGCAACACCCCAAAGATCCCATAACAACAATATCTAGAAAATAGCCTTTGCAATAAGTGGAATGGAGCCAAGGTCACTGCTATTGTTTCATTTATGGCTAAAGCTTACACCTCTATCCTTGGCTCTTTTCGTCCTTTTCAGAGAGCATTTCAAGAACAGCAATCAGCTCAATCAGTCATCTTTCTTAGAACTCCTAGAATTTCAGTTTTCACATAAGTTTCCAATGATTTAAAGTAAAAGATGAAAGCAGATGAAAGATCAAATAGACCTTTTTAATTTGTGATAATATTTAAATTTTATGTTAAACTTCAAGTGATGTAAGACAATTTCACTAATTTAGCTCTTTTAAGGCACAAGCAAACAAATTATCTTTACCTTTCATTTGATCCTATGACCCTGTCAATATTCTAAAACTTTTCTGAAAGTCATCATGGGAGTCACATATCCTGATGTTTGCATTTGATGCCTAAAAATATCCTGGACACTTTTTGTCAAATGAGCACCAATTGTTTTCAATGGACTAACCTCACCATTGGGTTAGCCATTCCTATCCAAAATAGAAAAGAAAAATAAAAACATGAAGATATTGAAAGATAACTGAAACATTTTTTAAGTTGAAGATTATTTCAGGATGATTAAGTAAGTCCTGATCAAAGCAAACAGGCCTCCTTTTACCAAGAACAAGTAATGACAAAATGTGAGCATAAAGTGGTTCGATTTGATATATACATACATCAGATCTTAGATAATCATAGCAGGTAAGACATTAATGATAATCATTCTCTGAAACACTTTTGGAATTCCCTTTTAGAACAGCTTTCACAACCATTATTTTACTAATTTCAGTGGTAGCAATTATTTACTATCTGAAATTTTTTAATGTTTTAATTCAGACACAAAAAGTGATTCTCAACTGGGAATGATTTTTCTCTTCAAGCGATGTTGGGCAATGCCTGGAAACAGTTTTGGTTGTCACAAGTTATGAGAGGGGGAACACTACTGGCACTGAATATGTAGAGGCCAGGAATGCAGCTAAACATTCTGAAGTGCATAGAACAGCCCCCACAACAAAGAATTATCCATCCCAACATGTCAATGGTGCCAAGGGTGAGGAACCCTGCATTAGAGTCAAGAATGATGAAAAAGATGGGAGACTGCTTTAGCATAGTCTCTTGCATTCTGTGGGCATTTAACAAATATTTCTTGGATGAAGGAATAATTAAGGGAAATGACACTGTTTGGGATGATAAATTATCATCACAAAACAAAAGGATCCATACAGTGGCTCTAAATATATTGCTAAGGGGAAAACTGTATAGCTTTCCAAGAGAACTATTTTGAAGGACAAAATTTTGAAAGAACGTAATAATATAATTGCTTTAAAAGCCACATACAACTAAAGACACAAGAAATCTGAGAAGACTACATCTTTTCATCTTATTACTTACAGAGTTTTATAAGACAGGAAAAATAAAACTACTGATGTAGCCAATACCTTCTGCTCATCTATAAAGTTGGTCTTTTCTTCCAAATACTATATGTGGATGGAATAGATGGTTCTCCCTACAAATCTTGAAATCTGCTTACAATAAACTCTGAGTAAAAAGATGTAACTGTAAAACAACCTATAAAAATTTGGCTGGGTGTGGTGGCTCATGCCTGTAATCCCAGCACTTTGGGAGGCCAAGGCGGGTGGATCACTTGAGGTCAGGAGTTTGAGACCAGCCTGGCCAACATGGTGAAACCCTGTCTTACTAAAAATACAAATAAAAAAACAAAAATTAGTCAGGCATGGTGGCACATGCCTGTGATCTCACCTCCTTGGGAGACTAGAGCAGCAGAATGGATTGAACCTGGGAGGCAGAGGTTTCAATGAGCAGAGTCCACACCAGTACACTCCAGCCTGGACAACAGAATGAGAATCCATCTCAAAAAAGAAAAAACAATTACTCCTTTGTATCTTAAAAATTCATATCAGAGAAGGAACTAAATTTTATCTCACTTAAGATATCATTTCACTAGCAACCAAAGTCCACTGAAAGAAATAAATAACCTTGATTAAAGGAAAATAAATGGGCAGAAGAATTCCTAAATGTCACTATTTTGGTTAAGCTATTCAAACAAACTGAGCTGCTGACACTGCCAATCCTGCCAATGAGAAACATAACATATTATGCACTAAAGGGAACAAATTCCATAGCCAGAGACTTGAGATTGGTTTTTGGGCTAACCAATTCATGGCTATGGAAACACAGACTGAGTGCATAACCATAAAGGTCCTAAGTTCCTCCACTGATAAATGGGGATGCTAAAAAGCTACCTTGTTGGGGGTTGCATGTTATTATTACTTTAATCATAATGGAACTAAAAGATCAGAGAGCTCACTCTGCCTAATTTAATTTCATAGAGCACTAAGGCCCCAGTATCATTTTTAAGTATTATAATTTTTAGCGTTTAATACTTAGTGTTTAAATATTATAATTTTAAGTAGAATACTCTTACCTAATATAGAAACTCTCATGTGACATATACTTTTAGAAAATTCATAACTTGGCTTCAAATAAGATTCACTGACAATTTTATGATGAATTTTAATTATTTTTATTTTTTTAGAGATGGGGTCTCAGTCTATTGTCCTCCAGGTGGATGCAGTGGCACAATCACAGCTCACTGCAGCTTTGAACTCTTGGGCTAAAGCAATCTTCCTGTGTCAGCCGCCTGGAGAGCTGGGAGTACTACTATGTGCCACCATGACTGGCTTGATTTCTTTATCTATCTATCTATCTATCTATCTATCTATCTATCTATCTATCTATCTATCTAAGACCAGGTCTCTCTGTGTTGCCCAGACTGGTGTGGAATGCCTGGCCTCAAGTAAGCCTCCCAGATAGCTCAAATTACAGGAGTGAGCCACCACATCCAACTAAATTTTTTTATTATTATTATTCTACTTTCAGTTCTGGGATACATATGCAGAATGTACAGGTTTGTTACACAGGTATATATGTGCCATGGTGGTTTGCTGCACCCATCAACACTTCATCTACATTAGGTATTTGTCCTAATGCTACCCCTCCCCTAGCCTCCCACACCCCAACGAGCCCTGGTGTGTGATGACCCCCTACCTGTGTCTATGTGTTCTCACTGTTATACTCCCACTTATGAGTGAGAATATACAATGTTTGGTTTTCTGTTCCTGTGTTAGTCTGCTGAGAATGACGGTTTCCCACTTCACCATGTCCCTACAAAGGACATGACTCATCCCTTTTTATAGCTGCATAGTATTACATGGTGTATATGTGCCACATTTTCTTTTTTTTCTTTTTTCTTTTTTTTTCTGAGACAGTTTCAATCTTTTTTCCCAGGCTGGAGTGCAACGGCACAATCTCAGCTCACTGCAACCTCCGTCTCCCAGGTTCAAGCGATTCCCCTGCCTCAGCCTCCCAAGTAGCTGGGACTACAGGCACACACCACCATATCTGGCTAATTTTTTGTATTTAGTAGAGACGCAGTTTCACCATGTTGGTCAAGCTGGTCTCGAACTCCTGACCTCAGGTGATCCACCCACCTCAGCCTCCCAAGCCACATTTTCTTTATCCAGTCTATCACTGATGGGCATTCAGGTTGGTTCCAAGTCTTTGCTATTGTGAATAGTGCTGCAATAAACATACATGTACATGTGTCTTTATGGTAGAATGATTTATAGTCCTTTGGGTATATACCCAGTAATGGCATTGCTGTGTCAAATGGTATTTCTAGTTCTAGATCCTTGAGGAATCACCACACTGTCTTCCACAATGGCTGAACTAATTTACACTCCCACCAGGAGTGTAAAAGCATTCCTATTTCTCCACATCCTCTCTAGCATCTGTTGTTTCCTGACTTCTTAATGATCCCCATTCTAACTGGCATGAGATAGTATCTCATTGTGGTTTTCATTTGCATTTCTCTGATGACCAGTGATGATGAGCCTTTTTTCATGTTTCTTGGAGGCATAAGTGTCTTCTTTTGAGAAGTGTCTGTTCATATCCTTCACCCACATTTTGATGGGGTTGTTTTTTTTCTTGTAAATTTGGTAGATTCTGGATATTAGCCCTTTGTCAGACGGATAAATTGCAAAAATTTTCTCCCATTCTGTAGGCTGCCTGTTCACTCTGATGTTAGTTTCTTTTGCTGTGCAGAAGCTCTTTAGCTTAATTAGATCCCATTTGTCAATTTTGGCTTTCGTTGCAATTGCTTTTGGTGTTTTAGTCATAAAGTCTTTGCCCATGCCTATGTGCTGAATGGTACTGCCTAGGTTTTCTTCTACAGTTTTTATGATTTATGTCTTACATTTAAGTCTTTAATCCATTTTGAGTTAACTTTTGTATAAGGTGTAAGGAAGGGGTCCAGTATCAGTTTTCTGCACATGGCTAGCCAGTTTTCCCAACATCATTTATTAAATAGGGAATCCTTTCCCCATTGCTTGTTTTTGTCAGGTTTGTCACAGAACAGATGGTTGTAGATGTGTGGTGTTATTTCTGAGGCCTCTCTTCTGTTCCATTGGTCTTATATCTGTTTAGGTACCAGTGCCATGCTATTTTGGTTACTGTAGCTTGCAGTATACTTTAAAGTCAGGTAGTGTGATGCCTCCAGCTTTGTTCTTTTTGTTTATATTGTCTTGGCTACATGGGCTCTTTCTTGGTTCCACATGAAATTTAAAGTAGTTTTTTCTAATTCTTTGAAGAAAGTCAGTGGTAGCTTGATGGGAGTAGCATTCAATGTATAAATTACTTGGGACAGTATGGCCATTTTTATGATACTGAATATTCTTATCCATAAGCATGGAATGTGTTTCCATTTGTTTGTGTCCTCTCTTATTTCCTTGAGCAGTGGTTTGTAGTTCTCCTTGAAGAGGTCCTTCACATCCCTTGTAAGTTGGATTCCTAGGTATTTTATTCTCTTTGTAGCAATTGTGAATCGGAGCTCACTCATGATGTGGCTCTCTGTTTGTCTATTATTGGTGTATAGGAATGCTTGTGATTTTTGCACATTGATTTTGTATCCTGAGACTTTGTTGAAGTTGCTTAACAGCTTGAGTTTTTGGGCTGAGACGATGGGGTTTTCTAAATATACAATCATGACATCTGCAAACAAAGACAATCTGACTTCCTCTCTTCCTATTTGAATACCCTTTATTTCTTTCTCCTGCCTGATTGCCCTGGCGAGAACTTCCAATACTATGCTGAATAGGAATGGTGAGAGAGGGCAACCTTGTCTTGTGCCGGTTTTCAAAGGGAATGCTTCCCGCTTTTGCCCGTTTGGTATGATATTGGCTGTGGGTTTGTCATAAATAGCTCTTATTATTTTGAGATATGTTCCATCAACACCTAGCTTATTGAGTGTTTTTAGCATGAAGGGGTGCTGAATTTTATCGAAGGCCTTTTCTGCATCCATTGAGATAATCATGTGGCTTTTGTCATTGCTTTTGTTTATATGATGAATTACATTTGTTGATTTGCATATATTGAACCAGCGTTGCATCCCAGGGATGAACCCAACTTGATCATGGTGGATAAGCTTTTTGATGGGCTGCTGGATTTGGTTTGCCAGTATTTTATTGAGGATTTTTTGCATCGATGTTCATCAAGGATATTGACCTGAAATTTTCTTTTTTTATTGTGTCTCTACCAGGTCATCATATCAGGATGATGTTAGCCTCATAAAATGAGTTAGGGAGGAGTCCCTCTTTTACTATTGGTTGGAATAGTTTCAGAAGGAATGATACCAGTTCCTTTTTGTACTTCTAGTAGAATTTGGCTGTGAATCCGTCTGGTCCTGGACTTTTTTTGGGTGGTAGGCTATTAATTACTGCTTCAATTTCAGAATTTGTTATTGGTCTATTAAGAGATTCAACTTCTTCCTGGTTTAGTCTTGGGAGGTTGTATTTGTCCAGGAATTTATCCGTTTCTTCTAGATTTTCTAGTTTATTTGCGTAGAGGTGTTTATAGTATTCCCTGATGGTAGTTTGTATTTCTGTGAGATTGGGGGTTATATCCCCTTTATCATTTTTTATTGTGTCTATTTGATTCTTCTCTCTTTTCTTCTTTATTAGTCTGGCTAGCAGTTTATCTATTTTGTTAATCTTTTCAAAAAACCAGCTCTTGGATTCACTGATTTTTTGAAGGGTTTTTCATGTCTCTATCTCCTTCAGTTCTGCTCTGATCTTAGTTATTTGTTGTCTTCTGCTAGCTTTTGAATGTGTTTGCTCTTACTTCTCTAGTTCTTTTAATTGTGATGTTAGGGTGTCCATTTTAGATCTTTCCTGCTTTTTCTGTTGGGCATTTCGTGCTATAAATTTTCCTCTACACACTGCTTTGGCTGTGTCCCAGAGATTCTGGTACGTTGTGTCTTTGTTCTCATTGGTTTCAAAGAACTTATTTATTTCTGCCTTAATTTTGTTATTTACCCAGTAGTCTTTCAGGAGCAGGTTGTTCAGTTTCCATGCAGTTGTGTTGTTTTGAGTGAGTTTCTTAATCCTGAGTTCTAATTTGATTGTGCTATGGTCGGAGAGACTGTTTGTTATGATTTCCATTCTTTTGAATTTGCTGAGCAGTGTTTTACTTCCAAATGTATGGTCAATTTTGAGTAAGTCCTATGTGGTGCTGAGAAGAGTGTATATTCTGTTGATTTGAGGTGGAGAGTTCTGTAGATGTCTATTAGGTCTGCTCGGTCCAGAGCTAAGTTCAAGTCCTGGATATCCTTGTTAATTTTCTGTCTTGTTGATCTGTCTAATAGTTACAGTGGGGTGTTAAAGTCTCCCACTATTATTGTGTGGGACTCTAAGTCTTCTTGTAGGTCTTTAAGAACTTGCTTTATGAATCTGGGTGCTCCTGTATTGGGTGAATATATATTTAGGATAGTTGGCTCTTCTTGTTACATTGATCCCCTTCTTTGTCTTTTTTGATCTTTGTTGGTTTAAATTCTGTTTTATCGGAGACTAGGATTGCATCCCCTGCTTTTTTTTTGTTTTTTTTTTGCTTTCCATTTGCTTGGTAAATATTCCTCCATCCATTTATTTTCAGCCTATGTTTGTCTTTGCACGTGAGATGGATCTCCTGAATACAGCACACAGATGGTCTTGACTCTTTATCCAATTTGCCAGTCTGTGTCTTTTAATTGGGGCATTTAGCCCATTTACATTTAAGGTTAATATTGTTATGTGTGAATTTGATCCTGTCATTATGATGTTAGCTGGTTATTTTGCACATTAGTTGATGCAGTTTCTTCAGAGTGTCAATGGTCTTTACATTTTGATATGTTTTTGCAGTGGCTGATACCGCTTTTTCCTTTCTATATTTAGAGCTTCCTTCAGGAGCTCTTGTAAGGCTGGTCTGGTAGTGACAAAATCCCTCAGCATTTGCTTATCTTTAAAGGATTTTATTTCTCCTTCACTTAAGAAGTTTAGTTTGGCTGGATATGAAATTCTGGATTGAAAATTCTTTTCTTTAAAAATGTTGAATATTGGCCCCCACTCTCTTCTGGATTGTAGGGTTTCTGCAGAGAGATCTGCTGTTAGTCTGATGGGCTTCTCTTTGTGGGTAACCTGACCTTTCTCTCTGTCTGCCCTTAACATTTTTTCCTTCATTTCAACATTGGTGAATCTGATGATTATGTGTCTCGGGGTTACTCTTCTCAAAGACTATCTTTGTGGTGTTCTCTGTATTTCCTGAATTTGAATGCTGGCCTGTCTTGCTAGGTTGGGGAAGTTCTCCTGGATAATATCCTGAAGTGTGTTTTCCAACTTGGTTCCATTCTCGCTGTCCCTTTTAGGTACATCAATCAATCATAGATTTGGTCTTTTCACATTGTCCTGTATTTCTTGGAGACTTTGTTCATTCCTTTTCATTCTTTTTTTCTCTAATCTTGTCTTCATGCTTTATTTCATTAAGTTGATCTTCAGTCTCTGATATCCTTTCTCCTGCTTGATCAATTCGGCTAATGATTCTTGTGTATGCTTCACAAAGTTCTCGTGCTGTGTTTTTCAGCTCCATCAGGTCCCTTATGTTCTTTTCTAAACTGGTTATTCTAGTTAGCAGTTCCTGTAACCTTTTATCAAGGTTCTTAGCTTCCTTTCATTGGGTTAGATCATGCTCCTTTAGCTCAGAGGAGTTTGTTATTACCCATCTTCTGAAGCCTACTTCTGTCAATTCATCAAACTCATTCTCCATCCAGTTTTGTTCTCTTGCTTATGAGGAACTGTGTTCCTTTGGAGGAGAAGAGGCATTCTGATTTTGGAATTTTCAGCATTTTTGCGTTAGTTTTTCCTCATCTCCGTGGATTTATCTATCTTTTATCTTTGATGCTGATGACCTTTGCATGGGGTTTTTCTGTGGGTGTCCTTTTTGTTCATGTTATCACTTTTTCTTTGTTAGTTTTCCTTCTAACAGTCAGGCCCCTCTACTGCAAGTCTGCTGGAGTTTGCTAGAGGTCCCCTCCAGACCCTGTTTGCCTGGGTATCACCAGCAGAGGCTGCAGAACAGCAAAGACTGCTGCCTGCTCCTTCTGTTGGAAGCTTTGTCCCAGAGGGGCACCTGCCCAATGCTAGCCAGAGCTCTCCTGTATGAGGTGCCTGTCAACCCCTGCTGGGAGGTGTCTCCCAGTCAGAAGGCATGGGGGTCAGGGACCCACTTGAGGAGGCAGTCTGTTCCGTAGCAGAACTTGAGTGCTGTACTGGGAGATCCACTGCTCTCTTCAGAGCTGGCAGGCAGGAATATTTAAGTCTGCTGAAGGTGTGCCCACAGCCGCCCCTTCCCCCAGGTGCTCTGTCCCAGGGAGATGGGAGTTTTATCTATAAGCCCCTGACTGGGGCTGCTGCCTTTCTTTCAGAGACGCCCTGCCCAGAGAAGAGGAATCAAGAGAGGTAGTCTGGCTACAGTGGCTTTGCTGAGCTGTGGTGGGTTCCCAGCTAAATTTTAAACAATTATTTTGATAACTAGCTTTTTCAATAAATTTTGCTGCATGTTAACTCCTCTCATATGAACACTGAATTAACAATTTGCTCTTATCTAATATGCATATAAGAACAAAAATTGTATCAGATTGTGCTCTTACATAGGTCTTTAATGACAGCAAATAATTAAACCTAGAGTAAATCTATTTAGCAATATATTAAAATTATTAATTTATTTCAGTGGTGAATTATTCCTAAAGAACATTTTTAGGACAGCTGGACTACTAATGCAATTTATGTGATTAAATTTGCAATACTTCAAATCATGTCACTATATTCTTCCCCAGAGAAGCAATCTCATTTTTATAACCTCACCATGTGGTTAGATCATTGAGTACACATTAGGTACTCAATAAATGTTTATTGAACTAAATTGAAAGCAGTGAACTTGAAATTCTAGGAGCTCATGTTATTCTAAAGCTGTACACGTGATAATAAAACAGACTAAACAATGCAAAGGAAACAATTAAATTAGAATTGTATTACACCAATTTACCTAGGATGGTAGGCTATGAAGATATATTAAAACTCAATCAGAAAAACACCAGAAAGAAAAATGTGATGATTCTGAAGCTTGAGCCTGTAGCTATCAATCTTTGTGGAAAAAAAAAAAAAAAGTTGGCTGGGCATAGTGGCTCACACATCATCCCAGTGCTCTGGGAAACCGAGGTAGTAGGATCACTTGAGGACAGGAGTTTGAGACCAGCCTGTGCAACATAGAGAGACCCCATCTCTACAGAAAATTTAAAAATTAGTTAACTGTCGTGGCATGTGCCTGTAGACCTAGTTACTCAGGAAGCTGAGGTGGGAGGATCACTTAAGTCCAGCAGTTTGAGGTTGCAGCAATCTGTGATTGTGCCACTGCAGTCAATACTGCACTTCAGACTGGGTGACACAGTGAGAACACTATCTCTCGAGAAAAAAAACAGAGAGAGAGAAACATTCATATAGACCAGTATATTTCATGTTTTCTTTTCCTTACTCTTTTTGAAATCACCTTCATTATTATGGTAAAATAAATGTAACATAAAATTTAACATCTTAAACTTCAACTCACTTTTAATGCACTCTTTTTTCATTAACACCTCAGGTCCTGCTTGAGAGTCTTGCTATAGGGTGTCTGAAGGAAGATATGCAAATATCAGAGAAATTGGCTAGGCTAGAATTTTCTTTTAAAATATTTACTAAAGCCTAATTTTACTTAACTTACACTATGCTGTCTTGAAAAACAGCTATTAATAAACTATTAGGAAATAGTAAGTTAATTCCAGAAAAGTTTTCTGATGCTATTACTCAAGAACTAAAGGCAGAAAAATCCTACCTCTGCTGCTTAGAAGCTGTTACCTTGGGTATCTTACTTAATTCTGTGTGAATGATCTTCATTTGCAAAATGAATAAAACAATTCTGCCAATCTCACAGGATTCTTAAAGAATAATTATTTGTAAAGCAACATAGAACAGTTAGTATATTCTATTGATATGTAAGGTTTTTTAAAGAAAAAAGTAAAATTATGCATCTTGGGGATATTTAACTAGGGTTCTCTGAATTTACTGAATTTGAATGCTGCCCTGTCTATCGAGGTGGGGAAAGTGCTCATGGAAGATACCCTGAAATACGTTTTCCATATTGGTTCCATTCTCCTCAGCACTTTCAGGTACACAAATCAATTGTAGATTCCCATGCTTTTTGGAGATTTTCTTCATTCCTTTTCATTCTTTCTTCTCTGTGCTTGTCTGCCTGACTTATTTCAGAGAGACAGTCTTTAAGCTCTGAGATTCTTTAATCTGCCTGATCTATTCTGTTATTAATACTTGTGACTGCATTATGAAATTCTTATGGTGTGTTTTTCAGCTCTGTCAGGTTGGTTGCATTCTTCTCTATACTGGCAATTTTGTCTGTTCGCTCCTGCAATGTTTTATCATGATATTTAGCTGCCTTGCATTTGGTTTCAAGGTACTCCTTTAGCTCAGTGAAGTTCGTTTTTATCCAAATTCTGAATTCTACTTGTGTCATTTCAGCCATCTCAGCCTCAGCCCAGTTCTGAACCCTTGCTGGAGAGGTGATACAGTCATTTGGAAGAAAGAGGGTACTCTGGCTTTTTGAGCTTTCAGTGTCTTGCACTGATTCTTTCTCATCTTTGTGGGCTTATCCACCTTCAATCCTTCAGATTGCTGACCTTTGGATATTTTTTTTTATACAAATTGGCCACTTCTCCATATGGCTGCTGTGGTTTGCTGGGGGTTCATTTGCTCTAGTCCCTAGGCACCTCGAATTTTTGGGTACCTGGAGGTATCAGCAGTGAAGGCTGAGAAACGCAAAGATAGCAGTCTTCCCCTTCCTCTGAGAGCTCTGTACCAGGGAGGTATGGACCTGTGGCCAGCCCAAACGCACCTGTAGGAGGCGACTGAAGACACTGTTGGGAGGTCTCACCTAGTCAGCAGAAATAGGATTGGGGACCTGCTAAAATAAGCAGTCTGGAAATACTTTCATAGAGGAATTGTGCTGTGCTGGGGTCCATTTCTGTGCCCAGTTGGCTTTGGTTCTCCAGGGTCGTAATGAAAAAGAAAAAATGTTAAGGACAGTGAGAAATAAAGGCCAGGTCACCTATAGAGGGAAGCCCATCAGACTAACAGTGAAACTCTCATTGGAAACCCTACAAGCCAGAAGAGGCTGGGGGGCCAATATTCAACATTCTTAAAGACAACTCAAAATTTCATATCTGGCCAAACTAAGTGAAGGAGAAATAAGACCCTTTTCAGACTAGCAAATGCTGAGGGAATTCATTATCACCAGACCTGCCTTGCAAGAGCTCCTGAAGGAAGCACTAAATATGGAAAGGAAAGAACATTACCAGCCACTGCAAAATACACTGAAGTACACAGACCAGGTACACTATAAAGCAACCACATAAACAAGTCTGCAAATAACCAGCTAACATCATGAGGACAGGATCAAATCAACACATTATCAATACTAACCTTAAATGTAAATAGGCTAAATGCCCTAAATAAAAGACACAGAGTGGCAAGCTGGATAAAAGACTAAGACTTATTGGTATGGTGTCTTCAAGAGACCCATCTTACATGCAGTGTCACACATAGGCTCAAAATAAAGGGATGGAGGAAAATCTACGAAGCAAATGAAAACCAGAAAAGAGCAGGGATTGCTATCCTACTTTCTGACAAAACAGACTTTAAAACAACAAAGATTAAAAAAAAAAGACAAAGATGGGCATTACACAATGGTAAAGAGTATATTTTCACCCTTTATCATCTGGTTATTTTGCAGACTTGTTTATGTGGTTGCATTATAGTGTAACTGGTCTATGTACTTCAGTGTGTTTTGTAGTGGCTGGTAACGGTCTTTCCATATTTAGTGCTTCCATCAGGAGCTCTTGTAAGGCAGATAAGGTGGTAACAAATTCCCTCAGCCTTTGCTTGTCTGAAAAAGATCTTATTTCTCTTATTTCTATTCAATAAGAAGAACTAACTATAAAAATACAACACACCAGAAGCTCTGGGACATGGCTAAGGCAGTGTTAGGTGGGAAATTTATAGCATTAAATACCCATATCAAAAAGTTACAAAGATCTCAATTTAAAAATCTAACATCACAACTAAAAGAACTAGAGAACCAAGAGCAAACAAATCCCAAAGCTAGCAGAAGACAAGGAAAAAACAAAATCAGAGCTGAACTGAAAGAGATAGAGAACCAAAAAACCATTCAAAAGATCAACAAATAAAGAAACTTTTTTTGAAAAAAAAATACAATAGATAAACCTTTAACTAGAATAATAAAGAAGAAAAGAGAGAAGATTCAAATAAACACAATCAGAAACAATAAGGAGGATATTACCACTAAACCCGCAGAAATACAAATAACCATCAGAGAATATTATAAACACCTCTATGCATATCAACTAGAATATCTAGAACTAATCGATAAGTTTCTGGACACATACACCCTCACAAGACTAAACCAGGAAGAAACTGAATCCCTGAACAGACCAATAATGAGTACTGAAATTGAGTACTACCACTTACCAACCACCCCCCGCCCAACAAAAAGAAAAGCCCAGGACCAGACAGATTCACAGCTGAATTCTACCAGATGTACAAAGAAGAGCATGTACCATTCCTACTGAAACTATTCCAAAAACTGAAAAGGAAAGACTCCTCCCTAATGCAATCTATGAGGCCAGCCTCATCCTGATAGCAAAACCTGGCAGAGATAAAACAAAAAAAGAAAACTTCAGGCCAATATCATTGATGAACATTGATGCAAAAATCCTCAACAAAATACTGCAAATCAAATCGAGCAGCGCATCAAAAAGCTTATGCACCATGATCAAGTAGGCTTAATTCCCAGGACTCAAGGTTGGTTCAACATATGCAAATCAATAAATATGATTCATCACATAAACAGAACTAAAGAGAAAAACCACATGATTATCTCAATAGGTGCAAAAAAGGTTTATCAGAAAATTCAACATCCATTCATGTTAAAAACTCTCAATAAACTAGGTATTGAAGGAAGATACCTCAAAATAATAAGACCCATGTACGACAAACTCACAGCCAACATCACACTAAATGGGAAAAAGCTGAACACATTCCCCCCCGCAAAAAATGGCACAAGACAAGGATGCCCTCTCTCAAGACTCATATTCAACATGGTAATGGAAGTTCTGGCCAAGGAAATCAGGCAAGAGAAAGAAATAAAGGGCATTGAAATAGTCTGCAAACTATCCCTGTGGTTTCTAGATTCTATATCTAGAAAACCACATTGTCTCAACCTGAAAGCTTCTTAAGCTGATAAACAACTTCAGCAAAGTTTCAGGATACAAAATCAATGTATAAAAATCACTAGCATTTCTATACACCAACAACAGCCAAGCTGAAGCCAAATCAGGAATGCAGTCCCATTCACAGTTGAAACAAAAAGAATAAAATACCTAGGAATACAGCTAAGTAGGGAGGTAAAAGATCTCTGCAAGGAAAATTACAAACCACTGCTCAAAGAAATCAGAGAACACAAATACATTTTTAAAAAGTCCATGTTCATGGAAGGGAAGAATCAATATTGTTAAAATGGCCATACTGCCCAAAGAAATTCATAAATTCAATGCTATTCCCATTAAACTGCCATTGACATTCTTCACAGAACTAGAAAAAACTATGTAAAAATTCATTATGAACCAAAAAAGAGCCTGAATAGCCAAGGCAATCCTAAGCAAAAAGAACAAAGCTGGCAGCATCATGCTACCAACTTCAAACTATACTACACGGCTACAATAACCAAAACAGCATGATATAGATACAAGAAAAGACACATAGGCAGGGCGCGGTGCCTCACGCCTGTAATCCCAGCACTTTGGGAGGCTGAGGTGGGTGGGTCACTAGGTCAGGAGTTCGAGACCAGCCTGGCCAATATGATGAAACCCCATCTCTACTAAAAATACAAAAATTAGCCAGGCGTGGTGGCGCACCTGTAGTTCCAGCTACTCAGGAGGCTGAGGCAGAAGAATCACTTGAATCTGGGAGGCACAGGTTGCAGTGAGCCAAGATCGCGCCACTGCACTCCAGCCTGGGTGACAGAGCGAGATTCTGTCAAAAAAAAAAAAAAAAAGAAAGAAAGAAAAGACACTTAGAAAAATGAAACAGAACAGAGAACCCAGAAATAAGACCATACATGTACAACCATCTGATCTTTGACAAAGCTGACAAAAGCAAGCAATGGGGAAAGGGCTTCCTATTCAATAAATGATGCTGGGATAACTGGCTAGCCATATGCAGAAGACTGAAGCTGGACCCCTTTCTTACAACATGTATTAGTTCATTTTCATGCTGCTGATAAAAACATACCTAAGACTGGATAATTTATAAATAAAAAGAGGTTTAATAGACTTCCAGTTCCACATGGCTGGGGAGCCCTCACAATCATGGCAGAAGGCGAAAGGCATGTCTTACATACCGGCAGACAAGAGAGAATATGTGCAGGGGAACTCCCCTTTTTAAAAACATCATATCTCATGAGACTTATTCATTACCACGAGAACAGTGTGGGAAAGATCTGCCCCCATGATTCAGTTACCTCCTACTGGGTCCCTCCCACGACATGTGGGAATTACAGGAGCTATAATTCAAGATGAGAGTTGGGTGGGGACACAGCCAAACCATATCATTCTGCCCATAGGCCCTCCCAAATCTCATATCCTCACACTTCAAAACCAACCCTGCCTTCCCAACAGTCCCCCAAAGTCTTAACTCATTTCAGCATTAACTCAAGAGTCCACAGTCCAAAGTCTCAATTGAGACAAGGCAAGTCCCTTCCACCTATGATCCTGTAAAATCAAAAGCAAGTTAGTTATTTCCTAGATACAATGGGGGTATAGGCATTGGGTAAATACAGCCATTCCAAGTGGGAGAAACTGGCCAAAACAAAGGGGCTACAGGCCCCATGCAAGTCGAAATCCAGCAGGGCAGTCAAATCTTAAAGCTCGAAAATGATCTCCTTTGACTCCATGTCTCACATCCAGGTCATGCTGATGTAAGAGAGGATTCCCATTATCTTAGGCAGCTCTGCCCCTGTGGCTTTGCAGAGTACAGTGTCCCACCCAGCTGCTCTCACGGGCTGATATTGAGTGTCTTGTGGCTTTTCCAGCTGCACAGTGCAAGCTATAGGTGGATCTACCATTCTGGGGTCTGGAGGATGATGGCCCTCCTCTCACAGCTCCACTAGGTGATGCCCCAGTAGGGACTCTGTGTGGGGACTCCCAACCCACATTTCCCTTCTGCACTGCCCTAGCAGAGGTTCTCCATGAGAGTTCTGCCCCTGCAGCAAACTTCTGCCTGGATATCCAGGCATTTCTATACATCCTCTGATATCTAGGCAGAAGTTCCCAAACCTCAATTATTGACTTCTGTGCAACTGCAGCCTAAACACCACATAGAAACTGTCAAGACATGGGGCTTGCACCCTCCAAAGCCAGGGCCTGAGCTGTAGCTTGGCCAGTTTTATTCATGGCTGGAGTGGCTGGGATGCAGGGCACCAAGTCCTTAGACTTCACCACAGCACAGGGACCTTGGGCCCAGCACATGAAACCATTTTCTCTTCCTAGGCCTCCAGGCCCATGATGGGAGGGGCTGCCATGAAAACCTCTGACATACCCTGGAGACATTTTTCCCATTGTCTTGGGGATTAACATAGGGATCCTCATTTCTAATGCAAATTTCTGCAGCTGGCTTGAATTTCTTCTCAGAAAATGGGATTTCCTATTCTATTGCATTGTCAGGTTGCAAATTTTCCAAACTTTCATGCTCTGTATCCCTTTTAAAATGGAATGCTTTTAACAGCATCCAAGTCACTTCTTCAATGCTTTGCTTTGAAATTTCTTCAACCAGATACCCTAAATCATCTCTCTGAAGTTCAAAGTTCCACAAATCTCTAGGGCAGGGGTAAAATGCCACCAGTCTCTTTGCTAAAACATAACAAGAGTGACCATTGCTCCAGTTCCCAACAAGTTCCTCATCTCCATTTGAGACCACCTCAGCCTGAACCTTATTGTCCATATTGCTATCAGGCTTTTGATCAAAGCCATTCAACAAGTCTCTAGGCAGTTCCAAACTTTCCCACATTTTCCTGACTTCTGGGCCATCAAACTGTTCCAACCTCTGCCCATTAACCAGTTCCAAAGTTGCTTCCACATTTTTGGAATGCAGCAGGGCCCCACTCTACTGGTACAAATTTACTGTATTGGTCTTTTTTCACACTCCTGATAAAGACATACCCGAGACTAGAGAATTTACAAAAGAAAGAGATTTAATGGACATACAGTTCCACATGGCTGGGGAGGCCTCACAATCATGGTGAAAGGAAGAACAAGTCATATGTGGATAGTGGCAGGCAAAGAGAGAGAGAGCTTGTACGGCTAAACTCCCCTTTTTATAACCATCAGATCTCATGAGACTTATTCACTATCACAAGAACAGCATGGGAAAGACCTGTCCCCATGTTCCAATTACCTCCCACTGGGTCCCTCCCACAACACATGGGAATTCAAGATGAGATTTGGGTGGGGACACAGCCAAACCATATCACAACCCCATTAAGAAGTGAGCAAAGGACATGAACACACACTTTTTAAAAGACACACATGTGGCCAACAAGCATATGTAAAAAAGTTCAATATTACTGATCATTAGAGAAATACAAATCAAAATCGCAAGGAGATACTATCTCACACCAGTCAGAATGACTATTATTAAAAAGTAAACAAAAATAACAGAGGCTGGTGAGGTTTCAGAGGAAAGGGAACGCTTATACACTGTTTTGGGGAGTGTAAATTAGTTCAACTATTGTGGAAAGCAGTATGGCAATTTCTCAAAAAGCCAAAAGCAGAACTACCATTTGATCCAATAATCCCATTACTAGGTATATAACCAGGGGAATATAAATCATTTTGCCATAAAGACACATGCATGCAAATGTCCATTCACTATAGAAAAAACATTAAATCAACCTAAATGCACATCAATGACAGACTGGATAAAGAAAATGTATGGGAGGCTGAGGCAGGAGAATCACTTGAACCCAGGAGGTGGAGGCCGCGGTGAGCCAAGATCATGCCACTGCACTGCAGACTGGGCAACAAGAGCAATACTCTGTCTCAAAAAAAAAAAAAATGAAAAGAAAGAAAAGGTGGTATATATACACCATAGAATACTATGCAGGCATTAAAAAAGAATATCATGTCTTTTATGGGAACATGGATGGAGCTGAGGCTATTATCCTTACCAAACTAAAGCAGGAACAGAAAACCAAACACCCATGTTCTCACTTGTAAGTGGGAGATAAATGACAAGAACTCATGAACACAAAGAATGGAACAACAGACACTGGGGTGTACTAGAGTGGGGAGAGTGGGAAGAAGGAGCAGAGCAGAAAAAATAACTACTGGGTACTAGGCTTAATACCTGGGTGATGAAATAATCTGTACAACAAACCCCTGTGACACAAGTTTACCTACATAACAAACCTGCACATATACCCCCAAACTTAAAATAAACGTTTTTTAAAAAAGAAAATCCTGCTTCAAACTAACAGAATTTAAGAATGTTGGCTGGGCACAGTGGCTCACGCCAGAACTTTGGGAGGCCGAGGCAGGCAGATCATGAGGTCAGGAGATCAAGACCGTCCTGGCCAACATGATGAAACCCTGTCTCTACTAAAAATACAAAAAAATTAGCTGGGCGTGGTGGTGCACATGTCTGTAATCCCAGCTACTCAGGAGGCTGAGGCAGGAGAATCGTTTGAACCAGGGAGTTGGAGGTTGCAGTGAGCTGAAATCGCACCACTGCACTCTAGTCTGGCGACAGAGTGAGACTTCGTCTCAAAAAAAAAAAAAAGAATGTTAGAGATTGTTCAAACATCCACCTATGTTGTATTCAACTCCTTTTACCACCTCTAAAAACCAAATTTATCTTTGGAAAAATGTTCCTCTTATAAAGTTCTTCATTATTTCTATTCCATTAAACTCTGAGCTAGTTACTTGAGGGAAGGACCATCTTTATTTCATTTTTGTATCATTAAAACTTAACATAGTGCCTCACATATGATAGACACCTAAGAAATGTCTATTAAACTAAGATCTATCTCTCTGGAAGTACCTAGCAATTATCTTGTAATGAAATCAAATAAATCTATTTGATATACCTTCAAATATATGAAGGTAGTATGTTACCCAGAGTCTTCACACTTCTATACCAAAAAAACTCAAGTCGTTTAGTCACTCTCTTCTTTATGAGCTCCAGTATATTGACATCATTTCTAAATGCAGGGCCAGAATAAAACTCAATACATTAGGTGTGGCTAGACTAAAATACAGCAGATACTGGACCACCATGGTGCTAATTTCAGAAAATGTATTTCTATTAATAATAATGCAACCTAAATTAACATAACCTGTTTTCAAAGCTGTATTTCACTAGTGACAATTTCTCTACACTCTCCAAACTTTGGTCATGGGATTTGATGCTAAGCTGTGTCTTTCCTTGTACTTGTACTTTGTACTTGCATAGATGAATTGGGGGATCCAATTATGGTTATACTTATTATATGCAATCTTACTTGCATTAGTCCTCTCCTCTAAAATACCAATGCCACTGACATGGTAATAACCATTCATTGTCTCTCACCAGAAATATTAGAACATTTGCTAAATGATTTCTTGGCCATCATTCATACTATACTCTAATCCACTCATTAAACTGCAAAATGACTGCCCCTAAATGCAATTTAATCAGTAACTTCCCGTATTCATTTATGCTTCTTCACCATTTTCAGTAGAGTCCAATTTCCTTATGTGCCATTTAAGGCATTCATGTTCAAGACACTATCTACGATACTAACTTCATATTCTACAATAGCCCAAAAAATATCCCCTTATATTCTAAAAGTTCCATGAATAATTTCATTCCCCTGTTTCTTTACATATACTATACCCTCTGCCTAGTGTTTTTTCCTTTCTCTTCTACCAGATGCCTACCATGCTACCAAACTGTTATATAATTTTTTGATCCTCTTCATCTTTTTGAAGAACATAATTGTCTGTCTCTAGCTAGAGAACACATCTCATTCTCTAAGTAAATGGTATTCAAGTTAGGTGATTAGGTAATTATTTCCAAAATCAACTTATAATATAGGTAATATCTTACAATGTGACAAACAATATATTTTCAATATTTGTCTGCTTCATATATTTTTATTTAAGCTATACTAAACAAGAATAACCTGGGGTAGAAAATTAAAGATATCTATTACCATTGTCTCCCAAGTAACAAAGAAATTTTACTGTGGAACACAGAATAAATGAACTAAATGTTAAGCCAGGCAACTAAAATAACAAGTTATATGTTATTTTATATGAAAGTAGAGTATAAGAATTAGCAAAAATGATTATATTTTGTACTACTAAAAAAAAAACTCCCTTGGTTTGGAGCATCTGGTTAAATCAATAATATCTTCAAATGTAAATGGCCCAAAACTAAGTTCTCTATAAATACTGAGTTCAGAGTTGTGTTCAAACAACTAGACAGGAAACTAACCACAGATCATTTCACTTTAGTGTAAGCTTCTGCCCAGTTTTGGATGAGACACTATTACTGTCACTGTTGCATCTGGGAAGATGGCTAAGTCTTTTGGGCCGATAGAGAGTGTCATTAGCACTCTTTTATATATTCACAAGTTTAAAAAGAGTCGTATGAAATTCATAGCGCCAGACTGTGAAAAAAGACAAAAATAAAACAAGCCTATTGTTTCCCTTAAACTTAAGCCTAAAAGAAAAATATACCTCAGCTCATATTATAAAGCTTTTGGAAATCTCCAGCCAGAGCAATAAGCTCTAAATTTGTTTTAAGCACTCTACTTTTGAAGTTATGTTGCTCATTTCACTTTCCAATTTGTCCTACAGCATTGTCAATTTTTTTTTTTTGAGACGGAGTCTCGCTCTGTCGCCCAGGCTGGAGTGCAGTGGTGCGATCTCGGCTCGCTGCAAGCTCTGCCTCCTGAGTTCACGCCATTGTCCTGCCTCAGCCTCCCAAGTAGCTGGGACTACAGACGCCCAGCTAATTTTTTTGTATTTTTAGTAGAGACAGAGTTTCACCATGCTAGCCAGGATGGTCTCGATCTCCAGACCTCGTGATACACCCGCCTCTGCCTCCCAAAGTGCTGGAATTACAAGCGTGAGCCACCGCGCCTGGCCAGCATTGTCAATTTTTTTTTTTTTTTTGCATTGCAGTTATGCAATAATAAAATTATAATGAATTTTTAGAAATGATCCCTTCCAGTGAAATTATATAACCATACAGGACCAATATAAATATTTTCATAGATAAGAAAAATACAAAAATATAAGGTAAAAATTCCTCCAAATTCAGGCCTTGATCTAAAATTGTCTTCACTATAAGTTTAATGTCTAATATGCTTTTACAGTTATTATTTTGGATGACCTTTAAACATTATACTAAACAGATGTTGTGGCAAACTATATACCAAGTAATTCCTCCTATATGGTTCCAGCACATACAGGCAGAAGCACAGGAATCTCTGGGTTGGAAGACTTAGAGTTCTAGTCTAATACTCTGTCCGACACATGGATTGCCTTTGCACCATCCCAGAGAATCAGCTATTCTCTGTCACAATGTTGTCCATGAATTAACTAGTTCATACTCTTATTTATCTCTGTCTAACTTCTACTTTGTAGAACAACTTATAACAGAAAGAGCAACTAGGTATTCAAATCTTACTCTAAATAAAATACAGCAAATTAATAAGGGTCAGGAACAACATTTATGGCCACCAGGTGTACATTCTTTTCTATCTATAATAATTTGACAATCTCTCCTTTGGAGAAAATAATAAACAGACAAAATCAGTACTCAAGAAAACTGTGACAAGCTCCCCAGAATTCCCATACCCTATTTATGTAGAGAGGTTAAAATGGCCTGCAAAGAGATCTTAAAGAAATAGAAAAAAAAATAGTAAAACTCTGGTATGTGGATATGATCACTTTGTCGGAGTGCTTCCCAGGTTTTCGGACTAAAAGCATTTAAGCCAAATATCTGTTCCAGCTCCATTAAATCAGAAACAGAGTGGCAAGTTTACTAAAGGGACCTGAAAGACAGAGGTCACATGACATAGAGGGTATAGACACATTAAAAGTTAATCTCACAACTATCACATTATTTTAAAAAGTAAAGGAATTAAAACAGTGAGAGAGTGTACTTGTTAACTAATATCAAAAGAGAGTCAATAAGACAAGTAGATATTCATGAGATACCCCTATGAAGATGTCATGGTTTGGTAGTTTTAGGTAGTGATGTTTTTTAATCAAAAGCAGATTAAAGTCCTATATTCCATAATTACAGGAATTCACTGAATCATGCAGAAGGCCACTGGAAGTTTCTCTTGACTTTCTACAGTTAGCATCAGTAAAATAATTGTGTTACATTCAGTGATCTTCCCTCAATAGCATAGAATAAGTATGATTAGGAATAGTCATAGTCATATCATTAGCAGTTGACTGGGGCCATAAACTAACATTAGAGCTAGACTAGGACTAGAATTTTTAAGCATTACTATTGAAGCCATAAACCTTATGCTCATTAGACTCATTCCCTGCGCTACTCAAGGGAGCCAGGTTCCACCAGGAAGGTAAAAAGATAAACAAAAAACACTGGAAGGATCCCCATGGACAACTGCTGAAGGGAAGGGAAACCCTAAGGAAAGATCACAATTACTTGTACCCTAGGGAACCGATACCTCCTATTTCCTTTACCACCTGCAACGTAGCATATCAATGTGATTCTTTTAATAATCTCACTGTATCTGTTTTACAATAGCAAAAATATAGATATTGTCAATATGGCACAAAGAATATTGTTTCAATGAAGAATCCTTAGATTTTACATACTTCCAGATGGAATGCGTGCTCACAACTAGGAAAAATAGGCACAAAAGAAAATTAGCCTTACAAAAGGTTCATGTCAAACTTCTTGAGAGTATAGAGTTAGGGCCTGTTTGTCTGTTGAAAGACTGCTTCCCATTTTCAGATCTCTGTCACCTCCTAATCCTAAGATTATTTTTCAAAGTAGTTATCAAGATGAAGATTAAAGGCAACTTAAGTAAAAACAAAAAATAGTAGGCCAATAAAACAAAACACATAGACAAAAACATGAAATAAAACTTCCTTGTTTTGTTACCATCTTAGAACAGTTAAAGACGGTAAATCATTCAATTGCAGAAATCTATAAAGGCAATAAGATAATCCTACATGACATAAAAATAACAAGTGGATGTCCTTAACAGAAACACTTTAAAAAATATGTAACATAATGCATTCAGGGATGTATTGCAGGGTAGAAAATTCACTTTTTGTCTTTGTGCCTGTGTGTGTGTGTGTGTGTGTGTGTGTGTGTGTGTATCCCTAATCACTTTTTAAGAAGGTAGTTTTTCCTTAGGAAGAGAGTGGACTTCATCTATCACCAAGGAGCTAAAGACCAAGAAGCCTGCAACGGCTAATTCAAAGACAGGGAGGTCCCGGGGGCAAGTACGTACTGTGATTTCCAACATTGTGTGTTATTTGTTTGGAGAAGTTCAAGCACTTACTGAAGTATATTAAAATTGTGGCTATAGACTACCATGAAAGTATTACAGAAGAGTGGAATATACCACATTCCTGTTGCTCATTTAACTGTGAACTCCTCACCCCACAACATGTACAATATATATGCTAAGGTATCCTGACACCAATTTGCAGGCTCAAATTTGTCCTCTTGTCAAAGAAGCAAAAATGTAGTTTAGACTGACCTCATCGCGATATTCCAAGCAGTAATATTTTCTTCCTTTTGAACTTGGATTATTACCTTTACAGTGCACTCCCAACATCATTCTTAATGAAGTGGAATTATAAGAAATACATATTTATAATAAAGAGCTGTGATCAAAATAGATGTCAGGTAAAGACAAATAGTCATCTGAGTTGGAGGACACTATTCCATGCATGATGTCCCTGTTAGACATTCCAATCTCATCATAACATTGACTGGATATTTACTCAATGCTGGCCATATTAAAATGTCTGAGATACTTTCCTTCAAATAACATGTAACATTAGTTCATAATAGGGGAAAATATAGAAAATAATATTTAAGATCATATATCCAAAGTTTCAAGTAGAAAATTGAGACAATAATATCTACAGGAGTTCACAAGAAAATCAAACCTTGGGGTATGAATTGTGGGAAAAAGGGTGAACAGTCATAAAAGACCTCATGGGGAAAACAGGTGTTAAGCTGTATTTTAAAGGAGGGAAAGATTTGAAAGTGAGATGAGAAGTCATTCTGAGAAGGAAAACCATGAGCAAGAATCTACAGCCAGGAATAAGCATAGTATGTTTGGGAATGATTAACAGATATATTTGGCTGAAGTTACAGCTTTATGTAAGGGAATTACAACAAATGCATTTAATGTGGATAGTAGTTATACTTTAAAATGTGGGGATTATTAAAAATTTCTGAACAGAGAGAGTAACAGACAAACCAGTGTTCTTGGAAGGCACATCTAGAAATAAACTGACATAAAAATAAACTCTGCCTATGTTCTTCCACTGCTGCTCTTCTTTATAATGATCACACATCCTCAGTTGTCCTTAGTTGTGCTTTATTGTTCCTGATCTAATCACAACCATGCTTCTCAGTCCCCTTGCCTAGAAGTTTGCTTGGAAACCTCAATTCAACAGCACTCCTACAGACCCAAACACCTTCCTTTAGACTTAGAAATATTAGGGGAAAAGCAACTAGTTTACTGTAGCAAAAAGAGTATATGCTTTGGAATTAGGGAGAACTAAATTTAAATCTGTATTCCAAAAATATATTATTTATAAGATCTTAAGCAATGATTTAACCTACCTATACCTAAATTTAATCTGTAAAAAGATTAAGTAAAAAGTAAAAAGGGGCTACTTCGCAAACAAAGATGAGATAAATGAAGGATACTGGCACGTAAAAGAATCTAAAAATGTGGATATTTTTTGTTTCACTTTGAATTTATAAGCAAAAGGAAATCTGAACTGAGAGAGAAGCTGTAAAGATCTAAAACTTTTTTAAATAAAGGAAATGTTTAAAGATTTTTAAAATGCCAACAACAATTTTGAAGAAAACTAAGAAGTCACATAACCAACATAATTATTTTAATTTAAAATATTTCCTGGTGAACTTTTTTCTCACTATGAACATGTTTTTACATGTTTGCAATAATTTGTCTTATAAAACTTTCATTTTATTTCTTTCATTTAACATAAGTGCTTTGCAAAGTTATTATTTAATTTCACAAATTAGTTTTCATAAATACATAACATTTCACTGAATAATAGTATTAAAGTTTATATAACAGTTTGCCTATCATTACACAGTTAAGGTTTTTAATTATTTGCTGATATTAGCAATGATGAAATAACTGTTTTCTCCTCAGATAAAACTCAACACCCCACAACTTTAGCATCAATAAGAAAGAATGCAAGCCACTTCATCTTTTAAACGTATTGTATTAGTCTGTTCTCACTCTCCTATGAAGAAATACTCAAGACTGGGTAATCTATAAAGAAAAGAAGTTTAATTGACTCACAATTCTGCATGGCTGGTCAGGCCTCAGGAAACTCACAATCATGGCAGAAAGTACCTCTTCATAGGACAGCAGGAGAGAGAATGAGTGCTGAGAGAAGGGGGAAGCCCCTTATAAAACAATCAGATCTCACTATCATATGAACAGCATGAGGGAAACTACTCCCATGGTTCAATTATCTCCACCTGGTCCCACCCCTGACACGCGGGGATTATTACAATTCAAGGTGAGATTTGGGTGAGGACACAGAGCCAAACCATATCAGGTATCAAAGATACTAAAGTGACCAAGTATAGCAATATCTAACATATTCTCACTGGAATCTCTGACTCTTACCAGGTGCAGTGGCTCATGCTTATAATCCTAGCACTGCGGGAGGCCAAGGCAGGAGGATCACTTGAGCCCAGAAGTTCAAGACCAACCTGGGCAACATAGTGAGACCCCATCTCAACAAAAAAATAATAAGTTAGCCAGGAATGGCAGCACACGCCTGTAATCCTAGACACTTTGCAGGGCTGTTGTGGGCGGATTGCTTGAGCTTGAGAGGGCGAGGCTGCAGTGAGCTGTTATCACATCATGGCACTCCAGTCTGGGTGACAGAGTGAGACTATCTCAACAACAACAACAACAACAAAAAGGAATAGAAAAAGAAAAGGAAATCAAGTATGAAAATTTGTAAGTGTGGAATTTTGCAGTATGTTAAATTCTAGATTCTCCTTATTTTCTATGTTATCAACAAAAATAGGATTAGAAGTAAATGGCTCTATTTGGAACCAAACATACTTAAGCTTTTATTTAATAATTACAAGAGCAGAAGAAGACTCAAAGGTCATTATCATTAAAGAGGCAAAGGACTACTGGCTGGATACTACCAGAAAGAACAGCTCTGGCTTGGTAATAGTAGCTTTATGGGGAGAAAAGTTCTAAGTAATAGCTCAACACACAAAGATATTTCTGAAGAAATACAAAACCTCTAAAGGATTTAAGTTTCTAACTAAACAAAAGATCCCAATACCACATTGATAAGAAGCAAATGTTTTTTTATTTCAATGTACTCTATGTAGCTCAAATAACGTAACTGTTAACTGCATGGAAACAGGAAACATAAATCAATCTCTTGATAGGCAGAAAAATCATTAGTAAATCAGTAATTTGTACTCCATCAGGGAAAACGAAAAAAAAAAATCTTGAATCTTGGATCTACCTATGTAATTAATGTAATGAAGAAAAATGTGGTTGTGTCCTAAAGGATCTGATGCCTCTAGCCCTTTTTAAGGACACCTGAAACTTCTTTATTTTGTTCCAGAGAAAGTCATAGGAATTGGGCTAAATTACAGTCATTTTTATCAGCAGATGACAGAATTTCCACATAAGGTGTCAAAGAAGGGAATTCAAGTTAGGTTAGAAACAAGCAACCCACTTATTGGTATATTTCCCATTACCAGATAGAGTTTCTACTTTATGGGGATGTTACCACAATTTACCACCCGTTCCGGGAATTGTTCTGGTCACCATGACCAAAATTTTATACACTAACAAAAAAGATTCTGAATAAGAATCCCACAGAGAAAAAGGTATTTAAATGATGGCTCTATGAAACATAGCTTAGTGCTTCTCATATAGAGTTTAGAGGTATTATATAGCCTAGTGGGAAGGAACAAGGACTTTGGAGGCAGTTTACACCCCAGATTCACTAACTCTAGATGAATAGTTTTTGACACAATAGTAAACCTCTCTATGTTTACTAATGTGTAAGCTAATCTAATTTTTCTTTTCTAATTTGTAAACTGGGAGAATAACAATGTTTTCAGAAATTTGTTGCAAGGAATAAATGAGAATATATATTAATACCTACATACAGGTACATTAGAATATATACACCTACGTGTGTGTGTATACATATATACATGGGTGTATATCTATAGACACACAGAGAGAGAGAAAGAAAAAGAGAGAAACAGAGAGGGAGAGGACACTTTGTACAGTACCTGGTATATGGTATGTACTCAAAAGATAGTAGCTATTGTTAAATGTTAAGAGACAGCTTGATATAGTGAAAAGAACATGACACAAGGAAAAATGACCTAGGATCTAGCCCCACTATTGATTAATTTTCTGACCTCTGGGCAAGACCCTGTTAGGCCTCAGCTTCCATATTTGTTAAATGGGGAAAATAGTGACTGTCCGTATATCATAGAGGTTGCCCTTTTGAAAAAAGAAATGGGATAATGACATATAAAAGAAATGTGAACATTACTAAGTAATAATGAATGCAAGGCATTTTATAATTAAAATTCTGTCACTTGAAAACAATACTCTTTCTTATTTGGAGAAACAAGAGAATATGGAAGGAGAAAGACCAATTCAGAATTTCAACCTAAGCAAACTTTTGGTCATTATCTCAAAATAATAGCTTTTGACTTCTCTTTTCTATAATTAAATGGTTACTTTTAATGACATATGACTCAAAAATGATTGTCAATGCCCAGGCAGGAATTCAGTTACTTTATTATTCAAAACAGGTAAACTCCATAAAAACTTACTATGCACTATTTCATGCAAGCTGCTGCACTATACACAGAAATACAGATGAATAGGACAAGGTCTTTATCCACAGGGTTCACAAGTCCATAGTTGGCAATCAATCTAATAGACACGATGGTATAATGGAAAAAATTTTAAGTCAAATAAATTTGTTTAAATCCTAACCCTTTCACCTATTTGCTGTATCCCTTACAAAGTACATATCCTCCTTGAGTTTATGGTCTCATCATAAAATGTAATAATAATATTAATACTTATCTGATGGGGGTATTTTGAGTCCTCATCAACTGGGATGACATATAACACATGTAAAGCATTTGGAACACAGCAGATGCTTTAATTACCATTGTCTCCTTTCCTGAATAAAGTACACAAATGAATGACATGTCCAGCCCAAGGTAAAATTTAATTCGTGCCATTTTAAAAAGTGCCACAAAGGAAGATGTCACATCTGGTTAGGAGAACTGGTAAGGCCTCATAGAAGGTGTGGTCCTTGAAATGAACCTTGAAGTATGTAAGATTTTCAACACACATAGTTAAAGGGCAGAAGCAGTAAAAGTAGACGAAAGGCATGGGGGGGAAAAAAAAAAAAGACCCAGGGTAGAAAACAGTTGGGTGTGCTTAACAAAGAGCATTACTTCATTATGGGAGGAGAATCTTTGGTAAATGGAAAACAGAGACAGAGACAGAAAAAAGACAGAAAGGTAGTTTAAGGTCCCATTATGAAAAGTCTTGATGGACACAGAAAACATTTTGTACTTAATGGGAGTACTGACAGTTTGTACTGACAGTTCTTCACTAGCAGCATAATTTGGTTAGGTCGGAGATGGCAGCAATTCCTGGAAATAAATTCAGTACTAAAAGAAATGTCAGTTTTGAAAGGGTTTTAAATGGGAAGAATTTCAGAAACTTTTATGTAGGAAATAATTTTCTCTTAAGGATGACCTAAGAGAAAGTAAGGCCAGGGATAGGTATCATTGTATTACTAGACAAAGAAACTAGGAGAATTTCCACGCTTAACCCACAAACCAAGGTCGGCTATGAGAGATCTTGCCCTATGTCATACAAATTAACATTAACAACAGACAGAGAAAACAAATTCAGGATTCTATCTTCTGGGTCTGTTACTTGAGACAGCATTTCCTCTCTTAAGCATTTCTGAAAGATAATTATCAGGATAACAAGAATAAATTCTCAAAAACATGCTCTTACGCTGAGCATGCAAAATGGGTAACTGTGTATGCAATTGTAAATTATACAACTGAAGTCTGAAAAAAAATGTCTGTGTACTTACTTCATCTGTTAACTCAAGGGAAACAGTAAGATTTAAAAACCCTAAATGTGGAAAATATTATTATAATCATTTCTGGGTGCCTCATGAAGATAGGCAGGCTGCCTAAGTCACAAAAACTTCAAGGGAAAAAACAGTTGCAAAATTAAATAATTTTCTCCTCTGACCACTGCCTATCTAACAATGAGAATAATCTGCAAACAAACACACTCGGATTCTCCCTCTCCCTCTCTCTCTGTGTCACACACAAACACACTTCTGGACACTGACGTATTCCGTTGGCTATGTTGCTGCTGTGATGTGGTAAAATATCCCTGAGAATTAAGAGAAACTGGGGATTCCAAAATGTAAGAGAACAAGACAGAATTTGCCTTGTCTTTCCAGTCCTCTCTATATACATTTTTTCTATCAATCAATCCCTCTCTGAGAGAGAGCCACTTCTGTCAGGGAATTTCAAATATGAAAAGAAAATATTTATAGTAAGTAAAAGACAAATGATTTGGGTTCTTTTTCAGAAACGAACTCTTTTCTCTCCCATTCTTTCTCGAATAATGCCCGAAGGCAAATCTTAGACACAGCTCTGTTTTGTGACTAATACAGGGTTCCATGAGGAAATTATGTAGCATTCTAGGGAAGATAAACACAAATGTTAGGCAATCTATTTTGTGGAAACCCAGATGGGGTAGTTTAAGAAGTCATCTGATTCTAGAGAATATAATGGTTGGTGAATCCAATTACTTTTAAAAGTGTAGCTTCAGAAAAGTGTAGACAAGACAGAAATATGGCACCAATGGAAGCAATATTGAGGACTTAAGCCTGTCAGTTACTTCCTACTTTGATTCTGAATGGTACATGGTAACTGGTTCTACAGCCTGAGTGGTAGAATCAACTCTATCCACACTGAGACGTTTTATAGTATTTAGGTAAAAACGACAGTTTAGAATAAACAAAAGAGGGGGAAATAAACCTCAATTAGTTATTTACAGTACAGCCTTGCAAGAAAGTTCACAACTCTACAGGTAAAAGCATGCATTTTAATTCAGACAAGCACCAGGTTTGATCCACATTACTGCTTCTAAATGACCTAGAGGTTAAAGTAAGGAGTACAAAGTGTGGTGCTGAAATATGACAGCATGATGAAATGGGGACAGGTGGGCTGGCAAAAGCAATTAAAAAATATAAATTAGTAATTAAACACAACAATTCTTGAGGTGGAAAACAATTATTCTAAATATCACCTCCACATACCCCCAGCATTATAAAAGCTGCAGATGTTTCAATTCAGAAAACATTTTCTAAAAACACAAACAAAAAGGAAAACCTAAAAGCTACAAAGAAATAAGGATAAACCCAGCATATAAACAGAACCAAAGACAAAAACCACATGATTATCTCAATAGAGGCAGAAAAGGCCTTTGACAAAATTCAACAACCTTCATGCTAAAAACTCTCAATAAATTAGGTATTGATGGGACGTATCTCAAAATAATAAGAGCTATCTATGACAAACCCACAGCCAATATCATACTGAATGGGCAAAAACTGGAAGCATTCTCTTTGAAAACTGGCACAAGACAGGGATGCCCTCTCTCACCACTCCTGTTCAACATAGTGTTGGAAGTTCTGGCCAGGGCAATTAGGCAGGAGAAGGAAATAAAGGGTATTCAATTAGGAAAAGAGGAAGTCAAATTGTCCCTGTTTGAAGATGACAAGATTGTATATCTAGAAAAACCCATTGTCTCAGCCCAAAATCTCCTTAAGCTGATAAGCAACTTCAGCAAAGTCTCAGGATACAAAATCAATGTACAAAAGTCACAAGCATTCTTATACACCAATAACAGACAAACAGAGAGCCAAATCATGAGTGAACTCTCATTCACAATTGCTTCAAGGAGAATAAAATACCTAGGAATCCAACTTACAAGGGATGTGAAGGACCTCTTCAAGGAGAACTACAAACCACTGCTCAAGGAAATAAAAGAGGATACAAACAAATGGAAGAACATTCCATGCTCATGGGTGGGAAGAATGAATATCGTGAAAATGGCCATACTGCCCAAGGTAATTTATAGATTCAATGCCATCCCCATCAAGCTACCAATGACTTTCTTCACAGAATTGGAAAAAACTACTGTAAAGTTCATATGGAACCAAAAAAGAGCCCACATCGCCAAGTCAATCCTAAGCCAAAAGAACAAAGCTGGAGGCATCATGCTACCTGACTTCAAACCATACTATAAGGCTACAGTAACCAAAACAGCATGGTACTGGTACCAAAACAGAGATATAGATCAATGGAACAGAACAGAGCCCTCAGAAATAACGCTGCATATCTACAACTATCTGATCTTTGACAAACCTGAGAAAAACAAGAAATGGGGAAAGGATTCCCTATTTAATAAATGGTGTTGGGAAAACTGGCTAGCCATATGTAGAAAGCTGAAACTGGATCCCTTCCTTACACCTTATACAAAAATTAATTCAAGATGGATTAAAGACTTAAACGTTAGACCTAAAATCATAAAAACCCTAGAAGAAAACCTAGGCAATACCATTCAAGGACACAGGCATGGGCAAGGACTTCATGTCTAAAACACCAAAAGCAATGGCAACAAAAGACAAAATTGACAAATGGGATCTCATTAAACTAAAGAGCTTCTGCACAGCAAAAGAAACTACCATCAGAGTGAACAGGCAACCTACAAAATGGGAGAAAATTTTCGCAACCTACTCATCTGACAAAGGGCTAATATCCAGAATCTACAATGAACTCAAACAAATTTACAAGAAAAAAACAAACAACCCCATCAAAAAGTGGGTGAAAGACATGAACAGACACTTCTCAAAAGAAGACATTTATGCAGCCAGAAAACACATGAAAAAATGCTCACCATCACTGGTCATCAAAGAAATGCAAATCAAAATCACAATGAGATACCATCTCACACCAGTTAGAATGGCAATCATTAAAAAATCAGGAAACTACAGGTGCTGGAGAGGATGTGAAGAAATAGGAACACTTTTACACTGTTGGTGGGACTGTAAACTAGTTCAACCATTGTGGCAGTCAGTGTGGTGATTCCTCAGGGATCTAGAACTAGAAATACCATTTGACCCAGCCATCCCATTACTGGGTATATACCCAAAGGACTATAAATCATGCTGCTATAAAGACACATGCACACGTATGTTTATTGCGGCACTATTCACAATAGCAAAGACTTGGAACCAACCCAAATGTCCAACAATGATAGACTGGATTAAGAAAATGTGGCACATATACACCATAGAATACTATGCAGCCATAAAAAATGATGAGTTCATGTCCTTTGTAGGGACACGGATGAAACTGGAAATCATCATTCTCAGTAAACTATGGCAAGGACAAAGAACCAAACACCGCATGTTCTCATTCATAGGTGGGAATTGAACAATGAGAACACATGGACACAGGAAGGGGAACATCACACTCTGGGGACTGTTGTGGGGTGGGGGGAGGGGGGAGGGATAGCATTAGGAGATATACCTAATGCTAAATGACGAGTTAATGAGTGCAGCACACCAGCACGGCACATGTATACATATGTAACTAACCTGTACATTGTGCACATGTACCCTAAAACTTAAAGTATTAAAAAAAAAAAAAGAAATAAGGATAAACCATGGAGTATACAATTCTAGGCTTGCACTGTACATAATATAGATATTTAATTTGTGTATATATTAATTAAAATAAGATCACATCTCTTTTTCCAGTTAAGAAATAACGAATATATTTTTAATGAATAAATATAAATTTACATTAATTTAATGAATATCACATTATATGAATATACAATAATTTAGTTTGTGAACACATTTGTTTGTTGGATTTTTAATTTATACCTACTCCTCGCTATACAAAATACATTGTATTAAATATAGTTACATCTGAATATTATAATACAATCATGATTATTTCATTAAGTTCAAATTCTAAAAGGGGAATTACATAGTAAAAAGGTAAGCACATTTTAAGGGGTTTCTGAGGCATATTGAAAAACTGACTCCAAAAAGACTACAATAACTAGACCCCTAGCAGCAGGTATGAAAATACCTATTTCCACAAATATTTCTTATAAACAAGGAGTGTTACCATTTTCTTATTTCTGAGTAGTTTATAGTCAAAAATATCACACAAGCTTAATTTGTATGTCTTATTAATAGAGTTACAAATTATGTTCATGTTATCATTTTTTACCAAATATTGTCCATTTTTGCTTACAAATGAATTTCAGAATGATTTCATTAAGATTCTTCCCTAAACAAATTTACTTGATACTCACTGCAATTAGATTAAATTTGAAAAAACTTTCTACAGAATGAAATACTCCCATCCTGGAATACCATATATATTTGTGCATAAGAAAGTCTCTTTTATATTACTCTGTGATGTTGTCACATTATTTCTAAATTGACTTGCTAAGTAGCTGCATAGAAAAATTATATCTATGTCCCAATAGTAAATAAGACACTTTTGACACTATATTTTCTATGTGGGCATTGCTAATATAAGAAAAGTTTATTTGTTTTCTAAGTGAATCATCTAACCTAAACTCTTATTGGTCTTAATGAATTTTTAGTATGTTCTATTTAGATAATAATAACCTATGAATAATAATATGCATGTGCTATGGTTTGAAATGTTTGAGCCTTGCCAAAATTCATATTGAAATTTAATCCCCAATGCAACTTTGTTATTTTTTTTAATTTTTAATTTTTGTGGGGGAGGGCACAAAAATTTCAGAAGTGATTACATCACTCATTAATTGGATTAGTGCCTTATAGAAGGGATTGGGGGAGTGAGTTTGTCCTTTTTGCCTTCTCTGCCACGTAAGGATACAGAGGTGCCATTTATGAGTAACAGGACTTTATCAGACACTGAATCTGCTGACATCTTAATATTGGACTTTGCAGCCTCCAGAACTGTGAGAAACAAATTTCTGTTGTTTATAAATTTCTCAGTCTACAGTATCTTGTTATGGGAGCAGGAATGGACTAAGACATGCATGGCTCATTATAATGTAATTTATTCTTTTTTTACATTTATTTTATAGAACTTCTAAAGTGTTGGTGAGAAGCATCTTCACCCAATTCCTGTTGTCAATGAAAATAAATGTTTTATTGTTCTACTGTTCAATCTATGGTGGCCACTAAATTTCAAATAGATGTTCTTTATTTTGTTATTAAAATATTATACTGCTTGGAATTTAGTAAACTTTGTTTTTAAATCAAGAATGTAGCCTGGATGTAATAAAATGTCTTTCTAGAATACATCAAGAAACTGTATCTCCCTCACCTAGTAATATGATAAATTATATTAACATATTTTTTTAAAATATCAAACCATCCTTGCATTTCTGGAATAAATCCTACACACTAGTACAAAATTACTTTCTTAAAACACTGGGAATTGACTTGCTAAAATTTTATTTATTTTACTTTTATCCATAATTGTGAGATTAACTCATAGTTTTTTTGTGTGTGCTCTTTTTGTCTGGCTTTGGTATCAGGATAAAGCTAGACAAAATGACATAATTTTCTGCAGATAAATGCTCCCACTAGGAACAACTAGGAGAGGAAGTAAAACATGTAGAAAAAACATATTAAAAGGCATCAGGTGCTGTGAAGCAATGAAGACTAAAGGGAATAAAACTGCAGAGAGGACAAAACCTTTTAAAGGTGAGGTGAAAATCTGCAGCTTTCCTTGTGGGCATTTGAGGAACGTAGACAAGGGCAACAGACTGAGAATCTTAAAACCAGGCAGAGACTAACTACTAGGGGGCGAAAAAAACTTGGAATCTTTGCTGCTTCCAACAGACTAGAGTGCCACAGTTAGAGGTTTGAGGACTAGTTTTACCCTCAAGATATTTACTGAATTCTAAAGCTAAACGGCTGAGGAAAATAAGGGTTTAAGCCAAAATCTTTGAAAAGCAAGGAGATTTCTCACAGTTTCACAGTGTTTCAGAGAAAAAGACTCACTAGTAGAAGAATGCCTAAAAATGACAGGAGCTATCTTAGTCCATTCAGAATAATGTAACAAAATCCCATAGACTGGTAGCTTATAAACAAAAGAATTCTCACAGTTCTGGAGGCTTGGAAGTCCAACATCAAGGTATCAGCAGATTCGGTGTCTGATGAAGGCCTATTTCCTAGTGCGAAATAAAAAAGGAGTCTTCTTCCTGTATCCCCGTATCCTCACATGGCCACAAGGAACAAGGCAGCTCTCTGAAGTCTCTTTTATAAGTATACTAATCCCATTTGCGAGGCTCTACCATCATAATCTATCACCTCCCAAGGCCTCACCTCCTAATGTAATCACACTGGTTATTAGATTCAACATATGATTTTTTGGGGTACACAAACATTCAGATCACATAGGAGCTGAAACCTCATTAGGGATGGTAAAGTAACACTGACAATCCCCAACACTTTTTTTCCCATCAGCAATTGCTGATACTGGGTACTGCTAAGTCTCCTTCTCAAGACATTTACCAGATTCTAAAACGAAAGAGTACAGGAGGCTGAACAGACAAGGTTTCTGTGAAGAGCAGGAATTTCTATAGTCCTCTTTGGTGCTAAAAAGACAATGACATATCAGGCAGTTTTTAAAAGCTCTGCAGAGCCATATCCTACCAACAAGGGCAAACAAAGTACACTACAACTGCAACCCAATATTAATCCAAATCAGTCCATGATGGTACTAAGGTGGTCAGCTTCAAACCACAACCCACCTGCCCATTCTATTTACTAAGTAAAGGAAAACATGAACCTTTTCTGGTGGAAGATAACACCACCTGGAATCTCTACATATTTTATACAATGTCTAACATCAACCGAAAAATATTAGAAACAGACAGGACCATATCACTGAAAACCAAGAGAAAAAAAATCCACCAATATGTATGTATAATATATATAAGAAGTAGTAAAGAATGATTTTGAATGTCTATAATTAATATGCTTAAGAAAACAGAGAAAACATAGACAAATTAGATAAAAAAGATGGAGCATTTCATCAAAGAATTTCAGTTTATATAAAAAAGTTAAAGAATATTCTAAAACTAAAATATACATATCTGAAATTCTAACTAAGTTTCTTTTTTTAATTCTACCAAGGCTTTTATATTGTCTTTGTACTAATTACCTTGAACATCATAGGAAGATAAGCAGACATAATACCAGGAACCATTTTCAGATGAAAAAAATGCAAAGGTCAATGAAAAAATGATGGAAGTAGCCTCTACATATCATTAAAGGTTAATAAATATAGCATGCGCCTTTATATACTGAAAATCTTCCTGGGTAGTTACAGCAGAAACTAACATCTTTCACCAAACTAAATTATAAGGAAATCTTTTTATATATAAAGGACAAAGTAAGCAACTGCCACTTACAGGAAGGTGTGTGAATACAGCAAAGGTGCTACGAAGAAAGGCAATGAGGTCTACCAGGTAATCACTAGCTTTGTTGCCCAAATCTCCGGTCATCCAGTCATAGTCTGCCAGCTGTAGGAACTGGTCAATCTTCTGGTTTAAGTTGGTATAAATCTCTTCTTCAGCTGCATGTCTAGCATCCTGTGAAAAAATATAAAATTTGAAAAATCACTCAGATTTCAATATGGGCAGAAATTTCTATGAGCTTAGAGCCATCTGACATATCCATTAAGTAACTGGGAATATAACTGGGAATACTGAGCCATACATATCACAGTCTTCTTTAATTTTTTCTTTTTCAAAACCATTGTGTAGGTTTTTTCTAATTTTTTGTTTGCATCCTAAGAGATGCTAAAATGAAAGCAGAATGCCCAGATCATATAAGTTTGACATACCTATATAAAAGATTATGATATACACTAGCATATTAAAGGCTCTAAGAAGTATGGTGAGATTAATATTCTTACAAAAATATTTTCAGGACAAATGATCATACATTACTCCACAACAACCAGTATTCCAATGCTAAAATTCCATCAACACAGACTTGTGCAGAGTAAGTTATGAAGTACCTGCCACCACATTCAATATTCACTTTCATTCTGATCTTCCTTAACTTCTGTTAAATACTCTCTATTTAAAACTCTGTCTTCCCGTGGAATTCATGAGATGGTTTTCTCCTGGATTTCCTTTTACTTCTCTGGACACAAATCTTCTCACTTTCTTTGGGTGATTTAATGAAATCCAATAGCTTCCAGTATCTCTATCTTCAGTACAGATCTACTACAAAATCATTCTAATTCAACAATCATATATGCGAGTGTTTCATGGACATCTCTGACCCAGACAAACTTTGAAATAAGTGCCCAGGTGCAGTGGCTCATGCGTGTAATCCCAGAACTTTGGGAGGCCGAAGTGGGTGGATCACTTGAGGTCAGGAGTTCGAGACCAGCCTGGCCAACATGGTGAAACCCTGTCTCTACTAAAAATACAAAAATTAGCTGGGCATGGTGGTGGGAGCCTGTAATCCCAGCTACTCAGGAGGCTGAGGCAGGAGAGTTGCTTGAACCCAGGAGGCGGAGGTTGCAGTGAGGCGAGATTATGCCACTGCACTCCAGCCTGGGCGACAGAGCAAGACTCCACCTCAAAAAAAAAAAAAAAAGAAAAGAAAAGAAAAGAAATAAGTAGGTCCAGGTTGAGACTCATCATATTTACCACTCTTTACCTGTTCAACTCAGACCAAGGCAGAGATCTAAGCAAGATCTTAAATTCCATTCTTTCCTCCACAGTCAGAAAATGAGTTCTGTAAATTATATCTCCCAAATTTCTCTGTAATTTGTACTGCCCTCTACATTTTCACGTTTTAAAAGCCAGAATAATTTTGCAATATATTTACATACTATAACATAGTTGGTGACTATGTTTACTAATGTGAACAATGCTTTATAAAATTTGATTGATAAATAAAAATTATACAAAAATTATATATTTGTGACGTACAACTTGATTTTTGAAATATGTATACACTGAAATGGCTAAATTGAGCTAAGTTGGATGCAAAAGAAACTGCTTTTAATGGCAAAAACCACAATTACTTTTGCACCAACCTAATAATTAACATATGCATTACCTCACATACTTATTTTATGAGGTAGGAATACTTAAAAGTACTCTGCTAGCATTTTTCAAGAATATAACACAGTTATTAACTATAATCATCATGTTATAGAATAGATCTCTTGAAATAATTCCTTCTATCTAACTGAAAATTTCTATCCTTTGACCAAAAACTCCCCAGCCATATTCCCCAGCTCTGGTAACTATCATTCTATTTTCTGTTTCTATGAATTCAACATTTTTAGATGCTACACATGAGATCATGCATATTCTTCTTTCTGTGCCTGCCTTATTTCACTTAATATAATGTCTCCATGAGGTTTCCATGCTGTTGCAAATGGCAGGATTTCCTTCTTTTGTAAGACTGTATAGTATTGCATTCTGTATACATACTACATTTTCTTTATGCATTCACCAGTTGACAGACACTTAGGTCAAATCAATATCTTGGCTATTGTGGAAAATGTTACAATGAACATAAAAGTGCAGATATCTTGATGACATACTGATTTCATTTCCTCTGGAAATAAACCCAGTAGTGGGATTGCTGAAACATATGATAGTTCTATTTTTATTTTTTGGGGGAACCTCCATACTGTTTTCCACAATGGCTATACTAATTTACATTCCCAAGACCATACAAGGGTTCCCTTTTCTCCACATCCTCTCCAATACTTACCATTTGTCTTTTTGATAATAGTCAACCTAACAGGTGGAAAGTCATATATCATTGTGGTTTTAGTTTGCATTTTTCTGATGACTAATGATGTTGAATATTTTTTCATATACCTCTTGGTCACTTGTATGTCTTCTCTTGAGAAATGTCTATTCAAAAGCTTTGCCCATTTTCTCATCGGGTTGTTTTCTTGCTATTGAATTATTTCAGTTCTTTATATATTCTAGAAATGCATGCCTTGTCAGCTGTATCGTTTGCAAATATATTCTGCCATTCTTTTTTATTTATTTTTTTTTTGAGATAGAGTCTCACTCTGTCACCTAGGCTGGAGTGAAGTGGCACACTCTTGGCTCACTGCAACCTCCAGCTCCCAGGTTCAAGCGATTCTCCTGCCTCACCCTCCCGAGTAGCTGGGATTACAGGTGTGTGCCACTATGCCTGGCTAATTTTTGTATATTTAGTAGACATTGTGTTTCACCATGTTGGCCAGGCTGGTCTCGAACTCTTGACCTCAAGTGATTCGCCTGCCTCAGCCTCCTAAAGTGCTGGGATTACAGGCGTGAGCCACCATGCTCTGCCTGTTCTGCCATTTTGTAGGTTATCCTTCAACTGTTGATTGTTTTCTTTGCTGTGCAAAAGCTTTCCTGTTTGATATAATCAATCTGATTTGTCTTTTTTTACATTTGTTGCCTGTGCTTTTGGGGTCATAGCTTAAAAAAAAAATCATTGCCCAGAACAATGTTATGGAGATTTTTCCCTATATTATTTTGTAGTAATTTTAGTTTCAGGTCTTATGTTTAAGTCTTTAATCCATTTTATGCTGATTTTTATATATGGTGTGAGATGAGGAACAAATTTCATTCTTGTAAATGTGGATATCCAGTTTTCTCAACACCACTTATTTTTTCAGAGACTATCCTTTCCCCTTTTGTGTGTTCTTGGCATCTTTGTCAAAAATTAACTGACTGTACATGAGTAGGATTATGTCAGGGTTATTTTGTTCCACTGGTCTGTATGTTTTTACGCCAGAATCACGCTATCTTGATTATTATAACGTGTAGTAGATTTTGAAGTCAGGTAGACTGATGCTTCCAGCTTTGTTCTTTCTGCTCAAGATTGCTTTTGCTATTTGGAGTCTTAGTGGTCCCATATGAATCTTACTATTATTTACTTTATTCCTATGAAAAATGCATTAGAATTTGAATAGGGATTCCATTGAATATGTAGATCACTTTGGGTAATATGGAAATTCTAACGATGTTAATTTTTCAATCCACAAACTAGGATATCTTTTTATTTCTTCAATTTTTTCTTCAATGTTTTGTAGTTTTTCAACAGGTCTTCTAAATATTTCAATGAGCACTTCTATACTTTCATCTTTACATTACTTGCATAATAATCTTAAGGTGTCCTTGAATTTCTGTTTTGCTAAAAGTCTTTTTCATTAATAGGCTTTATTTTTTAGTGTTTTAGGTTTAAAGAAAACTTAAGCAGCAAGTACACTGCCTCTGTACATACCACTACCCTCCAGGCTACTACCCCTATTTAAAATTGGTGTGGTACAATTTTTACAATTAATGAAACAATATTGATATTTTATTATCAACTAAAGTCCCTGGTTTACATTAGGGTGTAATCATTGAGATATCAAGTTCTGTGGGTACTTAAAAATGCATAATGTCACTAATTCACCATTACAGTATCATTTAGATAGTTTCACTGCCCTAAAAATTTACTGAATTCCACCTATTCATCCATCCAGGATTTTCTCTACTGATTTTCTATACTGGTTTTCATTTTCATTGATTTCTGCTCTAATTTTCATTATTGGTATTATTATTATTGCTCACTTTAGATTTAAATTGTTCTTTGCCTAGTTTCCTACGGTGTAAGTATAGATTATTAAATTTAGATCCTTCTTCTTTCTAATATATGTTATTAATGGTACAAATTTCCCTCTGAGTAATGCTTTCACTGCATCTCACAAATTATAATAAGTTGTATTTTAATTCTTGTTTATTTTGAAATATTTCTCTTGAGACTTTTTTTGACCATGTTTTATTTTGAAATATGTTGTTTAATCTCCAAATAATTTGACATTTTCTATCTTTGTTACTCATTTCTGGTTTAGTTTCACATGGTCTGAGAGGAATGTTAGTATAATTCCTATTTAAAGGATGTTCTATTGCCTAGAACATGGTGCGTCTTGGTGAATATTTTGTATAAGTTGTTGTTGGATAAAACATTCTATAAATGTCCATTAGATTCACTTGATGGATGGTGTCAGTCATTTCAACTATATATATACACTGATTTTTCTGCCTCCTGGATTTGTCAGTTACAGTAGAAGTGTTCCAGAAATTTTAATGACAATAGATGTTAACATATAAAATAAGATTTTAGTATCTTTCAAAATACTCATATTTTTCCATCTTTGATCTTCTAAAGTAGTAAGTAACTTTGAAAAATTTTCTAATACTAATCATTCACGCATTCCTAACCTTACTTCAATCCCTCATTTATTTGTATGTACTTTTAGATTTTGCTCAGAATTGTTTTGGCTATTCGTGTTCTTTTTTTAGTTCCCTATGAATTTTATGATTGTTTTTTCTATTTCTGTAAAAGATGACACTGATACTTCGTTAGGGATTGCATTGAATCTATAGATTGCTTGGGGAAGTATGGTCATTTTAATGATATTAATTCTTCTGATATATAAGTATGGTATTTCTTTCCATTTGTTTGTGTCCTCTTCCGTTTCTTTCATCAGTGTTTTGTAGTTTTCATTGCGGACATTTTTCACCTCCCTGGTTAAACTTATTCCTAGGTATTCTAATGTTTTTGAAGCTATTGTAAATAGGACTGCCTTCTTGATTTCTTTTTTACTGTTTCATTATTGAAGAATAAAAAGGCTACTGATTTTTGTATGTTGATTTTATATCCTGCAACTTTACTGAATTTGTTTTTCAGCTCTAAGAGTTTTTTCTTTTTAATATTTTAAGTTTTAGGGTACATTGCACAACGCGCAGGTTTGATACATATGTATACATGTGCCATGTTGGTGTGCTGCACCTATTAACTCGTCATTTAGCATTAGGTATATTTCCTAATGCTATCCCTCCCCCCTCCCCCTACCCCACAACAGGCCCCGGTGTGTGATGTTCCCCTTCCTGTGTCCATGTGTTCTCATTGTTCAATTCCCACCTAGGAGTGAGAACATGTGGTGTTTGGTTTTTTGTCCTTGCTATAGTTTGCTGAGAATGATGGTTTCCAGCTTCATCCATGTCCCTACAAAGGACATGAACTCATCATATTTTATGGCGCATAGTATTCCATGGTGTATATGTGCCAACTTTTCTTGATCCAGTCTATCATTGTTGGACATTTGGGTTGGTTCCAAGTCTTTGCTATTGTGAATAGTGCCGCAATAAACATACATGGGCGTGTATCTTTATAGCAGCATGATTTGTAATCCTTTGGGTATATACCCAGTAATGGGATGGCTGGGTCAAATGGTATTTCTAGTTCTAGATCCTTGAGGAATCACCACACTGACTTCCACAATGGTTGAACTAGTTTACAGTCCCACCAACAGTGTAAAAGTGTTCCTATTTCTCCACATCCTCTCCAGCACCTGTTGTTTCCTGACTTTTTAATGATCGCCATTCTAACTGGTGTGAGATGGTATCTCATTGTGGTTTTGATTTGCATTTCTCTGATGGCCAGTGATGATGAGCATTTTTTCACGTGTCTTTTGGCTGCATAAATGTCTTCTTTTGAGAAGTGTCTGTTCATGTCCTTCGCCCACTTTTTGATGGGGTTGTTTTTTTCTTGTAAATTTGTTTGAGTTTATTGTAGATTCTGGATATTAGCCCTTTGTCAGATGAGTAGGTTGAAAAAATTTTCTCCCATTCTGTAGGTTGCCTGTTCACTCTGATGGTAGTTTCTTTTGCTGTGCAGAAGCTCTTTAGTTTAATGAGATCCCATTTGTCAATTTTGTCTTTTGTTGCCATTGCTTTTGGTGTTTTAGACATGAAGTCCTTGCCCATGCCTATGTCCTGAATGGTATTGCCTAGGTTTTCTTCTAGGGTTTTTATGGTTTTAGGTCTAGATGGAGCCTTTTAGTTTTTCTAAATGAAAGATCGTATCATCAGCAAAGAAGGACAATTTGACTTCCTGTTTTCCAATTTGGATGCCTTTTATTTCTTTCTCTTCTCTGACTGTCCTAGCTCAGACTTCCAATACTATGTTTAATAGGAGTAGTGAGAATGAGCATCCTTGTCCTGGGGAATGGTTCCAGCTTTTGCCCATTCTTAAAGGAAAGGCAGTCAACCTTTTCCCATTCAGGATGGTGTTAGTTGTGGGTCTGCTATATGTGGCCTTTATTATTTTGAGGTATGTTCCTTCTATATTTGGCTTGTTGGGAGTTTTAATTGTGAAGGGATGTTGAATTTTATCAAATGCTTTTTCTGCATCTATTAAGATGACCATATGGTTTTTACCCTTCATTCTGTTGATGTGAAGTTTCACATTTACTTATTTGCATATACTAAACCATCCTTGCACTCTTGGTCTAAATCCCACTTGATCATCATACATTATCTTTTAATTAAATTCAGTTTTCTAGTATGTTGCTGATAATTTTTGCATCTATTTTCATCAAGAATATTGGTCTGTAGTTTTCTTTTGTTGTTGTTCCTTTTTCTGGTTTTGGTATCAGGGTAATGCTAGGCTTACAGAATAAGTTACGGAGAATTCTCTCCCTAATTTTTTGGAACAGTTTCAGGATTGGTATGAGTTATTCTTATATGTTTGGTGGAATTTGGTGGTGAATCCACCTGGTTCTGGGCTTTTCTTTGTTCAGATACTATTTATTACTGCTTCAATCACTGCCCGTTATTGGTCTGTTCAGGTTTTCCATTTCTTCCTGATTCAATCTTAGTAGGTTGTACATTTCCAAGTATTCATCCATTTCCTACAGATTTTCCACTGGTTACCATATATTTGTTCATAACAGTCCCTGATGATCTTTTCTGTTTCTGTGGTATCAGTTATAATGTCTCTGTTTTCATTTATAATTTTATTTGAGTCTTCACTGTACTCTTCTTGGTTAGTCTAGCTAGTGGTTGTTATCAATTTTACCTTTTCAAGGAACCGACTTTTTGTTTCATTCATCTTTTCATATTTTTCTTTTCAGTTCTACTATGATCTGCATTATTTCCTTCTGATATTGTGGATTTGGTTTGTTGCTGCTTTCCTGTTCCTTGAGGTATATTGTTAGATTGTTTATTTGAAATATTTCTGCTTTTTGATGTAGGTGCTTATTGCTATGAACTTCCCTTTTAGTACTGCTTTTGTTGTGTCCCACAGGTTGTGATATGTTGTGTTTCCATTTCATTTGTTCCAAAAAACATTTATTTCCATATTAATTTCTTCATTGAACCAATGGTTGTTCAGGAGCATGTTGTTTAATTTCCATGTATTTGTATCATTTCCAATGTTTCTCTTGGTATTGATTTCTAGTTTTACACCATTGTGATCTGGGAATATACTTGATGTGATTTTGAATTTCAAAAATTTGTTGAGATTTGTTTTGTGGCTTAATATATGGTCTATCTTGGAGAATGTTCCTTGTGCTGATGAGAAGAATGTGTATTCTGTTATTGTTGGGTAAGATGTTCTCTAAATGTCTGTTAAGTCCTTTCGGTCTAAAGTCCAGTTTAAAACAAATGTTTCTTTTCTGATTATCTGTCTCAATGACCTGTTTAGTGCTGGCAGTGGGGTGTTAAAGTGCCACAATTTTATTATATCAGAGTTCACCTTTTTATTTAGATATGGCAATATTTGCTTTATGAATCTAGGTGCTCCAGTGTTGGATGCCAATATGGATTTGGTGTTACATCCTCTTGCTAGATTGATCCCATTATCATTATATAATGACCTTATTTGTCTTTTTCTTACTGTTTTTTATTTAAATTGTTGTATCTGAGTATAGCTATGCCTGCTCATTTTTTGTTAACATTTGCATGGAATATCTTTTTCTATCCCTTTATTTTCAGTTCATATGCATCTTTAAAGGTAAATTATGTTTCTTGTAGGCAGCATATGGCTAGATCATGTTTTTTTCATCCATTCAACCAGTCTATATATTTTAAGTAAAGAATTAAATCAATTTACACCCAAAATTATTATTGATATGTGAGGTCTTCCCTTTATCATATTAATTATCTTCTGGTTATTTTGTGTATTCTTTGTTCCTTTCCTTTTCTCTTACTGTTTGTTACTGCGGTTTGGTGGTTTTCTGCAGTAGTACTATTTGAGTCCTTTCTCTTCTTCATTTGTTTGTTTGCTTTACCAGTGAGTTTTATACTTTTGTGTGTTTTCATGATAGCAAATGTCACTCACTATTTCCAAGTTTAGAATTCCCTTGAGGAATTTATTGTAAGGCCAGTGTAGTGGTGATGAATTCTTTCAGCTTTTGCTTGTATGAGAAAGATTGTATTTCTCCTTCATTTATGAAGAATAATTTCGCTGGATATAGTATGTTTGCCCAACATGTTTTTTTTTTTTCTTGTTTCAGCTCTTTCAAAATATCATCCCATCACCTCCTGGCCTGTAAGGTTTCTTCTGAGAAATCCACTGTTAGTCTGATGATGATTCCTTTATAGGTAACTAGATGCTTTTCTCTTGCTGTTTATAGAAATCTTTGTGTTTACATTTAGATAGTTTAACTATAATGTGCCGTGGAGAGAATACTCTTTTTGCATTGTGTCCTTTTGGGGATCTCAGCACATCCTGTATCTGAATGTCTAAATCACTCATTGGACTTGAGAAATTTTCATCTCTTACTGCATTAAGTAAGTTTTCCAACTCTTTTTTATTTCTTTTTGCCTTCTGGAACCCTTATAATTTGAAAATTTGGTCTCTTATGATGCCCCGTATGTAATAAAGGCTTTGCTCATTCTTTTTTTAGTTGTTTTTTCTTTTATTTTATATAAAGAATTATCTTCTAGATCTGAAATTCTTTCTTCTGCTTGATCTAGTCTACTGTTGAAGATTTTGAACATATTTTGCATTTCATTTAATAAATTCTTCAGTTCCATAATTTATGTTTGGTTATATTTTTGGTATCAATCTCTTTAGCAAATTTCTTATTCATATCATGCATTGTTTTTCTGATTTCTTTGTATTGTTTTGCAGAATTCTCATGTTTCTCACTGAGCGTCTTTAGAATCAATCATTTAACTTCTTTTTCTGAGATTTCATTAATTTCTCTTTGGGACCTGTTGTTGGAGAATTATTCCTTTGGAGGTGTCATATGTCCTGGCTTTTTCTTATTTTCTGTACCATTATATTCATATCTGTACATCTACTATAACAGTCACTTCTTGCAATTTTTTAAATTTGCTCTGGTAGGGGAGGACATTTTCCAGAAGATGTATCTATGCTGTTAGTTGGGTAGGACACTTTGGTTGTTATTTTGAGTGCAGTAGTGTAAACTCTGTACGATTCCTTCAGGTATAAATAGTACCAGTGGTATCTATAATTTCTTCAGTGGCTCAGGGTGCAATTATTAAATGAGGCTGTGGTTTTGCTGGGGACTGTAACACCAGGTAGGTCGGTCTTTGAGCCCCAGTGGTGGCAGCAGTGGGATGAGTATGTGTGTCTTTGGGCTCCAGGGTGGTCTGGCACCATTGTTAGTGAGTCCAGATGGGCCAATTGTTGAGTTTCCAGACAGATTACTTGGATGCCAGCAGTGACAACAGTAGGTGGGGTGGGTGGGGATGTTCTTGAACCCCTGGGGCAGCCAGCTTGATGTGAATGATGACAATGGCAGTGGCAGAAACATCCTCTTAGTCCCAAGTGGTTCACACGGGTATTGGTGTTGGTTGCATTCAGCCGAGTGGGCTGGTCTCCAGGCACACAGGTGGTGTATGCAGGTAGGTGCCAGCTGTGGTAGTAGCAGTCATGTGGGTAGGCCCGACCTCAGGCACCTGGGAGGAGTGTTCAGGTGCCAACTGTGGAGGACAGGGCTAGGTGATCCTCTTGCTTCTGGTGTGCTCTGGCACAGGGGTTGGGGGGTGGCAGGTCAAAGCTGAGCCAAACTTGTCCTCAAGCCCTCTGATAATGAGTATAGGCACCAGATGCAGTAGTTAGGGGTGAGGCAATCCCTAGAAAAGTAAAATGCTCTGATGGTAGGTGGCAGCAGCTGTGCTGGTTCCCTGCCACTGGGGAGGGCAGTGCCACCTTCAGTATTGGGCAACCTAGGTTAGGTCAGCAGGTGGAAAACACACACACCATTTTCACCACAGCCCAAGTGGCACTCTTTCCTCAGCCCCTCTGCCCTAGCTGATACATTGCTCATGCCTCAGCCTCAATGGCAGCAGCATGCATCATGATAGCATCTCGGCCCCTGGTGTGGGTGGCCCCTGGTCACTGGCACCTAAGCTGGGAGGCAGCAAGTGTGCTTCTCCTGCACCTCAGCCCCAGTACCAGTGGTCTCCAGGATAATGCGCTATCTGTTGGAGTCAGGGCTCTAAGATGGCGGCTTGCTATAGCTGCTTAGGTCTCATGGAATGTGTGTGACCTGGTGTGAGCTCCTTCCCTGGACCAGTGCCATCACACAATCTCTCAGCATCTTCCTATGTTAGTTTCAGGGCAAGTGAGGGTCAAGAGACTCTCCTATTGCCAGGATTTCAGGACTCCATAGTGGAAATGGAAACCACTGAAAGTTTCTACTAACCCTTTCCTCGTATTAAGGAGTCTCCCTCAGCTCCCAGCTGATCCTACTGAGTAGACTGCCTAATTTCCTTCCCCTTCCTTGGTTTAGGCATTTACTGTCACTTTTCTATTGAATTACAGTGTTCTCTCTTGGGTGGTCTATTTGAAATGTGATCATCTACTCATTATGTTGGTTCTTCTTAGTGGAGGAGGTGAGTATGAAATACCTCTAGTCGGTCATCTTGAAGCTATCCTCTTTCATATCTTTTCCTTATCACATCATATCTATTTCCCTATAGGTCCTCAAATTTATTAGCACAGAGTTACAGTCTTAGGAATTCAATTCCTCTCATTCTGAACTGTGAGTAATTGTGATTGATGTTGTTATTTCTTCCTTCTTTCCTCTCTTTCCTTCCTTACTTTCATCTTTTCTTTTCCTTTTTTTAGTTCTTCCCTTCCTTTCAATGAAGCACAGTAGAATGTTTATTTTTTTAAATGCAACATCCCTCACTTGAAGTCTTTCAAAGACTTTAGAATAAAGTCCAAATTATCTACTAATATAAAACAAAGTGCTTCTCAGGTTGGTATTTATCTACTTCGGTATCTCACTGCCATCCTAATTCTATGCTGAATACTGGCTTTATTTTATCATTTAATCTTTGCACATGAAGTTAAAATATCCTTCACTCCCTCTATATCCATTCTCTGCCTATAAATATCCTGCTGGTTCCAAGATCCATTCCAACTTGTACTTGTCTGGGAAGTCTTCTTTGGCGGTCCTAAAGGTGGAACCTCATCCTCTTGGGAATTCTCCTCTGTTGAGCCTGTCAATGTTGAAGTCCCCTGGTGCTCAATCCTCACATCTTTCCTCTATGTATACTCAAATCCCAGAAGAAAGTCCATCCTGTGCCATCAAATATCATCTTTACACTGGTGAACTCTAAATTTTTATCTCTAGCTATGATTTTGTCCTGCCAATTTAATACCTCTATATAGCTATGAATTAAACATACCAAGCTTAATGTATCAAAAATGGAAGTCTTGATCGTATTTCTGCTTTCCAAATGCATTTTTCTCTAAGTGTTCCCCATCTCAGTAAACAGTATTCATCCAGTGTTCTGTTCAAAAGTTTTGGAACTATCTTTGACTCCTGTCTTTCTCTTAATACACACACCCAATCTAGTACTAAGACCTGCTATCTGTACCTTCAAAAATATTTCTTACCACTTCTACCTCTACCACTCTAGTCCAAGTGACCACTATCTCTTGCCTGGAGTATTGCAACTACCTCCCAATTAGACTTTCTTCTTCCCCTTTTATTAAATTACAATATATTTATTTCCACATAAAAACCAGTATCACATTAAATGATAACTCAGATCATTACCCCCCACAACTCAATCTTCTAATGACATCACATCTCATTTCAGAATACAATGTACAGTATTTATGATGGCCTACAAGGCCAGAAATAATTTAACTCCTGAATACTTCATCTCTTATCGTCCATACCATTAGTGATAGATACATCATTGCCAGACTGACCCCCTTACTATTTCTTGAACACATCCATACCTACCACTGTGCTGTCCCCTTTGACAGGAATGCATATCCATCAGAAATCCAAATGATTTAATTTCTCACTTCTTTTTGGTCATTTATTTTTTTTTCCCTAGTTCTTATCACTACTTGCCATTACATTAGATTTTTTTGTTTGTTTATCATCCACTAATTCATTAAAATATAAGCTCTGTAAAGTGAGGAGACTCACTTTTTTGTTCATGCCTGAAACTTTTCCTAATTTGTAGTAGACACTGTATTAAAACTTGTTCAATAAATGAGAGATTGAATACATCTAATGTATTATTCCAGTATAGTGGGTGTCTTCTCTGTAAATCATAAACTTTAAGTCCAGGGACAAAGTACTTTTTCTGTCTCTCCCCAAGAATCTACCAGATGATTACACAGTAGATACACAAGCAATATTTATTATGGAGTAAATTAATAAACACTTTCATTCTCTTTTGTAAGAGAGTGAGGAAAATCTTATGAATCAGGAAAGCTAAGGACGCCAGCTTGATTATGTCACACATGGCAGAAATAAGAGGGAACTCTGCAAGAAAATACCTTAAAGACCTTCAGACTCTTTCTACCCCTTTTCCAGCATAAAGGTTTCCATCTGCAAGGGAAAGTTTTCTGGAAACAGTAGCTTAGGAAAATACACAACATGTAGCTGTTATAATTGCCATGTTTATATTGAGTTCTGGGTTAGCTAGTCTGAAACAGCCCTGGTAAAAAATAAATTTTCAGTGTGTTTTAAGCAATCAGTGTTTCCAATAAGCACTGTCAACATGACCTTTAGTGGTCTCCAGAACTTCTCCTTCACTAAGTATTTAACTGGCTGTTCAGCCCCTATGGCTTCCTGTCTGCCTTTAATTTTCCCTCAGCATTTTTTCATGCTAGAGCAACAACAAAATACACAAGCCATCCTTTGAGAGAATTTCTGAACATAAGTTGAAAAGCTATTGACATAAAAAATTGAGACTGGTTGAGAGAAAGAGTATCAGTGGATACCACATATTCTTCTTTTGATAGACAAATGAACCTCACGTTCTAATTCCCTAACTCCCTATTATCTACTTAACACTGAACTATTTCTTTTACATTTTCTTTCCTAGAGAAATTTTGGCTTTCACAGAAGAGCAAGTATGGAAATTTTTTTGATAAATCTAATGCCCAAGCTCCATAATAATGCTAGTATTTGAGAGTAATTATAATTCCTATAAAACTGCCTGAGGTCATTCTGAAGCTCTGAAAGCTTTTGTCATATTTTCATACTCATTCTCAGGGCCTTTTTATTAAGTCATTCTTTTCCTCACTAAAAGAACATCTAAATTAGTATCATTAGACATTGTGAAAAATTAGTAAGTCATGATATGAACATAACATTATGTGTAATGAATTTTAACTAATCTTATTATCATTTTGAAACAAATAATTTACAGTAATTTAATGAATGTGTAACTTAACCTAGCAGCTGACCTAATCACATAGATACATAAAGAATACTTTCTGATTCAACATTGTGTTTTTTTCAAACAATAGAAAAATAGTAAGTCACACCAAAAATTTTTATCTGTCATAAAGTATAATAGCAGTATGAATCAAATTTCATTTCTTCTCTTGCGCCTACTGTCAAAAGAATGTACCAAAAATAGAGAAAGAGGTTAAGATGATGGGAAAAAGCAGACTACAGGGGACATAAATCATGGTTCCAACTCTACAACTGTATATTTAATTAATATCAATTTCTGGATCTCAAAAGGGTGACATGGAATATGTTTCAAAACTAAAACAATCAAATAACAATATAAACAAAAAATCAAACCATATAAGTAGCCTATATGTTAGATCCATATTTTTAATGTTTGAGATGTTGTCCTATTACTTTTACTGCTTAATACCTATTTAAAGCTCACATAAATATGAAGGAGTTTATTAAAGCTGCTCTAAGCTATAGCATTTACTCTCCAGAAACTCATCTACCATCAATCCTTCTTTTGTTCTACATGACTGTCATTTCTTCCCATTTGATCCAGCTCTGGATCAAAACTAGTGCTGTGGACATATGAAATTATAAAATTGCTAACTGGAAAAGCAGGGACAGAAATTCCTCACTAAAAAGTAAGATTAAAAAATTGATCACAGGGCCGGGTGTGGTGGTTCATGCCCGCAATCCCAGCATTTTGAGAAGCCAAGGTGGGTGGATCGCTTGAACCCAGGAATTCGAGACCAGCCTGGGCAACATGGCGAAACCCCGTCTCTACTAAAAATACTAAAAATTAGCCGGGCATGGTGGCACACGCCTATAATCTCAACTACTTGGGAGGATGAGGCATGAGAACTACTTGAACCCAGGAGACAGGGGTTGCGGTGAGCCAAGATTGCACCACTGCACTCCAGCCTGGGCAATAGAGCAAGATTTGATTTAAAAAAAAAAAAAATTGGTCACAGGATACAGAGAGCAGGGGACAGCTTAGTAGAAAATTTTAATTAATGTTAATGTCAGCCATAACTATGATTATCTAGACCATACTTAAGAACTGTTGACTGTGATGGGGGTTCAACTTAGGAAATAGTGATTTACATGTACAAAACATAAGGAAGGGTTTAGAGACACAGTTGTAGTTGTTTCATTTTGTTTCGTTTTGTTTAAACACCCAAAAACTCGCACTGGTATTTATTTTTTCAAAGAAAATAGAGAAGGGAAACCAAACATATCATAAACACTCATTCTCAAGAGCATGTTATAAACCATCTTACAGAAACAAGGCCATGTTAGGTAGAACGTCCCAGACTGTGTACACCAGAAGCAGTTCCACAGTACTGTAGGGCCCTCTCACCTTAAAAGTTGTGGTGCCATAGAGCTTGGTAGTGTGAACTGTCTCTGGAAGCACATTAGTGATGTTGGTGATAAATTCTTCCAAGTACTTACAGGATTTCTCCAAATGTGTTGTATTGATAATAATCTGAACAAGCTAGAAAACAACAAACACATGTAAAAGTCATTTAACTACTCACCCCAGGATGAATGGCTCAATATGAATCTGCCGGTACAAAACAAATGTAAGGCATAATGGAAAAGGCCATCCACATTCGGGCAAGGGGTATGTTAAAGCATGGGCTTTCATGTTACCTCTTCTAGGAAGTTTTTGATATGGTCAGGCTTTGTGTCCCCACCCAAATCTCATCTTGAATTGTAATCTCCATAATCCCATGTATCAAGGGAGAGACCAGGTGGAGGTAATTGAATCATGGGGGCAGTTTCCCCCATGCTATTCTCGTGATAGTGAGTGAGTTCTCACAGATTTGATGGTTTTATAAGGGGCTCTTCCCCCTTCACTCACACTTCTCCTTCTTGCTGCCCTGTGAAGAAGTTCTTTGCTTCCCCTTTGCCTTCCACCATGATTATAAGTTTCCTGAGGCCTCCCAAGCCATGCTGAACTGTGAGTAAATTAAACCTCTTTCCTTTATAAATTACCCAGCCTCGGGCAGTTCTTTATAGCAGTATGAAAATGGACTAATACGTCCTAGCATTCCAAAACATTTTGTATTCCCCCATATTATGGGAACACTTATCACTGTATTCTAAAGGTATGTTTTCTTCTGTTTAAAAAAGATTAGACTAAGAACAGAAATTGCTACGGTTTAGCATGATGCCTTCCAACTAAAACATTGCCAAATGAACTAAACAAATAAATGATCACCAAAAGAACAGGAATCATTAAAATGGCAACAAGACGTTTCAAAATTAGGCATGATGAACAGAGATGTTAGGAGAGATTACAATATGTTAATAAACTACATCAGTTTGTGGAAGAAAGAACATGGGCATCAAAGTGAAAGTAACCAGGGAATTAATGACTTACTTTATTATTATTACTTACTGATCTTGTGAAATTTTCTTATCTTTTATAACCCTATTTCTTTATCTGTAAAATGTCAATAATAATGTCTACTTCACAGAGTTATTGTGAGGATTAAATATTCTGTTGTCAACACTATTTCCCTTTTCTTACATAGAACAGATCATTAAAAAGACAGTACTGGTTAAAAAAAAAGTTGTCTTCTATAAATTACTAGAAGAGGAAGATAAAGAAGAATAACTATTATTGTCTGTATAGAATTAAGGATTCTAAAGACCTTCATGATTCATTTTCCTACACTGTTTTCCCAAAAACTTGGAAAAGTAGTTAAAGGGACATAATTATAACTTCCATTTTATTATAACAGAAATGAAAATGAAGTGATTTTCTTTAGATCACACAGCCTAAATGAAACTAATACTACGTCCTGTACCTTCCAATTATGGACTCATCTAAATAACTCTGCCAGTGCCTTTTAGCATAAGCATAATATGGCAGCTCTGAAGTGCTGCATGATTGTGTACATTAGACTAAAATATAAGATTCTGGGCCTGCAATCAACTGGACCCCAATATGCTCTGATTCTACTGTCTGTAAAAAGAAGAGGAAAAAAAGTGGTATCTATTACTTATTTCTTAACTATTAAACCATAAAAATGTTCATATTCCTTAGAGTCTAAAAGAAATACAAACAGGAAATAGAATGGACCTTTTTTTTGTCTTTCTTTTCTACATCTTTACTTTCCATTTTCACAAAAATATGTCTGATGGTGAGGTTGTGGCAGGTAGCGGGGAGTTTTGGTGTGTAAGGCAATGAATTAATCTAGGTCTTTTGGTCTAGTGAGACAGTGAGCCAAGAGGTTGGGGGGTGGGGGTGGCATATGACACAAAGCAGAAACTGGAACTAAAGATGAGGGTGGTACTACACATGTTTACAATCCATGATATTTCAAAACAACGTTAAAAAGTTTGAATTTAAATTCAGTAAGAATCATATCAAGCTGTAGGATATTAAACAAAAATACAAATAGGACTATAATCAGAAAATACATTCTCACTTCTTCTACATCATCCAGCACAGGATGAAAGCACACACTTCATTCTCAAAAAATACATGTCAACTCATAAAGACAATGTTTTAGTACTGGTTTCAACTAAGAAAAAGTGTACCTTCTACTCCACTAAGGATCATCCTGACAATCTTAGGAAGATAACTACTTTGAAACACAATAACAAAGGGCAAAAACACAGCGATACAATTCGAATAAATTCTCTTAGATGAAAAGTTAGGGCAACACTGGGACTAGATCTCTATATTTTCCCCCATAACTCATCAGACAAGTTCATATACATCAGCTCTCCTTTCCATTCATTCCATAGTTTTAATTCAGAAATTTTGAGTTTTGAACACAAGACTACTACGTCCTATAAAATTACCAAAACAAACAACCTTTTAACTTTGGAGTGCTCTAGGAAAAAATATCCACCAAAATAAGCAATTCATCACCCTCTTGCTTTCATCATTTTCTCCTTCAGAGGAGGACTAAAATCATTTAAAAATATTTAAGTTGTGTGAATTAAATCATTCATCTTCCTGAGTGGGAAGGTGGCTACTGGAAAGGTTGTCTTGATGTGGAAGTCAGAAAATTAAGAGAGTTAATCTGAGAACTGAAAAATTTCTATTTTAAAATCAGTATTACCTATGGAAACACATTCTGCCAATCAAAAGAAATCCTAATAATAAGGAGGAATCATGTCATGTTATCGAAATAAAAAACAGTGGCAGTCAAAGAGAAAATTATCCTGTTTTACATGATATTGGCAGTTAAAGAAAAAAAAGGGAGGTGGCTTCACTGGGTACAGTAGTAATTTCCCATGACTTTTTAAAGATCTGTCAACACAAAAGATCACTGTGAATTACATCAATTGGCTGTCAGTCACTTTTTGAAATGTTTCATTGCTGAGCATAGAATAGACTATTGAGACACTCTAGGATTACAGTAGATACCATGTCATTTTCAGAGAGAATATTGTCTGTTAACGAGGACTAAGTGATAACTACTCCTGAATGACAGCTACCAAAATCCTTACAAGGGCATTTACTAATGTAAAACCAGAGGCTTTGGGCATAATTTCAAATTGAAAGATAAAATGAAGCAATTTCAGATAACTTCCCTCAGAGTTTGAGCTCCCTTGATGATATTTTTAACGACTACTTCCCAGTCTCTTACAATATATAACACTGCAGTAATCCAAACTGTCCTAAACATTATTTCAAGGACATAAAACTAATAATAGATCAAATATTGATTATCTCTTACATAAAGTTCTATGAGAATTGTCAAAAAAGAACATTATAAATCAAACGACTATCTCTCACAAGTAAATGACACAAGTCACTTAAGTGAAAAACCATTAAGAATTGGAAAATTTTTCTGTCTCTCCTTCCTTGTATCGGAGAAAATCTAACAAGAAAGGTACATAGCACACCTTGGAGGTAATTTCTTTTTTTTTTTTTTCAATTTTACATTAAGTTCCAGTATACATGTGCAGAACGTGCAGGTTTGTTACATAGGTGTATGTATGTCATGGTGGTTTGCTGCACCTATTGACCCGTACTCTTAAAGATCCGTCCCCTCAGCTGGGCGCGGTGGCTCACGCCTGTAATCCCAGCACTTTGGGAGGCCGAGACGGGCGGATCACGAGGTCAGGAGATCAAGACCATCCTGGCTAACACGGTGAAACCCCGTCTCTACTAAAAATACAAAAAAAAAAAAAATTCAGCTGGGCATGGTGGAGGGCGCCTGTAGTCCCAGCTACTCGGGAGGCTGAGGCAGGAGAATGTCGTGAACCCAGGAGGCGGAGCTTGCAGTGAGCCGAGATCACGCCACTGCACTCCAGCCTGGGCGACAGAGCGAGACTCCGTCACAAAAAAAAAAAAAAAAAAAAAATTCCCTCCCCTCATCCCCAACCCCACAACAGGCCCTGGTATGTGTTGTTCCCTTCCCTGTGTCCATGTGTTCTCATTGTTCAACTCCCACTTATGAGTGAGAACATGCAGTGCTTGGTTTTCTGTTCGTGTGTTAGTTTGCTGAGGATGATGGCTTCCAGCTTCATCCATGTCCCTGCAAAAGACATGATCTCATTCCTTTTTATGGCTGCATAGTATTCCATGATGTATATGTACCACATTTTCTTTATCTAGTCTATCATTGATGGGCATTTGGGTTGGTGACTTTGCTACTGTAAATAGTGCTGCAATAAACATATGTGTGCATGTGTCTTTATAGTAGAATGCATGTGTCTTTATAGTAGAATGATTTAAATTCCTTTGGGTATATACCCAGTAATGGGATTGCTGGGTCAAATGTTATTTCTTGGTTCTAGATCCTTCAGGAATTGCCATACTGTCTTCCACAATGGGTGAACTAATTTACATTCCCAGCAACGGTGTAAAAGCATTCCTATTTCTTGTGGAGGTAATTTCTCCTCCAAGCCTGCTCAAAACACCCCAGTGGAACCTGAACCATGATGACATTCTATTCTTGACAAACCCCAGAAAATATCTTCATCATCTTCCATAGTTCAAAACTAGCCTTAAATTCCAAGAAGATGTTTCCATTCCCAACTATAAATTAATTCTGGAGTATACACATCTGCATATATTAAAACTGCTTTTAGCATGTTTCCCAAAACAGACAATTCAGTACAATAAACCTTCAACAGGACTAATCCAAAGGAAGAAAATGAGAAGTCACACTCTTCTTCATGCCACCAATGCCTCTCAACTGTTAAATTTGCAAAACAAAAAATGAAATAGTAGCATTGGTTCTCATTCACAAAAATGAGCTATCACATAGACTTCAAGGGATTTGATCTCCATTTCACCCCAGTCAGGGTACAAAAAACTGTGTCAACCACTCATTTTATACCATCTCCATGATTAAAATACCTAAAATACTAAAATACATGAAACTCCTGGTTACGAATTCCAAGATAAAGTACAAAGTTTATATTTGACTAGACTTAAGTACAAAACATTTTAACAACGTGAGCAATATCACTTCTGTTAACAAGAGAGAGGGGAGATAAATGGAATGTGGAAAATGAGAGGAGAGAATCATATGGTCAACAATCTAAATTATACTAAAAGCAAAGAATAAATGCAAAGCACTAGTCATTTCTTCAGGTCTCTACTACCATATTAGGTATGTCTAGTGCACTACATCACAGTAGTGCCCTGTGATCATAAAAATACAAATACCCAATATGGTTTCACCAGAAGGAACTCTGAACTTCTTTCTACATATTATAAATAATTAAACATAAATACTACTGTAAATTATAAAGTATCAGATGAAAATATAACCAATTCTTTAGAACTAGTATTGATATGAACTGATATATTGCAGCTTCCAGCTAAATATGATTTAAGAAAATACACAATCATGGCTGAGCGCAGTGGCTCATGCCTGTAATCCCAGCACTTTGGGAGGCTGAGGCGGGTGGATCACCTGAGGTCAGGAGTTGGAGACCAGCCTGGCCAATATGTTGAAACATTGTCTCTACTAAAATACAAAAATTAGCTGGGTGTGGTGGCACATGCCTGTAATCCCAGCTACTCGGGAGGCTGAGGTAGAAAAATTGCTTGAACCTGGGATGTGGAGGTTGCACTGAACCGAGATCAGGCCACTGCACTCCAGCCTGAGAGACAGAATGAGACTCCATCTCAAAAAAAAAAAAAGAAAAAGAAAATGTACAATCATGTTAGCTAGTTTCACTTTAATTCATGTACACTAGTCAAGAGTGGGCACTTGATGCTACCAAATAATCACATTATCTGGCACAAATCAATTTTTTTTACACACTCCTAGAGGACTTCAACACACCTTCTTTCTCCTTCAACTCCCATGCTTGCTCTCCCATCTGTAGGTTTAGCTGAAGACCCTGCATTTGCTGGGAAAACTGAGCATTTGGGAGCCTGCCACCATAATACTTACCCAACCACTACCATTTGCATTCACACACTCTGATTCTTACCTGTTACCAGAGGTGAACTTGACACTATCTAATGCCAATCCCTTTAACTGTGTATTCTATCTTAAACTCTCTTACTTAAGGACATTGCATCAGAGATTTCTCCCTTTCTGCTACATCACCCATTTTTCTGCTCTATACTGTATCATTCCCACAATAAATAACAGACTGTTATCTGTCCCATTAAAAAATAAAACAAAAAAAAAAACCTGTCTTAACCGACTTCCCCTGCTAGCTATCACCCCATTTCTTTGTTTCCTTTGGTAACAAAATTTCCTGAAAGAGCTGTCTTATATTTGCTGTCTCTAATTCCTCTTTTCCCATTCTTTAATTTTTTTATTTACATAAACTCTTTATTTTAGGACAGTTTTGTATTTATATTTACAAAAAAGTTGCAGAGTTCCCATATACTCCTCACCCAGCTTCCCTTATTGTTAACATCTTACATTACTATGGTACATTTGCCACAACTATGGAACCAACATAAACGCATTACTACTAATTGAACGCCATACTTTATTCAGATGTCACTAGTTTTTCCTTAACGTTCTTTATCTATTTCTGGATTCCATCTAAGATACCACATTACATTTAGTTGTCACGTCTTCTTAGTCTCTGGTCTGTGACAGTTTATCAGATTTTCCTTCTTTTTGATTACACTGACAGTTTTTTGTTTTGTTTTGTTTTGTTTTTGTTTTTGTTTTTGAGATGGAGTCTCGCTCTGCCACCAGGCTGCAGTGCAGTGGCACAATCTCGGCTCACTGCAACCTCCAACTCCCTATTTCAAGCGATTCTCCCGGCTCAGCCTCCCGAGTAGCTAGGATCACAGGCACGTGCCACCATGCCCAGCTAATTTTTATATTTTTAGTAGAGACGGGGTTTCGCCATGTTGGCCAGGATGGTCTCGAACTCCTGAGCTCGTGATTCACCCGCCTCAGCCTCCCAAAGTGTTGGGATCACAGGCGTGAGCCACTGTGCCGAATCCTACACTGACAGTTTTAAGGAGTACTGGTCAACTATGTTATAGCATGTCTTTCAATTTTTGTTTGTTTAATGTTTTCCCATGCTTAGACTGGGCTCATGGGTTTAGGGAGGGAGAACACAGAGGCAAAGTGCCCTCTCATCAAATCATATGAAAGGTACATACTATCAACATAACATCACTGATGATGTTAACCTGGAACACTTGAGCAAGGCAGCGTCTGCCAGTTTTCTTCACTGTAAGGTTACTTTTTTCCTCATTCTACCCTATACTTTTTGGAAACAAGTCACTAAGCACACTTCACAATCACCTTGTAGTGGCAATAGTATCTATATTAGTTATTTGAAATTCCTCTCTGCAGGAGCCATTCTCTTTAAAACCTACTCAATCAGGAGTTTCCTTCCACCATTTTATTAAAAGCGCTCTTACCAAGGTCACCAACTTATTCCAAATTGCTAAATCCAATGGCAATTCTTCACCTTCTTTTTATCAATCAGCAGTATTTGTCATAATTCATCACTCTCTCATTCTTTATATAATTTATGCACACTCCTGTTTTTTTTGTTTTGCTTTTTCCTACTTCCCTGGTGGCTCCTTCCCAATCTCCTTTCATGGTTCCTCTTTTCTCCTGATATCTTAATATCAGAGTACCCAAAAGTTCAATTTTCATCCTCTTTTCTTCTCCATCTTTATTCATTCCCTCAGTGATAGTATCCAGTAGCATGAATATAAATATTTATATTCTCCCCAATTTTTATCCCCTGGCCAAACCTCACTTCCAATCTGCAAATTCATATACACAACTGCTTACTCAACATCTCAACCTATATGTCTAATAAACACTATAAATTTAATATGTCTAAAATCAAATTCCCAATGTTCTCTCACAGCAAATTTAGCTCTGCCTAAAATTTTTCCTATCTTAGTTCATGGTATATACAGCCTTCTCGTTGCTCAAGTCAAAAAATCCTGGAGTTAGTTACTTTCAACTCTTCACTTTTTCTCTTCCTTTATATCCAATCATCAGGAAAGCATGCTGGCTCTACACTTAAAATCTTATCACTGTCCATAGCTACCACCCAGTCTCACTGGATTTCTGCCATAATTCCCTAACTAGTCCCCTTGTTTCCATCCTACAGTATATTCTCACTACCATGGTCAATGTGATCCTCTCAAAATATAAGTCAGATCAAGTCATTAAACAAAATCCTACAATAGCTCCCCATTTCACGCAAAATAAAAGCAAAAGGCTTTACGACGGCCTACCATGAATGCTTGATACCTCTCTAAACTAACCAGTTGCTTCTCTTCCCCTTGCTCACTCCACTCCAGCTACCCTAGCCTCCTGATTTTTCCCTCAACTTGCCAAGAACTTTCCTACCTTCAGGCCTTTGCTCTGGCTCTAATCTCTACCTGAAATTTCTCCTGCAATAATAACTTACCCTCGAGGTGCTGCTATAAAAATAAAACCAACCTAGAACATCTACTAGAATCCTGATTTCCTTAACCCAGGTGCTTTTTCTTCTCTCCATAGCATTCACTACCTTTAACCATACTACAAAATTGACTTAATTATTTTGTTTATTATTTATTATCTGTTTTTCTCTGGTAGAATGTAAGCAAGGATCTCTATTGTTGTTGTTATTGTTCACTGATTTATCTTAAGGGCATGGAATCAGTGCCTAATAGAGAGTACATATTTTAAAAATTGTAAAGGTAATAAACAAATTATCTTAATAGAACCTCTTGTTCTAATTTTTTTTACTTCTCTTAATTAAAAAACTCCATTTCTATACTAGTATTAATCAGTGCTTGACTGCTTAGACCTCTTAATAATAACAGGTAATATGCATTGAGTATTTGCTATATACCAGGCACAGTAAGTACTTTACATGCTTCACAACATTCCTGTGAAATACATGCTACCATTATCCCCATTTTACATAGAAAGCAAAGTAATTTGCCCAAGGGCACAGCTATTACGAGGAGGGCCAGAATTGGAACCCAGGCAGTATATATTAGAACATACAGTCTTAACCAATACTCAATTACACTTTTCATAGACCTTATGAAGCAGCCCTAGGAAAATAGCCATTCTCGCTAAAAAAATAATGAATAGTCACATAAAGTTTGAAAAAGAAAGGCATTCATGTTCTAGTGGTGCTAAAACTGAAAGGTAATTTTGAATTGGCTCAACATGGAGAAACAAAGAAGCCATGAGGAAAAAAGATAGAGCATATGCATAGAAAAAGAAGAGACTGTGTAACCCCAAAACAGAGTAAACACTGTGTAACCCCAAAACAGAGCAAACACTGTGTAACCCCAAAACAAGAAGGGCAGGCAGAGAGACATTTGTCTATAGGAACTTCCAATTCCTAAGAGAATTATCTGACATGCTGAAATAGGAATCTGTAAATTTTGTGGGCTTATCATAATTCTATTATCTCTGACTAAAACAATATCCATGTTACTATGGACCTCCTGTAAAAATCTCAATTTTTGTTAGGATGAAATAATTAAATCAATATGGAAGGCAGTACAATACAGTAGAAGTGGATAGGTTTGGGGAAAAAAACCTAGATTTATGTCTCATTTCTACCATGTTTGCTAGCTGTATGACCTCAAGCAATCTCCCTGGACTTTAATTAGGCTGTCTATAAAATGGGAATAATAACACATGCCCAGCCTGCTTCAAATGTTACTGTACTAACTGAAATCAAATTTGTGAGTGAGCTTTGAAGAATATAAACTGCTCCACAAATGTTACCTATTATGATGATGATTCCAGATGTGAACTCACTTTAGTTACTCATAAAGGATGTGTCTTCTCTTTCCAAAGGTAGGTAGTATAATTATTCAAAGTGTATCTCGTTAGTAATAAAAAAAATCACTTTATGTGTATGTGTCTATACATGTACACACCACCATAATAGCCAAAACAAACAAAAGCGTATGCATGTTTCTTCATTCATATGCAAAGATACTGAAAGTATAGTTCCCTAAAAACACCCAATGACTAAGGAATAACATTTAGTATTCAATGAAATGGTGCCAAAATTACACGGTTCTTCCTTGATAACTTCGTACTTGTTCTTCCTATTATTACCTGACCCGTACAGTGTTTCCTGAAACCCAAGCTGAGAAGTTACGCCTTTCTCTTAAAATGTCACAGTAAACCAATGGCTCAGCCAGAACTGAACCCAAGATTCTTCTGAGGCCAAAGCTATTTCTATCAGACCATGTTCTTGCTATGCTACTTGTTATAAAATTGTTAAGAGACTGCTAAATTAAATGACATAAAAACAGTTACATGAAGAGTTATAATGAAGAGATAGTTCACAAAATAAATAATAAACTTCCCATCCAGAAAAAGAAAACACTATAATCTAACAAAAGCAGGAGGACTTCCTAATTTTCACTCCAACCTTCCTTTTCTGTAACCTTCTTGATTATAAAGGAGGTTAGCTATTTTTCAGATACATAAAGGCAAATGCCTAATATTTCTGTACTAGGCAATAGAAAGGAAGCTCTGTAAAATGAGGGGATTATCCCAAATAAAGTCTAAGGTAATTTTCAATTGAAAGAAAAGTTTGCTATAAGTAGAACTCAATCACTTCCAATGTCCCATCTTATTTTTTTTTTATCTTAATTCAGAGAAAGAGAAAATAACTCCAAAATCAGAAGTAAATGCCCACCTGGCTTCCAGCTGTCTTTACCTATAGGTCAGTATCATTAACCTTTTGCTGCGCTTCACCATAATCCTTGACAGTGTACATTTTAAATGTCAATTTTTTCCTAGAGTAACAGACTTCCAAACTGCACCACCTCTATAGGTAAAACAGATGGCAAACAGCCTTTCCCTTTCCTTGTGAAAAAAAATTCTTCTAAACTCCTCTCACTTTAGGCACTATAACATCCAGTGAAAAACAGATTGAGGTTACTACGCAATCTTGAGTTTCCAAGGGAGAGAACTTCACATCTTTCTAAATTTTAGAACTACACACCAATAGACCAAATCTCGTTTGCCAAGGTACTACATTCAATATATGTAAAATATCCCTCCTCTTTTTATGAGATTCCATAAACCTCCACAGAAATGTGACTATTGCCTTTTCTACACATTCCCTTGATCCCAAATATCTAGTCCTTTTGCAAACAAACTACAAGCTGATAAAGAGTAATTTACCTTTCATACATATGAGATATCTTAAAAATAAAGGCTGAGTCTGACACTAACCAAGAACTATGATTGCATTATCCTAGGTATCAATAACTGATGCAAGCAAAATGTGATTTCATATTCTACGTTGTACATGAACTGCCATTCACTTGATTGGAACCTGATGCTCAATATATTCTACAAACAAAAATATTTGTGTATAATCAATGCCAGGTAACAGAAATGTATTCTAACAACTTCAGAAAGGAAAACCAGTTAAGCTAGTGAAAACAAAGAGAAAAACGACTTTTTTAGAAAAAAATAAATAAATTTTTCAAAGGTGACCAAAGAAAAGAACAAGAGATTTCATTTTGCACTTTCACCATTAGAAGCCTATCAGGAAGAGCATGTAGAAAGTTTTAACGAATTCAGACATAAGGCCCAGAGCTTAGGACATCTGTTCACATACTGGCTCGGCTGCCTTCATTAGGAGCAGGTTTACCTCAGTAAGCCCAATATTCTTCCTTTTAATTACATTCTGCAGAGAGTTGCTCAGAGTCCTGGTTAGCAACAGGTTTGTTGATTTCCGAATCATGTCATCAACTTCAGTTGAGCTGAAAAAGAAGCATTAAGAGTCAGTCATAGCAGGTAGCAGAATTATTTCGGCAAACAAACGGTGCCAGTGGTATTCGTGGTAATAATAATAAAATAATAATAGCAGCAGCAAATAATACTTATTGTAAGTCAGAAAAAGTACTATAATAAACTCTCCTAGCTTTTGTTGGCTGAAAAAAAAATAGTTTGCCTTCATTTTTGAAAATTGTTTTTCTGTCTATAGAATTCTGGCTGTTTTTTTTTCTTTATTTCTTTGAGTACTTTAAGGATGTCACTCCATTTTCTCTGGCTTGCATAGTTTCAGAAAAGAAGTCTATTATAATTCTTATCATTATACTATCATGTAATTTTTATTTTTGGGAATGCCTTCTAAACATTCTCTTTACCTTTCATTTTCACCAGTTTGAATATGATGTCTTTAAATATTTTTGTTTGTTTCTTGTTGTTGCTATTATTTATCTGAATTAGGGTTCTCAAAATCTTGAATTTCTTGTTTGATGCCTTTCATTATTTTTTTGAATACTCTCAGCCACTTTAATTTAAAGTATTTCCTCTTCCCAGTTATCTCAGTCTTCTACTTTAATCTACCATTTGAAAATGCCCTACAGATCTTGGGCACTTTGTTCTATTTCTTTCACCTTTTCTTCTGGGTTCTATATTGTCATGCTAGCTCACAGTACACTGTTAACAATACATTAAGACTTTAGTTGATTTTGTCTTTCTCACATGAATGGTAGTTACACCTTTCCTATTCTGCCACAGGTGCAGGAGTCTGTCCCCTTAGAGGGACCAGTCCCATCATGGTTTTCGGACTACTTAGTTTCCTGCTGACTTCGCCTCTCTGATGAGTTCCAAAAAAGTTTTAATTTTGTACCTTCTCTGTTTTTCTCCCCCCCCCCCCCCCGCATTTTTACATAGGAAGCAATATTCTTTCCAGTCTTCTATACTGTAGACAGAAACAGAAGTATTTTGCAGTAATTTGCTTTAAAAAAATGCTGTTTGTGCATGTATTCACATGCAAGCAAGATTAAAAGAAAAAAAAAACCATATCAGAAGTGTTATTACTATGTGGTAGAGTTTTGGGTCATTTACATTGTCCCTCTTTGCGCTGTTCTTTATCGCCTGAATTCTTTAAAAACATTTAATTTTATTAATATAATGTGAAACAGGATCTCTCGCGTATGTATGTGGGTGTGTATATATTCTATTTTTTTAAGATGAGTATGAATGCTAGAAGAGTATTTTACCATAGAAATGCCATGTGTTTGCTATTTTAAAAAAATCTTTCTTTCAAAAAGAAAGTTTTACGTATTCAGAATTCATGCAATTACAAATTTTGTCAATATGTATAATGCTTTTTGGCCTCTTCTGTCTAGTGTAAAAGAGAAAACTAAGAGAATAATTATTCTTAAAGCTGCATTAAAATCTGAATGCAGCGGTTTCTCTTGTTTTGAGAGCCTGCATGTAAAAGAAATAATGGTTTTTATACAAATTGTCTCATGTTCCATGTTAGCCTCCAAAACAGATATGACTGACAAAGCAATCTCTGTCACTCCAAGTTATAAGGTAAACATATTCCAGGATATAAGATAAATGCCAAATGAAGAGTAAAAGGCATCTAGCTTTTTCTAAAATCCCCAAGTTAAATATTTTATTTAAATATTAAATGTGAAAAGTATCAAAGGAAGTTTTCAGGCAAAAACTTCACATATTCAGGCAAGAAAAAGGCATCTGACATTATCCCATTACTAATATTATTCCTTTACCATATTACCTTTCTTCCAAAAGAAGATAGAAAAAGTAATTTTGCAATCAACTTGTAATGATTTATCTACAATAATATACCTAACATACCCTACAGACAATTATCTGATATAAGGTCACTTATATTAATGAAGTGGAGGCCAGGCAGGTGGGGGATGGAAACCCAGGGTAAAAAAGTTTTGGTTTGTAACTTCAAAAGACAATCTATTTTCAAGAGAACATTTCTATGAAAACAATTTCATTTTCAGAGAAAATGACAAATTAATTGTACAAACCCCATGTTTCATTTATTTTCTTAGTAAGAATAGTTAACAAAGAAGTGACTCAAACTATTCCCCAACTATGTTTATTTTCAGAGTAGCCTGGCATACCATGCTTTCCATTCATTTCATACATACACTCATTAAAAAAAATTTTCCGAGCTGGGTACAGGGGATATTGTGTTGAACAAAGATAAAATGTTTCCACCCTACAAAAGGATGGAACACAAACATCCTCATTTGTGTTTGGCTTGGCTTGTATGTTGCTCCAGCACTTATTAATTGTTCAGCTTCTTAATTAGACTAGGTACTCCTTGAAGACAGGGACCACATTTTCAGCAACTTAATTATTTCTATACCAAGCAGCATCTGACAAATAATACATTAGCCAAAATCTACGGTGAATAAACCAATACATGAATAAAGAAACAAAGGAGCCTACACTCTAGCACGTATAGAAAATATACATATACAAGTAGAGCAATAGTGTTTCCAAAGGATTTTATCTGATACTCCCCTTTTGGCCTTAACATTTCATTAAGTAGAATGTCAAAATCAGTATTTTTTGTCTATTTTTTTTTCTATAGAGATGGGGGTCCCACTATGTGGCCCAGGCTGGTCTTGAACTCCTGGATTCAAGCGATCCTCCTGCCTCAGCCTCCCAAAGTGCTAGGATTACAAAAATGAGCCACTGCATCCAGCCTACCATTTTCTAGTAAACTGTCATTAATAAGTGTTGAAATGCAAATCTATAAAGAATAAGATAGATAATATAAATTTTCAAAATTATGCAAAAGTTACCAATCTTCTCTTTCATCGTGACTATAGAAATACAGCAGTGCCATGCAGTGAAAAGCTAATTATTAAGATTTCCAAAATCAGGGCTGACGGGACTATCAAAAGTTTTTCAGAATATGTAAATACATGGAGTCACAATCTTAGCATTGGTTACATTTCTACTATTTTGTATTATACCTTAGATGAAGATCTTCTGAAAACTTCAGACAAGCGTAGATAAATTCTTTAATTTGGTTGTAAACTTTTGGCACAAATTCAGAGAAAGGAAACTTTTTTGGAAATGGTTGCTGTAAATGCAAGAAGTAATGAAATCAAGTCACAAACCAACGAAGATTGAAGATATTTATAAATTATTTAGGTTGCAAAAAGAACATTCTTTCACATTGTGAATTGTCTCCTTAACAAACTCAAATATAAGAAAATATCTCCCAAAGTTTTCTGATATTAAAAAGACATAAATTTAAATAAAACAATAATTCAAATGTCCTTCATCATGGAAAGAGATAAACAAATTGTGTTACATACTCAGCAATAAAAATGAATGAACAATGATACATGCAACAATTTGGACGAATCTCAAAAGCATTATGTTATATCAAAGAAGTAAGTCTCAAGAAGTTATATACTACACAATTCCATTTATATGGCATTCTGAAAAAGGCAAAAGTAGATGCACAGAGCCCAGGTTTCTGCTGTCCTGGGGCTGGGTTAAGGGAGGGGTATTACAAAGGGGCATCATTAAATAATTTTTTTTTTATAATAGAGCTATTTGGTATCAACATTGTGGTAATGGATACATAACTCAATACATTGTCAAAATCAGCAGAATTGTACACCACAAAGTGTAAATTTTATGTTGTGGGGAAAAAATGTCTTTAAATTTTAATAAAAACAAGTATTTCAAAGTGTAAACTGAATTAGAACATCCGCAGCAATCCTCCAAACACTTCAGAGGTAATAGGATCCAAAGCCATCTGCTGATTCCCAAATCAGGAAATTCTGGTCTTCCCCAAAAAGAATCCTTCATCGTCAGAAAGGTGATTAAAGTGAAAAAAAGAAAAAGAAAAAAGAATCCTTTGAAATTGTTTTAGAGTTCTAACCCATTGAGTTAAAGGTAATGCTTTCAATCAAACTGATCCAATGAAAGCTTTTAAGAGGATGCCAAAACAACCAGAGAAATTTATTTTAAAGTATTCCTTACCTTTTCCAGTTCTATATCTTGAAATGGGAATTGTCCTACCACCTTTTTGTACATCTCTTCACTTGTTACTGGTATAGGACTGTAGTTGTCAGAATCAAGTATGTTTCTATAAATGGAAGGATAGACAAAGGGAAGGGAAGGATAGACAAAGTGGGGGGGTAGGGGAGGGGAACAGAGGGAAGGTGGGTTAATCACAAATATTTTTCTGATGAACTCCAATCTTAATATATATGCCACAACCCAAAATGAACATTTCCCAGTCCCTATTATATTCCTTCCACAATATAGCTATTTGGTTTTGGATTTAAAGAAGACAAAAAGAAAACTATCCTCTGAAACAAATGGACCACAATTATAAACATATCTCTTAGGAACTGAGATTTACAAATAGGACAGAACATTTCAATGTAAGTGAGAAGTAAACAACAAAAGAATGTGTGCTCTAGAAAAGGCAAAGATATTTTCTGTTTGGTTTAATATGATATATAAATGTACATTATTATTATTATTATTATTATTATTATTATTATTATTATTAGAGACAGGGTCTCGCTCTGTCACCCAGGCTGGATTGCAGTGGCATGATCGTAGCTCACTGTAACCTCAAACTCTGGGGCTCAAGCAATCCTCCCGCCACAGCCTCCCAAGTAGCTGAAACTACAGTTGTTCACCACCACATCGGGCTAATTTTTAATTTTTTTGTAGAGATATAATCTTGCTATGTTGTCCAGGATTGTCTCAAACTCCTGCCCTCAAGGGATCTTCCTACCTTGGCTCCCAAAGTGCTGGGATTACAGGCATGACCCACTGCACCTGGCCCATTGATAAGGTTTTTAAAATCATGTTCTATTCTAACTTTCAAAATTGGCAAACAGAGTAACTTCAATAATAAATTCAAACTATTTTCATTTACTTTACCTACTGCTCTATATCAAGGATGACTTTTTTTAAATCGATAGGTTCTCTCTCCTTAAATAAACTGGGCATTCTCTAATAGTAGGGAACATACTACCAAAATCAAAACAGAAGACTCACTGAAGGCGTCAGATCAGAGCATCTAAGACTATGGATATATCATGTTATTAATTTTCAAATATCCTATAGAGATAAGACTCCCTTAAATACAATTATACCATTAGCTAAATCTAGGTTTTAGAAATATAAATATTTATATTAATATACAGATAAATTGGACTAAGTGATGATCAGAGATATGTTCATAAACGAGAAGAGTAAGAGTAAAGGACTAATGTAAGATCTTGAAGCTATAAGAGTTTGAAAAGAGGACAAACTGATCAGGGAAAGGGGTCTTGCAATAGGCAGCATAATCACTTAAAGTAAAGGAGTAAAGGTATAAAAAGAGAAGAAAGTCAAATGAGTTGACCTGGATTATGTGCCAAGAGCACAGTTCGAGAAGACATCTGTGAGTGATAGATGTGACAGAATAACTTTCTTATTATTGTATGCATGTTGCAATAACTACTTAAATAACAGGCTTCAAACACTGGGCTGTAATATGCCCCTTTGCTGTGTGTGGAGAGGGAAGATGATGAGGAACAACATGAGTGAGTCATCCAAACAGATTTTCCGAAAGCCTAAATTATTCCTAAGTGCTCAAATGTTACTCACTATAATTGAGTTGTAGACTAGGCATGAACCTCAAAATGAAAACCAAATAACAGAATAAGATGACACCAAGATGATCTGAATGACATGAACCAAGGAATCTGATATTTATCGAAGGAAACAAAAAGGCAAAATAGGGTTTGGGGACTTCCCACTACAGTAGACACTAATACACTGAGACTGGATATCTTGGGAACTTAATTTTGGACGTTCTAACAGTTTATTTGAATTCTGGATCATAACCTAGAGTAGCTACAAAATATAAGTAACATATACTTGTTGCCTATAACATCTGAAAACCTTTGCGCATAAATACATGTGTGTACACTAATGTACATGAACACACACACATATGACTATAGATAATTTCTCACCTGAAAATACCTGCCCACTTCTTTAGCAGAGTTTCACTATATTGGTCTCTGATTTCTAACAGCATGTCAAAAAGCTGATTTACAGGGAAACCATACACCTGAAACAAAATAAGAAAATCACTTCAGTGTCTAAGGAAGGAGTTTTTTTTTCGGTTTTTTTTTTTTTTGGCAAAATGAGAGGGATAAGATACTGAAAAACATTACATTCTTTGAACAGCAAATTAAATAAAACCATTTAGTAGAATCTTTCATTCACACCTAATATCTAGCATTTATCTCTCAAAAATTAAATAATACCTAGCAAAATGTTTAAGCCAGTGAGAAAAAGATGAAAATTAAAATCTATATATAAAGGGTATACTATGGGATAAGTCCTCCCTACATCCCTTCCTATAAGTCCTACTACCTATAGTAAGCGTTCACAGAAGGGAGAGAAAGTAAAAATGCTTCGAATCTCATCCACTTCTAATGCTATTCTATTAGATATAATATGTGGTTCAAATCAACCACCATTATTCAAGATGGTAGTTAAAGAAACTGCAAACTAACTCAGCTGCCATATATGAATTAAGAACATTTTGAAAAACTAATGTAGTCAGTAGTTCAATTAATTGATTTGATGTGAGAGAAAAAAAGGAGGTGGAAACTACATATGAAAACATAATGGCTCAGGGTAAAGTTCAGGAAATGCTATAAAAGAGATAAAAAGACCTAGTTCCTAGGAAAATAATAAACCCAACTTAAAACTAACAGGTAACTTATCCAAGCTTATGTAGATTTTTTTTTTTTTTTTTTAAGACAGAGTTTCACCCTGTCGCCCAGGCTGGAGGGCAATGGCACTATCTCAGCTCACTGCAACCTCCACCTCCCAGGTTCAAGAAATTCTCCTGCCTCAGCCTCCCAAGTAGCTGGGATTACAGGCACTTACCACCACATCCGGCTAATTTTTGCATTTTTACTAAAGACAGGGTTTCACCATGTTGGCCAGGCTGGTCTCAAACTCCTGACCTCAAGTGATCCGCCTGCCTCAGCCTCCCAAAGTGCTGAAATAACAGGCGTGAGGTACTGCACCCAGTCAGATTTTTTTTTTTTTTTTTGAGATGGGTCTCTATCACCCATGCAGGAGTGCAGTGGCGAGATCATAGCTTGCCACAGGCTTGGACTCCTATGTTCAGGCAATCCTCTCACCTCTGCCCCCAGAGTGCCTGGGACTACAGGAATGTGGTACTGCTACTGGTGATTTTTTATGTTTTTATTTTTTGTATAGATGGAGTCTCACTATATTTCTGAGGCTAGTCTTGGACTCTTGGACTCAAGCAATTCTCCTACCTCAGGCTTCCAAAGAACTATGATTACAGGCAAAAGCCACCAGACCCAGTCAAGAAAAAGGTTTAGAGCTGATTATAATACCAATCTAGATGAGCATATGTAAACAGAAATCACATACCTGAAGTGTGTCAGCAAAAAGCACAATGAGGTTCTTCAAATCTAACACAAGGTTTGGATCAGAACAGTAAGACTAAAGTAAATAAAAGACAAAGGAGGAAAAACATGTTATTAGTAAAAATGCAATTAAATTTTTATTTATTTAATTGTTTAGCGCTTTATCTGGCAAATTCTTTACCTGGTAAATTCTTTCCCTAGAAATAATTCAACACTTCCCTGGTACAAGGTAACACCAGGTTCAGCCAGGGAACAGCTGAGTACAGCAAGTTCAATAACCATGATCTATATTTTTAACACTTGGGAATTTAAAAATGCACTTCTAAATAACTCTTTGGTTAAAGAAGAAAACAAAATTGACACTTTTAAAAATGAACAACTATAAAATACTTCATATCAAAAACTATGGTATGTGGCTAAAACCATTTTCAAAATAAATTTGTATTTCTTTATGTAAACATCACAAAACACAAAAGATTGAAAATAAACAAACTAAGCACTGAACTGATGAAACTATGGGGGAAAGCCAATGAACCATAAGTAAATGAGAGAATAAAATTAATTAAATTAAAAACAGAACCTAATGAAATTAAAAAAGATATGGAAGATTTGATTAAATAAACCAAAGACCAAGTTAAAAATAAAATCAATTAAATAAACAAATCTTAGACAAAATTGATTAAACAATAAAGAGAAAATAAAAAACATGAGAAATACAAAAGAGAAAATAAGTACAGAGGAAAATAAAAATTACAAATAATGTCCATGTATAACCTCATATCAACAAATCAGAAAAGTTAACTGACATGGAAAATAATTTCTGTGGGCAGGATACAAAGATGTGTATGTCATTATTGTAAAAATTCATTGATTTTGAGATTCAAATTCTTTAATTATAATTTTTGTTACTTGCTCTCTCATTGGTCTCTCAAGTCCTGAAAGAGGTGTTTTGAATTCTCCCACAATTATGCAGCTTGTCCGTTTCTCTTCATATTACTAACAGTTTTTGTTTTATACATATTGATGCTTCCTTATAAAAGGGCTATTACCTTTTCATTAGATTAAAACTAGTATCGATACCAAATATCCATCTCCTATCCCATTTTAAGATCTTCAACTTCATTTCTATTTTCCTTGTAGAATACCACCACTTCCGCTTCCCCTTCTTTATTTTCAATCTTTTCAGCTAATCTTAATATATGAATATCTCCTATAAACATAGTATAAAACTTTTTAATGCTTTGTCATTTCCTAGTGATATGGTTTGGATATTTGTCCCCTCCAAATCTTACATTAAAATGTGATCTCCAGTGTCAAAGGTAGCACCTAGTGGGAGGTGTTTGGATCTCTCATGAGTAGCCCAGTGCCCTCCCCTGAGGTAATGAGTTCATATGGGAGCTAGTTGTTTAAAGAGCCTGGCAAACCCACCCCTTGCCCTTGCTCCCTCTCTCACAATGTGACACACTAACTCCCCTTTGCCTTTTACCATGACTGTAAGCTTCCTGAGGTCCTCACCAGAAGCAGATGCTGGCACTATACTTCATGTACAGCCTGCAGAACCTTGGGCAAAATAAACCTCTTTTCTTTACAAATTACCCAGTCTCAAGTATTACTTTATAGCAACACAAATGGATTGATAAACCTGGGATTACTGACATTTACGAACCTAGTAGTCAAGCCACTTTTCGATATGCTTTTTAAAATTTCCACTAGTGTTTTTATTGGGTCAGCTCTTTTTAATTATCTTTTCATGGTTAATAAATTATATCCTTTTTGCCCATTATTTACTTGAAGTAAAATTTTGAGTCTTCATTAAAAAAACAACAACAACCAAAAAAAAAACCAAAACAAAACAGAAAAAAAACACTTTTTTTTTTTTTTCCCACAGGGTTTCACTCTGTCACCCAGCCTGGAGTGCAGTGGCAGGATCATAGCTCACTGCAGCCTTGACCCCCTGGGTTCAAGCAATCTTCCCACCTCAGTACCCCCAAGTAGCTGGGGCTATAGGCACAAGCCACCACACCTGGTTAATGTTTTTTTATTTTTTGTAGAGATGGGGTTTCATTATGTTGCCCATGCTGGTCTCAAACTACTGGGCTCAAGCAATCTGCCTGCCTTGGCCTCCCAAAGTACTGAAATTACAGGCATCAGCCACCACACTTGGCCTAAAAAAACTCTTAAACATGATGTCTCTCCTTTTGTAGGAATTAATAGCATTAATTACAAATAATAATACGTCATTTAGATTTATCTATGAATTGTACTAATTTTTGGCATACATTTTATTTAATCCTATCTCATCTGATATTTTGGATTTTGTTTTTATTTTTTGAAGAATAAGAAGTTCTAGAAGATAGGATGGGTAAAGAGGCTGGGCGTGGTGGCTCACGCCTGTAATCCTGGCTCTTTGGGAGACCAAGGCCAGCAGATCACCTGAGGTCAGAAACTCTGGGCCAGCCTGGCCATTACGACAAAACCTTATCCCCACTAAAAATACAAAACTTAGCTGAGCATGGTGGCGCATGCCTATGGTCCCAGCTACTCATGAGGCTGAGGCACGAGAATTGCTTGAACCCGGGAGGCAGAGGTTGCAGTGAGCAGAGATTGCACCACTGCACCCCACCCCGGGCAACAAAGTGAGACTATATATCAAAAATATAAATAAAAATAAATACAGGATGGGTAAAGAGTAAACTTTGAATCCTCACATATTTAAAAATGCCTTTATTTTGCCCTCTAACTAAAATACAAAATTTCCAATATAAAAAATTGTCTCCCGCCATTTACCCTGTTTGACACTCAATGTATCCTTCCAACTTTAAGAATCTGCTCTTTTTTCACTACACTGGAATTTCCCCTTCTTTTATTTTATTACTACAGTCCCTTCTTTCGTCACTGTCTTTCCTTTCTAAATCTCTATTAGATACAACCAAAAGTCTACACCAACTATTCTTGTTTCTTAACTTTCCTTTCCTATTTTCTGTCTCTGTGTCTTTGCTCTCTGTATTTTGGGGTCAGCATTTGACTTTATCTTCTTGATCAGCATCATATACAGTCTCATCTATTTAATCTCTGAATTAAATATCTCAATTCTTATCATCATAAACTTCTAAGAAGCCAATTTTTACTTTGGATTCATACCATCCTTTGGCTTGCTTCCATCATTTTTCCCCTGTTATAATAACTTGGATATCTTAAGGAATCTCTCACTTGTTCTTGGCTTTGGTACTAGTTTGAAATATTATATAACAATTGTACTGTGGTACAATTAATAACTGATGAGCCAATATCAACACAAAATTATTAAACAAAACCCATAGTTTACATTAGGGTTTACTCTGTGTTATATATTCTATGGGACTTAACATACATAAATTGATATGTTCCACCATCATATTATCATTGAGAACTATTTTGCTGTCCCCCAAATACCCTGTGCTCTGCCTATTCATCCCATACCTCCATCTCCCAACCCCCAGGCAACAGGGATAGTTTTCTTGTCTCCATAGTTTTGCCATTTCCAGAATGGCATATAGTTGGGATCATATAGTATGTAGCCTTTTCAGATTGGCTTCTTTCATTTAGCAATATGCATTTAAGGTTCCTCTGTGTCTTTTCATGGATTGATAGCTCATTTCTTTATATCACTGAATAATATTCCATTATATGAATGTACCACAGTTTGTTTCTCCATTCACCCACTGACAAACATGGTTGCTTCCATGTTCTGGCAATTATAAACAAGCTGCTATACACATCTGTGTGAAGGTTTTAGTGTGGAAGTAAGTTTTCAACTCATTTGGAAAAATTCCTAGGCATACACCTGCTAGATTATATAGTAAGACTATGTTTCATTTTATAAAAAACTGTCAAACTGTCCTCAAAGCTGGCTGTACCATTTTCCATTCCCACTAGCAATGAATGAGAATTCCTGATGCTGCACATTCTCTCCAGCATTTGGTGTGGTTCGTGTTCTGGATTTCCTTGATGACATAGGATGATGAGCATCTTTCTTTTTTTTCTTTTTTTGAGACAGGGTCTCACTCTGTCTCCCAGGCTGGACTGCAGGGATACGATCGTGGCTCACTACTGCCTCAGGTTCCCGGGATCAAGAGATCCTCCCACTTCACGCTCTAGAGTAGCTGGGACCACAGGCACATGCAACCATGTCTGGTTAATTTTTTAATTTTTTTTGTAGATGGTGTCTCACTAAGTTGCCCAGGGTGGTTTCAAACTCCTGGAATCAAGTGATCTTCCTGCTTTGGCCTCCCAACGTGCTGGCATTACAGGCATGAGCCACCATGGCTGGCCTTGTTTTCTTGTTTAATTTTAAGACGTCATTGTATATTTAGAACAGCAGTCCTTTATCAGATATGTGATTTGCAAAGATTTCTCTCAGTCTGTAGCTAGTCTTTTCATTCTCCTATTGTCCTTAATTTGTATCCACCTAAATACTGAGACTTAATCAATATTTTTTCTCTCAACATTATATAAGTGGAAATAAGCCATATGTATAATTTTCTTTCTCGCTTCTTTCATTTAACATTGTACTTGTGAAATTCATGAATGCTATTGTATATAGCTATACTTTGGTTATTTTCATGCTCTCTAGTATCCAATGTTTGAGTTTAACCCAGATTATCTATTTTACTACTGATGGACATTTAAGTCATTTCTCATTTTAAAATCCAACAATGCTGGAAAGATATTCTTGCATGTTTATTATGGTGTATTATGGCAAATTACTGAAGAGAATATAGTTAGAGAAAAGTTGATCCATGGGGATCTTTAAATTTATAAGATATTACACTTTTTCAAAGTGTCTTATCAATTTAAACTTATTCCCTTCGTAGTGTATCAGAGTTTCTATTGCTCCATATCTTTATCAACATTAGTACTGTTAATTCTTGAATAATGTTACCTCATTTGGTTCTAATTTGCATTTTACCAATATACTAAGAAGACTGAACACCTTTCACATGTTTTCCCAGCCAGGTGGATTCCTTCTTTGGTAAACTGTTTGTCTTTTGCTCATTTTTTCTCTTTTGAGATGTCTATCTTTAATGTAATGATTTGGTAGGAATTCTTCATATATTCCAAATTAGTTCGTGCTGTTATATACAAATACCATTTTTCACTAAGTGGCATATTTTCCTACTCTTTTGTGAGGTTTTTTTCTTATAATTTTATTGTAGTTTGATGTTTTGTGTCTGAATCTTTTCCTTTATGGATAGTGCTTTTAGTTTTCAGTTAAGAACTCCTTCCATATCCTGAATCATAAAGATATTTCTCATATTATCTTCTAAAAGATTTATGGTTTTGGCTTTCACATTTTCATATTTTATCCACCTGAAATTCAATCTTTGGTGTATATTTTCCTCCATCATGACAGTCAGCTGTCCCATTGCTATTCATTCAAGTCTGTCTTCTATCCAATGACCTCCTATGCCACCGACCTCCTATGCCACCTAATATATATCCCAAGGATCCATATATGTGTGAGACTGTTTGAAGGTCCATTATCTATCCAATGACCATATCAGAGGATCTTAATATGATTTTTCAATTGTCTTGATATCCAAATACATTATTCTCAGTCTTAAGGAATCTCTCACTTGCTCTTGGCTTTTGTACTAGTTTGAAATATTATAATTAGGTTGTAAGGTACCCATCTTCCCTATAATAAAACTATTGAAATTTTGATTGACACTAAATTAAATCTATAGGTCAATTTTGAAAGTGCTGATATCACTGTAATAATAACTCTTCCAAACAATGAACATGGTTCATTTTTACCTAGGTCTTCTTTAACCCATTTTAATTTCTGAATGACATTTTAGAATTTCTCCACAGGGGTCCTGACTATCTTGAATACGTTTTGGAGGACTGCTTTTATTAGTTTAAGGAATTCTCTCCAGTTTCTAATTTACTAAGAAATTTTACCATAAGTTTATTGTGCATTTTATTAATTGCTTTTCTGTATCTACTGAAATGACTATATATTTTTTGTTTTTTAACCTGCAATTAAGTGCATTATATTAATACACTTTGTAATATTGAACTAAGCTAGCATTTGCTACTAGAAACTCAACCAAATATATTAATATTTGTTGTAAATGGCTGGATTCTGTTTTTAATATTTTAAGATTCCTGATTTATATTTATAAATAAGTCTGATCTATATTTATGCATTTACAAGTTCTTATACTACCCTCATCTGGTTTCATTATCAAGATCATGTATGCATTATAAAAGGAGTTGCTACAGAAGAAGCAGGATTGAGAAAAGAAAAAAACATAAAAACGCAAAAAAAATTAAGATGAATTGGCATTTCCTTGTGTCTATTCTCTGAGTATTTATGTAAGAACAAAATTGAAGATAAAACTGCCTAGATAGGAGATTTCTTTGATGGAAGAATTTTGACTGTTTTTTCTTCTACTTCTGGTTCACCTTTATCCTGAAAGGAATAGCCCTTTCCAGCTTAATGGGGGAAGGGCAGCAGATTAGACTCTCCATCTTGAATAGGCCCAAGAGGCTGTGAAAATCCAAGTTTGAGTTATGAACTCTGGACTAAGAAGTTACCTCAACGAAAAGGCAGCTTGAGTGTTTAACCTATCTATCTACTTATTTCCCTTCGATTTAGCTGAGTAATTCCTTACTATCCTTATTAAGTACTTTAAGACTTAAATGAATATCTTATATATAAAATACAGCATTTCCAATTGTTTCTGGCTGAGGGATTGGTATTAATAACCTAGTCTTCTACATTCCTAAAATCATAAATATTACTTTGTAAATTTTTCTTCCAGCCCATAATTTGTATTTGCTAAAGAACGGCCATTCTATTTGTTTATTGTTGTCTCCCATGTGATATAATTGGTTTTCTTCAAATATTTTATGACTCTTGGCTATTTGTTCATATTTTGGACTGAAGGACTAGGTTGATTAGTATAGTTGAATCTTAAAAATATCTTTTCAGTATTATCATATTATCATTAACAATCATATTAGCAGATCTTTTAATATTGAACCATTCCTGAAATGAACTCTCCTTTATACTAGGCATATTAAATCTTTTAATATATTGCTAAATTTACTAAGTGAAGTAGATTATGTAAGATCTTATGTTTTGAAATCAGCACTGAGAATGTTGCACATATTAATACATGAAATATTGAATCTTTCAAAATGTTTCAATTTATACTAATAATTTAATCAGAAAAAGTAAAGAGTAATTTTAAACAGCCATATATAATGCTAGAAAATATAGACACATTTGATAAATAATGTAGTCACATAGCCAGAGTGTTTTTGAGATTTGATTTGATGTTTGGGTTGTTCTTATTTTGTTTGCTGGGTACTACTAATAAAATAAATAGTGTCATGAAATACAGTGAGCATTTGTGGTACCAACACTCTGTCTCTTAACGTATAAAATGGTTCAATGAGTAAATCTGTGTTAATACTGAGTTGTTTCTTAATAACTTTGTCAAGATATAATTCCCATACCATATAACTCACCCATTTAAAGTACATAATTGAATAGTTTTTAATTGTTTGTATATTCACAGGTATCTGCAACCCTTATCATAGTCAAACTTTGGAAATTTTCTTTACTTTAAAATGAAACCTATGTAACAAACCTGCACATCCTGCACATGTACCCCAGAACTAAAAATTAAAATTAAAATAATAAAATGAAACTCCATACATACCCTTTAGCTATCACCTCTTTAATCCCTAAGCAACCACTAGTCTACTTTTTACCTCTACAGATCAATGCTGAACTAATGATTTTTTAAAAAGAAGGTATTTTGTCATTTATTCTTCAGTTAAAAAGAATATACAATAGATCTACAAAGAAAAACTCCCTTAAGATTAATGTTCTCCACAGATCTACACTTTGAAAAGAATCAGCACACTTGAAAAGTGTCCTGCTCTTAATAGTATCAAATAAAATTTCATGCTGAAGAAGAGAGGGTGCATTTTTGTACTGCGAGATTTAGAGATCTGTTACATTCCCAAATGTATCAGGAACACAAAAAAACATTGCTTTAGAAAAAAAAAAAAAAGACAGTGCATGGAATAAATCTGATTTCTAAAGGAAAGATAACTTTTTTCAGGAAACAAAATAAAATTAGAGAATTCAGTGAAATGGATAGATATAAAATAAACAAAATCAGAAACTTTTCACCCACAGAATGACAGTAATACTAGTTAATAAATATGATGGGGGAAAAAAAAACCTTCCACAAAATATTACCCGCAAAAAAAAAAAAAAAAAAAAAACACCTAAAAACAGTACTTTGATGGGAAGTATTATTAAATATTTTACCAAAAGACATGAAAGGCAAATAAGTAACAAAAATACATATCTTCTTTGGTGAAAAATACCAGAGCCTGAAATGTGTCAATTAATCTACAGATTTACTGCACAACCAAATTATATCTCAATTTTTAGGGGTGTGGACTAGAGGTGGAAGGGTTGTAACAAAGTGATTCTCAAGTTGACTGGAAGAATAATAAGGGGATAAATAGCATATTTTAAAAAGACGATTTAAGAGGATACACATATCTTATAAAAAATTAAGCCGGCCGGGCATAGTGGTTCATGCCTGTAATCCCAGCCCTTTGGGAGGCCGAGGTAGGCGAATCACCTGAGGCCAGGAGTTCAAGACCAGCCTGGCCAACATGGCGAAATCCCATCTCTACTAAAAATACAAAAAAATTAGTCGGGCATGGTGGCAGGCACCTGTAATTCCAGCTACTTGGGAGGCTGAGGCAGGAGAACCACTTGAACCCAGAAGGCAGAGGTCGCAGTGAGCTGAGATCGCACCATTGTGCTCCAGCCTGGGTGACAGGCAAGACTCTGTCTCAAAAAAGTAAATAAATAAATAAAAATAAATAAAATAAATAAACAAAAATTAAGCCACACAATGTCAGATACAATAATCACAATGTTGTATTGATTCAAGGAGCGAGAATTCAAATCATATGACCTAGAAATAAACCTGAGTGTATACATAATATAATATATAAAAGGTAGCCTTCAAAATATGTAGGGAAAGGAGAGATGGACAGACTGTTGTTTCTGCCCCCAAAACTCACCTATTAATGCCCTGTCTCCCAGTATGGCTATATTTGGAGATGGGGCCTTTGGGAGGTAATTAACATCAAATGAAGTGATACAGGTGAGGCCCTAATCCAGTGGGATTGTTCTCCTTATAAAAAGAGAAGGAGAGAGCAATCCTTCTTCAGCAGGCATACACTGAGGAAAGGTCAAGTGAGGACAGAGTGAGAAGGCAGCCTTCTGTAAGCCAGGGAGAGAACCCTCACCAGTAGCTGACCATGTGGACACCTTAATCTCTGACTTCCATTCTCTAGTACTATAAGAAAATAAATTTCTGTCATTTAAACCACCCAGTCTATGATATTTCCTTACAGTAGCCTGAGCCCACTAAGACAGTAGATTATCACAATGATGTTATTGGAAGTGATGAGTCATTTTCAAAATAATTAAAGAGAGTCCAATCTCATACCCTATGCTAAAATAAATTTTTTATGGTTGTAGAAAAAGGAACTACAGAAATACTAAAATCAAATAAAGATAAACACATATGCTTTGTAATGAAGAACACATAAATTATAAAGTAAATATCAATAAAATTAACTACTCAAAAACGTTAAAACTTTTTGAAGCTGCAGAAAAGGTAAGAGACATTAAATTAAGAAAAAATATTTACAACATATTGTCAGATGAGGTTAATATTAACAGCTAATGTCCATGTTTTAATAATATATAGTAAAATATTTAAAAACATGAAAATATAAGATAAAGACAATGTATATGAACAAGAAATTCTATGAAGATATACAAATGACATGGAAGAGATTTTCAATATCAGTATTAATTTTTCCTTTATTTATTTCTTTTTATTTATTTATTTATTTTTTTGAGACAGAGTCTTGCTCTGTCACCCAGGCTGGAGTGCAGTGGCACTGTCTCAGCTCACTGCAGCCTCTGCCTCCTGGGTTCCAGCAATTCTCCTGCCTCAGCCTACTGACTAGCTGGGATAACAGGCACATGCCATCATGCCTGGCTAATTTTTGTGTTTTTAGTAGAGACGGGGTTTCACCATGTTGGCCAGACTGGTCTTGAACTCCTGACCTCAGATGATCTGCCCTCCTCGGCCTCCCAAAGTGCTGGAATTACAGGAGTGAGCCAACATGCCCGACCTAATATCAGTATTATTTTTTAAAAGCATAATAAAATAAGATACAATTTCTGAAATTAGAAATTATTTTCTGTTTTTAAACATAACTTTCTGTGGAATAAAAAGAATAGGGAAATAGGCATTCTAGTAGATGCTGCTCAGAGTGTTAAATAGTTCAATAGTTTGGGAGAGCAAATGAGCAATACCTAGAACCTAAGAAATGTCCAAATACTTTTACTCACTATTTTCATTTCTTAAGAACTTGCTCTAAGTCCTTACACATAACCATGTGTAAGGACATGGTTATAACAGTATTTACTGCAATGCTTTTAATAGCTAGAAAAAAAACAAAACCAAAAACTTTCTTAAAAGCCCAAAATATCAAATGAATCAATTAAAAATAATAATATAATCCTACAATGCAATATTATATATATTAAAATTAAATCATATTCATCAGACATTAAATGAAAAACACAGCATGTTCCTACTTAAAACCCATTATATATTGTATAGTTTATTTATATATTAAAAAAGGGACTTTACATTTATATATCAGAAAGCTAATAATAACCATGCAAGGGATGATGACTAAAATGTTCTTAATAATCAAAATTTCTATTCTAATATAGAAACATATTTTTATAATGTTTATATGTTAGAACATACAACTCAATGGGGAAAAAGTAAGGCACTCAAAAAATGATCCGAAGACAATGGGTGCACTACCACTACAAAAAAAATGAGATCCTTAATCATACTATAAATGAGAGTAAACAACAGGTGGTTGTAAACATATAAATGTGTAAAAATCTAATTATAAAATAGTTAAGCAACTTTTTAAAAATCTCAGAACACACAAAAACATGTAAAAAACATTTCAAGTTTGCCAGATTTTATTATAACAGAAGAATAAAATGATAAAAATGTCAGATCAAGTCCTTGGTTACATACGTAAAATGAGAGAAAATTAAACTTAAGTATTATCAGATATATAAATATTTAAAAGTTCTGTATACTATAACAAAAACCATAAGCAAAAATAAAAGGAAAGAAATATTTGCAACATATTCAATAATGACATATCCTCTTTGGATCAAACCCACATACATATTAACCAATCTCCTAGAACTTGCTGCTTAGATGGCACAAAGGCATCACAAAGTAATCATTTCGAATGTAAACTCATCATCTCCCCGCTCCAAACTATCAAAACTGCTAACACTATCATCCAAGAAAGGAAACCATTCACCTAAGCATTTCCTTGATAGTTCTTTTCCTTTTACCTCTTATATCTAATCCATCAGAAAGTACAATTAATCTTACTTCCTAAAAATCTCTTGAATTCAACCATATCTCTCAATACTTACTATCACTCCTTGACCCAAACTATCATTATCACTTGCCTGGAATACTAGACTAGCCTAGTAATTGTTTTTGAATTCATTCTTACCCCTCATCCACTATCCACACTTAAGCCAAAACAATCTTTCAAAATGAAAATCTGATCATCTTACTCCATGTTATCCCACCTTCACCTTGAACACATCTATACGTAACACATTCCATTCAGCCCACTGTTTAAAAGGTCAAGTAGATTCTAAATAACATGGCATCTACCTACTTCTCTTTTCTTACTTCACCCTATGTTCTATCCACTCTGGACTTCTTTCAGGTCTCTGAGAGGGCTATGTTCCCTTAAAATAGGTTTTTACACACAGTATTTACTCTGTCTGGAACACCTGCTGATTAATTAGAAAAGAGAGTTCATGGGTCATGGATGATTTTTAAGTTTCTAGCTAGCACAACTAGATGGATACTACAGTCACTTAAAGAAATTGTTTTAATGCTAAATTATCTTCCGTCATTGACTCCTCACTATTATTCCTCAAACACTTTGAGATAAGAGCCCTTGCACTACTGTTCTTTAGGACTAAAATGATCATTTAATTGGTCTTCTTTGCATAAATGGTGACTCATTGATATTCTAATCTCAGAGTGCCACTTCAAAAGCAAACACCCTGTTTCCTAATCTGTCATTCTATTTTCATTGTCTGCATTGCATGATCACTGTCTGACATTCTTGTTACATGTTTATTGGATATCTCTTCCAATCAAAATATAACTCTCTGAGAGCAAAGACTATCTATCTTGTTCATTGTCATATTCCCACTGCCAAAGCATAATCAATCTTTAAGAAACACGGAAGGAAGGAAGGAAGGAAGGAAGGAAGGAAGGAAGGAAGGAAGGAAGGAAAGAAGGAAGGAAGGAAGGAAGGAAGGAAGGAAGGAAGGAAGGAAGGAAGGAAGGAAGGAAAGAAGGAAGGAAGGAAGGAAGGAAAGAAGGAAGGGAATTCAGAGCCAGCATTCTATAACTGAAATAAAGTGGATTATCACCAAAAATATATGCCACATTAAAATATATCAATAGATCATGGGAACAGAACATTGGGCAGCTTAATATGTTATGAACTTTTTTTTTCAAAAGGTAACAGTAGAACTGTGAACTCCAAATCAGTGTTTATAATATTAACAGGCACTATAGAAGGCAAAATGGTATAGTGGCTAAGAACATGGGCTCTAGAGTCAGACCATCTGGGTTTCAATCCGACTTCTACTTCTTATTGTATGGCATTAGGCTGGTTACCTAACCTCTCTCAGGTTCAATTTCCCAGACTATAAGGTAAATATAATAATAATAATAATACCTACCTTTCTAGGGTTGTATTGAGGATGAAATAAGAGAATATGTATGAAGTAAACAGAACAACGTCTGACACATAGAGAGAATAATCAATAGATATTAGCTGCTATTTTCTTATTGCAAAGGGCTTCTATAAAAGTGAGCTCAGTGGTAGAAAATGTGATAATTTGAAGCAGCTACTTCTATGTCTTTGAAGGACATCTATAGCTCCAAGTGAGTGATTCCAAAGACATACATATGTTGATTTTAAAGCAGTAAAACACTGAATATATAGATAATCAGCTCTAAATAACAACTTCCCTTGGGCTTCTTACATACCGAGTGGGTACGGAGTGCTGCGATGGTTTTTGAAAGTGCCATTTCCCACAGTTCATCAATGTAGGCTCTATTTACTAAGCCCTGGGTTGTATGTAAAATGTGATCTTCAACCACAAAAAAGCTAAGATTGAGGAAAAAAGAAAGCACAGCTGTCAGAAATTACAGTTTTATTACTCTCTCTGGGGTTTGACAAGCATTAAGAGATACCATCAAATGCAAAGTTAGTGGTCATTTTTTTCTTGAAGAAACTTATTCAGTAGAATAAATGAAATCAGACTACTTGGACCAAAAATTATGTCTGTGATCATGACATCTTCATAACCACTCCTAGAGAGATCAGAGTTACATTTCTATTAAATTTCTATTAAATGTTAACAATGCTATCCAGTAGTTTAAAAGAGAGGAAAATGTGTAGAGGTAATGGAGGCAAATTTTGTTATATTAAGAAAATACCCAGCCATCAATGCATTTCAAAAAAACAAATTTTAAAGAGATCATAAAAGCTAATATATACATCATATATATATATAATGTATTCTCTATATATTTTAAGAATCCAATGCACAAAATATCAAAATAATTCCCATCATGTGGACTCTATCATCAAAGTCTTGAAAAGGCATCATACAAAGGTTTCAAAAATGTGAAGTTACGTTTGAACAATCTTGTGGCTTTTTGTTATTATGCATTTAAAATGTAGCCTGCATTGTCTTGCCTAAATATTCATATTAATGAAAAAAGTCTTTATTAGGGAATTTTTATGATATATTTTAATAACTACTAATTACATTGAAACAATTTAAATCTGAAAAAAATAAACCTGATGAAGAATCCAAGTTATTTCCTTTTCTTTTAACTGCAAAGTCATTATTTTGCAATTAGAACAAGCTGCCAGTATTGGGATGTTTATTTGGGAAATGTAATTCCGTACCACTATATACACCCTAGATGAGGGTGGCAAACTATATAGCCTATGGGATAAACCTAGCCCACTGCCTGTTTTTATAAAGATTGTTTTATTGGAACATAGCCATGCTCATCATTTACGTATCATCTATAGCTACTTTTGCACTATAACAACAGAGCTAAGCAGTTGTGAAAGAGACCATATGGCCTACTAAGCCTAAAATATTTTACTATCTGGCCCTTTTGGAAAAAGTTTGCCAACTTTTGCTGATTATTTGGTTCCATTTACCAAAAACAAAGAAACAAAACATCAAGTGTAATAAGATTACAATTCAATGTTTTTCTCACTTTATCCACAAAAATGCCCTCCAGCAATATAAAGTTGAAACCAGCAGGGTGTTCCTTTTAAATCATTAGAAAATCAAAAACAAATCTTGTCTTAAGGATTAAAAAAAAGAAAATGAAAAGAATTTCCTAAGGAAAACCTGATTTATTTTTCCAACATTCACAACTCTATGTATGGAAAGAGTATAAATTTCAATAAATAAATAAATAAATAAATAAATAAATATATATATATATATATATATACCTACCCTACAATTTGATTAAAATACTTCCTGTAGCCATCTAAAGTTTCATGCTGCAACAAAGCAAAGAAGAAAAAGTTATTGTTTCTGTTTTGTTACATTAAGACTAAGTTAAAATCAGTCACTTAATCTCTTAAGGCTCAGCTCCCTAGATGATATCTGATAAGGTAAAAATAATAATATTATCTACCAATGAAGAGGAAATATGACAGCACATATCTAGTACTTAGAACAGTGCCAGACACACAGCAATCAATAAATGTTTTCTTACTGCAAGTCACATCCACCAAAAGTGGTCTCAGAATGACAGTAAACACACACACACAGACACACACACACACACACACACACACGCATCAAAAGACATCAAGGAGGAAAAGTAAAAATGTGAGAAAAGTGAAGATGGTAATCCTACCATGTTAGATGGAGGTTGAAGTACCAAACGAGCCTGTTTTCGCCTCTGTTTTCGGTAGTAATTCTCAAATGTTTCCCGGGCACCCTGTAAATAAAGAAAAGAAAATGGGTTGACACAATTGGACCAATTACTCTTTTATTTCAAGGGAAAAGAGAAGGTCCCAGGTCTGGAATTTGAGGTAGTATCACATTTCTCAAAATCTGCTATTTTAACATTGATGATAACAATAGAAAATACAAATAACTATTACCATGTATTGAACCTTAGTTACAAACCTGTAAGGATGTGTACAAAATATCCTTACAAGGAACCTACCAGAACTTAATCACCAGCACACCAAAGCTGGTTTCTGAATCAACTGTCTCAAATTCACAAGAATGCAGGGAAACCAACCTTTCCATAAGTTATGATAACAGGTAAGAAAATGCTCCTTAAAAAACTCACAGAACATTCCAGAAGAAAAACATCAAGAATAAAAATGAATCATGAACAAAGGGGCAATGGGAAGCAGGAAAAAAGCAGGAATTGAGAACAGTAAATTAGTATTCCCCCTTAGGTTATAATCCAGCACAGGATTAAACCCAAAAAACAAAAACAAAAGCATGAAGATTCCTGGTGCACAGCCCCACTTTTCGTTTAGGGTTTCTGGGCTTAAAATGAGAAGTGCTCTACATAATAATATCTGACTCATGAGCTGTGTACTGGGTTGAATAGTGGTTTCTCCAAATTCATGTCCTTCGTGGAACTTCAGAATGCAACCATATTTGGAAATAGGGCCATTGTGATGTAATTGGTTAAATTAAGATGTGATCCTATCAGTGGAGGGTGGGACCTTAATAGAGTATGTCTGGTGTCCTGAAAGCCGAAAAGAATAGACACAGAGACACATGGGGAGAACACCACGTGATGACAGAGGCAGAGAATAGAGTGATGCAGCTGCAAGCCAGGGAACATCAGAGATTGTTGATCACCAGCAGGCACTAGAAAAACACAACAAAAGATTCTACCCAGTCTCAGAGAGAAAATGGCCCTTATCATGCCTTGAGTTTGGAATTCTAGCCTCCAAAACTGGGATAGAATACATTTCTGTTGTTTTAAACCACTCAGTTTATGGGGCCTTGTTACAGCAGCTCTAGGAAATGAATACAAACTCAGTGTGTTTAGATTATCACACCCCACTTATTACTGAATTCTTCTACTTTTATTTTTACTTTTATTTTTTTTGAGACAGCATCTCACTCTGTCACCAGGCTGGAGTGCAGTGGCACAGTCTCGGCTCACTGCAACCTCTGCCTTCTGTGTTCAAGAGATTCTCCTGCCTCAGCCTCCTGAGTAGCTGGGACTACAGGTGTGCGCCACCATGCCCAGCTAATTTTTGTATTTTTAGTAGAAACAAGATTTCACCATGTTGGCCAGGATGGTCTCGATCTGTTGATTTTGTGATCCACCTGGCCTCCCAAAGTGCTGGGATTACAGGCCTTAGCCACCACGCCCGGCCCTGAATTCTACTCTTAATCCAAAGCTTTTCTAAATAAATAAGAGTAAAAATGAAAAGAGAGAATACCAGTGGTAAAGAGAACTGACTTTGGAACCAGAGACTATTATTACATTTGAATAGTGACTCTGCCCCTTACTAGCTGTACAACTGCTATAAATAGCACTATAACTTCCTACCACTAATTTAAGTTCCACTATTTAACTTTCACTAATAAGTGTGCCATGGTTTTCTCATTTGTAGAGATGCCAACATCATATGGTTGTAATGAGGATTTAGAGGAGTTATAAAGCTCTTAGAACAGTATCTCATGCAAGCGCTTATTTTAAAAATAAATAAGATAAAATCAATGATTAAAGTAAAAGCCCTGCCCACCTAAAAAAAGTATAAATGCCACGCAATACCTAGTTTAGTTTTCCTCTGCCTTCCTGAAAAATTGAAGAACTTTATTCAAGATGATTTATTTGTTAGATTCCCAAACTGGTCCTAAAAAATTGGGAAAGTCGACTTAAGGTACTAGTCATGGAAAGACACTAATGTAGCTCAGGGGTTGGCAAACATTTTCTCTAAAAGGCAGGATAGTAAATATATGAGGGGTTGGTGGACAGCTACTCAATTCTGCTGGTGTAGTGCAAAAGCAGCCATAAACAAGACATAAACAAGTATGGCTGTGTTCCAATAAAACCTTGTTTATGGAAACAAATTATAATTTTGCACAGTTTTCACCTTTCATTAAATATTCCTTTTCTTTTGATTTTAAAAATGTAAAAAACATTTTTAGTTCACAGGCCCTTCAGAAACAGGCAACAGGCTGGATTTGGTTCATGGGTTATGGTTTGTTGAACCCTGGTGTAGCTTAAAAACAACAGTTTTAAAGTTCTAAAGTGATTATAACTGTATACACCCGAGTTTTTCCTTCCTAGAAAATGAAATCGAACACTAGGACAGCATTTCAAAGCTTTTTTCATCCATACATTAATGAGGAGGCAAATGATTCCATTTAAGAAATAAGAGGAAACTGTTAGTTGGTTTGTTAAAGTTATTCTCAAGTTGTCACCATTTCACAGCATAGTAGTATTATTAAATCTTAATTACATTCTGTATACACTAAAGGGCTTTTTATTTTAAGGTTAACAGCCCTAAAGGACCTTTATTATTGTAGTGTGACATTACATATTCAATATGCTTTGGAGCCAAGACACACTTACTTGAGAATTTAGAGAAAGCATTCCTCTAATTATACCACACTATACTCATTTAATTTTTTGTTATAAATGATAGAAAATACATAAGATGGAATTCTATATAAAAACCAAATCATGAACTTCTACTTAATTCTAAACTGGGTGTAGCTTTGCTTTTCAAGTATTCCTCAATAGGATAAAAACAAAAGACAAGACCAATTTATCTAATAGGTCTGGCTTCCCATTTACAAAAATGAGCTGGAGTTTCCTTAGTGGCTGCTAAATTCACCTTTCATTATTCTATTCCCTCTGCCAATTTTGTCAACTCAATACTTAAAGGTGGAATTTGAGACGTAGATGTTTGACCAGTCCAGTTGAGTAATTGGTGCAGTGCCTGTCTATTCACAGAGAGGTCACTAGATGAGCTACAGAGGTTTCACTTAAGCTCCAAGCTCTTTCAATCATTAACATTTTTTAAAAAGCTGCTGAAGACATAAGCAAATAGATATAAAACAATAAGCAGGCAAGTAAAACTTGGATTTTTTCCTACTTTATATCATTAGTATTACACTGCTCCAAAAGTTTTGTGTTAATACACACAATCTCACCAAAAACCAAGTCACTTAATATATACTAAGTGGTTACCATGTGATTGGCACACTGAGAACAGTACCTGTACTTACTGAATTTATAGACTATGGAAGACTGACAAACAAGCAATTATATTAAAATGAACTACAGAATCCTATGGATTAAAGTAGGGTGTGTGTGTGTGTGTGTGTGTGTGTGTGTGTGTGTGGTGGGTGGGGGAAGTGTCAACGAAAGCTTCTTCGAAAAATGATGTTTATACTTCTAATTGACGAATGAGTCAGAAGAATAAGCCAGAAAGAGAGAAAGGGAAAAAAGTGTTCCTGGAGGAGACAAAGAGGCTGAATGGAAAAAAAGGCATCACATATCCTAAGAATCTGAAAGAAGTTCTCCATGGCTGGAACTTGAGGTGTAAAGTACAGGGCTGACAAGAGATGAGGCAGGAAAGCTTCATAAATTATGTTAAGGTATTTGTACTGTAGCGACCATAAGAGTTTTAGATATTTTGGAAGTTGTACTGCAGAGAGTAAAGAAAGGGAAAAATTAAAATTGAAAAGATCAGTCAGAATCTGAGACGTATTTAGGAGGTTTAAGCTGGAAATTAATTGGATATGGGTGATAAAGAATAGGAAGGAAAGAAGGCTGATACAAAGTTTCTAACCTGGGTAACTGGTTTGACAGTGGTTTCATCTGTGAGAGAGGGAACATAAGTAGATGGAATAAACAGTACATCATTATTCACAGATTCTGTATTTGTGAATTTGCCTACTTGCTAAAATTTATTTGTAAACCCAAAAGCAATACTCATAGTTCTTTCATAGTCATTCAACAGACATGTGCAGAGGGGTGAAAAATTTGAGTTGCCTAATGCACATGTTCCTAGCTAAGGTTTAAACAAGGCAATGCTCTGCCTTCTTATTTTAGTTTTCATATTGTAAACGGGTGTCATTTTCATAGTCTATCCAGTGCCACATTTTTTACATTTTTGCACTTTTTGTTGATGATTTTGCTGTTTAAAATGGCCCCCAACCATAGTACCAACGTGCTGTCTAGTGTTCCTAAGCTCAAGAAACAATATGTGCCTTTGAAAGAAGGCACAAGAAAACTGTGATGTGCCTTACAGTGAAAACCAACATGGTAGATAAAACTCCTCTCAGGCATGAGTATAGTGCTGTTCGCTATGAGTTCAATGTTAATGAATCAACAAGATATATTAAATAACATGTCCTTAAGCAGAAACACTCATAAATCAAGGTTATGCATTCATTGGTTGATGAAAATGTGACCAGAAGCTCACAGGAAACTAAACCTGTATTTCTCCTAAAAGCAATGGCTCAGTATTCGCTCACTCAGTGTTTCCAGTGACTTTATAGAACATAACTATCACGAATAATGAGAATTGACTATATTTGGGAAGATTAATAATGATGACTTCTGTACTGGGCATATTTAATTGATGACTTCCAAGTGCCAAGTGTTTGGGAACTGACATATTTGCGTCTATAGCTTAAGAGAATCATAATCATTAGCAGAGAGATAGTAATAAAGGCCCTTAGAGAAAGGGCTCTAAGAAATGCTTGTAGAATTAAAGTACAAAAGAACCTAGCACAAAACTCCAAAGGACATGGGCCATGAGGAAATGTGTGGCTCTTTCTGATAACTCAAACATAACTTTGAACATCAACTACTTAGAAAAGACTTTTCTACTACTCAGCTTAAAATGGAAAATTTTCCCTAACACATAACCCTTTTAATTCTTCAGTTAGCACGTATCTCCATCTGATATTGTTTACTGTCTGTCTCCTCTTGTTAGGATGCAAGCTCCATGAGAAAAAGTCTCAGTTTATCTTGTTTATTGTTGTATTCCCAACTCCTACAACAATGCCAGACACATAACTGGTATGCAATTTTCAATAAATGATCAAAAGTGTGAATAAATTATTAATCTATAATTTATTATAAGCCTCTACTTTCATATTTGCCCTTCATCTCCTACTGCAATAATCATTTACTTGTAAGTATTCCTATTCATCTCCTCATGTAATTTTTCGATCTCCATTTATTCTTCTAAAGTTTTTTGTTCCTGTTTCATAGAGGCAATTCTTTTTAAGAATTTTCTTTTGATTCCTATAGAAAATCACTTTTAGCATCACATTTCTTCTGGATTTTTAGGATGATGTTCTTTGATCCCTTCTATTCAATACATTTTCTCAGACAACATTTTGTTTTGTTTTCCCATTTACTCTATTTTGAATGAGAGGAGCTTTCAGGCTTGGTTTGTGGTTTGCATTTAGCCCATTCACCATTTATCTGGCTATAGATCTAACATCATTATGGAAGTGGCAACTCATAGGTTGATGTGCCCAGGTCCAAAGACATGCCAAAGGCAATCTACAAACTGATTTCAGCATCCAGCAAGCAATTGGCCTATAAAATATGAGCAAATATTCTCCTGCCACACAGTTGCCAGTGTTTAATAATCTGAACTTCTTAAACTGAATAAAAACCAGAGTTAATACAGGATCTTCCTATATGTGCTCTTGTATGGCACTATTATTTTGAATATTCTCCAGCACAGGATGAACTGTACAGCCACCAGCAGTACCCCAATTCCCCAATTCCCCAATTCCCCTTATCCCATACTCTGAGAGCTTAAAATGGAAACTCCACACACCACAAGGGTTGCCAACTGCTATGGTCTGAATGTGTCCCCCAAAATTAACATGTTAAAACTTAACCACCAACATAGTAGTAAGAGATGCGGCCTTTAAGAGGTGATTAAGTGATGAGGGTAGGGCCCTCATGAATGGAATTGGGACCCTATAAAACAGTTTGAGGGAGTGGGTTTGCACCCTCCCATCTCTTCTGCCATGTGGGCAGAAGAGTTCCTCCCCTCCATTCCTCCCTCTGGAGGATAAGGCAATAAGTTGTCATCTAGAAGAAAAGAGCAGCCTTCACTAGACAAAAGAACCTGTTATTGCCTTGATCTTGGACTTCTCAGCCTCCAGAATCCTAAGAAATAAGTCTCTATTGTTTATAAATTACCCAATCTGTGGTATTTTGTTATACCAGCACAAATGGACTAAGACACTGGCTAATGTATTCATAAATTCAGGATCCTATTTTCAAGCTAGAAGGCATACAGTGGGAAAGGTAAAAAATATCTTCTGACTTACAATTTGCTCTGTTTATAACAGCAAAACACATCACCTAACAGCTAGATTTCTCAATCCAGTCAATTGGCCCAACAGAGAAAATTTTACTTAAATTCAGACAAAATGTTAATTATCAGCCTTACTTATTAATGGTGTAACTTTTCAGATTTTTATGCATCTAAAGTATTTTGGTAAGAGTTAAGAAAGACAGACATAGAAGGCAAGCAAGGCTTTGTTTAACTTTTTTTTTGAGATGGAGTCTCGCTCTGTCACTCAGGCTGGAGTGCAGTGGTGGGATCTCAGCTCACTGCAACCTCCGCCTCCCGGGTTCAAGCGATTCTCCTGCCTCAGCCTCCTGAGTAGCTGGGACTATAGGTGCATGCCACCACGCCCGGCTAATTTTTTGTATTTTCAGTAGAGACAAGGTTTCACCATCTTAGCCAGGATGGTCTCAATCTCGTGACCTTGTGATCCACCTGCCTTGGCCTCCCAAAGTGCTGGGATTACAGGCATGAGCCACTGCACCCGGCCAGTTTAAAGTTTTTTATATTGAATCCATATATACCATCTGGAATTTAACCTAAATACTAAAGACTGTATTATTATAAAGAAATCTCCACAACAATTTTTTTTATCATTTAGTTAAAAAGAAATGATATAAGAAGGGCTAAATAACCACAGCACATATCCTATATTTCCTTAGTGGCCAAACAAGAGAAAAAATATTCTCCAAGCCCTGTTAAGCTCTTCTTCAATTCACTGGCTACTTGATTTACTAAATTCATATTTAATTTAAATATTTAATATTATATCACACCCTATGTACTACCTGGGGAAGGGCGCAAATGGTCAAATGCTCCAAAAGCCATTGCTGTTCCCGAAGTCTAATAATTAATCCTATCACTGGGTTTTATCAAAAAATAACACACTTCTCAGGCAACATTGGAAATAGTTTCTTTTTTTTTAACCTTTTGTTTATAGCTGTGTTTTCTACGTTGTTTATCTTTTTAAGTCATTTATTACAAAAGTAAAATATGTGACTTGTAGAAAAACTAGATAACACAAATTGGGCAAAAAGAAAAAATGAAAGCCATTCATGATCTCATAATGCTTACTTTTTGATGTACTCCCTATTCGATATATTTTCTCAGATCTCGTTTTGTTTTATACTGTTCTGTTTTCCCAACTCTATTTTAAGCAAGATGACATCTTTCTAGATCATACTTTCTTTCAGGCTTTGTTTGTGGTTTGCATTTAGCCCATTCACCAAGATCTAATATCCTTACAGACTTTCCCCTTTTCTAAATAGATAGCTATTTCACATGTAATGTACATATACACGCATATAAATAAGGTCATATTCTATATACTCTTTTCATTGAACTTTGCATACAAAAATCTGTTCTCCAGCATCATAATTTAGCATGATCCACTTTCACTCCACAACAGTGTTCCAACTCCTTTTCTTCCAACACATTGCTACAAACTGTCACCATACAAATGCTAGAACTAACATGGGCTCTGAATGAATGCTTAAAAATAAAAATAAAAACACAAGTGACAACTTTGAATTCTTCTCCATGTGTCCAGACACTTGTCTGGATAAAAACACAGGCCACTCAATATGGGCAAATGAATGAGGCTTGTTTTTGCATATAAAAGTAGTAAAATTTACTACTAATAAAACTCAAAGCTGAATTTTAGCTGCTGTAGGTTACAAATGTACACCAGTAATCAAATAAGTCAGAATCACATGATCCCATTCTTGGGAGAGAAAGAAACGGCCAGATGAAACACCTTTCCAAGGATTTCCTTTTCTTCATGAAATGTGACAATGTTCATCATATACACAGACATCCAGAACATTTCAAACCATTATTGAGCTCCATGCCTCTAAACATTAGTGGCATCTTACATCCTTATTTTTGCAGGGAAAAAAAATTTATACTGAGAAATACTACTTCATATGGGCAATATATCTACACAGCAGGCAGAAAGGGACAGACCTTATATTCTCTTCATTAAGATTTACGGCTGGGCGCGGTGGCTCACGCCTGTAATCCCAGCACTTTGGGAGGCCGAGGCGGGCAGATCACGAGGTCAGGAGATCGTAGCCATCCTGGCTAACACGGTGAAACCCCGTCTGTACTACAAATACAAAAAGAAATCAGCCGGGCGTGGTGGCAGGCGCCTGCAGTCCCAGCTACTCGGGAGGCTGAGGCAGGAGAATGGCGTGAACCCGGGAGGCGGAGCTTGCCATGAGCCGAGATCACGCCACTGCACTCCAGCCTGGGCGACAGAGCGAGACTCCATCTCAAAAAAAAAAAAAAAAAAAAAAAAAGATTTACTATGCCATTATTTGGCTAAACAGCTCCTTATCTACTGGCTATTTCCTGGTAGACATTGGTATGGGGTCTATTGGAGAGTGGGCTGAGTTCTTCACATCTGTCACAATAACAGAAAATTAACTCTTGGATTGAGAAGCAACTAAGGACAACCATACAAAGAACAAGGGAAGGGAAAGGAAGAAGGGAAGCACACACCATTATTCTTCCGCTTCTGCCTACAGGAAGCAATATTTCCACTAGGTCTTGGGGAAAGCCTGTAATTTCACCACCCTGACTGCAGCTGGAACTCCCTTTTAACTGTCACGGCATCCAAGTGAAGACAGGTTTATACAGAGTTTAAAAAAAAAAAAAAAAAAAAACTGAAAGGGCCATTTTAATTTGCTTCCATGTGAAAAGGGGAGTACTTTTCATACAGCCCCATAATGATGTTCAGCGGGATATTACACTTCACCATATGGCTAATTTGCACAGCAGGCTCAAAGCAGAATTTTCTTTCATTAGAACTGCCCTAAAGATTAGACTACAAAAATATGTGAAAAGAACAAACCCAAGATGCCCCCTATTGCTTAAATCTAGGAACACTGAATTCCCAGATGTAAAATCCAATTCACAGTGTTCCCATGACAAGGTCATTCAAGAGTCATGATGGTATGTGTCACAGCTCCATTTCTATGTATTAGGGCTTTGAAAAATGTCTAAACCACAAGTTTACCTATATAATAAACCTGCATGTGTACCCCAGACCTTAAAATAAAAGTTTAAAAAAACTTAACTGTATGTTTTAAAATAACTTAAAAAATGTAACTGGATTGTTTGCAACTCAATGAATAAATGCTTGAAAGGATGGATACCCCATTCTTCATAATGTGCTTATTTCACATGGCACACCTATACCAAAACATCTCATGTACCCCACAAATATATACACCTAGTATGTACCCACAAAAATTAAAAAGAAAAATGTCTAAACTTCAAGAGCCACAACATTGTCAAAACACCTCACAAAAAAACTGTATATGGAGAAAGGATACTTGCTTTGATAGATAATTTATCATTAAAAATATCATTACTTCCAAAGGCCCCAATTCTTGTTATCACTCAATTAGCCTACAGAACTAATCTACATAAACTAGTGACCCTTATTTGAAGAGAGTAGAGGCAGTCTGATGTTCTAACAGAGCCCTGTTTATTTTTAAGGTTCCCTTATAACCTGTTTGTCTTGGCATTTCCTCCTGCTGCTATATCCCAAGCATGAGCCATAGGAGAGCATCCCCTCCGGGGACCGACAGAGTCTGCAGAATTTTAAAAAAAGAAAAGAAAGAAATCTGATGTTTGATGATTATGGAGTAGTTGAGTCTGTGCTTTTGAAGAAAGTAAACATTATGATTAACAATCTTGGCCTTTGTAATTAGCTTCCCCTTTCCAAGACAGAGTGTTAATTTATTAAATATTTTAACAAAGAGTCTTTTATTATCAGATTCAGTTTGGCTGGCTCCTTTCATAGCATTACCAATTACAACCAATAAAGCTTTAATTGATGACTACTTTTTATAACCTTTGACCCAAGATGATAAACAGTTGTAACTTAGAAGCGAAAGGGTAAACCTCAAAGGGAATGGTTCTTAATCATACTTAGCAAACCAAACTGCTTAAAATTACAACTTACCTACCTGGCTAGAACAACAACAACAACAAAGGCAGACTTCCTCAATGATGAAGGTTAATTCATTAGAAAAAAAATTTGGATTTCACTTTTAAGATAAGTATCCCTTTTGTTAGGGAAACCCTAACCTGAATTATCTGCATATAACTGTGCACCTTAATTACCTAATTATTCAAAGAATATGATTTAATCAATTTGTAGACAAGAACATTTTTAATATAAAACAAATAAGGTGCAAGTTATTTTACTATTTAAAAAAATCATTAAGACTAAAATTACATCTCCCCACCACCCCCAAATCCCATCATTTTCTTCAGCGGTCCATAACATACCAGTTACAACTAAGGGTATGTGAGAACAGAAATAAACCAAATTATTTGCCCAGAAATAGGACACCAAAAATTCTTAACTGAGTGTCTGCATATGATGAGAAAGGAGAGTCATTGCTTTTATTACCATGAACAAAATGAGGCTTTTCTATATTTTCTCCAAAGAACTATTCCAAAAGTTGGTAGTTTTCTAAAGTTATTATTCATATACCCAATTTCACACTTGCCAATTTTTAAGTCTTTTCTGACCTAACTTACACTTGTCAATCTTCTAAACTGCTAAGGTAATTCACAGTTTGGAAGTTTAAAATTTTCCAGACAAATAACTTAATCTGTTTCACGTTGCCAAAAGGAATAGAGGCTCTGAACAATTTCTAAAGGGCCAATAGGAAAATGTGGCATTTAAAAATGTAAATTAAAATAATACCAACATGTTACAGATGAAGGCAGTGAGAGATTGTTAATAGTCCTCATAATGGAAAGTACTGGCTTAAACAGAAGGTACAGTATAAGATTTTATACAAAAAAAAAACTAGGCATATAGCTTCTAAGTGACTTCCCATGTACATAAGGAAGTCAATGCCAGGAAAAGCACAAAATCTGAGGCTCAAAGTACTTTATAAACTGAGAGCTATACATGTTATTTTTATGATATATAAATGTATGTAATGGATATTTTATTAAAGACACATGGCTTCTCCCAGCATCTCAAAATCACATTTGCTACACATACACACACAAAAATAGCCTTTTGTATAGTTAAGTGAGGGTTGGGGAAATCTCGTATAAATAATCTATTCCTTCACTCCCCTCATTAACAGAAACTGTACAGAAACTGACCAATTTAGAATCTAAGAATAAATAAATCTGTCATACTGAACTTCAGCTGTTCAGAAAATGAGACAGAATATGTAAAAACAGAGAAAGTGGATAAATATTAGATCTATATCTGGTAAATAATGTAAGAATACAGGTGAAGAGAAAAAAGCAAACTAAAAGCTGAATAAAATTTGCTTCATCAGCAATTTTTATTCAGATTTTTCATTATAATTAATTATAGATTCACATATAGTTATAGGAAATAACAGAGACAGACCCCATGTGCACTCTATCCAGTCCCCCAAATTTAAACATCTTAGGAAACTATATTGTGCACAATATTCACATCCAGGAAACTGATATTGATAAAATCAAGACGCACATTTCCAGACTACAAGGATCCTCAAGTTGTCTTTTTATAGCCATATCGACTGCTCTCCATCTCTACTTCCTAATTCACTGCTAAGAACCACTAACCTCTTCTCAATTTCTATATCATTTCCATATTCATTTCTATGTAACATATAATTTTGTCATTTTAAGAATGTTACAAAAATGAAATTAATGGGGTATCCATCCTTTCAAGCATTTATTCATTGAGTTGCAAAAAATCCAGTTACACTTTTTAAGTTATTTTAAAACATACAGTTAAGTTTTTAGGAGTACGGAAAGGAGTATGTAACCTCTTTTGATTAGCTTATTTCACTCAGCATAAATCTCTAGAGATTCATCCAGTTTGTTACATATATCAATAGTTCTTTCCTTTATATTGCTGTGTAGTATTCTATTATATCAATGTACCACAGGTATTTAACAATTCACCTGTTAAAGAACATCTAGGTTGTTTTCCAGTTTGGGGCTATTATAAATGAAGCTATTATAAACACTCCTGTGTAGTTTACTGCCTGAAATCTACTTATTTTCATATCATTTATTTTTATTTCTCTGGGACAAATGCCTAGGAGTGCAACTGCAAGGTCATATGGAAGTTGTTGCTTAATTTTTCAAGAAATTGCCAAATTGTTTTCCAGAGTGACTATGCCATTTTACATTATACTATTTTATATTCTTACCAGCAACCTCACGAGCATTTGATGTCACTATTCTTATAGCAGTGTAGTGACTTTAATTTTAATTCCTCTAACAACTAAGGATGTTGAGTATCTTCTCATGTGCTTATATGCTATCAGTATATCTGCCTCGGTGAATTGTTTCTTCATGTCTTTTGCTCATTTTCCTACTTGCATTGTTTCTTTTGTTTTTTGTTTATTTGTTTTACTGATGAGTTCTTCAAAGTATTTATATATTCTAGATACATAAGGACTCATTTCCTGGATATATGATTTGCAAATATTTTCTCCCACTCCACTGTATCTTTTACCCTCAGCAGAGTCTTCTGTAGAGTAAAAGTGTTTAATTTTGATGAGGTTCAGCTATCCAATTTTTTTCTTTTACACTGAAAGAAAGTTAGTACTTTTAGAGGGAAATTTAAGAACTCTGCCTACCCTTAGATTCTGAAGATTTTCCCCTATTTTTTTCTAAATGGTTTGAAGTTTGTATAGTTTTGCATTTAAGTTCATAATCCATTTTGTATAAAATGTAATAATAATTTCTGCATAAAATGGGAGGTTAGCTCAAAGTTCTATCACGCTCATTCTCGCTCTCTCTTTGGTCTATGGCTGTTCAATTCTTCTGACACTATGTGTTGAATTATTTTTGTCTAATATTTTTGTGAATCTATTCCTGGGTTCTCTATTCTGTCCCACTCATCTAACAGTCTAGACTCTGCCAATACCATGCCATCTTGATTGCTATAGCTACATAATAAGTCTTGAAATTATATGAGTTAATTTCTCCAATTTATTCTTCTTTTTTTAAAATTTGTCTTAGCTATTCTAGCTATTTTGCCTTTCAATACAAATTTTAGAATAATCTTGTTTGTATCTACAAAAAGCTTGCTGGAACTTTATAGGAATTTCATTAAATCTTTGTAAAAACCTAGGAAAAATTGGTATCTTTACTGTGTTAAGTCTTCCAATCCACAAACACAGTATGTCCCTCCATCTATTTACATATATGATTTTATCGATCAGCATTTAGTAGTTTTCAGCATACAAATTCTGGAGATTTTTCTTAGATTGAAACTAAGTATTTCTTTTTGTTAAACAATCATAAATAATATTATATTTTAAATTTTGGTATCTACATATTCATTGTGAGTATACAGAAGAACAATTGATTGATGTATGTTATCCTATATCCTGCCATCTTGCTGCACTCACTTATTAGTACTAGGAAGTTTACTTCTTAGTCCTAGTACTGGATTCTTGAGGATTTTCAATATAGACAATCAGCAGGTTATTTGCAAATAACACAGTTGTATTTCTTCCTTTCCATTCTGCATGCCCTTTATCTCCTTTCCTTGCTCTAATGCACTGGATAAAACTTCCAGCACTATATTGAATAAAAGTTGTGAGAGCAGATACTTTTGCTTTGCTCCTAATTTTAGGGGGAAACCATTTGGACTTTCACCCCTAAATATAAAGCTAGCTACGGGGTTTTGGCATGTTTTTTATCCAGCTGAAGAAGTTTTGTTGTTTTTAAATCATGAATGTGTTTCGGATTTTGTCAAATGCTTTTTCTGCATCAAATGATATGATCATGTGATTTTTCTTCTTTACACATCCCTGAAATAAACCTGACTTGGTCATATATTCATTTTATACATTACTGTAATCTACTTAACATTTTGTTTTAAAAATTTTGCATCTATATTTACAAGGAATATTAATCTGTAGTTTCCTTTTCTATATTAATTTTACCTGGCTTTACCTTAAGGGTATTAACTTCATAAAATGAATTGGAAAGTGTACCCTCCATTTCTGATTTCTGTAAGAGATTCTATAGAACTGGTGTTAATTCTTCTATAAATGTTTGGTAGCATTCTCCAGGGAACCCATCTGAGCCTGAAGATTTCAGAAAGAAGTTTCTGTTTCTTTGGATTGTTTGTTTGTTTGTTTTTAGAGATGGGATCTCACTATGTTGCCAAGGCTGGTCTCAAACTCCTGGGCTCAAATGATCCTCCTCCCTCGGCCTCCCAAAGTTCTGGGATTATAGTTGTGAGCCACTGTGCCCAGTCCTAGAGGGAAGTTTTTAAATTATTTAATTCAATTTCCTTCATAGCCATAGGGTTATTCAAATTATCCATTTCATATTGGGTGAATTGTGATAGTTTGTGTTTTTCAGAGAATTAACCAATGTCTTTTACACTGTCAAATTTATGTATGTAGAGTTGTTCACAGTGTTCTCTTATTATCCTTTCCATATCAATAGTGTCTCTATTGATATTCCCTGTTTTAGTTTTATGTCTAATATCAATAATCTGTTTATTCTTTCCTTTTCTTTGTCAGTCATGTTGGAGGTCTGTCCATTTTATAAATCTTTTAGAGGGAAAAATCTCTTTATTTCACTGATTTTCTCTACTGTTTCCTGCTTTCAATGTCAATGATTTTGGCTCTTATTATTCTTCCATTCATTCTACTTGCCTTGGGATTATTTTGCCTTTCTTTTCCTAGGTTTTAGAGATGTCAGCTTACATTATTCGTTTAAGACTTTTACTCTTTTCCAGTGTAAACAGTTTAGTGCTATAAATTTCATTTCAAACACTGTGTGCCACAAATCTTCATTTTCATTCAGTTCAATATACAATTTTATTTCCTTTGAGACTTCCTCTTAGACCCAGGCATTATATGTAAGTGTATTATCTAGTTTCAGTTTTGGAGATTTTCTTGTTATCGTTGTGTTACTAATTTCTAGTCTGATTCCATTGAGGTCTATGTGTGATTTCAAAATTTGTTGAGGTCTGTTTGGCCGGGATATGCTCTGACTTAGTATGTTTTATGAGTGCTTGAAAAGGATGAGTATTCTACTGATGTTATGTACAGTGTTCTATAAATGCCAGTTTATCATCTTATTGGTTGATGATGTTATTTCTTCTATATTCTTACTGAAATCCTGACCAGTCATTTTATCAATTTTTAGGAGTTTTGAAGTCTTCAACTATAACAGTGATTCATCCATTTACCCTTTCCGTTTTATTAGTTTTTACTTCACATATTTTGCAGTTTTGTTGTTTGGGGCATAATCATTATCATTTAGGGTTATACAACTTCTTGATGGATTGACCCTTTTACCATTATATAATAAACCTCGGTCTCTGGTAATTTTCTTTCCTCTGATGTCTACTTCATTTTATATTAATAGAGATTATTCTGCTTTTCTTTGATCAACATTTGCATGTTGTATTTTTCCCTTCCTTTTCACTTTCAACCTGCCTATATCATTATACTTAAAGTGATTTTTCTATAGACAATATGTCTTAATCCATTTTATCAATATCTGCCTTTTTATTGATATATTTAGATAATTTACATTCAATACAATTATTCACATGTTAGGGCTTACATCTGTCAGGTTTTTTTGTGTTGTTTTATGTTCATTCTCTTTGCTTTTAGTTTGCTTCCTTTTTCTTGCCTTCCTATGGGTTCCCTAAATAACCATTTTTTAGAATTCCATTTTTATTTATTTGTAGTGTTTTCAAGTGTATCTATTTATACATTTGTTTGTGGTTAATGTAGATATTACATTATATAGACATAATTTACCATAGGATACTGGTGTTTCCATTTTACCAGTTCCAGGGAAGAGTAGAAACCTTACTTCCCTTTACATCTCTATCCTCCTCCATTTATAATACAATTGTCTGAAATATTTTCTCTACATACTGTCAGCACCAAATCAGAAAGTACCGGCAAATCAAAATGTCATTTATAGAACACTCTTAACAACTGTAAAATATACATTCTTTTCAAGCGCATACTGAACATTTACCAAATTATACTGTATGCTAGACCATTAAGAAAATCTCCTTAAGTTTCAAAGTGTTAAAATATGCAGGGTATTTTATCTGACTTCAGTGGAAATCTAGAAATCCTCAACAAAATGATAGCGAGTAGGTAATTTCCCAAGACAGAAGAGTATCTAGGTCCATTTAAAAGACTTGTGTAAGAATGCCATAGCAGGCCAGGCACGGTGACTCACACCTGTAATCCCAGCACTTTGGGAGGCCAAGGTGGTTAGATCACGAGGTCAGGAGTTCAAGACAAGCCTGGCCAACATGGTGAAACCCTGTCTCTACTAAAAATACAAAAATTAGCCAGGTGTGGTGGCAGACTCCTGTAATCCCAGCTACTCGGGAGGGCTGAGGCAGGAGAATCGCTTGAACCCAGGAGGTGGAGGTTGCAGTGAGCCAAGATTGTGCCATTGCACTCCAGCCTGGGTGACAAGAGCGAGACTCCTTCTCAAAAAAAATAAAAATAAAAATAAAAAAGAATGCCATAGCAGCTTGATTTGCTATAAGCTCCAAAGCGGAAACAGCCCAATGTTCTTCAATATTTATAAAATGAAATATCACCCCAGGATCAAAAGGGAAAATACTGATAAATGCAACAACATGCATGAATTTCAAAACATACGTATCAGACAAAAAAGTATTTATCTTAATAAATAAAACATAAACGTTCTATGCATATACAAAAAGGAAATGAATGGCCTCTAAACACTAGAAAAATGTCCACAGTGAATAGTCATTTCAAAAATGCAAGTGAAATTAACAATGTACCATTTTTTCCCTACCAAATTAGCAAAAGAAAACAATACAATACCCAGTATTGTTGAGAGTATGGTAAAACCATACACCAAAATTCTTTTTCTAAGGAATGCAAAGTTTTGACTTTTCTGAGTGGCTAGTAGGTATCAGAAAACTTTAAATGAATATTTCCTTTAATTCAATTTAATAATTTTACCTAAAATGATAATCAGATAAGTGAGGACAAAAGTATTTAAGGCCAGGCACGGTGGCTCACACCTGTAATCCCAGCACTTTGGGAGGCCGAGGCGGGCGGATCACCAGGTCAGGAGTTCGAGACCAGCCTGACCAACATGGGGAAACCCCGTCTCTACTAAAAATACAAAAAGTAGCCAGGTGTGGTGGCGCGCGCCTGTAATCACAGCTACTCTGGAGGCTGAGGCAGGAGAATTGCTTGGACCCAGGAGGCGGAGGTTGCAGTGAGCCGATATTGCGCCACTGTGCTCCAGCCTGGGTGACAGAGCGAGACTCCATCTCAAACAACAACGACAAAAAACAAAACAAAAAAAAAACAATGCTTTTGACTCTGGCATCTACCATTTGTGACTACAGACATAGTAGCTATCAAGTAACACAACTCTGGGATAACTATGTGGGATGACTTCAGGCATCAGAAGACATCCTACACAGTAGAAATAAATTTACCTATAATAACTTTCCCTAAAATTATTCCTAAATTTCAACAAAAGTTATTTTGAAATAGTCAAATATCTGAAGGTCTCCCTTAAGAGGGTACTAAAGCAATGCCTGGAAAGAGGGGAAATTTTTGCTCTTTTCTGAATGGGAGGACCCAAATGCAGCCTGATCCTGGAACAAACTGCACAATAACCTGGCATTATGAGGGCTATTTGGCAATTCAGTGAAGGATGATCTACTCTAAGACTAGTCCAGAATGAGCTTGGCTGTGCCTAACTTAAATCTGGCAGTGATCCTTTCAAAACAGCAGTATTAGCACCTGCCCCTCCCCTCCTGATTTTCCCAAGCAAGTCAGGTCTACATTGAAGAGCAGAGAGCACAGGATAATTTCTCATTAAAAATAAATCCTTAGGATGAACTTTAGAGAACTGTCTCAGCAAGGCTGAAATTTTACATCACAGTTGCAGAATTCTGACAGGCCCAAAGAGACCTTGTATGATGACACTAACACATTATTAGAGTTTCTCATAAGGCAACACTCCCAATCTTTGAAGCAAACTGTTAAACATATTTGCCCATCATCTCTCACTACCCAGTCATTTTTCTAAGCCAAAACCAATGTGGTTTATATGACTGTCTTTCTCCAGGTCCTTGTATCTGATTTCCAAGTTCTTGCCAATATTAGAAGGTAGGGCATGACTATAATTTTTAGTGTAGTTTTTCCAGAAACTACCAAGAACATTATTTCATTAAATATTGTATAAACAGCTCTTTCTCCTCACACTTCAAATACCAAAATTAATGAAAAATAATGCCAATGTATTTATTTTTTAATAGTACCTTCAGAATGTATCATTTTAGAAAAAGTCTTTGTCTTAACTGCACAGTATTTGCCCCTGTAACAGAAACATCAATGATACTATAAAGTAAAAGGAGGTTTCGAATATGACTCATAAGAACAGGCTTTGATCCAAGTTTTGCCAGTCACTATCTCTGTGATCCACTGAGCAGATAAATTAATCTCACTGAACCTCAATTCCCTAAACCATCAAGTGAATATTAGATATTCACTATAAAACCTGTGTATGTCAGATTGGCATAGTGAGACTCAATGAGATAAAGTATGTATGAAAGTGCTGTGGGAAAATACAAAGCTCCTAAATTTGAAAGGATTCAGCAGTGTGGGATGTTGACTATAAAATAGCTTACGGCTATAACTATGTAGGGTCAAACCAAAAAAAAAATGACAAAAATTATTCTTCCTTCTAATGAGCATGTTATAACTTTGGTTATTTTCTAGTTTTGTACTTTCAAGAACTGCTTGAGGAGGAGATAGATATAGCACTAAAAATTAAACTACATCCTCAGGGCGTGCCATGCTCATAAAGAATATTTCACAAAGGCCACAGGGGATAAGTACTTTGAATTTATATTGAAAAAACAGAAGAAGAGTGAAATAATCTATGTTTCAGGTTTAAAAGGCATACAGTTAAAACTTAAGATGATATACTTTAACTTTATACTTCATAAAAATAAATTTTACCTAAGAGGCTTGATTGAGGTAAGGGTTGGATTTAAGGTTTGAGGAAGTAGAAGAGGCAACTTTACGTACGCTTAAGAAGAAATTCTTATTATAAAGAATTAATATACATTAAAGATTCGTCATACCTAGTATGTACTAGGTAGGCATAGTGATAGCTAAGAGTTTATAAAAAACAATCTAATTATCTCATTTATTCTTCTCTACAACTCTTTATGTTGCAATTGCTGTCACTATAAGAAAACTGAAAGCCAAAGTTACAAAGATCACTGAGAACAATGCAATTGTTTTCTGATATTATCTCATGTTATTTCTACTATACTATTCTTTTCTATGCAGTTTTTTCTGCTTAGTCCCATAGTCTCCACTTCCAGACAAGTGTAGCTTTTGGTTTCTTTTTTCCAGGAATGGATGAAGGTTTCCTTCTAAAACTCTCCCCTCCCTCAAATCACACTTTTAAGACTAAGTCACACTTCAGGCCTAAAGTGGTTTCAGGAAACCTCCATCAAAACTATTTCAAAGAAGGAATGTGTTTCCCATTAACTAGAGATAAAAAGCCTAAAATGCAAATACTAAACTTGGTAAACAGATCATATACATCTCTTTGCCTATTTTAACACATACTCTTTAAGAACAAGAAACTCCTCAATACCATTCAAGTTTTTAGCAAGGACCTCTTTTTTTAAGAAAGGAATCCCTAGATGTACCTCTTCAGAGTCTATTGTGCTACTTGGTTTGAAACCCACAGGTACAGAATAAAATGTACCTGCAACAAATATTTGCGAAATGAATAAAGTATAGTTCTATTAAAGCACTAGTTACTTAGTTTTTTGTTGTTGTTGTTTTTGTTGTTTTCTGTGGAAAGACTGAACTTCAAAGAATGTGTGGTGACTAAGAATTCATATTAGGGATATTAGAGGGGTACATACTCCATGCTGTAAGCACCAAAGTCTTTTCATATTGGTTCTCTAAAATGGGTAAGGAAAACCACTTTTTGTGTGGCCTGACGTGTGCATTAAAGGCCTTAAAAAGAATTGCTGGTTTTCAAGTTGCACAGAAGGAAGATAAGAAATATACAAAATCAGGCCAGGTGTGGTGGCTCACGCCTGTAATTCAAGCACTTTGGGAGGCTGAGGCAGGCGGATCACCTGAGGTCGAGAGTTCAAGACCAGCCTGACCAACATAGAGAAACCCCCATCTCTACTTATACAAAATTGGCCGGGTATGGTGACGCATGTCTGTAATCCTAGCTACTAGGGAGGCTGAGGCAGGACAATCACTTGCACTGGGGAGGCGGAAGTTGTGGTGAGCCAAGATTGCGCCATTGCACTCCAGCCTGGGCAACGAGAGCAAAATTCTGTCTCAAAAAAAAAAAAAAAAATTATATACAAAATCTTCCACCAGTGTTTTATGGAAATTCTGTCAAGATGTTCAGGCTAAAAGTAGTGTTATAGGAAAATCCCAGTGACAGCCTTTTGACAAATACTAATGGGATATCTCTGATAATATGACACTCAAGCAGAAACAGTTTAAAGCATTTTATTAACTTTTTATAGGGAGTCACATATAAAGGATTGATTTTAAAATGTTCCCTCAGTTCAAGATACATTGCTGATGCATGCAGTCTTGCTATTTTTAAATTTGTTCTCATTCATGTCCCATTTCCAATCCCATTCCCCTCATTAGTACAGCCACCCATTTGAGAATATAAGATACGTCATTCAAGTCAACATTTTATATTTATTTCTATTAAAATATGCTTTTAAAATAAACATGTATAGTATTATTGAGTTTGTTTTAATTTATATAAATGAGATTGTACTGTCAACTGTATTATTTCTTACTTTGATCCCCCCAGCATCATATTTCTGAAATCTATATGTATATATTACCATATTTGAATATTGTTTGTTATTTATAATTGTTTGCTATATGTTGCATATTGCATTCAATCATATGTAAATACCAATTTTTAAATATCTTACCATCACTTTTTTAAAATTGTAAAGGTTTTTGTTGATACAAATTAGATGTACATATTTTTGGGGTTGTAAATACCAATTTCACTAACCCATTCCTCCAGTAATGAATACCTCAATTAATTGCCTCTCCTCTTGGCTACCAGAAAAAATAAGTACCAAAATAACTGTCAAAATAAATATCCTCATAAACTTTTCCTTGTAGAAATATAAGAGAGCTTCTTTGAGATATGGGCCATCACAATGTGGCCTCAAGTCTTGACAGCCAGCCACTACTAGCCTATACACCACAGCAACTTTGGATGAATCAGAAAAAAGTCTCCCAAGTCACTACAAACTTCCTATTAACACTATTATTTGAGATCATTGATTTTACAAATTAAATTGAGGAGAAATTAACAACTTTGCATTGTATGAAGAACCTATCTATGAAGAGTTAGCACTCTCCATTTATTCAGCACTTCATTTATGTCCTTTTAAAGAATTTTGAAATTTTCATCATAAAGGTCTTGTACATATTTTAGGTTAATTTCTATGTAACCTCTTAGAAGTTTCTTCATGGATATAATTAACGTAGAGAAATGCTACTGTGTATGTTTTGCTGATTTTTAAACCCATCTATCTTCTTTCCTTTTTTTTTCCCTCATCCTAAGACTTTGGAAATAATGTACATGGTGGGTAGTAGTGTGCATCTTTGTCCTAGCATTTGTCTTTATCTTCTTCCTGACTTTACTGGGAATCCCTCTAAAGTTTAGTTATCCAGTAAGATCTTTCTTGTAGATTTTTCACAGATGCCCTAATTTCTCTGTAGCTAGAACAGTTAAAAACACAAAACAGGCCAGGCGGGCTGGCTCACACCTGTAATCCCAGCACTGGGAGGCTGAGGCAGGTGGATCGTATTACTTTAACCCAGGAGTTCAAGACCAGCCTGGGCAAGATGGCAAAACCCCTGTCTCTACAAAAAATACAAAAAAAAAAAAAAAACCCCACAAACACCTGGCCAGGCATGGTGGCACGTGCCTATAGTCCCAACTACTCTGGAGGCTGAGTTGGGAAAACTGCTTGAGCCCAGGAGGTTCAAGGCTGTAGCAAGCTGAGATCATGCCACTACACTCCCAGCCTGGGCAACAGAGTGAGACCCTTTCTCAAAAAATACATATATATGGAGATTTTCCTTACAGTTCTGAGTAGCTTATATAAAAATTCTAGCGGAATTGATGGAGATATAAGCACGAAGATTTCTGGGTCATATTGATTACTTTTATAAACATCAGGTTCTTATTAATGAATCAGGTTGTCCAGAGACACTCACCAAGGTTTTAAATTTATTCAGATACGGTATATCAAGTTGACAAAAATTGATGTTATTTTTGAGATGTATTGACCATCATCAAAATTCAAAGAAGATTAAAAGAGGGCTCAATAAAATCATGGCTGACATTCTTTTACGAAAATGTTAAATATAATAGCACTAGAAATGACTAAGACTTTTTTTTTTTTTTTTGAGACAGGAGCTAGAGTACAGTGGCATTCTCATAGCTCACCATTAGTTACCTCAAACTCCTGGGCTCAAGCAATCCTCCCACCTCACCTCCCAAAGTAACTAGGACTGCAGGTACGTACAACCACAGCCGGCTAATTTTTGTTTTTAATTTTTAGTAGAAATGAGGTGTCGCTATGTTGCCCAGGCTGGTCTCAAACTCCTGGCCTCAAGCAAGCCTCCTGCCTTTGCCTCCCAAAGTGCTGGGATTACAAGTGTGAGCCACTGCCCAAGAAATTTCTTCACTATAAGAGAGATGGGATAAAATGCTAAGGGTTCATTATATATTCATTGATATCTGATAAGCAGCGATGTTCAACAGAAATATAATGTAAGACACAAATATGAACACAATATATAATTTAAAATCTTCTGGTAACCACAGTAAAAAACAGGTGATGCTAAATTTAATAATATATTTTATCTAGCCTAATATATCAAAAATCTTATTTCAGTATGCAAATCAAAATTATTAATATTTTACATTCCTTTTTTGGCGATGAGTCTTTGGTGTGTATCTTACACTTAACAGCACATCTTGATTCAGAATATTCATGCTGCAAGTAATCAAAAGCCACAAGTGGCTAGTTCCTACCACATTAGATAGCACAGCACCAGTCTAAACCACACAGAAGAGAAACTCTGTCCAAAGCCATAACAATAAACCATGTGTTGTGCATACTAGAAGTACGCAATAAATATTTATTGAATAAATGAATGAACAAAGTAAATGAAGTGAGACATCCTGAAGCAACAATACAGTACAATGCAAACATATATATAAATAGACAAATCAAACAGAGAGGATTTCACTCTATGTATAGTTCTCTGCACCAAACATCTCTGGCCTGCTATGTTACTACTGTAGTTCTCAAGTTGTAGGACAGAACTCTATGGATGAGCCGCTTGAGCTGGGAATAGGCATTGGCAGAAATAACGACTCTCAGATCACAGCCAGAGGAGCCAGTGAAATACATATAACAATGCCTCACTAACCTCAAGTACCATTTTTTGATCAATGGGATAAGTTCAAAGTATCTAACTCACTAGAACACAGCAGTATCCACAAAACTGAAGCACAAAAGCTGCCCCAAAACCCCAGAGTAGTGCAAGACCTCCAGCTGACAAAACAGCCTACCCAGAACGCTTGATTTGCCAGTAGAGCAAAGAAAAGGAAAAAAGAAGGGGGAGGGGAGCATCTAACATACTTCTTCTGCCCTGTTATTTCTACTCCCCACGATGACAAGACCTTTGTGAGCAGGCAAGGGAGTTGAGAAGAGAGAACTCAATCTCTGCAGTCCAAGCTGCTTCACATTTTTCAGAAATTACTACATGTTCAAACAATGGGATATTTGTCAAAGTACAACTTGATCACCAGAATTCATCTGTTTTTCATAACCACATTTGACCTAAACTGTGCTGACTAAACAAGGTACCCTGTGTTTTGCAGTCTGGAAAATGTGGCTCCCAACATCACTTTTAGACTGCACTAAAACCTCTTGCCCCTAGACTACAGCCTCTTGGTAACTAAGTGCATTCAGATTAGGCCAAGGATGATGTTTGCTGGCTTTCCTTGTTACATTAATCACCAGATTCTCATTTCAACTCATATTTTGGTTAACTTTTCTCTTTTTTATAGGTATCTTATCAAGAGAGTATAAAAGAGCTTCAAAATTTCTTATATCTTTTCCTTTCCTGTGGGCTATGCGTGTGTGTGTGTGTGTGCGCGCGCGCGCGCGTGTGTGTAGTCTGCATATATGACTAAATATAATTTTTTTATTATTATTATACTTTAAGTTTTAGGTTACATGCGCACAATGTGCAGGTTAGTTACATATGTATACATGTGCCATGCTGGTGTGCTGCACCCATTAACTCGTCATTTAGCATTAGGTATATCTCCTAATGCTATCCCTCCCCCCTCCCCCCACCCCACAACAGTCCCCAGAGTGTGATGTTCCCCTTCCTGTGTCCACGTGTTCTCATTGTTCAATTCCCACCTATGAGAGAATATGCGGTGTTTGGTTTTTTGTTCTTGCGATAGTTTACTGAGAATGATGATTTCCAATTTCATCCATGTCCCTACAAAGGACATGAACTCATCATTTTTTATGGCTGCATAGTATTCCATGGTGTATATGTGCCAACTTTTCTTAATCCAGTCTATCATTGTTGGACATTTGGGTTGGTTCCAAGTCTTTGCTATTGTGAACAGTGCCGCAATAAACATACGTGTGCATGTGTCTTTATAGCAGCATGATTTATAGTCCTTTGGGTACTTTAATTTTTTATTTAGAAATTTCAACTTACAGAAAAATTATAAGGAGAGTACCAAAAAAACTCATGTAGCCTTTATCCAGATTCACGTTGTTAATATTTTGCCCCATATGCTGTATCATTTGCTCCATACAAATCATTTTCTACATATATATATTTTCTTAACCATTTGAAATTATGTTATATGTATCATATCTATTTATTCCTAAACACTGCATTGTGCATTCCCGAGAATAGGATAATTGCTTACATAACCACAGAATAAAATTTCTGAAAAGTTAACATTTTTCTAATCTACTGCCCACATTTCAATTTTGTCAATGGACCCAAAAATATCCTTTATAGCGTATTTTCCCAAAGGTAGAGGATTCACTCTAGAACAGGGATAAGCAAACCATGGCCCATGGATCAAACCCATTCCATTACCCGTTAGGTAAATAAAGTTTTATTGGAGTACAACCACTTAATTAATTAACATAGTATGTCTGGATGTTTTGCACTGTAACAGTAATATTAAGTGGCTATGAGAGAGACACAATGGCCTAAAATATTTACTATCACAACCTTTGCAGAAAAAGTTTGTAAATCCTAGGTTTATGACAATGTGTTGCATTTCGTTGTCTTATCTCCTTGGCTTCTTTTAATCTGAAAAATTCCTCAGCTTTTCTTTATCTTTTGTGACTGGCATTTGATATGGTTTGGTTGTGTCCCCACCAAAATCTCAACTTGAATTGTATCTTCCAGAATTCCCACCTTTTGTGGGAGGGACCCAGGGGGAGGTAATTGAATCATGGAGGCTGGTCTTTCCCATGCTATTCTCATGATAGTGAATAAGTCTCACAAAATCTGATGGGTTTATCAAGGGTTTCCACTTTTGCTTCTTTCTCATTTACTCTTGCCACTGCCATGTAAGAAGTGCCTTTCACCTCCTGCCATGATTCTGAGGCTTCCCCGGACATATGGAACTGTTAAGTCCAATTAAACTTCTTTTTCTTCCCAGTCTTGGGTTATGTCTTTATCAGCAATGTGAAAAAGGACTAATACAGAATATGTGAAAAACATTCCTTTCTTCCTCCCCTTATTTCCTTTTTCCTTTATTTCCTTTCTTCCTCCCTTTCTTCCTTCCTTCTTTCTCTTTCTGGCCCCTAGACTATAGTCTCTTGGTAATTAAGTGCATTCATAGAGGTTATACAAAAGCCCTTCTCCTCCTAACATTGCATGGTTTTTTAATCTCTAGATTATAATTTTTATAAAGGTAACATTAAATGTGGATGGGTTATGGAAATGTACAGGTTTTCTTGCTTATCTGTGGATCTATGTCAACACACATATTAGTCTAGTTCCTAGTCTTTTTCCTTTCTCATTGCATTCTTTAAAAGTCCTTTTTATAATATGAATATGTGGTGAGGAGGCAGGTGTAGGTGGAGTGTGTTCAGGTTGTGAAAAGAAATGTTTCTTTATGATTTAGTAATATTCCCAGCTATTACACCAGGTGTTTTTACATAGACTTTTTTCATTTCATTCTCGTAGAGACACTGTGAGATAAATACTATTATTTACAGTGTTTCGTCATGTTGCCCAGGCTGGTCTCAAATTCCTGGGCTCAAGCAGTCTGCCTGCCTTGGCCTCCTAAAGTGCTGAGATTACAGGTGTGAGCCACCACACCCAGCTGACCTCATTTTCACACTGTAAAAAGTATATCAACATTTCTTATAATTTCAGGGCAATGAGAAATCTCTAACCTTAGTTATTAACACTCCATTTAATAGAACAACAAACTATACTAACCTCAGTCAAAATAACTACATCTTCTTAGCATACTTCATAGCCTTTTACAGGTCTCTTAATTTTTCACATAGTACTTTTCTGAAGTACTGCATTCATTCATTCATTTCACAATTATTTATTCAGCTCCTTCTATGTGGTGAGAATAACCCAGAATTCTAGATTTTCAGAAACTCTAGTTAAAGATTCTGAAGTAAAAAAAAAATGAGATGGATCTTGCTTACATTCCCTGAGAAAGTCTTGAATAGGGACAGGCGAAGAGACTGAGCTTCTAGTCCAGTATTAAGCCCCTAAACTATTTCACCTCCAGATTGCTGGTTTCAGTTTCACCTCTGGAGTTTCTAGCATTTCACCTCTAGATTGTTGGTTTGAGTTATAAGAATCTGAAAAAGTAAAGAATCTATTACAGTTCCAAACTCAGCTTTTTCAAACTTTCACAATTTAAAATAAATCAATTCTATTCATTGGTTAAAAAGCAAATCCTTCATTACACCTGCTATAACCAACTGTAAATAAATATGAGCTCCAGCTATGGTATTTGTTTCTGGTAAGAAGATCATTTTGGTATATGCTGCTGAATGACCAAAATCATCTATAAAAGAAAAAGAAACTCCTTTTCTCCCTTATATGATCTTTCACTGTTTAGATCATGAGGCTCTGGCTGTAGTTATTTATGTATCCCCATCATGACATTCAAAACTATTGGGACAAATATTAAACCAGGTAATAAAGGGCATCTTGAGCAAGCCACAAAAACCTCTGAAATTTTGAAAATTTAAAAATGAACAAACAAATCTGGCAGTTACAACCAAATTAGGTTGTAGGGAAAAAATGTAGAAATAGGGAAAGGAAGCAAAATGTGTAAGAGATCTGATTGGACATCTGAGTTAAGGGAGAAAAGGTTGTAAATAAAAATCCAGAGATCTCAGTAATGGAAGAAATTTGGTATTATTTGGAAGAGTCACCAAAAGGAAGAAAGAAAATGAGAAGTATGTTTCAGGAAAGAGAACTGCCTGTGCCAAGGCATCATTGTGAGAGCACATGGAGTATGGTGTATCTGGCGCATAAACTGTGAGTAAGCAGGAGGAAAAGAACAACCAGAAATGAGGTGAGAGAGTTAGGCTAAGGACAGAATATGGAACACTGTACAGACTATATAAAAAAACTTAATTTATTCTGAGAAAAATGGGAAACAAATATTTTAAGCACTGTCTTGATAAGGTTAAAATTGTATTTAGAAGGATTACTGGGTGTTACATGGAAAATGAATTGTTTCTTCTTTGTCAGAGCTTGAAAAGGAGTTATCAGATTATTGTGGTGTCTAAAACTATTTACATGAGATATTATTATTAAAAAGAAGGTAAGCACACTTGAGAAGTTTAACCTTCCCAAAGTAAGCATTTTGGAAAAATGAATGCAAGCATGTCTAGAGATCAAAACAAACACACACTCTCTCTTTTTCCCCCGCCTTGTTTTATTCAAGGCTAAATGATATGTATGCCCATGGGTAATAAGGTCACCAGGTTAAAAGAGCAATATGACAATTATGAAATGTTAGATCACAGCTACTACAAACCGGAGCCCATTAGCCCATAGTGCAGGAAAGTTATCACTGTAACTGGCTTTTCCTGTGTCCTTATCAATGCAGTGCACAAAGTATCTCACCCTTAGTTTTTTCTCTAAGATCTATGTAGTGTTTATGCCTATCTAACCTCACCAGGCACTAGTGGGTCAGTGAAACTAGGAGGCAGTAAGATATGGCAGGAGACTGATCAGACAACCTGTTAAGTGTCAGAGACGGACTAGGAGTTACCAAATATTTCAGGGCAAACTTTCCACATTAAAAAATATCTCTAAAGAAACTACTTAAAATACATTCTTATTGTTCAGGAATACTCAAGATTACCATGGAGACAAATCAGAAAGCTTCCAGCTCTTTTCCAATAGTATAAATTGGGTCCTCAAAGGTGTAACTTGCATTTGTTTTAGATGTTGTGAAATAGCAGATGAATATTTTGAGATGGAAAATAAAGTCCATTTAAAATGAAAATAAAACAATTACAGACAGATCAAGAGGAATAGTGTCTAAATATCCACTCCTGAAACATTAAACAGTCACCTGAATTTCTTAAAACTAAATTTCAAGGCAGAAACATCAGAATTCCTCTCTAAAACCAATGATATCCCAAAAGATTTGAAAATGACACCTATTCATTTCAAATTACTATTCTCAGGAAAGCTTTTCCACTAAAAGCTCCATGTTTTTTTTTCTTATTTCCCAAGAAAAACGTATATGTTTCAAATAAACATGACGGATTTTTTTTAAAACTGAGTCCTCATCAGGTCTCTTACAAAGCAGCTTTTCTTTAGATCTACTAAATTAGAAACTTTTTGAGAGCAGAAAGTGTCCTTGCCATCTCTGTATCTTTCAGTGTATTAGGACGTGCTTGCTTCAATAAAGTTTAACTTTTCTTTTTTTGGTAGATCTTCTCAGAATATACTTAAATATACTAATATTAACTGTAAAAAGCCCAAGACAGCAATACAGCACACCAAGTTTCAATGACATTTGAAAGAGAGGGTGCCCTCTTTTATATTTTTTAACAGATAAATTGATGATACTAGTGTTTCCTACAAATACAGCTCCAGAAATGACTTTACAAAGATCTGAATCATCAAATTGTATCTCTGGCAATGCTAGACTTCTAAATACACCATTTCCCATTTCTCATCACTGGTAAAATAAAGTATTGGTTCCCTATCTTTGTAATGTCATCTTTGTAAATATTTACAAAGAAAGAAACTTATTCACAAACCCTAAGCACCTAGAATTTTGCATTTTTACAGGCATTTCCCATTTGCCTTAATTTCTAGTAAAGGAATAGTAAATGACCCCACTTGTGTTTATATAAAAACCAATTTAGATGTTAATTCAAGTATCTTTGTGAGAAATTGAGAATTCAAATAACAGATATTTACTACAGTTACATAAAATTAATTTTTAAAATTTCCAAGATTTAAAATAGAATCAAGACACCTCTTTAAAAAAATACTAGGCTATGGGAAGCACTATCAATTTTAATAAAAGCTAAAATGCCAGTAACAGATCTATTTGTTTATTACCTTTCACTGCCAGATCAATGGTTGGTGAGATGCACTGGCAAAAATGATATGAGGCTGATGTGTATCTTTTTTTCATTTGCCAATCAATTTTCTTCATATCAAGATATACCAAAAATGTTTGACTACATTTTTTGAAGTATTTCATTTAAAAAAAAATCAAATCGACTATCGAAAATACACCCAATCCTTCAGATTAACTTTAAGTGTATGTTCCAATTCTTAACACTAAATTTATGGGTTATTAAATAATTACACTAAATTTGTTTGTTATTAAATAGCAACAGTGCTTCTGGTAAAAATGCAAGAACAAGAACCCTAAAATCTTCACTCTGGTGCCAAAAAGGAACTATTTCATAACACAATTCAGAGTGAGGTAGTCTCTACATAACGAGGTGTTTTCCCCATATTTACCACATCATTTATTTAATGTAGTCAAGTTTATGAAGCACTATGAAATTGCACAGCAAAGTGTTATATAAAATCCAAGATGCTATTATGTTAATATATATAAACAACAACCCTTCAAATACTACTACAAAAGTATCTTAAGTCTAACTTTGAGAATATTAAAACTAATGATTTTTAATGAAAACTTCAGTAGCATTTTAGACTCTTGAGTTATTTATTTCCCAAGTGCTTTACTGTAATGTTCAATAGCAACTAAAGTTCTTTAAACAATTTCATTAAGAAATTATCTTAACACCTCAGGAAACATATCACTTAGAACTGCTTATGTCTGTCTGTTCCTTTTTCCACTCTCCTAATCCTTTCCTTGCTATTATCTTTGGTTACATGACTATGGTTTCCGTAGTTTCTCCCAGCTTCCAGTATAGACTATACCAGTAGAAATCTTCAGATTAGAGTGGGAGAACCATGTTCTAGGAAGATTATTGACCATCTTACACCATTCTACCCTATATCCCTGCAATGGCCATAAGGGACTATAAAGAGATTATGGCCAGGCATGGTGGCTCTCATCTGTAATCCCAGCACTTTGGGAGGCCGAGGTGGGCGGATCACCTGAAATCAAGAGTTGGAGACCAGCCTGGCCAGCATGGCAAAACCCCATCTCTACTAAATATACAAAAACTAGCCAGACGTGGTGGCACGTGCCTGTAATTCTAGCTACTAGGGAGGCTGAGGCAGGAGAATCGCTTGAAATCAGGAGGCAGAGTGAGCCAAGATGGCGCCATTGCACTCCAGCCTGGGCGACAGAGCGAGACTCCATCTCCAAAAAAAAGAGAGAGAGAGAGAGATTATGAGTAAATTCTAGCTCTGCTGCTGATTCACTTCTTCTAATTATAGCCAAGTCCTCAAAAAATATATTAAAAGCAAATTAGTAGAAACATATTCTGAAATGTAACACAATTACTATGCTCAGGGAGATCAATTAATAACACTTCTCATAATTGTTTCTAAATCTCTGCTCTGCATCCCTTTAAGCAGAAGAATTCAGGAGACAAAACTATTAGTTTAACTGGTGAGGCTAACTTACCCCTAACAGAAAAACAGGTCATCAGCTTGCCATGCATAATGGCTGCTCAGGGAATAAAGATTTATGACACAGAAATAAGGTCACTTTGAAATATGCTTTTAGATTTAGATTTTGGCAAGGCTTCCAAATTTAAGAAAAAGACAAGGTGGTAGAGAGTTCTTATGAGGCTTATACAAGGAGATACTCAAATGGAATTGGGGAAAGCCATTCTGGGGCAAAGGTCTGTAGTCAATAGATACCTGAAACCTAACTCTGTACTTCCCTTTAGAGGAGGGATTCTTTCTGGGTCTATGGATGAGATTCAGGGAATTGGCGAAGCCTCTGAAATTTTAAGCCAAATGTCACATGCATGCACATATGTGCATTTTGCCTGGTGAAAGCATTCAGAGCTTTTGTAAAATCTCAGAGGCCCCTTGATTAAGAAAATTTAAGAGAAATACTGTACTTGATAGAGCCTTTGTAATAATGAATTCACTGCACAATGATATTCTCAATTCCCTTATATCTTAGGGTATTTTATAGTCTCCTGTAGTGAATGGAGCAGAATTCAATAAAAATGAAGTTCTTATGATTCATATAATACTGGGGGATTGCTAAAAATGTCCATGTATTTTAATTGCTATCGCTGGACCCAAGATGTCAGAAATCTTTAAACTTTTTATTATAGTATAACACATACGCAGAAAAGAACATTAATCAAAGGTGAACATTTTGTCAACATTTTTTAAATCTAGGAATTTAAACTGCTCATGAGAAGATGATGTACATAGCTGAGATCAAGAAACCACAAGAAGATCACATACAAGACTCACAAACTAAGCTTATGGATACATTTATAGGTTTGCCCCTCTAGTCTCTCCTAATGACACCTAAGCTACTTGTTATGGGATGTACATACACCCTTCCAGTGATAGAAGGGTGAGGAGTGAACTGAAAGCAGATTCAGAAAGATGTTTCATTGTATAAAGGAGCTTAAAGTACATGCAGATCTTTGTCCAAATTGAGCTGGGTTTGAGGATTAGGGCCGACTGAATCAATAAAGTTCATAAATATCTACAAGACAGAATAGTTTGTCTTCATCAGACACATAGCCCACCCGTCTTTATAACTACCAGTTCACTACATACAAGAACCTCAAATTATTATTATTCATCATTTGCTTAACAGTAAAATTTTTAGTTTTCCCTTTTAAAAACATATTTTTCAATTACTATAAAATGATATTTTATATCCTGCCCCTTACCTGCCCAAATCTAAACTGTACGTGAATGTGAAGATTTAAACCATATAAAATTTTTTAAATGATTCCATAAAATACTTCTACCTTTGCCCTGCACACTCCCACTGCATTATTTTATCAAAGACCATGTCTCAATTAACCACTATCTGACCCTTGTTCACTTTCTTCCCTCCCCTCCCCCTGCCAAAGTTTGCCCTTCCTGCCAAAGTTCAGCACTTCCTAGAAAAGTCTCACTGCCTGTTTGATATTGTACTTCACTTTAGTCACCAAAGGAAGAATTTGCAGGTGCTTGGCCCCATCTATAAGACCATGACCGAAATCTGACCTCCTGTTACAATACATGAACTCCTGACCTACTGATAAGGCTGGCAGATATAAGTAGGATTTTTCAAATAATCCTTTGGGAATTTATAAGCAGCAAAGCCATAAAAGGGGGGTGAGTGGAAGGTCGGTTTCACTAAAAATAATAAATATTGCCATGTTTATTCAAAGAGTGCCTTGTTATCCTCCAGGCCAAAAGTTCAGATAAACACTATTGTAAATGACAAAATATTAGAACTTTTTGTTACTTATGTTATGATCCTTCCGTTGGACACCAATAGAACTGTTTTCCCTCATATAGGTCCCAGCCCTGATATTGTGTAACAGTCCCCGTGACTAGAATACTGAATTCATCTGCAGGTCAAAAGGAGAGTAATTATCGTTCAAAATCAAAAACAAACATTTACTGATTATTACATACTACTAATACTAAGTGCTAAGTACTGGGACTAAAAAGAGGTGAATAAATATAATACCTGCCCTAAAAGAGCTTACAATCTATTGAGGAAAAACAACATATTTAGAATATGATGATATAATAAAGTTAAGCAGTAATATAAATATACACTGAATCCTATGTGAAGGAGTAGGGGGTCCACTGAGTTCAAGCTGAAACATTAGAAAAAACTGCTGGATGACACAAGTAAAAAATAAATAAGTGTGTGAACCCGGGAGGCGGAGCTTGCAGTGAGCCAAGATCGCGCCACTGCACTCCAACCTGGGCGACAGAGTGAGACGCTGTCTCAAAAAATAAAAATAAAAAAATTTAAATAAATAAGAACTAGTAAGATAAATGAGAATAGTAATTCAGGTAGAAGGGAAAGAATGAGAGGCATACATTCAAAGAACTGGAAGCATTTTAGTATCATTAAAGTAAAGTAAGAAAATATGGATGATAAGACATGGAAGACCGTCTATACTTTTATATACTATATTGTATTCTATACTTCTACATTTTACTCCACAGATAACCAATCACAGAATTGTAAGCAGCTAACATATATATCAGATTTGTATGTTGAATAGATTATTATGACTATAATGAGAACTGAGTTAAGGGCTTAAGATAATGGTAGGGAGACCAGATAAGGAGACGATTTTCAATAATTCTGATGAGAATCTGAACTAGGGCAATAATTTTAGGATAGGAAAAGATGAGATGGAGTAAAACTGTATTTAGGAAATAACATTTGGAGATTGGATGGTATTCAGAAAAACCCAAGAGTTTATGTTTCTGGCTGGTGACTACATAGATGATACTATTATCTGACATAACTAAAAATGCAGATGGGCAGGAGGGGCAAGACATAATGCCTTCATTTTAAAACACAGGGAGATACAGAGTTTATGCTGCCTGTGAATATCCGAAAGGTTCTGTTCACTAGGCAATACATATAAGTCCAAAGCTCAAGGGAAAGCTGAGGACTAAAGATATAGGTTTGGAAGTCATTAGGGTTCCAAATCATGAGAATAGAGTATATCATTCAAGAAAGGCAAGACACAAAGAAAAGTGGGACAAGGGTAAAACCCTGGGAACAATGAAGGACACTAAGAAGAAGAAAAGCTCACAAAGACCAAAACAGGCAACAAGTATCAGAAAGGCTGGTAGAGAATTAGAAAAACATACTGTAAAAGAAGACAGAGATTAAGAATTATAAGGCAAAAATGATCAACAAAGTTGGAGCCAAAAGGTCCAGGAAAATACAGTTTCAGGATAGTGCTAAGAACAGAAGATAAATATACAGGGTTGATGAGAGAATGAAAAGGGAAGAAGTAGAGACAAGCATTAGAATGTAAAGGAATGCGAGAGATATGGTTTATTTTCTCCTCAATCCCCGTTTCTCTATTCCTAAATCCTTTTTCTTAAGTTCCAACAGTAATATTAATTATATTACAAAATAAGAAAAAAAAATTACAAACATTTATATTAAGTAATCCATTTTTTAAAAGTCTTTGTAATTAATATTATGAGGAACTATCCTTTACCATGCAGTAATGCCAATTTGTGACTTGAGAATGGGATAACAAAGAAAGAGAGGTAACAAATTACAGCCCCAAAAAGGCTATGAAGAGTCAGCACTAGAAGTTATACATGCTTTGGTCCTTCCTTTTCTAATGGAGATATCTGAGTATTTATTTAAAGTCCCTATAGACCTAGAAAATCAATGTCCAGAAAATAAACATACATTCTCCAGAAAATAGAACTGAGTTTCTACCACTAACTGTACCTTTTCAAAACTAGGAACTACTGTGAATGGGAGAAGAGACCTGTTTCTGCCATATAATCAATGCCTTATTAATTGCTATAGAAAATTTATGAATATAAAATACTTCAACAGTAGGGAATATTACTGTGTATAATTTACTTTTAAATGGGCAGTTTAAGGTCTTCCTGCTTTTCTAGAGCTTTATCATCTCTAAATAATAACCAGTATGCCTTAGTTTCTACATAGCTTAGGACTACATATGGTCATCGTACAATTAAGAATATGTAAATTTTTAAAAATTTGTATATTGACGACAGAGACCAGAACCCCTATCTACATGTCTATAGTTTATGCCAAACACTTTTAAAAATACCAATACTGTGTCTAACCATTAGCATCAGAGATACATAACAATTACGAGATAACTGCCATTTATTTTTTTTTTATTTTTTTTTTTTTTTTTGAGACGGAGTCTCACCCTGTTGCCCAGGCTGAAGTGCAATGGCGCGATCTTGGATAACTGCCATTTATTAAATGACAATTATGCATGCAAGTGACTGAGTTAGGCACTATTTATTCAATTTATTAATTGTACTATGTAGGTAATTATTATCCTATTTCATGTATGAGAAAGGTAGCCTAACAACATACAACTAGTAAATGTGTGATTAAATTATTTCAATACTCATGAGTCACCACTGGAGTTCACTTGAGCAAAATCTGTCATATTTTAATATCATAAAATCCGGAGTCTCGCTCTGTCACCCAGGCTGCAGTGCAGTGGCGCGATCTCGGCTCACTGCAACCTCCGCATCCCGGGTTCAAGCGATTCTCCTGCCTCAGCCTCCCAAGTAGTTGGGATTACAGGTGTGTGCCACCACACCCAGCTAATTTTTGTATTTTTAGTAGAGACAGGGTTTCACCATGTTGGCCAGGATGGTCTCGATCTCTTGACCTTGTGATCCACCTGCCTCGGCCTCCTAAAGTGCTAGGATTACAGGCGTGAGCCACCGCACCTGGCAAACATAATAAAATCTTTTTTTTTTTTTGAGACGGAGTCTCGCTCTGTCCCCCAGGCTGGAGTGCAGTGGCGCGATCTCGGCTCACTGCAAGCTCCGCCTCCCGGGTTCACGCCATTCTCCTGCCTCAGCCTCACGAGTAGCTGGGACTACAGGCGCCCGCCACCACGCCCGGCTAATTTTTTTTTTGTATTTTTAGTAGAGATGGGGTTTCACCATGGTCTCGATCTCCTGACCTAGTGATCCGCCCGCCTCGGCCTCCCAAAGTGCTGGGATTACAGGCGTGAGCCACCGCGCCCGGCCATTAAAATCTTAATAGCTTATAAAAACTAGCATACACACAGTGATGAGATACAATGCGGTCATACTATAATCATTCAAAGAATGTAACTTCTCTCCTGGTGTAATGTAATCATATTAAAGCATAAGGCATTAACTTTTATACATCCTTGCTTCTCCAAATTGATTTCATGAAGAAGAGAAATTCAGTAAGTGTTTTTTTAAACAAGGAAACAAATAATAAGATTTGAGTTAACATATGTTCAAACAAATGTACTAGATTCTTTAGTTACCACTTATTTATTCATTCAACTATTTAATAATATTTACTGAGTACTTACCACATGCCAAGTAATGTTGGTACTGGCGGATATAACATTAAACAAAATAAACTAGCCATTTCACAGACCTTATGTTATTTGAGGGAAAAAAATTCATTAAATTTTTAATTATGAGGCTTACTCTTAACCTTAAAACTTGATGTGAATAAACATGATTATTTTTCTATAGACTATTGGCTTAATTACAACTGTGAACTCCCTTATCCAAACATACGATTGAAGAGAGTAAACAAAATAATGAAGCACAGAAACAAAATGTTAAGGAAGAAAGGAGTCAGTGTGTGGCAAAGGAAAAATGCATATTATTGCATGTGTGAGTTCTACACAACTTTCAAGGAACAGATAACTCTTATATAAGTTGTTTCATAAAATAGAAAAAAGGGGGAGATGTCCAACTAATTTTAATGAGGCTAAAACAACACTGACTTACAAATCATCTAAGGACAACACACCAAAAATGAAAATTTCAGGGCTGTATTACATATGGCCAAACCACAAACACAAAAATAAAAAATAAAGCAACAACAAAAAGGAGTTAAATTCTACAGGATGTTATAAAAGTAGTAACACATGCTCATCAAATTGAGTTTATCTAATAAACACAAGGATATTAATATCAAAAAAAATCTATCAATGAAATTCACCATATTCATAAACTAAAGAATAAATATATTAATATGTATAGAAAACTAATTCAATAAAATTCAACAGACATTTATGTTTTCTTAAAAGATTATCAAGAGTCTAGGAATAACTAAATAAAAATTATTTACCAAAAAGCTATATAATGATTAATCAATGAAAAAAGTCAGATATATTCTCTTTAAGATTAGAAATCAGACAAAGAGTCTTACTATCACCTTACTGAACAACAAAGCAATGATGATTCCAGTCAATACAGTAAGACAATAAAAAGAATAATGAGATATAGGAAAAAAAAGTCACTATCTACAGACAATATGATTGACTACACAGAAAACTTAGGAACCCAAATGACTATTAGAACCAATAAAAGAGTTGAGCAAGGTTTCTAGATGTGAGATCAACCTATAAAAATCAATAGTTTTCCTCAATATCAGCAATAACTAATTAGAAAATAAAGTAGAAAACCACAACAAAAACTAAGTATTTTGCTATTTATCTAACAAAGAATGCCCAAAACTATTAACATGAGGTTGGGGGAAAGCTCAATTAAATAATTTAAAAGATCTTCCTCTTCCATGACTGGGATGACTTAGCATTATGAAACTGTTAATTCTTCCAAAATGTAACTACAAATTCAATCAATTCAAATCAAAATTCTAGAAGGACTTTTTGAATAATCTCAAACTTACTATAACATATATATGGAAAAATAAAGATCTATAAATAGCTAATGCAATTTTAAAGAAGAGACATGAGAAGGGACTTATTTTATACCATCTATATTTTGATATATTATAAAATATAACAAAAAATGAGCTCAGAAACAGAACAATGTAAATATTGAAATTTAGTATATGCCAGAGGTACTACCAGAAATCACTAAGTGACATACAGATTATGTAGTAGATGGAATTGATAAAACTGAATTCATCATATGGAAAAAAATAAAGCCTCATATTATACAAGAGGTCTTAAAAAGTTCATGGAAAATGCATATTATAAAAACACTATGCAGGAATTTCAAAATATTTTACACCAAAATAAGCTTGTACTAACTTGTTATAATATGTCTGAACAGGATCTAGTTTGAGGCACTAAAAAGTATAAGACATCAATTTGAAAAGAGCCTCTATTGGAGCAACATGAATTCTGCTAAAATTGAAGCAAGCACAAATATCAAATTTATGGTAAAACTTGGGTAGAAGAATGGTGAAATCATTGAAGCTTTACAAAAAGTTTATAAAGACAATGCCCCAAAGAAATCAGCAGCTTATAAGTGGATATTTGTTTTAAGAAGGGATGAGACAATTTTGAAAATGAAGCCTGCAGTGACAGACCATTCACATCAATTTTTGAGAAAACAATCTTGTTTGTGCCCTAATTAAAGAGGACTGATAATTAACAGTACAAACAATAGCCAACACCATAGACATCTCAATAGCTTTAGATTACACAATTCTCCCTGAAAAATGGAAGTCAAGCAGACTTTCCACTCAATGCAAAACCACTGCACTCAGATCCGCTGCAGAAAAGAGCAGAGAACTTTCAATGGAAATTTTTAAAAAGTGGGGGATCAAGATCCTGAACCATTTATGATATGGTTTGGCTCTGTGTCCCCAACCAAATCTCACCTCAAATTGTAATCCCTATGTGTCAAGGGAGGGAAGTGATTAGATTATGGGGGCAGTTTCCCCCATGCTGTTCTCATGATAGTGAGTGAGTCTCACAAGATCTGATGGTTTTAAAATGGCAATTTTTCCTGTCCTCACATTCATTCTCTTTCCTGCCACCTTGTGAAGAAGTTGCCTGCTTCCCCTTCACCTTTCACCACAATTATAAGTTTCCTGAGGCTGCCTAGCCATGCTTCCTGTTAGGCCTGCAGCACTGTGAGTCAATTAAACCTCTTTTCTTTATAATTACCCAGTCTCAGGTAGTGTTCTTTTCTTGAGTGAGTTCACATTGCATATGTAAGTTCTACACAACTTTCTTTGTTTTTATTTTTTATTTTTTTATTATACTCTAAGTTCCAGGGTACATGTGCACAACATGCAGGTTTGTTACATAGCTATACACGTGCCATGTTGGTTTGCTGCACCCATCAACTCGTCATTTACATTAGGTATTTCTCCTAATGCTATCCCTCCCCCAGACCCCCAACCCCTGACAGGCCCCAGTGTGTGATGTTCCCCGCCCTGTGTCCATGTGTTCTCATTGTTCAACTCCCACCTATGAGTGAGAACATGTGGTGTTTGGTTTTCTGTCCTTGTGATAGTTTGCTTAGAATGACAGTTTCCAGCTTCATCCATGTCCCTGCAAAGGACATGAACTCATGCTTTTTTATGGCTGCATAGTATTCCATGGTGTATATGTGCCACATTTTCTTAACCCAGTCTATCATTGATGGACATTTGGGTTGTTTCCAAGTTTTTGCTATTGTGAACAGTGCCACAATAAACATACTTGTGCATATGTCTTTATAGTAGCATGATTTATAATCCTTTGGGTATATACCCAGTAATGGGATGGCTGGGTCAAATGGTATTTCTAGTTCTAGATCCTTAAGGAATTGCCACACTGTCTTCCCCAATGGTTGAACTAATTTACACTTCCACCAACAGTGTAAAAGCATTCCTATTTCTCCACATTCTCTCCAGCATCTGTTGTTTCCTGACTTTTTAATGATCACCATTCTAACTGGTGTGAGATGGTATCTCATTGTGGTTTTGATTTGCATTTCTCTGATGACCAGTGATGATGAGCATTTTTTCATATGTCTGTTGGCTGCATAAATGTCTTCTTTTCAGAAGTGTCTGTTCATATCCTTTGCCCACTTTTTATGGGGTTGTCTGTTTTTTTCTTATAAATTTAGTTTCTTTTGCTGGAGTTCCACACAACTTTCAAGGGACAGAGTGAGTCCCCAGCTTTGTTGCCCAGGCTGGAGTGCAGTAGCATGATCTCGGCTCACTACAACCTCCACATCCCAGATTCAAACAATTTTCCTGCCTCAGCCTCCTGAGTAGCTGGGATTACAGGCACCCAGCACCACGCCTGGCTAATTTTTGTATTTTTAGTAGAGACAGAGTTTCACCATGTTGCCAGGCTGGTCTCAAACTCCTGACCTCAAGCAATCCACCTGTCTCAGCCTCCCAAACTGCTGGGATTACAGGCATGAGCCACTGCACCCGGCCTCAGGCAGTGTTCTTTATAGCAGTGTGACAACAGACTAATACAGTTTCCTTGAAGAACTATAGCAGAAGAGAAACATGGCTTTCCCAGTACAATCCTGAAGACAAGGCACAATCAAAGCAATGGCTACTAAAAGATGAAAGTAGTCCAGTCAAAGCAAAAGCAGACCAGTCAAGAGCAAAGGTCGAGGCAACAGATTTTTGAAATGCTAAAGGCATTTTTCTTGTTGACTTTCTGGAAGGCCAAAGAACAATGACACCTGCTTGTTATGAGACTTTTAGCCAAAGCTCTAGAAGAGCTATGCCTGGGAAAGCTTCACTATACAGTCCTTCTCCACTACAGCAATGCTTCTGCTCATTCCCCTTATCAAATGAGGGCAATTTTGCCAGAGTTTCAATGGGAAATCATTAGACATTCACTTTATAGTCCTGATTTAGCTTCTTCTGACTTCTTTTTGTTTCCTATTTTTAAAAAGCCTTTAAAGAGCAACTATCTTTCTTCAGTTAGTAATGTACAAAAGACTACGTTGACATGGTTAAATTTCTAGGACCCTCAGTTCTTTAGAGATGGGCTAAATGGCTAGTATAATTGCTTACAAAAGTGTCTTAAACTTGATGGAGCTTCTGTTGAAAAACAAAGTTTATATTTTTTATTTTTATGTTTTAGTTTCTTTTTTCCATGAACTTCCTAAAGTCCCCTTATATACAATGATGAACCTAAGATGGGTTAAGATGAAAATCTAAATGGTAAAATATTAAATGTAGTATAAAGTAAATACTCTGTGACAGCAGGATAAAGAGGTATTTTAAAAAAAAACTCAAAAGTTTAAACTTATATGGCTAAAATTGATGGATGTGATTACATGGAAACTAAATATTTCTGTTTCATTGAACATAACATAGACATAGTTTAGAGTCTGGTGACAAATTGTGAAAAAAGGACATTTTAAACATTCTAAACTGTCAGTATCTACAATATATGAGGAATTTCTGAAATTTCTCTTTCAGAAAGGAGGGAAAAAAACAAGAAACCCGATTAAAAAAAATGAACAAAGGTTAAAAATAAGCACTTTATAGAATAAAAATCTAAAAAGATCCACTAGTCTATAAAGAAAAGCACAATTTTTACTAATAACCAGAGAAATGCAAACTAGATCCATAGCGCAACATCATCTGAGTAAATTAAAAGCACATACATATACAAATCACTATATATTTTTCAAGGATATTTACACATCTATGACCATATATTACATATATTAGTGTTATTATTCTTGGAGATGAGAGACAACTGGGCTTGTAAACAATGAATGAATGGAAAAAAATATAATGAAACAAAATAAAATCCGGGGGGGGGGGGGGGCCTTTATGAACTGATAATAGAGTGTCACAGTCTAAGATGTATATGATTTCTTATCTATACCTGTGATTGAAAAAGATTGTCAAATTGTTTTAGATGCCTTGATACAATTCAATCTACATTTGGCTTCACCTTTATATAACATGAATGGTACATGTGCAGCCATAAAAAAGAATGAGATCATGTCTTTTGCAGGAACATGGATGGAGCAGGAGACTGTTATCCTCAGCAAACTAATGCAGGAACAGAAAAACAAATATCCCATGTTCTCACTTATAAGTGGGGGCTAAATGACAAGAACTTATGAACACAAAGAAGGAAACAATAGACAGTAAGGTCTACTTGAGGGTGGAGGGTGGAGGATGGGAGGAGAGAGAGAAGCAGAAAAGATAATTTTTGGGTACTGGGCTTAATTGCTGGGTAATGAAATAATCTATACAACAAACCCCCGTGACATGAGTTTACCTATGTAACAAACCTTCACATGTATCCCCAAACCTAAATTTTTTTTAAAAAAAGAATTGTACATATATCAGACAATATTAATTTTATTTTTGTTAAAAGTGTCCGAAAATACACAGAACATAAATAATGGTGGGCTCTAGGTGTGAAATCGTAGGCAATTATAATTTTATTTTCATGTATTATGTTTTATTTCATTTTTGTAACTTTAAAATTTCTAAATGAGTATATGTTACTTTAGTAGTAAGATATTCAGAGCTTCTTTATAAAACCAAAAAAAAAAAAGAATGTCTTCTGAGAAATTGCTGCTACTGCAATATTAAATTCAATTCTAATGCCTCTCCACTGTTACATGATTCTAGTATGGACATTTAAACCTGTGAGACATACTTATATTCAAATGTAAATACAAAAATCACATTATAAGGCTACACATTATTTTTAGTATTCACTATTTTAACCACCTATTTAAAAAAAAACAGCAAGGAATTGTAGATTGAGAGAGAGGGAGTGTAAAGGGAGGGAAGACAGAGGAGAAAGAGAGAAGAAAAGAGGAAGATGAAGAAGTGGGCAAGAGAGGGAGAGAAGAGGAAACTACCTGATTTTTAATCTAACCAATAAAACTACCACAAAATATTTCAGACCATAAAGTCCATAGCTCAGTATCCCAAATTGTCAGGAGTAATGACAAAGTGGTACTATGTTAAATATGTGAACAAAGAGAGACCAGGCACGGTGGCTCACGCCTGTAATCCCAGCACTTTAGGAGACCCAGACGGTGGATGACCTGAGGTCAGGAGTTCAAGACCAGCCTGACCAACATAGAAAAACCCCATCTCTACTAAAAACACAAAATTAGCTGAGCGTGGTGGCACATGCCTGTAATCCCAGCTACTCGAGAGGCTGAGGCAGGAGAATCGCTTGAACCCGGGAGGCGGAGGTTGTGGTGAGCCAAGATCATGCCATTGCACTCCAGCCTAGGCAACAAGAGCAAAACTCTGTCTCAAAAAGAAAAAAAAAAGATATATATATACACAAATAAAAATTGATAAGAGACTGGGCAATAAGACATACTTGAACATATTAAAAACAACCTGATATAAGCATCACTGAAAGTTTCTGTAAAAAAAATCGATAATAGGCTTCTCTCACCAATTTGTCTTGGTTGCTAGAGTTTAATTTTTGACTTACTTTCTGTGTATCTATGTGTCTGCATGTGAGTGTACTACCAAAATGGAGAAAGGGATCATTTCTTAGAATATTATTAACATCTATAATATCCCCCACACAGAGAGGTTCCCTTTTCCATATGCTTTATATGACAAAAGGAGTAATTGTCATTAGGAATAAAAAAGTAAACATTTTCACAAATACTATTTTAATGTGTAAAGACAGAATATTGTTATTTAAATAACTACATTATTAAACTAAAAACAGAAATCTGGATGTATGACTATTTCTAGTCATAAGCTACTGATTTATTGATGACTAAGAAATGTCACTAGCCATAGCATATTACATAAAAACATGAGATTCAAAATTGTTTTTTATAATTAACAGTCCTTAAACAACAAGAGTTTTCTCATTTTTCACTCTTAATAATAAACAGAAAAACTACCAAAAGTTGAGAGAGCAAAGTTTTGAACTCAATGGACATCTTTATTAGGCAGAGCCAGATAAAGACTCACCAGGACAGAATATATATGTAGACATCGATAAACTGGAGAGAAATCCACCAAATCTTGGGCCCCAGGTACCTGCAAACACAAGATTATAACAAAAAAATTCAAACAAAGCTATTAAAAGCAACTACATTAATTGTTACTACTCAAGTGTTTGGTTCTTTTTATAAAGGCCAGTTCTAGCTTGTAAGTGAGAAATACAAAACAAACAAAAAAATAGGTTTCCAAAGACCTAGTTCTTATGTTTTAGCCATAGAATTAATAAACCGTGAAGATATACACCAAGGCTGGCACAAAGCCCACAAGGATGGGTAGCAAAGAGAAACAGGTGGCACCAATCCTGCATTTGCCTTTAGAGATATATCTTTGACCATGGGACTCTAAAGGGAAAATAAGAACAATGTGAGAATACACCTTTCATGACGACTTTGATTTCTAAAAGACATGATAGTGTACATAAAAAACTAAGTTTTAGTAGTCAAAAACAAAACTTGCCACACAATATGAATCACGGCCTGCCAGCCAACTTCTGAAGAACACAAGAATTCGTCAATACTTAAGTCAACATGCAATCAAAATACAGAAATATGCTATGAAAAGAGGGGAGATTATGTGAAAAATAAGACAAAGAATGGAAAAGTCAAACCAAGAAGTAATACCAACGTATTTTAATGTGAATAGTGTATGTTAATTAAACCTAGACATCAAAAGAGAAAGTAAAAGAAAAAAACATCAGGTAAGAACTGGAGTCTAGTTTCAATGCCAAAATTGATTTGCTATGTGATCTGACAAGAGTAATTCATAATTTGGTCTCGACTACCTAAGTTGAAAAAAAAATCAGCTGATTTATAGGGATTTAATAATAAAAGGAAATATTGAAACTAAATGTTGAACAAAACAAAATAAAAAGAAAATGAAAAAATTACATAAAGAAACATTCAAAATAAAGACCTACCAGTTTTTACTATAACACTGGTAACTATATAATTCATCAGAATATAAGCAGTAGGCACATCTAAATTGGGTAGGGCTGATTCATAATTACAAGGTCATTTTCCCTTATTTCATAAAGTAAACCTCATTTCTTCTTTTGGGGCATAGCTTCTTTACCAAGATACTTTTCTTAATGAAATCTACTAATTCTAAAATTCAACAGCACAACACCTATGTTGTTTTCCTTCTGGAACCATCACACCTTTATATTTATGGGTTCAAACTTATTGACTATTCTGTTCATCTGCTTCGCACCCATGAGAGCAAAGATTAAATCTCTATATTTAAGTTCCTTGATAGCACTGTATACTCTGTAAGCACACAACAAACTTTTAAGTGAATCTAAAAACTGATAGTAAGATGGTCAATATCCTATACCATGGTCCAAGAATAACTTTACTTTAAAAAAAAAAAAAAGTTTAAGAAGAGGTAATGAGCATTGCAAATTACTGAAAAAAAATATGGAGAGATGTGCAGCATGCAGTTTAAAAACAATAGGATTAAATAGCATATAAAAATTGTATGAGTGCAAATGGACACTCATTTTCATCTTAATAACACAAAGAGTCCACAGGTGATCATTTTAGGCACCCTTATTTGAAATGATCACAACACTAAAACATCTTTACAGTCTCCTCTTTCGGACTGCAAAGTAGAGACCCAAAGGAAATTTATTTTATCTTGACAGAAAACCAGAGTCTATTTTATCTTGCCAAAATATGAGGAAAATTTCTTTTATCTTGCCAAAAAACCAGAGCCTACAGCTAAGCAAAACACATTCTCAAAAGAAGAAAAATTTTAAAACATCAAACATGATATTCACAATAGTATTTAAACTATATAAAAACTACACATGCATATGAAAAAAATATTTAAAAGTTTGATCTGTATAGGAAATGACACGTTTTTCTTTTATTTAGAATTAATGATTTTTAAATTCTTTGTTACATATTTACAAAAAGTTTAAAGAATTTTTCTTACATAATTTTGAGTAGCAAATTCAATCATAATTTTGTTTATATGTTCTTCTTCATGTAGCTTATTTTGTTTAACTTCATCTCAGAACCATAGTTTCACTCAAAAGGAAACTGCTTGTAGCCATTCCTCAGACAAGGCCTTAGCCCTTTTATATGTCAGACCCATCCTTGTAGAATGAACATCTAAATTAAGGGAGAATTTCCCTAGAAATCTGTGATAAATAAGCTAACACAGCCACATAACAAAGACGTTTTGTTACTAATGGGCTAAGACTGGTTTATCTGGGCATACTATTTAAAAAAATGGATATATTTAGAAAGGAGACAAAGGCCACTTTTTGTCATCTCCAACGAATATTTACAACCAAATCTATTCTCTCTGAGGCTGTTGTGACATCATTCTATCAGCTTCAAACTGGCTAAAGTGCTCTCACTTGTAAGTATTGTCTCTTATTTCTTAGCCACTGGAACCACCATCCAGTTAAGTCTTCCTAAGCATAAGACTGCCTGCTTTGAAAGCAGTACACAGAAATCTAGACAAAAAGAGAAGGGAGTAAAATGGGGCTTCCGTTCACAACCTTTACCTCTACTCCCAAAATAGCCTAATATTTAGAAATCATTTTTCCTCTATGCTCCCCTCTGTGAAGAACACTAGGAATGAACACTGTGAGGAACCAAGAAGAGTGCTGTGAGGATAAAGCTATGTAAAGTATGCACTGACTCATGTTGCTTAGTGCGAGATGTGTTTTCTCTGCTGCCACTAATGAAAAAAAATCACAACTACAGAAAGGCAAAAGGAGAAGAGCAACATACATTGGATGTGAAGGAATGCTACAGGTTTGGAAGAATAAGAAGTGAACTTTCAAAAATCTAAATAAAAAGGGGTGGGGAAGAGTATCAGAAGAAAATGTAGTTTTTCCCTACTCACAGAAATGGGTTGTTTTAAGGTCCACATCTTGATCTCCATTTAAAATACTAACTCTCTGTCAAAGCTATATTCATACTTCTTCCTTTTCTTTGACCCTGTCTCCCCTCAAGTTGCAAAGAATGATTCAAGCAGGTTTAGGTTTCAGCTGGGGCAGAGGGAGGGGTCCAAGGACACTTTCCTAAGCTAACAATAACTTTCTAATGGTTTCTGTCTCCTAACAAAAGCCATGACTCCTTCTTTATCAGCTTCATCTAATTTTTCCTTTCCAAAGAAAATAACACAGCCCTTGCATTTTACACATGTCCAAATTTGACAAATCATTATCGACTGCAACTATAACTGATAAGAGATAACTTTGTGGTAGGACGTTGTCATTTCCTCTCATAAGGGCTTTCTTTCTGAGATACAGAAACATGATTAGAATAGTTAAACATTTCCTCTGCCTGGCAGTCAGGAACTCAAGACTTTAAGATACTGGAGTCTGTATTTTTCTAGAAGTTCAAATACATCTATGAAGATACAAATAGTAGCCACAAATAGTATATTCAAGATTATCCTGCTTTTTTAACTAGTTGTTTTCCTTAAGAATTCACGTGAAATAGTTTCATCACCAAGGACAGCAGCTGCCTAATTCCCTAATAGTTTCTGAATGGAGAGCATTAGTGCCTTTTGCCAGTTCAAACCTTTTTCCAGAGGATCAAATAGTAGGTAAGATTTTACATTCTATAACTAAGATATCTGTGCCTCAGAGCATATTATAATATTACATAAACTAAGAGAACTAGGATACATTTTTTAATAACGGATAAATAACGAGCTAGTAAAAGAATTTGAGGATGCCTGAACTTCAGTATCCAGAGGTAGATATAATGGAAGCAACTATTACATTCTTCTATAAATACACATTCACAATTAGAGATCATTGATAGATTAGGCACATGAATTGGTATCTAATGGATCCTACTGGCATCCACGTTTGGTATCCACTAGATACCAATACATATGGCTAATCTGTTCGTTTCAATACATGATTCTTACATTTTTATAATACCAATTAACAGCTTCAATCAAAGCAATAGTTCCTAGTTTTTGTTTGTGGAATATATTTGTTGTTAAATAGCATTTATATTCTATAAATATGGCACCTAACACATGGGACCAATGTATAGATGACAAAAAAGAGTCTGAAAATAGAGGATGTTACAAAATAAATATAAACTTTAAAATGGGATTAATCAAAGGCCCCCTGAAAAAATATTATGAGCCCCACAGATAATATTTACTACAGAAGATATACAGATTTAGCATAGATATGGGAATATTAGATGATGAGGTGAAAAGAAACATCAACATTTCTGATTACAAAAATTTTTACAAAACGCCAGGATGTGACTTTTAGGATATCTTTTTCTTCTTCTCTAGTACATCTTAGTTCAGGTAAAAGAAAGTCTCTAAGAACGGAAAAGTAAATGGTTAAGTTCCTCTCATGGCACATGAGGAAAACGCCTTTACATATTAAAAAAAGGATATTTTGATTTTTAAAATGCATGATGCCATTCAAGTTTTAACAGATATATTCATTTAATATTTTTCTAACCCTTCCCCCAAAAGGATTCAGAGTTCATAAATATTTTCTACTATTTTAAAAGACTCACTAGTGAAGGAAGGCAGGAAAGAAAAATTATCTGCAGGTAAAAATATGATAACTCTACCAGCTTTACTGCTGGGTAAGCATACCCTTAGAAAAGGGGAATACACTATAAGAAAAGATTGCTTGCCTCCCTCTGCTCAAGAAGAGGAGCGATATACTATGACAGATTTACCTCTACTGCTGATAAAGACAGCACATTAAAATAGAAATGCATTAGTACACTCCAGCCCTATTGTTCCCACAGCTGCACCAGAAGATACACAAATACACAGACACACACACTCTCTCCCTCATACACCTACACGGCATTTATTTTTCTCTTAAGAAGGCTTTCAAAGTAGATGGATCATCCAAAAAGAGTTTGACAGAGATTTGCAAGGAATTTAGATATCTTTCTCACTAATTATTTGAGTACAAAATAGTTTCTCCGTATCGGTAAATGAATGCAGGGACTTGGTGCCCATTTCTGAGCATTACTTAGATCTCAAGTCATTAAAATGTACCAGGCATTTTTCTGCAAAGAGAAGACAACAAATGATTAGCTGAAGGAGCACTGACTTTGCATTCAGAGGATCAATTTTGACAGCCCATATTATGTCTATAAGCCAGGAAATGTCTGGCAAACATTTTTCACCAGTGTGCATTTCAGAACTATGTTGCTTCCCAAAATTCAGAGAAAAGAAGGGTAGAATTCATTTGGATATGAGCTTTTATGCAGCTAGACTAAACACCACAGAAACACCAACAAACTGGAAGGCCTATAATTTTAAGTGACTAGAATTAGCAAAAGCATAAAGAATTTTCTAAACCTTTGAGCATATAAGAATACTGTGGCCAGAACCCTATCCTAAAAAAGCACAAAATTATGCCAAGGAGCTTCTCACAAATTATTAGGATTCTTTCTGAAAAATCCCTAAGCAGATTACCACTTATTAATTACTCAAGTGTTTGCACTAAGCAGAACAAAATCAGGAAAAACCACCATTTCTCCTTACTGAGGCACTGCAAAAAACCTGTGCCCAAAGTCAAAGGATAGTCCCTCAAGAATTCTCTGCTTAAAGCTGAACACTGAGGGCCAGGCATGGCGGCTTACACCTGTAATCCCAGCACTTTGGGAGGCCGAAGCAGGTGGATCGCTTGAGCCCAGGAGTTCAAGACCAGCCTGTGCAACATGACGAAACCCATCTCTACAAAAAATTGCAAAACTTAGCCAGGTGTGATGGCACATGCCTGTACTCCCAGCTACTCAGGAGGCTGAAGTGGGAGGATCGCTTGAGCCTGGGAGGACGAGGCTGCAGTGAGCTGAGATCATGCCACTGTACTCTAGCCTGAGTGACAGAGTGAGACCCTGTCTAAAAAAAAAAAAAAAAAAAAAAAAAGCTGAACACTGGTGAAACAAAAATTCAAGTGGTCTTTATTTAACAAGGGTCCACTATATGCTATGAAACTCTAAACCTTTAGGCAAAAGAGGCAATTTTGCACTACTTGGTATTAAACGTAAAAGGTCTGGGAGGATAAAAAATTAAGATGAGGAAAAGTAGGTTAAAATCGCTACATTATTATAGGTAAAGAACAAATATCCCTAATATATAGAGAACCAATAATGAAGAAAAAAACCAAAATCATTCAAAAAATAGGCAAAAGACATAAGCAGTTTATGAAAAAGATATACAACTAGCCCTGAACCTTATTAAGATACTCAACTTTACCCACAGTGATAGGAATGAAAATTAAAACTACAAAGAGATATGTTTCTTATCTATGAGAATGGCAGAAATTCAAAAGCTTAAAATAAATACTCTCTTAAAGAAGCTGTAAGAAAATAGGCAACTCATGCATTGCTGGGGTGGGTGGTGGGGTATAGAAAATAGTACAACCCCTATGGAGGAGAATTTGACATTATCTAACAAAATTATACGTGCATTTACCCCTTGACTCAACCATCCTGCTTCTGGGAAACTACCCTGAGGATATAGCTCCAACCACACGGAAAAAATAGTTCTCAGGTTTTGTTTTGTTTTTTTTTTTAAGTTTTAAAGTGTTTTGCGTATGGTAAAATTCACTCTTTCTAGTAAACAATTCTGTAAGTTCTGACAAATGCATATAGACCTGTAATCATCATCATAATCAAGATAAGAAGAAACAGTTCCAGCACTTCCCAAAATTCCCTATGCCCCTTTGTAGTAAAATTGTTTCCTGATGCCTAGCCCTTGGCAAACACTGATCATTTTCTATCTCTAGAGTTTTGACTTTTTAGGATTGTCATATTGATAGACTCATATAGCATGTAGCCTTTTGAACCTGGCTTCTTCCATTGAACATAATGCATTTGAGATTCATCTGTATTGTTTCATGCATCTGCCGTTTATTCCTTTTTATTTCAGAGTGGTACTTCAATTATGGATATACCACAGTTCATTTATCCCTTCATGCATTGAAGGACATTTGGGGTGTTTCTAGTTTTGGTACTATATGCACAAAGCTGCTATAAATATTAAGCTTCAAGCTTCTGAGTGAATATGCTGGTTCAATACCCAGGAGTGGGATTGCTAGGTCATATATATGACCACTCCTGGCTGTATGTTCAACATTATAATAAACTGCTAAACTGTTTTCCAAAGCGACTCTATCATTTCACATTTTCACAGAAATATATGAGTTCCATTTGCTCTATATCCTTGACAGTACATGGTAATGTCAGTTTTTTTTATTTTAGGTATTCTAATAGCTGTACAGTTAAAACACTACTTTTTAATAAGAAAACATTGGAAATCATTTAGTGTCCATGTATAGATTAGCTGAATAAACCATGGTACATCCAAACAATGGAGTACTATTTAGCAGTAAAAATAGAATGAGAAAGATTTCTATGAACTGATATGGAATAATTTTCAAAATATATTTCAAATAAACAAAGTACAAAAATATATATGTATTATGCTATTAATAATTACGTTGCTTGAGGTAAAATGAAGGGGATACACACAAAAACTAACAACACTCATTACTTACAAAAGGTGGGTAGGAGCAGTGTGGAAAGGATAAGGATGAGAATGGGATTTCACTGAATATATCTTCTTATATAGTTTTGCCTTTGAATCATGTTCATATTTTAAATAGTCAAAAAGTTAAATAAGGATAGTTGAACCCTAAAAAATAATACAAAAAGAAACAAACGAACCTAATTATATATCAATTTGGTAACAATCAAACAGAAGAAAAAAAAATTAGCCAAAAGCGTTTGAACATAGTACTCTGAACTATACAGATTTAGTGGGATACACTGTAGGATCAAAAGAACTGTGAAGAAATCTTGAACTTAATAACTTTATTGCTTTTAGTGACATTTGCATAATTCTGCAACTATTTTCTGGGTATTATATAATTATCCAAAAGATTAAATATGCTGATACTCTGGAAACCAGAATATTTGCAAATACAAATACAGAATGACAGAAAAGACTTACTACATTAGATTGGAATTAGAAGTACTAGCTTTAACTCGTGATTTATTTTTTTTAAGTCTACACATTAATGTAGCAGGTGTATTTCTTAGCTCTGTCCACAAAAGGGGTATACCTAATGCCCATGTTAGTTTCTAAATATCATTCTCCAGTAAAAGAAATTAGAACTCTCTGAAGAAACGGCTGATGCCAGGGCTAGGGCAGAACCTGGAGTTTCTTGTGGAAAAGAAGAGAAATTAAAGAAAAGAGCAGAGCTCAAAAACTGGATGGATAATTTGGAACAAGTGGAAAATGAAAATGAAAGACAAGATGGAATATAACTCATTGTATATAAAATGATTATCCATGTGCCCATACTAACACTACAAAAAATAAGGGGAGAAAAGGAAAGTTTTTTATAGAAGAATGCTGACTCATAAATGTGAAAGAAATGATAAAAATAGAAAATCACAGCATCTTATAACAACTATAGTAACATATGATTCCAGAAAGTGGCATCAATGAGTTCTAAAACCAGTGGGTAACAAGCTGTTAGGGAACAGGATAGTCACATGGTCTAATGTATTACTAATTACAAAGTGGGACGGGTACCTTTATGGTGAAGAAATCTAGTGAACACCATCTTAACCAATGTATGCCTCCAGATGTGATGCAATGAAATGAACTTAATATTACCTTTGTAATATTCCTGCCAAAAATGATTAACCTGACTCTAGTCATGAGGATACAACGAGATGTACCTGAACAGATGGATATTAAGGGAGACTAAACAGACATAAAAATCAATGTGTAAAATTTGTCTTGATGTGGCTGCAAGGAAAAAAACGAAGGAAAAAAATCTGCTAGAAAGAACATTATTGGAACAACTAGAGATAGTTGTATAAAGGTTGTATATTAAGTGGCAGTGTCACCATCAATGTGAAATTTCCTGATGTAATCACTGTATTATACTTATGTAGAAGAATGTCATTGTCAGGAAACACAGATTACAGTATTTGGAGTTCCAAATATTATGAATGATGCATGCCACTTTCTTCCAAATGGCTCAGTTTTGGGAGAGAAAAGAAACATACACATACACACACACGCACGCACGCACACACCTATTCTTTCAAAATCAAATTTTTCAGAGAGAGGAAGCGTCAAGTTTTAATAAGTGGACTATTTAAGTGAAGCGTATATGGATACCATATGTGTAACTTTTCTGAAGATGTAAACTTCTTCAAAAGTAAAAGAAAATTTTTAAAAGACGCTATTACAGAAGAGGTAAAATTGAGGGGTCCTTCAGATAAAAGTAGAATAAGGCATTCTTGGCAAGAAGAAGGGGGTAAAGGATTATATTCCACAGTTGCAGTTACTAGCAACTTAGTGCAAGGTGAAGTTTTTTGAATAATCAATGAGAATATAAAAGAGAAATTCTACAAGACCTGAAAAGAGAGGTAGAAGTTTATAACTGAGGCAAATGATTTCAAAATAACAGGGCACTTACACTATCACCACAAAAAAAAAAAAAAGAAAAAAACCTTGAGTTGATGTGAGTCCTAATATATCTTTACCAATGGATAGACCTAAAAGATCAAAGACTGGGAATAAGAAAACCAAAACAGAACGTCTAAAGCATGCCATAATGTTTCCATTCAACCTTCTAAATTGTCCTTTTGGTATTTCATTATATATATGGGCACCTACTTTTGACTGCATATGTCCTTAATAGGCCAGCTTTCATTAAGAAGTTAAAATTCAAAGCCTACAGGTGTCAATGGGTATTGGGATTAAGTGATGGATGCTGGCAATTTTAAATCATATTCTCTTAATAGACATACTTTGTATATGAAATATCAAGGACTATTACTTATTTTTACAAAGCACAACATTATTTTTTTTTCACATCAGTGTGGCCCCGTCAGTCTGTTTTTTATTTTGCCATTTTTTTGGATAGACACCCAATATAAGCAGTATTATATTTTTGTCATCACATTTAAACCATATCCCTGACGGCAACACTGCTACTCAAGGCCAGTCTATTACTACCATGCTTAGAAAAAACTAAATTAGAAATCTAGATTTTTATGTGAATCTAATTGACCTGCAGAAGTTGGCAACTAATTTAAAAATTTTTAAGCATTGTGTAGGCCAACAACCAGTATGCAAGCTGTTTCTGGCCCATCGGTTGCCAATCTGCAACCTCTGGTTTAAACTCTAAACTTCTAAAGGCAGCCTTTATTTAAGTTTAAGTTTAAACTCTAAACTTCTAAAGTAGCCTTTAACTTATCAAGGAATCATCTTCATTTTCTGTTACCTTACTGTCAATAGAAAGTTTTACAATCAATATTTTGAAATTTGGGTCAAATATCACAACCACTATTTTTTTACAAGCAATTTGACATAATTATTGTCACTATTTCATAGGTAAGAAAAGGGATGCTGAGAGAAATTACATAATTTGTCCCAATACCACAAAGAAAAAAGCTTGTACATTCTAAAATAAATCTTTTTTGTATACTTTCCAAACACCCTGTGTTATGACTAAATTGTGTTATGACTATAATTGTGCTCCCCCGCAAATTCCTATGTTGAAGTCCTTAGTCCCAATGTGACTGTATTTGGAGACTGGGCCTTTAAAGAGGTAATTAAAATTAAATGAAATCATAAGAATGGGGTTCTAATTCAATAGGACTGGTATCCTTATAAAAAGAGGAAGACACACATTATAAAAAGAGGATGTAAGCAAAGAAAAAAACTGTATGAGGATACGGCTAGAAGGCAACTATCTGCAAGCCAAGGAGAGAGGCCTTAGGAGAAACTAACCCTGGTGGAACCTTGATCTTGGACAGCCAGCCTCCAGAAATGTGAGAAAACAGATTTTTGTTTAAATCACCCATTCTCCAGCATTTTGTTATGGTAGCCCTAGCAAATTAATACATCTCATTACTTCAAAATTACTACAGCACAACAATAATCAAGACATCCCAGAAGGCTTTCTATTACATGGCATTTGTATTTAAATTAACAATTCCCTCCTGTTGATTCTATACTTCAAAAGAGACACCAAAATCTAGAGAGATAAATCTGACATGAATCATTTGGTCAACAAATATTTATGTGACCCATACTCTATGACAAGTGGTGTGGATGACATGGTTACCACTGTTCCTTAACAGTTGGTAAATAAATTAAGAGAGGTACACACTAGAATATGTGACATGTCATAAATGTGGTATCAATGAAGTATTCTAAGAATGCAGAAGCTCTGAAGTAACCTAGAAACAAAGTAGAAAAAATACGCCCTGCTTTTTCAAACTATTTCTTAATACTGCTTTATTTCAGCAGATTTTTTTTGTTTATAGTAGATGATGTTCATCAGTCCATGCAAATATACATTGTCAAAAATTAGATCAACTTATAGTTCACCTTTATTCAAAAAAGCACATGGTCATAATGCCACAACAGTAACTATTATATACTGATAGTCCTGTATGTACAAGGACTGTGACAAAGGCATTATATACATTATTTCATTCAATCCTCACAACAAGCCTATTCTCAGTAGATATTATCACCCTCCTTCTCAAAACTAATATGTTATCTTGAGGGCTTCCTTGCATTTTATCTTCAAATATCTCAAAATTGATATTCCTGATGAGTCTAGATCCATAAATACATTCTCAATCTAAAATGTTAACTACTTCTGATTTTTTTTAAGTTCTATCTAGATATTTAGAGAAGAACATTAACACCTGCATATGCCCACAGGGTGATTTCAATCCCAATTTCCTAAATCATATTTCCATTAAAAATCAATTGAATTGGCTGGGTATGGTGGCTCATGCCTGTAATCCCAGCATTTTGGGAAGCCAAGGCAGGAGGATCACTTGAAAGCTCAGGAGTTTGAGACCAGCCTGGGCAACATAGTGAAGCCTCATCACTCCCTCTTTTTTTTTTAATCAATTGAATTAAGCTGTTGATCAGAAATGGTTAAATATCAGCAGCTTCATATAGTCCAACCTTAATATATGATTAGTTTTTTTAAAACAAAAAAAACCTCATCTTGTGACTCTTTTATTAGCTTAGCCAATAATAAAATAAAAATAGAGAACTTTACTAGAAATACGTTTCTTTATAACACCCTTCAGCAATCATTAAGAGACTGACTCTTAAACTTCAATAAGCTGAGGGTGGGGAAGAGAAAAAAAGAAAGACTGATTCCTTCAGATGGTTCAACATGTAAGTTGTTTTTTCATTCAAAATGACAATTTACTTTTGAGACTTCATCCTCAGTTCCCCAGGCTGTTAAGCTTTTCCCATTTCTAGTACAAACTTTATTTCAGGTTAACAATGTATTAACTGTCTATTTACCATGTGTAGATCCATGTTCTAGGTGTTTAGCTTTTCCTACCCACCTTATTCCATGATCTCCTCTTATGCATCATTAAGCTAAAGACACAGTAATAGCCTTAAAATGTTATTCAATGAAAAAAATGTATTAAGTATATTTGCATTGAAAGCACAGGAAAGGGTAAAAAGTTCTTCACAGAGTAAAGAAAGTACCTAAACTTGTTAAACTAGAATTATAAAATTTTATTTAAAATGCTGGTAATACATAAGCAACAGATTTTAGAAAGCAAACTTAACTTTCTCTTCAAGTACTGTATTTATTGCCAGAAAAAAGTTTAAATCATATTTAAAAAAAACAATAGAAGACCCAAACATTCATTTGTTTGTTTTATGTATATACTAAAAAAGCTTTGTCATGTTTCCATATCGTCTTGTAACTCCAAGTGTGCTCCAGGGACCAGGAGCTCCATCCTCACCAGGGACCTTGTTAAAAAATGCAGACTCAGACTCATTCTCAACCTGTATAATCACAATCTGCATTATAATATGCTTCCCAGGTGATTCCCATGCACATTAAATGTCAAGAAACATTGTTGGACAAAACAGTTCTTAAGTTGGGTCCTAGGGGTAAAATGAATTCCACAAACCCCCTGAAATTTCATGCAAAACATTTTGTGACAGAATATATGTACGTTTTACTGGGAAATGACTCCATATATTTTTATCAATCTTTCAAAGTAATACATAACCCCAAACAGATTAAGAATGACTGCCATACAGGGATTCTATGCCACAGTTACCATGCTTACAGATTAAAAGTCACAATATTCCAAAAACTATGCAGTTCTCAATGAGGTCTGTTGAAGAATGACAAGAATGAAGGTCAGAACGTCACAGTGGGTCACGAAAGACCTTATCTGAAGAATTTATTCACACCATGCAAGAACTATGCCAAGAAACCAGTTTGGAAACATCTAAATAAATAATTCTCTACATGAGGTTTGAGATTAAGAATGTGCACTTGAAGAAGATTCAAACTGAGAAGTAAATAAATATAAGGTAGAATTTTTTTTAAGATAGAATGCCATTAGATGACAGTGAAGTGCCAAATTTTTGTTTTAAGAGCTCAATCAGCAAATCTTTAATATGAATTGCTTGATTTGAGATATGGAACCATTTAAAAATATTAACTTCCAAGTACATTCTTACAGTACTACTTTTATGAGAAACCTCCAACACATTTTACTAGTCTCACTTTCCTCATCTTCTCTGGACCTCACAGGACAAGGCAAAGAAGGAGCATGGCACAAAAATTAAAAGGAACTTACCCAGGATCTTCAATAGGTCAATGATAAAGAATGGTTTCCTTTCATATATCATGGTTTCAATGATATATAAGAACTGTGTATATATTTTATTTTTCATCTTATCATCTAACCATCTCTTCAGGTACTGTATTATCCAAGGGCACAGACTATGTCTAGCCCATAAGCCACAGTATCTGACAGAATTCCATCTTGTTCATGGGTACTCAAAATGTAGATTAAAGGAGTTAGTTGGTCCTTCTTGAGACTGATGCGTTATTGTGCAACTACTGTGACTGATCATCTGTGATGGAATCTAATATCTGAAAGTTTGTCCTCCAGGGTGGATCCACATCTTAATAAGCCAGTCATTCCAGGCAAGAAGGGAGAATGCTAGAAAACATTCAGGGGAATGAAGTCCCCTCTATCTCTTTCTATCTCCATGAGTCATTAGGCCAATAGTTGGTTCATTTTACTTTAAAGTGGCCCAATAGATAACACTCAAAAGACTTTTCTTAGCTCTATTAAGAGCTATTAAGAGTTCTTGCAATCCATGTGCAATAGGGATAGGATGAAACTTTCAAGCATTATTAACTATTAATGTACTTCATTTACATAATAAACATATCCTAGTACAATATAAACTTTAAAAATGATAAATAAAATTATTCACTTAAATAGCAGAAGTGTGTCCCCTCAATAATGAAACGTATATAAAAGAATGTAGTAGTTTACGGCTGGGTGCGGTGGCTCACGCCTATAATCCCAGCAATTTAGGAGTCCGAGTCGGGTGGATCACGACGTCGGGTGATCCAGACCATCCTGGCTAACATGGTGAAACCCCATCTCTACTAAAAAATACAAAAAATTCACCAGGCATGGTGGCGGGCGCCTGTAGTCCCAGTTTCTGGGTAGGCTGAGGCAGGAGAATGGCGTGAACCCAGGAGGCGGAGCTTGCAGTGAGCCGAGATCGCACCACTGCACTCCAGCCTGGGCGACAGAGACTCCATCGCAAAAAAAAAAAAAAAAAAGTAGTAGTTTACATTCTTATGATAGCTCCTGTTCTATCAAACTTAAATGCTAAGGTTGTAGACATAAAAATAACATCTTTATTTGTTTTTCAGCTCAAATAGTTTAAACATTGCCAATTCAACTTTTGAAGTCAAAGAGGAATAATAATAGAGGCAGGCATAATGACAATAGAGATACATAACAGAAGTCAGCAAGGAAGAGTAATGAAGATAGAACAGAAACCAATGTTTTCTCACCACCCTTTAAGGAGCAGGGATTTGTGAAATCCTATGGGGTAGAGACTACTGCCTCTACTTAATAGGTGAAGACACTCAGTTTAACGATTAAACAATTTATCCAAGACTACAAAATTAGGACAAGTTTTGGGGAAGAGAGAAAAGCACGAGAGTAGTAAGGGTATAACAGGAGACAAGTATGGGGAAGAAATAGTGAATCCAGTTTTATCTGGAGAAAGGAAACAAGCACTTACAAAAAAAAGGCTACTGAGTACAAGAGTAAATGATTCCTTACATGTCAGTGGCCATTTTAAAAGTAAATGATATGATTATTAATAATTTTTTAAAACTTAAATGGCAGAGCCAGAATTTGAATACAGTCAGACTCTAAAGCTCATGCTCCTAAACACCACACTCACAAAGAGACATCCAGTTAATGCAAATGATAAATATTTAGAAAAAACATTTTAACAGGAAGTCTCAAAGGTCATAATAGTTTTATTTTTAAAAACACATTAAACATACTTCTAACAACAAAGAAAGATAGAAAAATATGTACTAGTTAAGGCACTTAATCTTATTCTTCCCTGACAGTGACACAGAACTAATCTATGAGGTTATGAATATGTCACAAAATTCCCAGTTACCCTGTAATCACTCATATATTTATTTCCTCCAGAAATGCAAACTCAACTTTCTGGAATCTTTGTGTATTTTCCATCTGAGCCATTTCTCAAGGTAAATAATCTATTTGTTCACTCTTCAGCTTTCGAAGTAACATTTTTTTGTTTTTCTGGACTAACCGTTGCAGTTTCAGCCGAGGTCACCTAGACCTCCTGTCTCTAGGTAGGTAAACTCTACTCTTCCTTTAATGTAGTTCCCAGCCAGTACAGAATTTAAAAACCCTGAAACTTTTCAAAATAGAGGAGTGAATTTAAAATTTGAATTCTCAAAAAAGAATCAGGATCTAAATTATCTTAGTATATCTTCAATTTCCTTAAATTGAGCCTTATTTGTATTCAAAATGGTATTTGATATTCAGAAGATCACACAAACTACATTATATGGATAAACTCTTCATCACATCTCAACCATACTATTTAAGCTTAAAAATAGTCTCACTTCCCAACATCAAATGTTACTTACCTCTTCATCATCTTCCTCGTCTTCAACATCCAGAATTCCTGAATCCTGTTCAGACTTCGGACTAGTACTTTCTATCTCTGTATCAAAGATTATATATGCATCTTTCTTAGATTTCCTCTTGCTACCTATTCTGGGTTGTTGCAAGACGATGTTATCCAGGTTTCTTTGCTGCTGGGCCTAGGATAGAGAAGAACACACACAAACACACCAAAAAGGTGGGGTTAGGGAGAGAGAAAGAAAGAAAAAAAGAAAAGAAACAAAACTTAATTAAGCTTTCAACAAACTTCTAATTTTGAACAAATTGATATCTTAACGAAAATACTACAACAAAAGGCCTTAGTACATAAAGTTTTAGTATCAGATATAAAACCATCACATTAATGTATACCTTTTTAACCCTGGAGCCATCGTATTTTAACTCATTTTCCAAGTTAACACAGAAAACAGATAATCAGTCAATATCATCATAAGGCTTTTCAAAAATATCCATTAAATCATCACAAAAAGAAATCTATCCAGTTTTGCCTTAGTAGGCCAGGAGATTAGTGCAAACGCCTAGCATTTATCTCTTACAAGAAAATACCACATTGAGACCATAATGCTTGGAGGAAAAAGGGTGGGGGCTTAGAATTAATTTTAATACATTTAGGCTTAAGAGACTGTTAAAAACAGTTATGTGGATATAAGAGACCAATGAAATAAAATCAGGAGAATGAATTATCTTCAGTAAGTGATTTGAACTAAGTAATCCAATAGGATTCCATGACTGTGATCTGTGGAAAGCAGGGTTATAAAGGGTTTTAAAGGGTTTTTTCTTCTGAACCCTAGAAAAGGTAGTATAATCCCTTCAGCTTAAAAAAAAATAGACTGACATGGTGGCATGGTTTCAATAGATACAGAGAAGTAGAAAGTGGGACTATCCAGAGTCAACAACAGAAGCATTAAACCACACATTATTAGAGCTAGAAGGTACCTTAATTGCCACTCAGGAAACTGAGGCTAGAAAACAAAGGATTTGCTTGAAGTCACAAGGCAAGTGAGTGGTAAATCAGAAGCTCAAAGTATGGTCTCCTAAATTTCAAATCAGTGACATTTCCACTACATCAACAGTCCCTCAAAGCGTGACCAAAATGTTTCCCAAAAATGAGTTGTGGTCAAATCAACAGGAAATACTGCGTCCCATGAAGCCTTCTTATAGATATGCAAGGCACACTAACAGAATAAAAGCTGGGAGAAGTCCTATTTTAAAGAAACTTGTTTAATCTGGTTTAACCCAGCATGTTCCAAAAACATTTCCCAAGAGAACTTTCCTTTTTGCTTTCTTTTAATGTAATATTTGGTATTACCCCAAGATAACAAAGCTTGAGAATGTGACCTCTGAAAGTATACATTTCTTAATCAATATAAGATATTTCTCCTCAGTGGCAAATAGAAATTAGTTCAGGGAAAAAATCAGTCTCCAAATCTTCTGCATAAGGTTAATGAAATGAAGATAAATATAAAGTATAAAAAGTTAGTCCAGGAATGGTGAAATGAGACAATTATAACAAGGCAGAGAAAAACTTCAACTATGTGAACTAGTTTCTGCCAAGAAAATGAAAAGAATCTACATTCCAGAGATTTGAATCAATGGACATACTTGTTTCTCTGCATATCAGCCATTGATATTTTGGTTAGATTTACATAAATACATGGCTTCAGTAACAAACTGAGATAGAGAAGTACCCCAAATCATTTAATTTAGGTTTGTACATAAGACACAATATCCTCCAAGCCTTTCAGAAACCAAGTTAAATAGAATATTCTATTGTTCTCAAAAGTAAGATGTTCTTCCCCACTTACTTCCAATGCAAAATATACAAAAAGGGATCAAGGACTCCGGGGCACAAAGGAAGGTAGAACTTCCTTTAAAACTTTCATATTTTTAAAAAGCAAGCTTTCAACTAGAGAGTGATCATTTGCTCCCTTAACTCTATCCTCTTGCAGTACAGCAAAACCAAACGATTTCATAAGTCGTATTTTATTGAATCCCAAGTTAATTATATTTCCTTCACAATCAATAAAATATTGTCAGTGTTTCAAAAGCAATGAACAAATGAAAGTTATCATCTATTCAAAATGTATGTTATGGTACTGGCAGGAGGTGGTGAAGACTAAATACTGATATAAATATATAAATACATATAATATATATTAAAATGAAAATGTGACATTGAAGTCCATGAAAATCAAAAAAAGAAAAAGCCCTTCAGAGATCTTTTCTAACATGCTATGCTGTTTCATCAAGATCACTGATTCTATCCCTTCAGAGACCATCATTATAATAATGTGTCAAAGAAGCAGCTGACTGACTTCTGCTGACTGGGATGGAATAGAGGGAGAGGGGTACAAGGAATACAAACAGCAGCTAGATCTTAGAAAGCATCTAGGTGTTTTCATTTTCTTAGTTGTTCATTCTATTTGTAAGTAATTTTTACACACTTAACCACCTCTTTCTCAAGAGTACTTCATATATATTCTTCTCTGATTTCCTAATATAGAGAAATTGAGCAAGGTTTATTCCTCAAACACTTATCTCTCAAATCACTCTTTCTACTCTCCCAAAACCCAGTAGCACAGGTCTTGTTTCCTATTACTAATGTGTGTTCCACCATCACCTCATTTCCATCACACCTAAAATGGAACTCATCACCTTCCAATTACAATCCCCCTACCTAATACAGCCAGGCTCTTCTTAAACCACATTTGTTCATCATGTCAATTAGATATAAGGGAAATTGGGCAGGTGGGGAGAGGGATTTAAACAAGTCTAAACTTCATAATCTAACACTTAGATTCCACCATAATAGAAGCTAAACCTAATTTTCCAATGTACTTACCCAATACCCTCCAAGATGAATCTTCCAATTGGATGAGGCTCTACCTCCTAATACGCTGGGTAAATTTCCACTTCTATATCCTTAGTTACGCCATTTCTTTACCTGATTACCTTTCCTTGCCTCAATCTAACCCTTCCTACAAAACCCAAGTACAATTCTTCTTCCTTTAGGAAGCAATTTCTCACTGCTCTAACTCATGATGCTTCCTCTCTGTACTCCTACCTTCAGTCAAACACGTGTTAAAAGTCTACATGGTACCAAGCATTGTGTTGCACACTGGTGATACAAAGAAATAAGATGGAGACCCTGACCCCTGAATCTCACATCATACTATTACAGGAAGCAAATCAACAAATAAAGGATAAATATGATAAAAAATAAATATGATTTTTCAGAGATAAATGAAAAAAGTAACCATTCCAGAAGAATGAAGCAGCAGGAGAAGGACTATGTATGAAAAAAATATTATCCACTCAGGAAACGGCAAGTAACTTTGTATAATTAGAGTATAGGTTATAAAGGAATAACAGGAGATAAAGATGCTATATAAAGCAGTTTCAATGTTAGAGAAACAATGAAAGAATGTAAGCAGGGGAATAATGGATCAGCTTTACAATTCAGACAAACCCTCTAGGAGTCAAGGAGTGGTCAACTGAGAGAAGACAAAGACTGGAAATAGAAAATCTAATATACATCACTAAAACAGTCCAAATAACATTATGAGAACTTGAATAAAGGTAGCAACAGATTACAAGAAGCAAAAGTAACAGAATTAACTGACTTAAATGTGGTACATGGAAGAGAAGAAGGAAATAAGAATAACTACAAGTATTCTGGCCGTGATGACTAAACAGTGGGGCCATTCCAAGCAATAGGAACCATGAAAATAGTAAGTTGAATGCAGGATAAAAAAAGATGAGTTCCCTAAACCTGTTGGGTATCCAGGTGAAAATGACAGTAAAGCACCTCAGTGTATACAACTCTTTCAGGATAAGAAAAACACTTTACCATTCTTAGACTGCCCCAAGTCCAGAAAGTGGCATACACATAGTAAATTTAGATATTTATTATATAAAGGCAACAGGTAACAAAAGGGAATTCATGTGAAAATGAGATTTGGCCCAATAAAAACTTATAAAAGACTTGACTTGAGTGCTTTTCTACCCATTAGAAGTTAGAGGAGAGCCCACAAGCATGACCTAACCTGGACTGTCAAACTAATTCACTATTAACACTTCTAAAACTGTCAAAGTGTGTCTATGAGGCATCTTACACAGGCCATTAAATAAACATTTATTGTGGAATGCAGCTTCCAGGGCTACCTAGCAATAAGACTCAGAGAGTTAAAAATAATAAGAATCAAAAGCTAAAGGCTCCTGACTTTCTCAATCCAATACTGACCTCTAGTGGATTAGAGGCATACAAACAAATGACCTTTAGAATAAGAAACTAGTTGAAAAGAAGATTTAGGCCTTAGAGGCCAAATATAATTATATAGGCTTCAATAACAGGGGAGAAACAAAGCTTCTTGGAGAAAGATAGGTCTTACTCTGCAACTTATTAATTGGGCAGGTTACTTCTCTCTGCAATATCCTTATCTATATATATAAAAAAAAATTAATCAAACCTACCTCAAAGCTGCCACAAGGCTTAAATGAGAAAATACATGTGAAGTCTCTTGAATTAAAACAAACAAACAACAACAACAACGAAAAACAAAAAAAAGCAAGCTTTACCTATCTTGCCTCTGAAAAAGAAATAAGAATTTTTTTTTTTTTTTTTTTTTTTTTGGAGACAGGGTCTCACTGTCATCCAGGCTAGAGTGCAGTGGCGCGATATCGGCTCACTGCAACCTCTGCCTCCTGGGTTCAAGCGATTCTCATGCCTCAGCCTCCCAAGTAGCTAGGATTACAGGCACGTGCCACCATGCTCGGCTCTGTTTTTGTATTTTTAGTAGAGACATGGTTTCACCATGTTGGCCAGGCTGGTCTCGAACTCCTGACCTCAAATGATCCACCCAACTCGGCCTCCCAAAGTCCTGGGATTACAGGTGTGAGCCACCACACCCGGCCAGGAATCTTGTTTCACTATCTACTATGGAAACATCTGAAACCCAGCAATATTTCTATACATAATAATTAATGACATCTAATATCACTGTATAACAAATTTTGCATTTACATACATTTCAAGTGTTATGTTTCTGTAATGGACACCATTGGTGCTCCACTTAAATCCTCTGTTTCACCTCTTATTCCAGCTACCATCAGCAACCAGTTCTGAACAGGCCTGGAAGCATCACATAATATAACCTGACATCAGGTTACTTGGATACTTGGATACTTACAGTACACTTCTTGCTGCCTGCCCTAGGACTTTTCTAATACCAGAATGTGGAACCCCACAAGAAGTACTCAGCACTCCTGCAGCACAATCTGGAAGTAAAACAACCCTTGAAAAGGAGCTGACAGAAATGTTTCTTTGCTTTGTTCCTTCCATAGTCAGTTCCAAAAGTCCTCTCAGAGAGTCCCATGGATTAAGCAACCAGACTGCCCTAGCATTATACCATTGTACTGACTCTCCCACCTTCTCTTTTCATTCCTCCTAACTCTTACTTCTGTTCCATGAGATCATACAATTGAATAAACCAGTCACATATCAACTCCGCAGGCTAAGAGAAACCAAAGCTACAATAACATCCCATCAACAATACAGTAAAGTGGAATTGTGATCCCTTGTTTAGTGTCTGAAGCCCAAAGGATAACCATGAAAATAAATGTCAAAATCAAGATAGGAAGAATCCAAAGATGCCACTTCAAGTCTCACCAAACAAAATTAACTGTAAAAAAGCTGTAGTTTCAAACCAGGGTTTTTTCACACTTATCAGGACTGGCTCTGGACTACATCTTTCTTTGGCAACCCACTCCAGTATCAGATTCGAACAAACAAAATGAAAACAAAACAAAAAAGTGATTTAAAATGAAGGAAAAAGACCATCTTCAGATAATCTCAAAAAAGTTATTTGTATGTTATTGTCCGTAGGAATGTGTTTATGTGAACACATGCATGTGTGTTTCATGTGATATTTTAAAACAAATAAATAGACAAATAGTTTTCTTACACCTTCATCATGACCCAAAGGATTTCCATCAATAAGGTTATTATACTTAGGACCTTTTTTATTTAAATCGAGGAAGGTGGTCACTATACCATCTTTAAAGTTCTCATAGTTACCCGAGGCCCAAGCAGATCTCCAAGTTCCTCAAGCACTCATCTCCTGGACAAGGAGTTTGGGTTGCCTCCACCTCCCGCACCCTGCCCCTGCTGGCCAAGGCAGAGAACTTGGGACCAAGATTTCCCTGCTCCACACCTAGGCATACCTCTGGGCACTTGGTGGCCCCCCACTGGATTCTCCTTCAGCACTAGTGCTTGTGCCTTCCACTGGCAGACCTGTAGGTGGGCCTGCTGGGTCTGACCCCTCCCATCTTACCCATCACTCCCCTAACCCCCAGGGCAAAGCTGGGAGCTGAGACCAGGGTGCACTCCACAGATCAGACCATTGCCTGAGGCAACAGAGAGCTTCTCCCAATAAACAAGGGTCAGATATATACCCAACCACATTGGGCACAATCAGCACTGACCCATATGCACCACCTACTGGCTTCCAAGTTCAATCACAAACTCAATATAAAATCTGCGGACAGAAGTTCATAGGCCATAGAAGAAAAGCCAAAAGACCCTGCCCAACATTCTCGGTAGTTATAGGCCTTAGGGAAGGTGAAAGAGAAGGGGAAATATATATATATGGGCAAAAAATAAAAATTTAAAAATTCTATCCACACAAAAATGATTACAGGCCAGGAGCAGTGGCTTATGCCTGGCTGTAATCCCAGCACTTTGGGAGGCCAAGATGGGCTGACTGCTTGAGCTCAGGAGTTCCAGACCAGCCTGGGCAACATGGAGAAACTCCATCTCTAACCATAAAAAAACAAAAAAATAAAAAAAGGCTGGGCACCTGTGGCTGTGATCCCAGCTATTCTGGAGGCTGGGGTGGGAGGATCACTTAATTTCAGGAGGCGGAGGTTGCAGTAAGATGAGATCATACCACTACACTCTAGCCTGGGTGATAAAGTGAGTCCTTGTCTCCAAAATAGAAAAGAAGTACAGAATTTTTTTTTTTTGAGATGGAGTTTCGCTCTTGTTGCCCAGGCTGGAGTGAAATGGCACAATCTTGGCTCATTGCAACCTCCACCTCCCGGGTTCAAGCAAAGAATTACAGAAATTAGAAGTCTCAATGTCTCCAGCTGAGAAGGAAGCAGTACAAATATTCTGGCACCATGAAAAATCTGAATGTAGTGACACCACCACAGGATCACACAGGCTCTCCAGCAATGGTTCCTAACCAAAACGGAAATTTAAAATTTAGGGTTGGGGAGTGATGGGTAAGATGGGAGGGGTCAGCAGGCCCACCTACAGGTCCCCCAATTGGCCAGGCTGATCTCTTCTTTAACAAATAAAGAATTCAAAATGGATTGCAAAGAAGCTCAATGACATCTAAGAAAAGGTTGAAAATCAACACAAAGAAACTTCTAAATTAATCAAGGAAATGAAGAGAAAGATAAATACATTAAAAGAAATTAATTAGAGCTTCTGGAATTGACAAACTCACTTAGGGAATTTCAAAATACAACAGAAGGTTTTAGCAACAGGCTGGACAAAGTGGAAGAAAGAATTTCAGACCTTAAAGACCAGTCTTTAACCTAACCCAGCCAGACAAAAATAAAGAAAAAATAATTTTTAAAAATGAGCAAAGTCTTCAAGAACTATGAGATTATGTAAAACAACCAAACCTATGAATTACTGGCATTCCTAAGAGTGAAGAAGAAAAAGTCAACAACCTGGGAAACATATTTCAGGGAATAATTATAGGTAACCTCCCTAATCTCACTGGAGAGGTAAACATACAGATATTAAAAATCCAAAGAACACCTGCAAGATACTACACAACATGAACATCATCAAGGCATATAGTCAACACACTATCCAAGGTCAACTCTGAAAGAAAAATCTTGATAGTAGCTAGAGAAAAAGGTCAAATCACATACAAAAGGATACCCATGGGGCTAACAGTGAACTTCTCAGTAGAAATTTCACAAGACAGGAGAGATTAGGAAAATATTTTCAGTATTGTTACAGAAGAGAAACTCGAACCAAGAATTTGATATCCAGCCAATTAAACTTCATAAGCAAAGGAGAAATAAAATCTTGTCCAAACAAGCAAGCACTAAGGGAAGTTGTTACCACTAGGCCTACCTTAAAAAAGACCCTTAAAGTTCTCTGGTTTTTTTTGTTTTTGTTTTTGTTTTTTTTGATGGAGTCTTACTCTGTCACCCAGGCTGGAGTGCAGTGGCATGATCTCAGCTCACTGCAACCACCACCTCCTGGGTTCAAGCTATTCTCATGCCTCAGCCTCCTGAGTAGCTGGGACTACAGGCGCACGCTACCATACCCAGCTAATTTTTTGTGTTTTTAATAGAGATGGGGTTTCACCATGTTGGCCAGGCTGGACTCAAACTCCTGACCTCAAGTGATCTGCCTCCCTTGGCCTCCCAAAGTGCTGGGCTTGCAGGCATGAACCATCCGCACCCGGCCCCTTAAGGGAGTTCTAAACATGGAAACAAAAGAACAATACCTGCTACCACAAAAGTATACTTAAGTACATTGCCCACAAGACCCTATAAAGCAATAACAATAGAAACTACAAAGCAACCAGCTAACAATTTCAATATTAACTTTGAATATGAAGTCTAAATTCCCTACTTAAAAGGCACTGATATGCAAGTAGGGTTAAAAAAAAAAAAGAAAACAAGACCCTTCCATCCTGTCTTTAAGAGACCCATCTCACATGTAATGACACCCATTGGCTCAAGGGATTTGGGCCTACTCATAGGCACAAATAGAAAACAAAACAAAAAAAAGCACAGGCTACCATTCTTATATCTGATAAATCACACTTTAAGCCAACAACTATAAAAAAGGACAAAGTAGGGCATTATATAATGACGAAAAGTTCAATTCAACAAGAAAACTTAACTATCGTAAATATGTATGCACCTAACATTGGAGAACACAGATTCATAAAACAAGTTCTTCTTGACCTAAGAAAAGACTCAGACAACCACACAAAAATAGTGAAGGACTTCAGTACCCCACTGGTAACAGACAGATCACAGAGGCAGAAAACTAACAGACATTCTGGACCTAAATTCAACAGTGGACCAATTGGACCTAACAGACATCTACAGAACACTTCACCCATCAACCATGAATATACATTCTTCTCATTTATACAAGGAACATACTCCAAGATTGATCACATTGTTGGCCATAAGGAAAGTCTCAAATTAAAAGAAAAAAAATTGAAATCATACCAACCACACTCTCAGAGCACAGTGGAATAAAAACAGAAATCAATACCAAGAAGATCTCCCCAAACCACACAATTACATAGAAATTAAACAACTTGTTCCTGAATTACTTTTGAGTAAACAACAAACCAAGACAGAAATCAAAATATTCTTTGAAATAAATGAAAACAGAGACACAACATACCAAGATATCTGGGATGCAACAAAAGCAGTGTTAAGAGGAAAGTTTATAGCCCTAAACATCTACCTAAAAAAGTTAGAAAGATCTCAAATTAATGATCTAACATCATACCTAGAGAAATGAGAAAAACAAGAACAAACCAACCCCAAAACTACTAGAAGAAAAAACCATCAGAGAAGAATTGAACAATACTGAGATGCAAAAATGCATACAAAAGATCAATGAAATTAAAAATGGGTTGTTCTAAAGAAAAAACTAGATTAATAGATTATGAGCTAGATTAACAAATAAAAAAGAGAGAAAATCCAAAATAGCACTATCAGAAATGACAAAGATGGCCAGGTGCAGTGGCTCATGCCTGTAATCCCAGCATTTTGGGAGGCCAAGGCAGGTGGATCACCTGAGGTCAGGAGTTTGAGACCAGCCTGGCCAACACGGTGAAACCCCATCTCTACTAAAAATACAAAATCTGCCAGGCATGGTGGCACACACCTGTAGTTCTAGCTACTAGGGAGGCTGAGGCAGGAGAATCACTTGAACCCAGGAGGCAGAGGGTGCAGTGATCCGAGATCACGCCATTGCACTCCAGCCTGGGCAACTGAGTGCAAAAAAAAAAAAAGAAATGACAAAGGTGATATTACAAGAGATACCACAGAAATATAAAAGATCCTCAGGGCCTAGTATGAACACCACTATGCACACAAAGTGGAAAATCTAGAGGAAATGAATAAATTCCTGGGTAACACAACCTCTAAAGATTAAATCAGGAAGATAGTGAAACCCTGCTAGACCAATATCGAGTTCCAAAATTGTATAAGTAATGAAAAAAACCTACCAACCTAAAAAAAGCCCTGGACTAGATGTATTCATACCCAAATTCTACAAGATGTGCAAAGAACAACCACTGGTACCAATTCAACTGACATACAGACCAAACAACACAATAGAGAACCCAGAAATAAAGCCACACACCTACAACCATCTGATCTTCAACAGTCGACAAAAATAAGCAATGGGAAAAGGAGTTCCTAATTCAATAAATGGTGCTGGGATAACTGTGTAGGTATATACCAAAGAATGAAGCTGGACCCCTGTCTTTCACATATACAAAAATTAACTATGATGGATTAAAGATTTCAATGGAAAACCTCAAACTATTAAAATGCTAGAAGAAAACCTAGGAAATGTCATTCCAGACATCAGCCTTGGGAAATAATTTATGTCTAAGTCTACAAAAGCAATTGCAACAAAAACAAAAATTGATAAATAGGACCTAATTAAACTAAAGAGCTACACAACAGAAGAAACTATCAACAGAGAAAACAGACAACCTACATACAGAATGGGAGAAAATATTTGCAAACTATGCATCTGATATCCAGAATCTATAAGGAACTTGAACAATTCAACAAGCAAAAACAAATAACCCCATTAAAAAGTCGGCAAAATACATGAACAGGCACTTCTCAAAAAAAGACACACCGCAAACTTGGCCAGGCGCGGTGGCTCAAGCCTGTAATTCCAGCACTTTGGGAGGCCGAGGTGGGCAGATCACAAGGTCAAGAGGTCGAGACCATCCTGGTCAACATGGTGAAACCCCGTCTCTATAAAAAAATACAAAAATTTGCTGGGCGTGGTGGCACATGCCTGTAATCCCAGCTACTTGGAAGGCTGAGGCAGGAGAATGGCTTGAACCTGGGAGGCAGAGGTTGCAGTGAGCTGAGATCGCGCCACTGCACGCTAGCCTGGCGGCAGAGCAAGACTCCGTCTCAAAAAAATAAAAAAATAAAAAAAAAAGAAGACATTCATCAACAAACAAAAATACGAAAAAATGCTCACCATTACTAATCATCAAGGAAATGCAAATCAAAACCACAATGAGGTACCATCTCACACCAGTCAGAATGGCTACTATTAAAAAGTCAAAAAACAACAGATGCTGGTGAGGCTGCAGAGAAAAGGGAATGCTTATACATTGTTGGTGGGAATGTAAATTAATTCAGCCACTGTGGAAAGCAGTTTGGAGATTTCTCAAATAACTTAAAACAGAACTACCATTTGACCTAGCAATCCCATTATTGGGTATATATCCAAAAGAAAACAAATCATTCTACCAAAAATACATATGAACTCACATGTTCATTGCAGCACTATTCACAATAGCAAAGATGTGGAATCAACCTAGGTGCCCATCAATGGTGGACTGGATAAAAAAAAAATGTGGTACATATACATCATGGAATACTAGGTAGCCATAAAAAGTAATGAAATCATGTCCTTTGCAGCAGCATGGATGCAGCTAGAGACCACTATCCTAAGCAAACTAATGCAGGAACGGAAAATCATATACTGCATGTTCTCACTTATAAGTCAGAACTAAGCATTGGGTAATCATGGACATAAAGATGGCAACAATAGACACTGGGGACTGACTAATAAAGGGGGAGAGAAAGGAAAGAAAAGGGTTGAAAAATTAACTGTTGGATACTATGCTCACTATCTGAGTGACAGGATCATTCACATCCCAAACCTTAGAATCACACGTGTAACAAACCTGCACGTGGCCACATGAAACTAAAATAAAATTAGAAATTATTTTTTAAAGTGATGATGATAATAATATGTTAGGGCCACCTTATCTTTAACAAAAAATACATATGTAAAATAATTGTGTTGGTTTTGTTGATAAAAATAAACAAATAAATAAAATTATAATCATTGGGCGTCAAAGAGAATCATCAACAGAGTAAAAAGGCAGCCTAGAAAGTGGGAGAAAATATTCACTAATCATGTATCTGATAAGGGATTAATACCCATAGTATATGAAGAATTCCTTAAATGCAACAACAACAACAAAAAAAAAACAACTAACCCAATCTTTTTAATGGGCAAAATAGTTGAATAGACATTTCTTGAAAGAATACATACAAATGTCCAACAAAAATATGAACAGATGTCAACATCACCAATCATTAGAGAATACAAGTTAAAACCACAAGGAGATATCCTCACACCCATTAGGAGGGTCACCATTAAAAACAAATAAAATGACAAGTTTTAGCAAGGATGGGGATAAACTGGAAACCTTGTGCATTGTTGGTGGAAATGTATAATATTTTCCACTACAGAAAACAGTATGTAGGTTCCTCAAAAATATTTAAAATGAAATTAAAACATTATCCAGAAATCCCATGTCTGGTTAAATATCCAAAGAATTTAAAGCACGAAATCAAAGAAATACCTGCAAGCACATGTCCGTTGCAGCATTATTAACAACAGCCAAGAGGTGAAAGCAAACCAAACATTCATCAAAGGATGAATGGATAAAGAAAATGTGGCATATACATACAATGAAATATTATGTGGTCTGAAATAAGAAAATTCTGTCACATTTTACAGCATGTATAAACCTTAAGGACATTATGCTAAGTAAGCTAGTCATAAAAATTAAAAACAAAACTGTATGAAACCACTCATATGGGGTATCTCAAGTAGTCAGACTAATAGAAATAGAAAGTAGAATGGTGGTTGCTAGGGCTGGGAGCAAGGGAATATGGGGCGTTAATGTTCAGTGAGTATACAGTTTCAATTTTGCAATATTAAAAAGTTCTAGAGATTGGCTGTACAACATTGTGAATATACTTAACACTACTGAACTGTACAATTACAGCTTGACCACACTGGAAAAAAAATCAATTAATAATTTTAATTTTTTTAATTATAATTGATATCCTTAGCCCTTTGAAAATTGAAAGGTTTGACTCCAGATTATAATTAAATATTTATTTCATTGGTGGATGAGGAGGTATTTGTACTATTAGAACTCATTTTAATGATGGACACATAGAGGACATTACAATTTGTGTGAAGCAATAATGAAATTTTTACAGAATTCTTTAGTGAATTTGAGTAATTCCCAGCTCTTTTTAAATATTACCTTTTTCCTTTACATAGACATATACGCACTCACACCAACATGGGTTAATTGCACTTACTTGATAGATTTCTTCATAGGAAAGTAAAAAATTAAAAGAATTACTATGAAGAAACAAAAGGCAGTGACGCCAAGAAGAAAAAAACACCAGAAAAGAGTCACGATACCTAATTTGTTCTAAATGCGACTATTTGTGTAATCTTGTGTCATTTTACTCACTTAAAAAATAAAAAAATTTGAGCCTCTTAAAATAGATTTAGCCCTAAATTCTATATATTCATTATTTTGACACTTGAAACAATATAAATTCAGTGCAAAAAAAGTAGAATATAACATTTATCTTACTTCAAAAATGAAAAAAGAGATAAATTTTTTAAAACCACAACACTTTCTGATAAGACAGTTGACACAAACTTAGTAACTCTTTAATAATTAATACGCATATTTGAGTTGAAATAACTAATTCAAAGGGAAAAATTAATTTATTTCATTTCCTTCTACCATCTTCAACAAAGTATTACGAAGTGCTCTGAATTTCTGAAACATTATCAAAATGCAAAACAGTCAGTAGTATGTACTGAGTATTCAGAATACTTAAATTAAGAACACATTCCAGGAAAAAAAAAAGTATTTTTTGTTAAAAGAGTAATGTTTTAAATTTTGGCAATGAACGGGATATGCAGGTCTATCTGGTAATTTGGCTCCAAGTGATCTGCTGTGAGGTAGTGTCTACATGAAAATTAGTTTTCACCTAGCAAAACTAAGGGGAATCTAAAAGGTTGTTGTGAGTGTGCACAGTGGGTCACTAAAATTATCTCCCCATGTCTACTTACTCTCTTTTTTTCTCCTCATATGTTTGCACCAAAAAAAAATGATATAACAGATCTGATATAACTTAGTTGACATGGCATTGAATGGAAAAAAAAAATGATGTGTTAGAAAGCCACATTTGGATTTAAACATTCTGTTTCAAATAAAGGCTTCTGTAAGAAGTTCAATGAAAAGAAGAAATTCAAAGACCACATCAAAGTGAAGGGCAGTACTCCAAGCTGCCCTCCAAAGAGGGGAGAATGATGAAGGAAGCCAATTTTTAGCAGAGGAAACATGTACCTTTAGTGTGGTTTACTAGAAAAGCCAGGACATAACGTCTCCTATCCTGTAAATTACCTTGACAATTGGGCATAATCTTAGGATTTTGGTAATGTTGTGGATAGAAGTCACTGGCTATATAAGTTGCTAATGAGATGAAGGATGGGTGATTCAAACGCATATAAGACAACTTATCATAGACAAAAACTCCATACAAAGAAATTTTGATTATGATCCATTCATATTATACCAGTAGTATAAGCTACTGGTAACAAAGCAAATCTAGAAAAATAATATGAATAACATTGTAGTTTATAAACATAAGTAGAAAAGTTATAAAAATGAAAATCTATGTTCACACTCCAAGAGTATTTTAAGAAAAGCTATCAAGAGACCCAATCAATACATAATAGAAATATTAACAAGAAAACAATATGTTACTATGCTATGCTTGATTCATATTCCCCAGAAATTCTACATATAACAACAAAAAATGGCAAAAAACTAAGGATCTAAAGCCTAGCTTTGTCCACATTGAGGGTTTTTGTTAAAGATTCAAAAGCTTAAAATTAAAATCATTCACTTCACTTTACGTACAACTGCCTAGCACTGTAACTAGCACAGAACAGATAGTTTTTAAATGAGTTTCTTTCTTCCTTCCATAATCTAATGTTTCTTTATCAATAACTTCTGCTAACATAGAAGGTATATTTTTATGGACCACACTAGACAGGTATGATCAGTATCATTACAGGGAGATAGATCATATCTCTACTACCTATTCCTTTAAGAAGTGTCATAGGAAAATGGATAGCATAATTGCCATTTAGTCAACCTATGAAAGACCAAACAAAAGAACCATAATCTAGCTTATAACAATGAATTAAAAAGTTGATCCCAATTTCTTACAAAAATTGAGTTTTGATGAACCATAGTAGAGAGCTAAGAAGTGTGTCAGAGAATACAGAGAACATCTCTATTACCTGTTCTGTAAAAAGTGCCATAGAAAAAAGAATAGCAAAAATTGCAATGTACCCAATCTATGAAAGACCAAACATTGTAAATTAAGATCTAGTTTATGAAAATAAATTAAAAGACTAGTACAAATGTGTCACAAAAATTGAGGAGTAGGCTATCAGAGTTAATCAAAATGAAGTTATTAAAACTTCTAATTTGGACCATCTGTCTACATATGTGATTTTTAAATGTCTTATCTTTATCCACCAATGAAGCTAGTGATGTTTGTTTCAAAAATAAATGCAAACTAAATTGTTCTGTGATTGTCACTGGAGCTGATTATTACAAAGCTGAAAGACAGCTACTGTTACCTCAGGTTCAGAATAGTTACTGCTCATTTTGTCTGATATTTTATGAGTCCTTTTAAGAGACTGAGACACACAATATTAAGAAACCATTTATAATAACCCTTTGAATGGCATCATATTCCTAAGAAACAATATTACCAAAAGCAGCCTTTCTATAAGAAGAAAAAGAGTACAAAGTTAACAAAAAATGACAGCAAAACGGCTCAAGGCTAGAGACCCATTTGAAACTTTTAAAATCTTCCTAAAATCAGATGGACATGTGTTCTCTTATTGCTAGGTATAAAACTATACACTCACACAAACTTCTGTTTCCAGTTTTAACTTAAAAGCCAGGTGTTTCTCAAGATATTAAAGGTTCCTATACATCCTCCTAATGAAATTTAACCTTGTTATCACAGCAGGTATTTAGTCCAGTAAAAATAATCAAGTTTACAGTCATTAATGTGTAAATCAGAGAGTCTGTAAATAATTTTGAATCTAGAAATATCATTATGTAGCAAATAAAAAGGGCAAACTAAAGGAGGAAATATAAATGTCTGCTAATAGGGAATCATATCACGAAAAAGAATAAGAAATTTATACAACATAAATATGAAGAAATATTGCTCAATTAATTTTTAAAAACCATGTATTGAAAGAATAGTTACATGGAGAAATGTTCTTAATATTATGTTGTTTTAAAAAAGATATTTATATATACAATATTATCAAAATTTTATAATACAAATGTGAATATAAATAATTGTAAAGAATATCCACTTCTGGCAATGGTGAACTAGATAATTTAGATAAGAAAAAGAACAACAAAGTATAAAAGCCGACTGTTTAAAGGCATCAGAGAGCTAAAAAGATGGCAAAAACCTTTTGGGCCAGCATCCAGGAAAGGAAAGTGGGGAAGAGAGACCAATATTTGTAGCCATTCTTCCTTTGAGGGCATTTGCCAATATTGGAGGGGTGACAGAGTGACTAAGTGGCACTTTTGACAATGCCAAAGGATTAGAAAATAGACACAAAAGTCAAGTTCCAACAGGTAGGAATGGCCTTGATATATCCCTCACTTTGGGTTGGAGCCCTGAAAACTTGAACTCTATGACAAGGGTACACCAGGATTAGACTGACTGTCCCTTGCAGGAACCCATACTAAGCATGAAACTGGATTAAGGTAATTACAAAGTATTAGTGTCCCCCAGGATCCTAGAATAATACTGTCCACTGGTGTCTGATCAAAGCAAACGTGAATCCTCTCCAAAAAAAGATACCATCATCCCAGACTTTCAGTGGTTTCTACAAACAATTTTGACACGACAGTGCTGTGGTGCTGTGATATAATAAGAAATATATATTTGGTCTTCATCCCCACTGCCCAGCACAGAGCTTCTAAAACCCTTGTAACTTCCTAAGTGACAGAGGTGATGCGAGCATCTTTAGTTATAATATTTGGTTTTGTCCCTGGTTTCTGGCACAGAGCACCTGAACACCCTTGGAATTTCTGAGTGTAAGAGGAGTGTCCTTTTTATTCATAAGCCCCTTTCAACCATACCTGAGTTTGTGCTAATAACATGACTCTTCGCAGATAGGGGCTGGTTACTAGAGGAATCAACCACAGGATTAAAGGGTTCAAATTTTCAGCCCCACCCCTTGACATCAAAGAAGAAAAGAAGAGGTGGAAATTAGTTCAATCATCAGTGGCCAATGATTTAATTAATCATGTATATGCAATGGAACCTCCAAAAAAACCGTAAACAACAGGGTTGGAGAGCTTCCAAGATGGGGAACACATCAAGATGCTGAAAGGGTAGCACGCTTGAAGAGGCCATGGAATCTCCATGCCCTTCCTCCATACCTTGTCCTATGCATATCTTCCATTTGGCTATTCTTAAGTTGTACGCTTTCTAATAAACTATGTTTATTAGTAAGTAAAGTATTTCTCTGAGTTCTGTAAACCATTACAGCACATAATAAAACCTGAGGAGGGAGTCATCAGAACCCCCAATTTGTAGCCAAGCTAAACAGAAGGATGGGTAAACAGGGGACTTACTTCTTGGGATTGTTATCAGCAGTATTGTAGGACTGAGTCCTTAACCTTTGGGGTCTGCTATACCTTGTTAGATAGTATCACAATTGCGTTAAATTGGAGGACATTCAGTTGATGTTCAGAGCGAATTATAGAATTGCTTTTTGTAGAAAACCATTTGCTGTCAGAAGTGTTAGCAGAATAGAAAAACAATTTTTTCCCTTCAAATGCCGGGGATGCAATCAAAAGTAACCAAGCTCAAAGGAGATAAGACAAGATGAACAAAAACCAATAGGGATCTTAAAAAAAAAAAAAAAGAGGAAGGAGATATAACAGAGCCCTCAAATTTGTAATTATTAGATACAGACTTTAAGGAATCAAAGGCAAAACAGCACTACAAACCCAACATTCAATGGATAAAAATAGAATATTACAAACAACTTTATGCCTATATATTCAACAACTTAGTTGAAACCAGGATGTAAACTACTAAAGCTAACTCAAAAAGAAAATGATAAACTGAATAGCCTTGTATATATTAAAGAAATGGAACATGTAGATAAAAACCTTCCAACAAGTAAAACACAGGGACTGTTCGTTCCCTAGTAAATTCTATCAAACATTCTGGTTGTTGTTATTGTTGTTGTTGCTGTTGTTAAGACAGGCTTTTACTGCGTTGTCCAGGCTGGAGTGCAGTGACATGAACACAGCTCATTGCAGCCTTGACCTCCTGGTCTCAACTGATCCTCCAAACTCAGCTTCCCAAATAGTTGGGACCACAGGGGCATGCACGCACGCCTGGCTAATTTTTTTAAATTTTTTACAGAGACAGGGTGTTACTATGTTGCCCGGGCTGCTCTCAAACTCTTAGCCTCAAGCAATCTTCCCACCCTGGCTTCCCAAAATGTTGGGATTACAGGCATGAGCCACCACAACCACTCTGTATTAAACATTTAAGGAAGAAATACATATCAATGCCACACAGCAACTTCAGAAAATGGAGGAGAACAGGATATATCCAAACTCATTTTACAAGGCCAATACTACCCTAATACTAAAGACTAGAGTCAACCTAGCAAACAAAAAGGCAAATGAGCACAGTGCTTTACAATGACCTATCTAAATTTAAGTAGGGAAATGCCTGAACACCCAGGAGATGATGGATGCTGCCCAGCCACCTCCATACTTTGAGTAAGATGTACCTCCAAAGAAAGACAATTATATATGTTTGGAGAAAGTGTTTTGATACAAACAACCCAACTTGTTTCTGCTGTCTTCCTATTACTGCCAACTTATTCATTACCCTGATCATAACAAGAAGCTAAATGACCACTATAATGTATTTTCTATGAGAAAAAAGATTTCCATTTGTTTGGTTGACTAATGTACCTAAATATTTGCAACAAAACCTGGCATTTAGAAACAGTAACAAATGGTTAAAATAAATGGATTTCTACACAAAAATTTAAAACCAAAGTTTTCCAGCTCTCTAGCTCATTTTCAAAAGGATGATTCAAATAGTATATAATTAAAGAAAAAAAGATACCAAAGAAAATCTATGCACAATATAGTCTTTAGAAAATACACATCTAGAAATTAACATTCCCATTCAAAGACAATTAATAAGCATGGTGACGCCGGACGCAGTGGCTCATGCCTGTAATCCCAGCACTTTGGGAGGCAGAGGTGGGCAGATCACTTGAGGTCAGGAGTTCAAGACCAACCTGACCAACATGGTGAAACCTCATCTCTACTAAAAATACACAAAAATTAGCCAGGCGTGGTGGCAAATGCTTGTAATCCCAGCAACTTGGGAGGCTGAGGCAGGAGAATCACTTGAACTCAGGAGGCAGAGATTGCAGTGAGCCGAGATGGTGCCACTACACTCCAGCCTGGGCAACAGAGCAAGATTCTGTCTCAAATATATATATATAGATATATAGATATATATATCTATATATATATATGACAATTAATAAGCATGGAGAAGAAAATGAACAAAAAGGAAAGATATGTAAAGATAGGCTAATAATATAATTTTAAAAATAAAAATAATTGTATTAAAATAAAAAATTTTGAAAAAATAATTTTGTGTAGTAAAAGAAAAAACAAAAACTTTTCTATAATATCAAGAAGTTAAGAAAATATGAATACTACAGAAAAAGTTATCAAAGAAGAGACACAACATGCTTTTATAAAGTAATATGTCAGAAGAATATTCTTTTAAAGAGTGATGAGAGTTAATGGAAGAAACAGAAAAAACTTAAAAGCAATACAGAACTGAAAACCCATTAGAAGCCAGAAGCAATACCAAATTAGGGTCATAAAGGAGAGAAGTGACACAAATTTTTTTAAAAGACATAGATACACAATAAGAAGACAGACAAAAATATGAAAGAAATTAGAGAAATGATGATAAATATGGAAGACTGACAATGGAATGCCAACATACTGTAATTACTTTCAGATTAAGAGAAAAGAACAAGCAGAATATAAAAATGCTGAAGGCTAAAAAATGTTTCAAGTTCTCAATTTGCACAAATAAGACTACCATGTTCCAAAAGAAATAATCAATACCAAAATATAGCCTAGAAAGATTCCTGAACTTGAAGTCTAAAAATCTTATCACCAAGTCAAAAGAAGCATACCGCACCACAAGTGGTGGAAAAAAGAAAAGGAAGGCCTCTGGCTTCTCCTCAGTAATAATAGATGTCAAAAGACAAGAGGTCTGGTGAGACAGCCCAGGAAGAATGAGTTCTAAAAATAGTATAAAAAGCCAAGGTGGAACAGACTTCTGGTTTCAGCTCCAAAGTGTGAAAAGCTTAGAAGCTGTGACTCCCATATTCACAACAAGAAAAAAGATGAAAAACTAGAAAACTCTTCTCAGATCCATCAGAGAATTGAGGTCCCAAGACAAGATGCTTCCCAGAAAATTAGAGAGACAGGTGAATACAGAGAAATCACAACTATCATGAGCAGAATCCCCTGGTGCCTACCCAGTAACAGGTAGGAAAACTTAAATGATACATAATTACTGGAACAGTGTTAAAAGTTAAAACTCTTTAAGAGGCCCAGTCTTAGGGGGGCTCCTGAGTTTTACCTTTAGGAGCTTTCCAAGGTTCTCATGGAGAACATCCAAAAAAATCCCCTCCTGCTTCCAGCAGAGAAAGGAGAAACGTAACCATTTTGAAATATGCTCCCTCTAGTCTTCCTTTCTTACATAAAGGAAGAAAAACATAAAGGAAGAAAAAAGAAGAAAAAGAAAGGTCAAGAAACTCTGAAGGTCACAGTCCAGGAATGTTGGTTCAATATTTTTTAACAAAGAGAGAGAGATTTAATCATAAGGCTACAGAAAGCTTCCTACCTCCAACCCCAAAAACCTTACCACCACATTAATAACAGTGAATTACAACAGAAAGAGCTATAAAACACTGTTTAAAAAGGAGCTACTAGGGAAAGCTAAAGACAAGGGAGAGAAAAACAAGGACACAAGAGGAAATTGAAGGCTCTGACACCAAAAATTACAGTAAACATTAAATACAGACTAACTCCTACCTAGATAAACATAAATACTCATATTAAAATCCTATTTATCTCAGATCTTAATATCTAATGCATCATGTCTATCAGAGAGGGTGGAATGGGGAATAATTATTGTACAGCTATCTCTATTTACTCCTAAAACATTTCCATTATCCCAAAAAGAAACCCTATATCCAATACCCTTAAGGTTTCTTTCTGGGATAATGGAAATGTTTTAGGAGTAAATAGAGATAGATATACAAAACTGAATATACTAAATGCCACTAAATTGTTCACTTAAAAATGGTTAATTTTATATTATGTAAATCTTACCTCAATTTAAAATTTTTAATTCTTAAAAATAATACCAATAATGGATTAGGTTATTATAGTTTATGGATAAAGGAAATTAATGACAGCAATGTTATAAGGAACTAGAGGGAGGAACTGGGAATACTCTGTTACAATGTATCTGCCCTACTATGAAGCATTACACTGTTATTTGAAAGTGGACTTAGATTAATTATAAATGGATATTGCAAACCCAAGAACAACTGGTAAAAATTTTTAAAGAAAGTATAATTATATGCTGAGAGGGAAAATGGAATTCTATAAAATACTCAATTAAAAACCATAAAAGGCAGGAAAAAAAGATTTTTTTAAAGGAACAAAGGACAAGTATAATAAGAATATAAAAGTAATAAATATAGTAGCTATTAATCCAACTAAATCAATAATCACCTTAAATGTGAATTGTCCAAATATAGTAACTAAAAGAGATGGAAAGAGTGGATAAAAAGAAAGACTCAGCTATATGTTGCCTATAAGAAACCCACTTTAAGTATAAAACCACAGATAGATTAAAAATAAAGAGATGGGGAAACATATACCACACGAACAGTAACAAAAAGAAAGCTGGAGTCACTATATCATTTTCAGACAAAGCACATTTCAGAACAAATAAAATTATCAGGGATATAGAGAGGTATTACATAATGATAAAGGAGTCAATTCTCCAAGAAGACACAACAGTCCTTAGTGGGTATGCACCTAACAACAGAGCACCAATATGCATAAGGCAAAAACTGACAGAACTTCAAGAGAAAACAACAAAATTATTATTATTATTATAATGGGAGAATTCAACACACATCTATCAATAATTGAAAGATCCAGCAGGCAGAAAAGCAGTAATAGCTAAACTGAACAACTGGATCTACTTGACATTTGTAGAATACTTCATTCAATAACAGCAGAATACACACTTCTCTCAAGCTTACATGGAAAATTCACCAAGGCATAGCACACTGATGGCCATAAAACACACTCAAAAAATTTTAAAGAATAGAAATCAAAAGAAGTACCCACTCAGACCACAACAGAATGGAACAAGAAATCAATAACAGAAAATTCCAAAATATTTTGAGATTAAACAACATACTTCTAAATAATACATGAGCCAAAGAAGTCTCAAGAGAAACTTTTTAAAAATGTAAACTAAATAAAACCTAAAAAACAACTAATAAAAATTTGTGGTATAGAGCAGAAACAGTGCTTACAGGGGAATTTATAGCATTGAATGCATAAACCAGTAAAGAAGAAAGATCTAAATTCCACCTAAGGAAACAAGAGAAAGTGTAGCAATATAAACCTAAGCAAGCAAAAGAAAAGAATAATTAACATTGGAGTAGGAAACGATGAAATTGAAAATAAGAGAACAACAGAGACAATGAAATGAAAAGCTGGTTCTTTGAAAAGACTGGTAAAGTTGATAAATGTCTAGCCAGGCTAACTGCAAAAAGGGAGATAAACAGAAGCCATATATTACAAATAGCACAAACATAAGTGAGACTATCACTACTAATCCCATGGACATTAAAAGGATAACAAAAGAATATTATGAACAAATCTATACTCATGAATTTGATAACTTTGATGAAACAGAGCAATTCCTTGAAAGACAATCTACCAAAATTAGTTTACTGAAAAATATGTAATTTAAATATATCTGTATCCCATATCTGTTAAACAAATTGAATTAATAATTAATAACCTTTCAAGACAGAAAGCAGCAAATCCAAATAGGTTAGCTGGTGAACTCTACCATTTATGAAAGAAATTATTGAATTCTCTACAATCTCTTCCAAAAAATAGAAGCAGAAAGATGCTTCCTAACTCATTCTATTAAATCAGCATTACCATAGTCCATAGTATCAAAGCCAGATTTAAAAACTTACAAGAAAGGAAAAGTACAGGTCAATATCTCTAATGAACACTGATGTAAACACCCTCAACAAAATATAGTAATGCAAATCCAACAATGTATAAAAAGAATTAAACATCACAACAAGTAAGGCTTGTTATAGGTGTGTAAGGCTGGTTTGACATTAAGAAATCAATTAATATAATCCATCACATCCATAGGTTAAAAAAGACAAAAAAGATCATATCAAAAAACAAAAAATAAGCATTTGACAAAAACCAACACCATTCATCATAATAACTCTCAGCAAACTGCTAATAGAAGGAAATTTCTGAAACTTGATGAAGAACATCCATAAAAAACCTATATCACATCATATTTGACAGTGAGAAACTAGATGCTTTCCTCCTAAGATCAGGAACAATACAAGGATGTCACTTCTCACCACTACTATCCAACATCATATTGGATGTCCTAGCTAATGCAATAAAGCAAGAAAAGGAAACAAAATGTACATAAATTGGGAATATAACTGTCTTTGTTTGCCAACCACATGATTGTCTATTTTAGAAAATTCCAATGAATCACAAGGGGAAAAAAAAAAGCCCTCCTAAAACTAAGTGATTATAGCAAGGCTGCAGGATAGAGGTGAATATACAAAAGTCAGTTGCTTTACTAAATTCTAGCAATGAACAACTGGAACTTGAAATTCAAAACCCAGTGCCATTTACATTAGCACCCCAAAGAAACAATTACGTATAAATCTAAAAAATTTGTACAAAACCTATACGAGGAAAACTACAAAACTGTTATTAAAAAGACCAAAAAAAAAACAGAAATAAATGAAGAGGTATTCCATGTTCATTAATAAGAAAACTCAATATTAGAATATCAATTTCTCCCAAATGATCTAAAGATTCAACACAATTCCAATAGAAAATTCTAGTAAGTTATTTTGTGACTATTGACAAACTGATTCTAAAGTTTGTATGGAAAGGCAAAAGACACAGAATAGCCAACATAATACTAACGAAGAGGAAGAAGATCAGAGGACAGTGTCCAACTTTAAGACTTACTATAAAAGGTAAAACTGGCCAGGCACAGTGGCTCACACGAGTAATCCCAGCACTTTGGGAGGCCGAGGCAGGCAGACTGCTTGAGCCCAGGAGTTCGAGACCAACTTGGGCAATATAGTGAGACCCTGTCTCTACAAAAAATACAAAAATTAGCCCAGTGTGGTGGCATACACCTGTTAGTCCCAGCTACTGGGGAGGATGAGGTGGGCGTTTCCCTTGAGCCTGGGAGGCATAGGTTGCACTGAGCCAAGATTGTGCCACTGCACTCCAGCCTGGGCAATGGAGTGAGACCTTATCTCAAAAAAAAAAAAAAAAAAAAAAAACTACAATAACTAAGATTGTGTGATATTGGCAAAAGAACAGAAAAATAAATCAAAAGAACAGAATACTGAGTCTAGAAATGGACCCACACAAACAGAGTCAACTGATCTTTGACTAGAAAATGAAGAAAATCCAATGGAAAGGAGAGTCATTTCAACAAATAGATGATGGAACAGCCGGAAAGCCTCATGCAATAAAATGAATGTAGACACAGACCCTAACATGGTTCAAAAAACTTGACTTAGACCATAGACCTAAATGTAAAACACAAAAATATAAAACTTCTGGACAATAACAAGAGAAAATCTAGGTAACCTTGGGTTCAGTTACAACTTTTAGATACAACACCAAAAGCATGACCTATGAAAGGAAAAAGTAATAAACTGGAATTCATTACAATTTAAAACATCTCTGTAAAAACAATGTTAAGAAAAAGAAACACAATCACAAACTGGGTTAGAACACAGTAAGAAAATGAACAACCCTATTTAAAAAAAAAGGGAAAGGATTCAACGAATACCTCATCAAAGATATACAGATAGCAAATAATCACATATAAAGATGTTTAACGTCATCTGTTATGAGAAGATTTCTAATTAAAATAACAAGTAGACACCATTATAGACTTGTATGGCTACATATATATATATGTGTGTGTGTATGTGTGTGTGTGTGTGTGTGTGTGTGTGTGTGTGTGTGTGTGTGTGTGTGTGTATATCTTTTTTTCTTTTTTTCCTGAGACGGAGACTCACTCTGTCACCCAGGCTGGAGTGCAGTGGCGTGATCTCAGCTCACTGCAAGCTCCACCTCCCGGGTTCACACCATTCTCCTGCCTCAGCCTCCCAAGTAGCTGGGACTACAGGCACCCACCACCATGCCCAGCTAATTTTTTTGTACTTTTAGTAGAGACGGGGTTTCACCATGTGTTAGCCAGGATGGTCTCAATCTCCTGACCTCGTGATCCACCTGCCTTGGCCTCCCAAAGTGCTGGGATTATATGTGTGAGCCACCGCGCCCAGCCTGTATGGCTAAAATTTTTAAAAGCAACAATAACAAATGCTGATGAGGGTGTGGAGCAACAGGAACCTCATTCATTGCTGGTGGGAATGCAAAATAGTACAGACACTTTGGCAGTTTCAAAGAACAAAACTAAATGATCAACCAATGGATCCATCTTACCATATGATCCACCAATCATGTTCCTAGTTATTTACACAAATAAGTTGAAAATTTATGTCCACAAAAAAACCTGCAAACAAATGTTTATAGCAGCTGTATTCATAATGGCCAAACCTTAGAAGCACCAAAGATGTCTTTTGGTAAGCAAATGGATAAATAAACTGTGGTATATTCATACAATGGAATATTATTTGGAAATAAAATGATATACACCATGAAAAAGCAGAGAGGAACACTAAAAATGCATACTGCTAAGTGAAAGGAGCCAGTTTGAAGGCTAGATACTGTATGATTCCAATTATGTGACATTCTGAAATAAGCAAAACTACAGAGGCAATTGAAAGATCATTAGTTGCCAGGGGATTGGTGGGAGAAAGGAGGAGGAATGAATGAGAGAGAATGTTCTTCTAAGTGGTCTAGGTCTCTTATAAACCTCTACCTAATTATTTCCCTTTTCTCAGTAAAAGATCATCTGCTGAAATGTAGGTTCAGGTAAATTTGGAGGATTGAGCAACATGAGAAGTTTGAAATAGTCACCTCAGAAAAAGAAAGCAAGACTTAAGAGATGATCATAAGAATTTATAAGTAGCCATGAATGTCTTGGTCAGCTTAAGTGCATGATTATAGTAGATAAAATCAGGATAATTATATTACTGTTTCCATGAATGAATATAATTCTCAGTAGCCATAATGTTTTTCTTGTTATGGATTTTATGCTTAAGTCTCTTCCTTCTTCATTAAAACCAACATACTCCACGTGAGAAAGAGACAGAATAATGAACATAGTGATTAATGGTTAAGACATAATATTCTCTCACCAATAGAATAGACCAACCAAGTTGACAGCTCCATATTCACATGCCTATCAATTAATTAAAATCTTTCAAATATCTGACTGTTACTTTAGAATCCATCTGCTATAATAGATGGCTTATATAGAACAGCAATCTGATATAAATTTTAATTCCTACTAACAATTTGTGAGTTCATGTCAAAATATGCTTTTGATTATAAATACTACATACATACAATTCCTGTTGTATATATTAATAGCATCATTCTGTCACACAGGTTATTGACTTCTGCTAACATATCCAAGACACATAAAGAAAGATGAGCCCCAAATTCAAAACGAGCAGTCTGTTGAGATCGAACATCAGCCTTAGATCAAAATTAAGCATTCCTCCTCCCCACTCAGTATACTTGGATCTGAATGAAATTAATCACAGCCATCAATGTCTAAAAATGACAGCTTCTAGGAGATGGTGACACACAAATTTTGTTGGAACAAGGGCCTGGCTTTAACCTGAGTCATCAGCCCCTCTCTCCCCCATAAAAAATAAGAGGAGGATGAGAAGCAACACTAGGTAGAAGAGGAGTGGGTGGGAGGGAAAGAAAATAGTCAGGGTTAACTTGTGTACGGACAGATGGTTTTTTTTTTTTTTTGGTTGTTTTTTTTTTTAAGAGCACTTTCTTTACCACCAGGGAATATCAATGGCCTTTTAAGCAGTTTCACATTTAAATGTGTGTTCTGACAGTCATGTCAGAGCCTGGGTAAAAGCCTTTTCATGGAAATCATTAAAACGAAAAGATCCAGACAAGAGGCCTGCTTTTTTCCAGGGAGACAAGGTGGAATAGAATAATGTCACTTTTAAAAGATGGAAGTACCGTAAACACTGAAGGGATAGATGAAACACCTTCTTTACCCTCCCTTCCCCTCCCCTGGCCCCCCAGCACCTGAGAATTTTTACCTGCTGCTGTCTAGAATACTCTATTATAAATAGTCAAGGATCCTTGGGGATAAGATTAGGAGTGAGGAGAAAAAGAAGAAAAAGCCTACAACTGCACATCAGCTTGTGATTCAAAGCAGGAGGGAACAGAGCAATCCCAGAAGTATTCCAACAGAGCTGACCCTCCTGGTTCCTATGCTCCCCGTGTGTAACTCATGAAGTCTCAAAGCTCTTAACTTTAAATTGCTGAATCATTCCAGCAAGTGGTGTGTACCTATCTGCTGGTAAGAAATAACAGCATTCATTCCTTGCTTCAGCCATCATTTCCTTGCTTCCCACTGGTAAGTGCTTTGCGGCCCACTGTCAATACTGAAGCAATGCTGACTACTTCTCCCTAGGAAAACTGGAGGTTGAGCCAGTCAGCCATGAAGGGCACTTTATATCTTGGCTCAAACACTAGGCCCTCTGCAAAAGATGTTTTTTGTTCCTGAAAGACCACAGAGATACTGGTATTTCCCTTACCCAAGTTAACAACTTTTCAAGGACTTCCCCCACCCACTACACTTTTCCCTTATGGCTCTTTTATTCCCCCTTAATATCAGAACTGGAATCCTGATATGCTAGAATGTTTTTTCATTTATATGTTCCATAAAGATCATTTCTAAATGATTATTAACTGTGCCAGAAAAAAAAAATCATCTTAGATTTATTAGTCCCTGGTCATTTGACACTGACGGAAGTTTCTGTCACACTGATCTTCTAGATTCCCTTAACAATTTAGTGACTCTAACAAACTTAGGAAGAAGTATAATACAAAACCCAAAGTCGGTGTTACTGAAATAAATCTCATACATGCCTAGAGACTTCCCCCTGAGAGCTAGCATTATTCACAATCTTAAACCCACTTAAATAAAAAAACCCTGTGAGTAAACTCTGGTTTCAGATTCGTCAAAGATAACTTTGAAATTTTTACTTTACCCTTAAAATGAGAAAATTCCTACCATCCTTTTGATTCTTAAAAAGAAAACAAAAAAGAATTCAATAATAACGTTTGTGAGTGTTCTTTATGCACCAGGCACTATAGTAAGCAGAAAATCTGGATTATTTTATTTAAATTCAAAAACTCTACAACATAGATACTTTCATTATTTCCACTTTATAGAAGAGGAAACTAAAGTTTAAAGAAGTGCTTTAAGTGATTACAAGTTATAAATCCCAGAGAGTGATAGAAACAAGATTTGAAGGCAAACCAATGAGACTGGGTGTACCCCATGTGCATAACTCATGTACATAACTGTACTTCTATTACTGATCACATCCAAACCAGCTTATATTAAAATAATTTATTTCTGAGTCTGGTCCATACTATGATAGAGTTAGAGAAATTATTACAACATTCTTGGGGGAGAGAAAAACACTTCCTAGTTAATAAAGTCTTCTGTGAAGACCAGCTTTTACACAAATTATTTCTTCCCCATTACTGACAATTAAACAACATTTAAAGTAGTAATAGCCTATTATGTAATAATTCAATGGTACATGTGTGTAAAAATAAAAGCATCTCCTATCACTTAGGAATCCCATAAAATCTGAAAGCAAAACACAGCCTATAAAGATTACAATTAAGAATCTCCAACTTGGCCAGGCACAGTGGCTCACGCCTGTAATCCCAGCACTTTGGGAGGGTGGATTATGAGGTCGGGAGTTCAAGATCAGCCTGGCCAAGATGGTGAAACCCTGTCTCTACTAAAAATACAAAAATTAGCAGGGTGTGATGGCGGGTGCTTGTAATCCCAGCTACTCGGGAGGGCTGAGGCAGAAGAATTGCTTGAACCTGGGAGGTAGAGGTTGCAGTGAGCCGAGATGGCACCACTGCACTCCAGCCTAGGCGACAGAGCAAGACTCTGTCTCCCAAAAAAAAAAAAGGAAAAAAAAAAGAAAAAGAATCTCCAACTTACAGAGTGGAATACTAAAGTCCCAGGATGAGAACGTATGTCACTTAAACAGTTTACCATGGGGAGGGCTTCACAACCCCAAGTCCCAGCTAATAATCTCTTCCCAGTCTCATCTTGATTATATAATTGTCCTCTCAGCCCAGAGGAAAAGCATTTTATAAGTTTATACTAGTTATCACTATATCATATTAACTTGTCTCAAACATAAAAGTAACCAAATTATTATCTTTGCATTTTAAGTTCACAAAATCATTGTAATAAGAAGAAACCTTTATTCTTTTTCTGTTTGTTTGGTAGGAAGAATCACCCCAGTGGCATTCCAGGAAAAATAACACTAGCACATGTATATACTAAGGACTGCGTCATTAACTAATCCATTCCAGGCAAACAACTTTCAGGAAGGTTTATTTATTTCTTCTTGAAATCCCTATAAGCCTATTTTCTCCATTTAATCCTCAGAAAATATGAAAAGACACGTAAAGAAAATGTAACTAAAACAAACCTTCTTTGTAACTGAATTAATTGTATAGTCTCATAACCACCTTTACCTCAATCTAGTATCATAAAGATAACACTCTCGATATGTGTGACATATCATATAATATGTGAATAACTCAGTACCTATTTACTTTATATGACTTTAGATAAAATGACTAAATGACTTTAGATAAAAACCAAAAATACAAAGCTATATTTACTATACATGTAATGCCCTCTACAGGCCATCAGTGGAATGAATCAGAGAGACAGAACTAAATACAGATTTCTCAGAGACTTAGTTATTATGCACTAACATAATTTATTTTCTACATAGGCCAATAGGAATTAGTCTCATTTCTAATCTACATAAATTTCAAACAAAATTTTCCACATTCTTTCAATTCTTTAAATGAAGTCTTTCAAGGGCCCAAATCGTCATTTACCCAGCTTATTTATATTCAATGTACTGTTAAGATAAACGGATTTTTATATACCACCACTGCATATATATATATACATATGCCATAAGTTAACAAGTACACACACACATACAATATTAAACAGGCCTATGAAGTAAACAGTAAACATTAAAAATTATACTCTTCATTTATATTAGTACAAACTTCCATCCATCTCTACTTGAAAAAAATCCAGATATTAGTGATGGTTCTATACAAAATTTAGTCTAAGGCAGAAGAATCACTTGAGGACAGGAGTTGGAGACCAGCCTAAGCAAAACAGTAAGACCCTTTCTCTACAAATAAATAAAGTTTAGAAGATAATCACTTTCCAGAAATATAAATGCAGTATATTCACTTTCTTTCTTTCTTTTTTTTTTTTAGACAGGGTCTTGTTTTGTCTCCCAGACTGGAGTGCAGTGGCCCACTCTCGGTTCACTGCAACCTCCACCTCCCAGGTTCAAGAGGTTTTCCTGCTTCAGCCTCTCGAGTAGCCCACCATGCTCTGCTAATTTTTGTATTTTTAGTAGGGACAGGGTTTCACCGTGTTGACCAGGCTGGTCTTGAACTCCCGACCTCAAGTGATCTACCCACCTCGGCCTCCCAAAGTGCTGGGATTACAGGCATGAGCCACCATGCCCAGCCAACTTTCTTTGAACCTAATGTTATCAAGATTTGATCTACCAAACTTTCCAAAAATCACCCTCATGACTAATGCAATACAACATGACAAAACAAATTTATTTCAGGGGAATCATTTTCTCCTTATTAAACTCATGATATTTTAAACATATTGCCATTCTCAGAACAGTATTAATTAAGATTATGGAATAGGATGGGTGGAGAACACAGAAGAAAAGAAAAGGAAAACAAAGACAATTTTTTTAAGCTCCCCAAATAAGGTTAGATTTGAACTAACTCCAATTCTAAATCTCAAGCTATTTCTCCAGATTATTAACAAAGTCTTTCTCTCATCACTTACAAGAGAATAAGTTCCTGACATAAAGGATTAGCTCAGCCTGATTTCTTCTCTCTATCTCGTGCACTCTCTTCTGCCTTCCACCCTTCTGCCCATGGAATGACCCAGATGCCAGCGCCATGCTTTTGGATGTCCCAGACTCTAGAACTGTGAGCCAAATAAACCTCTTTTCTTTATACATTATACAGTCTGTGGTATTCTGCTAAATCAGTAGAAAATGGACTAAAATACCTACTCAATTTTTTTAAATCATCTAAGTTTTGGAAAATCTCTCTCTCAAAAAATAAATTTTTTACAAATGCTGTATAATACTTAGTCCAAGTCTTTAGGTGAATATTTTATATCTTAGAGTCCAGGGCATAGTCCAGAGTAGAGTCAGTCATTCACTGATCTATACACAGAAAAAAATCAGCCTTCCTTTTTAATGGGGTTTACATGGTAATTGAACAATTAATAATATTATAATTCTTGTAAGTTAAGCAAACTTTACAAACAAAGAAATTTTCTAATATTCTGTAAAACATATTGGGTCAGTTAAACAGATATGACTTCAGTAGGGTTTTCAAGTGGGTGGTCAGAGGCGTAGTACTGAAATTTTCATAATCATTTAAGTGACAAAATGAAAGGAGTAAGTATGAAACTGATGCTCAATGGAAAGGAAAAGAATTCCAATTCACAGTAAACAAATGACATTAAAGAAATTATCAGAAAGGACAAAAAACAAATGGGATATTATTTGAAGGTAGGATTGTTTTACATAAATTCAGCAAATATGAAAGAAGGCAATAATCAAAATAACAAGTTTAAAGGAACTAAATGATGCTATTTAGACCTGAATAGACACTGCTAATAAATAAAAACAGAACACAACATACAAGATTCTAACAATTCCTTCCCTGAACTCTTGAAATTTATGCATATGAGAATGGAGCATTAATATTTGGTACACAAAAGCCCAAAGCTTTAAGGAATTTGGAAAAGCCGTAAGAAGTTCATATAGTACTCTACTATCACAAAGGAATACAGTAAACAGAGGCAAGTTTCAAAAGCAGAAAATAAGGAACAAACAATAAAAGTTCAGCAAGATTTCCAGATACTAAAAACAGTTAATTTCTAGAATAGCCTTTTTCTAAGTGGTGAAAAGTCCTTTATCTCACAGACCATTAAGAGTAGTTTATAAGCTAAAGACCATTTATTTCTCAGTTTTAATGATCATCAGTAGCCTAATTCTTCCTGCTAAAACTCAACTTCACATCTCCTCCCCAAAATAGTCAAATATGCACACAATCATTATTAAACCAAAGATTCTTTACAATTTCTTTTATTGTTTACACACAGTCAGCAGCTATAAAATTTAGGGCTACTTTCCATTCATGTTAGTGTTTCAGCAACTCACGTCAAAGCTGAAAGAAATTTCTTAAAACTAAATGTTAAAAAAAGGAGTTTCAACACCAGTTATGCTGTAGATGGCTACAAAACTATTTCCTCAATAAAAATAATACCAAAAAGTGAAAAAAAATTATTTAAAAAAGCAGAAGAGATGTGGATGGGGAAAAATAAAGAACAAAGTATCACAAAGAGATGAGCCCTCCCTATGTTAGCAGAGACTGGCAACCATTTTTATCACTAGGGACAGATATCAAATCTAGGTCACAAGCAGAAAAAGAAATAAATCTACCATGGATGAGGAACATTATTGTAACCAAGAGACAACAAATTTTTAATACTGACACTTAGGCTAGTGTAGGGGACTGGAATCTAGATGAGTCCCAAACACAAAGCCACTTATTCTCACCTTCCAATTACCACCTCACTTCCCAACTCTACCCACAGGTTTATAATTGAGTAAGCACTATGTAGGAAGATCGAGATGGTACCAGAAAATACAGGGAGATATAGTGTTCAGATCACAATACCCTGTTGGAAGAGCAAACAATCAAAAATTATGAGACATGGGAAAAAGCAGAAGAATGTGACTCATAATCAGGAGAACAAACAGCAATAGAGTCAGACCCATAAGTAACCTAGATATTCAAATTAGCTGACAAAAACTTAAATAACTACTGTAAATGTGTAAAGAATGTAGAGAAAAGACTGGATCAAACAAGAGGGAAAAGGTAGACCATTTCAGCAGAGAAATAAAAACTCAAAAATGAACCAAATAGAAACTCTAGTACTGAAAAACGTAATATCTGAAATAAGGAACTTACTGGATGTTCTGCCAAATCCCCCTCTGCGAGAAACACCCAAGAATGATCAATAAAAAATAAAAATAATTAAAAAAAAAAAAGTAGACTAAACAAACCAGAAGAAAGCATTAGTAAGTCCAAACTATTGAAGTGCAGAAAAAAGGATCAGGAGCCCCTTCATTAATATCTAGGAGTATGATAAAAGTATAATTGGATTCCCAGAAGGAAAAGAACAAAAGATAAAGTAGAAAAAAATATTTGAGGAGATACTGGCCAAAAGTTTTCCAAAACTGATAAAAGATTTCAAACTAGAGGTCCAAGAAGATCAATAAACAACAAGAAATATAAAAACTAATGCACATGCACACACACATAGAAAAAGCCTCATACTTAGTCAACTCTGTGCAAGTAATAAAGGGAAAACATTAAGAACAGCAAGAAAAATTAGACACATTATATTTAGGGAAAAAACAATTTGAATACAACTAACATCAGAAACAATGAAATCAGTAGACAATAAAATGACATGTTTAAAGTGCTGAAGAAAAAAATTAACAGAATCTTGATCTGGTGAAGATAGCCTTTGAAAATAAAGATGGAATAAACACATCCTTAGGTGAACGAACACAGAGAAACTGTTGCTGGCAGAGGTCTATAATACTATGGGTACTATATTAAATATTAAAGTAAGTGCTTCAAGTGGGTATGGCTATCTTAATATTAAGCAAATCAATCTCAGAACAAAGCATATTATCAGAAATATAAACAGTCAAACCATTTAAAAGATATAAAAAACTAAAAGTATATACATAGTGTGTATACATAGGTTGGCATAACATAAATTACTTTGCGCTATCCATTGAAGAGAACTATTAAAATAGCAAAACCACAATTACTTTTGCACCAATCTAACAGAAGCAGTGACACCTCAGTAGAACCAAGTACTCCCAGCAACCAGATCTTGGTTTCTAAATACCATTCTCCATTAACGCAGTGTTTAGTGCTACATGGAAAAGAAAATGGATGATTCTTGGACTGGGACAGGGATTAAGTAATTGCTGAAAATATAAAAATATGGGGGTACATTAAGGGACATAGAAGGTAGCCTGAAAGAACTCCCAATCTGAGCAACAAAATAAATAACATAGTATTGTATTAAAACTCAAAGTATAAGATATTAGTGGGTCCATACTGATATAAACAAAGGAGCAAATCAATAAATTAATAAGAGGTGGGGTAAGGTGGGGAGAGAAGAGACAAATCTTCCTTACAGAGGAATGCCAAATAGTTTACATAGATACCACAGCCAAGAGGTGAAATTTAATACCCTCCACCACCATGCCCCATGCCACCACCTTAAGCATGGGCTGCATTTAGCGGTCCACTTTCAAGGAATAAAGCCAAAAACGGAAAACTCCGCAGTGAAGAAACCTGACAAACACCACCTTCCTTGTGATGAAAGTTCACATCACCAGTGAGTGATGTCATGTAGATATCATGAATTCCCTGATGTGATATGATTAAAAGGGCACTTCATTTCTGTGGTATCCTTTTCAAAAATCCATATCCCACTCTAATAATAAGAAAAGCACCAGATAAACCCAGAGTGGGAGACATGCACCAGTACCTCCCAAGACTTGTTAAGGTGGCCAGGTGTGGTGGCTCACACCTGTAATCCCAGCACTTTGGAAAGCCAAGGCAGGTGGATCACATGAGGACAGGAGTTCAAGACCAGCCTGGCCAAATAGCAAAACCGCGTCTCTACTAAAAAATACAAAAAATTAGCCGGGCATGGTGGCACATGCCTATAATCCCAGCTACTCATGAGGCTGAGGCACGAGAATCACTTGAACCCAGGAGGCGGCAGCGAGCCGAGATCGTGCCACTGCACTCCAGTCCCAGGAAAAGAGCAAGACTGTCTCAAAAAAAAAAACAAAAAAAGGCTTGTCAAGGTCATGAAAAACAAGGAAAGATTTAGAAACCATTACAGACCTAAAGAGACTGACAAGACATGATAACTAAATAATGTGCTACCCTGGACTGGATCCTGAAACAAAAAGAGAGTATTAGTAGAAAAACTGGTGAAATACAAATGAATCTAGACTTTAGTTAGTAGTGATGTGCCAGTACTAATTTCTCAGTTTTGACAAATGTAAATGTAAGATGTTAACAATATGGGAACTGGTTGAGGAGGATATAGGAACACTTCATATTATCTTTGAAATTTTTCTGTGAATCTAAAATTTCTTCCCCCAAATCATAGTTGCATAAATAAATAAATAAATAAATAGTCTAGCTAAATGTTTAACAGTAGGAGAGTTGGTAAACAAACTAAGGTACAACTACATCATGGGACATAGTTCTGAAGCTGTCAGAAATAAAGAAATTATATGATAAAAGTTTATTTTATATAACAGTTTAAATGTAAAAATCAGAATTAAAAACCATATACATAGTATGATCTAAATCTTATAAAACGTACATACACAACTATACTGACAAAAAAGCATAGAAAGAAGACTATAAATTAAACAATAAATATTTCACATTAAAAATTATCATCTTGGGGCCAGGCGTGGTGGCCCACGCCTGTAATCCCAGCACTTTGGAAGCCTGAGGCGGGTGGATCACTTGAGGCCGTAGACTAGCCTGGGCAACATGGCAAAAACTGTCTCTACTAAAAATTTAAAAATTAGCCAGGCGTGGAGGAGCACACCTGTAGTCCCAGCTACTCGGAAGGCTGAGGCACGAGAATGGTTTGAGCTCAGGAGGCAGAGGTTGCAGTGAGCTGAGATCACACCACTGCACTCCAGCCTGGGCAACAGAGCGAGACTCTGTCTCAAAAAAAAAAAGAAAAAATCATCTTGGTGCACCAAGTATGATAAACACTACTGTGCCTTAGCAGCAAAAACTTCAATTCTATGATTCTCCTTTAAAGTTTGTATAAAGGTAGTATCCTAAGTGAGGCAGATGCTGGTCTTTGCCTATCCATTATCAATTCCCTCCTTCTCCCATAATAACAGAATTCCAATCTTGCTAGAAGTGGCAGTGCGCTTAAGTAAAAAAAAAAATCACATTTTGAGATGTATACAAAAGTCATCAGGTGAGGTTTCTACGAATGCTCTTCAAAAGGGGAAAGACAACTCAGCTTTTGCTTCCTGTTTTCTCCTTTTCTTCTTGCTAGAGATAGAACCACCATCTTAAAATTATGGGAGGATAAAGCATCAGGTTAAAAGCTACAACTGGATTTGCGTGCCTGAGCAGAAAGACAGAAGAGGCCTGGGACCCAACTAGCATCATACTACTGCTTCATCAGCCCTAGATGACTGCCTACCTCCCTATACTTCCTTACAAGACAAAATAAACTCCGTATTTGTTTAAGCCCCACTGTTTCAAGTTTTCTCTTGTAAGCACATGTATGCATTCCAAACATTACAGAACTGATGTCTGTACTCAAAAAAGTTTCTTATTGGATGTCTTTAAAGAACAAAATACATTTTTAAGAAAATCATGCAGCTAGCTCAGTAGCATTTGGGGTTTTTTTAAGCTACAACAAATGTCAGCTTCAATTTTCTGGGATGGGTGAGAGAGGAATCATTGCATCATTATAAGGGCGTAAAAAGTCTAAGGATAAACAACTGAAGATATTTTAATGATGATAAAATCAGAGTTAAATATTTCGATGTATTTTTTGACTTAATGATCAGTGTTCATATAACAAAACATTTTATTAAGCAGGCATTTGCTGGGTGGAGTTCATTTGGAGTGAAAAAAGTAATAAAACAAGATCTTGTCTTCAAACAGGGTCATAATCATCCTTTAAATGTTTGTAAACTATCTTAACAAAATGAAACAAGAAAGGAAACAAAAACTATTTTCACTTTTTTTAAGCCTATAGTCAGTTATAATAAACAACAACAATAAAAAACTGGGGGGAAAACTCCAATGCCCAGATAAGGAAGTTAATTGAATTAATGAAAAATATTATATATTCATTAAAATAATATGGAGACTGTGAAAATGCAATAAAAAGCCCAAAAACTTTAAACAAAAATACAGAACAAAAATAATATGCATAGACTCTTATAGTTATACAAAAACAAAGTATAAATCAGACAGGGTCATAAAATCTAAAATAAGGAATGGTTTGCCATTTTTTCTTCATATTTCACCAAATATTACTTAATATCAAATGATAAAACAGATTATGAAACTAGCAACATATATATTGAAATCTTCCCACTGCAAAATACACAAAGTACTGGATAAACAGAAAGACACTTGAATTTCATATGTAAGCATGCATGGAAGCAAAAAAAAAAAAATCTAAAAGGTCCAAAATTAGAGGATCGTGGAGAAAAAATATCTTAGTGGCCTATAGCTGGGGTCAGGAAACTATGGCCCACAAGCCAAATCTGGCCTATAGTCAGTAAGCTTAGTTTTTAAATCCTTAAATGATTGAAAATAAAAAAGTTGTCTTGACAAATGAAAATTCTATGAAATTCAAATTTCAGTGTATAAAAATAAATTTTTTTTGCAACACAGCCATGTTCATTCATGTTAGTATTATCTACAGCTGCTTTCCACAAACCACAAAAGCACAGTTGGATAGTGGTAACAGAGACTATATGATCTGTAAAGTCTAAAACATTCTCTATCTGGCCGTTTATGGAAAAACGGTTTGTCAACTCTTGGCCTAGAGCTTCATTTTTAATGAATACACAAAGGGAATAGGAATTAGCGCCTCTGGCTTATGCAAGGCAAGGGATCAAACTGGAAATGCTGTTAGAAAGGCACTAACAACAAAAGGACTAGACATTTAATAAAAAATGAAGTAGAGAATATATATCCCACAAAATCATAGTGTACAGACACATGACTGCTTTGACAATGACTCTTCATGAAACAGGGGCAGGGCAGGGAACCAGGAGATAAAGAGGGGAATTTCCTTAAGCATTTATGGACACTGAACAGCCTGTATATGGATCTGGAGCTCAAGAAACACTAACTTAAGAATTTAATTTAAATTGGACTCAAGTAATCAGTGGTCCCCACCTCCCAATCACCTGACTGACGCTAATACAAATTTTCTCAGAAGGACCATAGCATCAACAAATAAACTTCCAAATAAACTTTGGAACTTCCAAATAATAACAACAACAAATCATAAGAGTAATTAATTATATTTCTAGTAATGGAGAGCTAGGTTACTCAAACCAGCACTTCTGCTTAAAACAAGTAAAAACGTTAGCTAAAATATTCAAAACATAAAGTCAAAAGCACTGAAATGCTAATAAACTACTGCAGAACTACAAGGACAAATTCTAGGAGAAAGCTCATACCCAAAGAAGTAGGGAGAATACTAAAACACTAAAGACAATCCTGAACTGAGGGCATTTGCCAATTACAATCCAGAAAGAGGGGTTCACTTTGGAGCTTGAAAAGAGGAGGGCAGAAGTGAAAACTCCATCCAAGATGATCCTCAGGAGTCTTATAAGAAATTCCCTGCCACACAGAGCTCCAACAGACTACACCATAGAAGTAAGAATATACCATAACTAAATCTCCAACTAGAGAGGAATGCAAGGAAGCTTCCCTTGGTGCAGAGCAGAACAAAATATTTAAATGGGGGAGGGAGGAGGTAAGGAAAGAAAAACAAAAACAAGATGCTGGAAAAGCTGTGCTCATATCTAAGACTTCATAAGGTTGTACTAGAGATAAAGACCATCTAATATTAAGATTCAGACATCTAATAACAAAGCTTCAATATAAATAAAACAAAAAGTGAAAGTAAACACACTGATATAATATACATATCAACTATTATATAAATAATTTTATATATGAAATCATACTATGCAACTTTCAGGTCATGAATCTTACATTACTATTTCTCATTTCTAGGACTATGCCATCTTCAAAAGTCCAACTTCAGTTTGTTAGAAGGAAAATTTTAGACGAATTAAAATTAACAGAGTTCAACTGAGCAAAGAACAAATTGCATTATCGGCCTAACCCCCAAACCAGAATAGGTTCAGAGCTACTCCAGGGCTGTCACATGGTCAAGTAACATTTATGGTCAAAAAAAGAAAGTAACATACAGAAAATAGAAGTGACTCTAACACATTAATCACGTTTGCGGTAATGCTGATATTAAAAAAAAAAAAAAAAACCACTGTGTGGCCAGGCACATAAAAGTAAAGCACAAACAATTATGTATAGTATGTAATGTTTAATAATGATAATAAAGAACCACATTACTGGTTAATGGATGTACTATACTATACTTTTTATCATTATTTTAGAGTATAGTCCTACTTATTTTAAAAAATCAGTTAACTGTAAAGCAGCCTCAGGCAAGTCCTTCAGGAGGTATTCCAGAAGAAGGCATGGTTATTATAGAAGACATCATACATGTTATTTCCTCAAAGACCTTCCAGTGAAACAAAATGTGAAGGTGGAAAACAGCAATCTTGATGATCCTGACCCTATGTAGGCCCATACTAATATACATGTTTGTGTCTTAGGTTTTTAAAATTTTTCAATGTAAACCAAAATAAACACAAATTTTAAAAATAGAAAAAAGCTTATAAAATAAGCATATAAAAATACCTTTATACAGCTATACAAAATGTTTAAGTATTATTAGAAAAGAGTCAAAATCTATATGTTGAAAACTAGAAGACACCAATGAAAGAAGATGAAGAAGATACAAATAAAAGATATCCCATGTTCATGGATTAATATTGTTAAAATGGACGTACTACCCAAAGTGACCTAGAGATTTAATGCAGTCTGTATCAAAATACCAATGACATTCTTCACAAAAATAGAAAAAAAAATTCTGAAATTCATATAAGAGCAAAAAAAAGACCTTAATAGTCAAAGCAAACCTGAGCAAAAAGAACAAAAGCTGGAGACATGACACTACCTAACTTCAAAATATACTACTAAGCTATAGTAACCAAGTGAGCAGGGTATGTGCATAAAAACAAATACACAGACTACTGGAACAGAACAGAGAACTCAGAAATAAATTCACATAACTACAGTGTATTAGTCTGTTTCCATGGCTGGGGAGGCTTCACATTCATTGCTGAAGGCAAGAAGGAACAAGTCACGTCTTACATGGATGGCAGCAGGCAAAGAGAGAGCTTGTGCAGGGAAGCTCTAGTTTTTAAAACCATCAGATCTTGTGAGACTTACTCACTATCAAGAGAACAGCATGGGAAAGACCCGCCTCCATGATTCAATTATCCCCCACCGAGTCCCTCCCACAACACATGGGAATTATGGAGGCTACAAGATGAGATCTGGGTGGGGACACAGAGCCAAACCATATCATTCCAATCCAGCCCCTCCCAAATTTCATGTCTTCACATTTCAAAACCAATCATGCCTTCCCAACAGTCTCCCAAAGTCTTTACTCATTTCAGCATTAACTCAAAAGTCCACTGGCCAAAATCTCATCTGAGACAAGGCAAGTCCCTCCTGCCTATGAGCCCATAAAATCAAAAGCAAGTTAGTTACTTCCTAGATACAGTGGGGATACAGGCATTGGGTGAATACAGCCATTCCAAATGAGAGAAATTGGCCAAAACAAAGAGGCTACAGACTCCATGCAAACACAAAATCCAGTGGGGCAGTCAAATCTTAAAGCTCCAAAATGATCTCCTTTGACTCCATGTCTCGCATCCAGGTCACTCTAATGCCAGAAGTGGGCTCCCACGGCCTTGGGCAGCTCCACCTCTGTGGCTTTGCAGGGTATAGCCCCCCTCCTGGCTGCTTTCACAGGCTGGTGTTGAGTGTCTGTGGCTTTTCTAGGAGCATGGTGCAAGCTGTGGGTGGATCCACAATTCTGGGGTCTGGAGGATGGTGGCCCTTTTCTCACAGCTCCACTAGGTGGTGTCCCAGTAGGGACTCTGTGTGGGGGCTCTGACCCCACATTTCCCTTCCACACTGCCTTAGCAGAGGTTCTCCATGAGGGACCCACCCCTGCAGCAAACTTCTGCCTGGGCATCCAGGTATTTTCATACTTTCTCTGAAATCTAGGCAGAGGGTCCCCAAAGCTCAAATCTTTTTTCTTTTTTTTTTTTTTTTTTTTTTGAGGCAGGAGTCTTGCTCTGTCACCCAGGCTGGAGTGCAAAGGCGCGATCTCAGCTCACTGAAACCTCCACTGCCCAGGTTCAAGCAATTCTCCTGCCTCCACCTCCAGATTACAGGTGCCCACCACACCATGCCCTGCTAATTTTTGTATTTTTTGTAGAGATGGGGTTTCAGCAGGTTGGCCACAGTGGTCTCAAATTCCCAACCTCAAGTGATCAGCCTGCCTCAGCCGCCCAAAGTGCTAGGATTACAGGCTTGAGCCACCGCGCCCGGCCAAGACCCTGTAGAGTTCTAATCTTTGCTACAGACTCTCAACAGATGGTTCAACAAGTTTTACAGGAATAATACAAAAAAACAATTCATGAGAGACTATTTTTTTAGACCCTGTTTCACCCCATTCGGGAGGTCTATGATTGCCTCTTAGTTGTTCAGTAAGACATCTTAGTTGTTCAGTAAGTTCATCTTGACTAAAAGTGGGGACTGATAATGTTGAAATTTACCTGAGCCCTCCACTCCTAGAAAAGAGGAAAGATTAAGAAATCCCTTCGGCCAGGTCCAATGGCTCACACCTGTAATCCCAGCACTTTGGGAGATAGAGGGGGGTGGATCACCTGAGGTCAGGAGTTCAAGACCAGTCTGGCCAACATGGTGAAACCCTGTCTCTACTAAAAATACAAAAATTAGCTGGACTTGGTGGCAGATGCCTGTAATCTCAGCCACTTGGGAGGCTGAGACAGGAGAATCGTTTGAACCCAGGAGGCGGAGGTTGCAGTAAGCCGAAATCGCACCATTGCACTCCAGCCTGGGTGACGAGAGTGAAACTCCATCTCAAAAAAAAGAAAAGAAAAGAAAAGAAATCCCTTCATATTATTGTGTTCTGAGAAAAAGCTAACCACAAAGGACAATGACATCTTCACATATTCCAAAATAAGACCCACCTATACCCTTCTTCAATGACTCCTTTTTTCATATAGCACCCCAAGATTTCCCTTCTTGAGATATTCTTCATTAATGAACATTCTCCCTATTGTAATAGCCTGAATAAAATCATCTGTCTAATGTATTTGTCTTTCACAGCAATTCGTTAGTGCCTATTAAAGCATTCCTTATGAGCCTGCAATACCATGTCTATCAAGGAAATATTAACATGAATGGAAAAAAAGATGGATGTGGTACATGTTGCTGCTTGCTTAACCTACATCCATTCCTCTACACTCATCCCCTTCTTAACCTGAAATTCTCAATTAAGATTTCATCCTCTTCCATTCAACCAGGGTAATTCTGGAAACTAACCCTACTCTCAGCACCCTGCTAAGTACAAAGGTAATCCCAACTCCTTACCATACTCATTGGTTCTGAGACCCAAGTCTCAGCCAATTAGCAACTGAAATTCCCTTGATAACAGGAACTGATTTAGGAATTAGCATGTGACTTAATCTAGGCCAACCGAGTAAAATAGTGTTGCTAATGAACAACTGGAAGAGAAGCTTTGTTGCTCTTAAAGGAAAGCCAACAGAAAAGCTGTTGAACAACAGAAAAGCTCTTCTTGAGGTTGCAGCTACGAGACCTGGAAATGTTACAGCCATTCTCCTACCACATGGAAAGCCAGCCTAAGAACAAAGACAGAGAAATACACAGCCAGAGAGAGAGAGAGAGAGAGAGAGAGAGAGATTAAGTTGGACCCACTGGATCAAACCAACATAGATCACATCTTCCTGTATGAAACAATGACCCAATCATTTCCTTTTTTGATTAAAAGAGTCGAGTTGGGTTTTCTTATATTGTTTTACTGGCAAAAGCATTATACCTAATTACAAAAATAAAGATTGTTCATGGCAGCATTTCCCATGGATTGTCCATCCATTAAAAAAATGGAAAAAGAGAAAAAAATTTGAGACATTCATAGACAGGATAACATATGAGTAACTTATAATACAGTAGAAAATTAAGTGTATTTTAAAAAGAATGAGGAGGAGGGAGAACAGGATGGCAGATAAAAGGCAGCCAGGAAACACCACTACCAAGAAGACAGACCAAAGTATGGAATAAACCACCATAATTTGGGCAGATCTTTGAAGAGAAAACATCAAGAATAGTGAGAGAGTCAGCACCAAAGTCGAGATTGAAGAGGGGGAAATCTGGAAGCCCTGAATGATACCTGAATACCTCTAATGGCTCCTATGAAAAGGGTAAGTGAGGGAACTGAGGGACAGCTCACTCTCACAACAGACTTCTGGGATCCTAGCAACAGGAGACTCTGCATCCCTGATTGATGTGTGAGCTAGCAGGGGGATCTCCCCAGGGAGCAGGCAGAGACAGGCTTTCAGATGACACAGAGCCTGGGAGCTTCTGTGTGCTGGGCAGCTCTGGTGGAGAGTGGCCATAGATACCCATCCCCTAGGACTTCCCATATCCCTCTGGCAGGCACTGCCCCAACTGACCTCTGATGAAGAACAGAGAAAGGACGGCTTCCCCGCAGGACTGGGGTGCATCCATTCTGCAAGTCCTCCTGCTCACTAACCCAAGCCAGACTGAGGTGCATCTATTCCTCCCAGTCCTTCGAGGAAGCTGGCCTCACTATCTTCTGGGTCAGAGGTCAGTGCCTCCCAAAGGGATATGGGCAGCCTCTGCAGCCCAGGCTGAGTGTGTTGCTATGTCTAAGTAATTTCCCAGTGACCCAGGAGCCACAACAGATCCTCCAGCCCAGCTGGAACCCGACTTCAAGCCACAGGATGCAGTGGGGATGTTGTGGGTGGTGGGGGGCAGGGAAGAGCATCAGGAAGAATGGCTAATAGATGCTGGGCTTAATACCTAGGTGATGGGATGATCTATGCAGCAAACCACCATGCACACATTTACCTATGTAACAAACCTGCACATCCTGCACTTGTAACCCTGAACTTAAAATAAAAATAAAAGAAATTTAAATAAGAAATTTAAATAAAAGAAATTTAAATAATTTTAAATTTAAATTTTAAATTTAAATTTAAAAGACCTCAAACTATTAAAATGCTACAAGAAAACCTAGTTAATACCTTGCTCAATATCCGCCTTGGCAAAGAATTTTTGGCAAAGTCCACAAAAGCAATTACAACAAAAAATATAAATTGAAAACCGGAAGCAAGTTAAACTAAAGAGCTTCCATACAGCAAAAGAAACTATCAACAAAATAAACAGAAAACCTACAGAATGGAAGAAAATATTCATAAACTATGCATTTGACAAATGTCTAAAATCCAGAATCTATAAGGAACTCAAATCAACAAGCAAAAGACAAATAACCCGATTAAAAATGGGTGAAGGATATGAACAGACACTTCTCAAAAGAAGAAATATAAGCAACCAACAAAAATATGAAAAAAATGCTCATCATCACTGATCATCCGAGAAACGCAAATCAAAACCACAATGAGATACCATCTTATACCAGTCAGAATGGCTATTATTTAAAAGTCAAGAAGCAACAGATATGGCAAAGCTATGGAGAAAAGGGAACGCTTATACACTGTTGGTGGATATGTAAATTAGTTGAGCCACTGTGAAAAGCGGTTTGGGGTTCTCAAATAACTTAAAGTAGAGTTACCACTGGACACATCAATTCCATTACTGGGTATATGCCCAAAGAAAAATATTTTGATCACTATGCCAAAAGACACATGCACCCATTATGTTCATCCCAGCACTATTCACAATAGTAAAGACATGGAATCAATCTAAGTGCCCATCACTTGTGGACTGGATAAAGAAAATGTGGTATATATATATCATGGAATACTATGAAGCCATAAAAAAGAATGAAATTACTACCTTTACAGCAACATGGATGGAGCTGGAGGCCATAATCCTAAGCAAACTGATGCAGGAACAGAAAACCAAATACTGCATGTTCTAACTCATAAGTGGTAGCCAAACACTGAGCATATATGGACATAAACATGGGAAAAATAAACACTGTGGACTACTATGGGGGAAATTAGGGAGGGGGATGTGGGTTGAAAACCTACCTATTGGGTACTATGCTCACTACCTGGGTAAAATATACCTATGTAACAAATCTATACGTATCCCCTGTATCTAAAATAAAAGTTGAAATTTGAAAGGAAATATATATATTTTTTCCTTTTATAAAAAGGAGGACAGATGAGGTAGCTGGACAACCAAATGTTTACACTTCAAAATGAAACCAATTTAGAATTCTTTGTCTCACATGTACATTAATACAGATGAATCAGATACATATAGAATAATCAATAAAATCATGTATGATGATATTACTGAAATTTAACCCCATCTCATCAAAGGAAGAGCTTGGCATCCTGGAAAAGCATTGTCGGATATTTTAATGTGGACCAATAAACACTAGGAAAGACAACTTCTTCAGCATACTTCAAAAAAATGAGGTATTACTTGTCAATTAAAACTAAATTTTTAATTAAGATGTTTATACATTAACTTAAAAAGATGTCCATGCCACAATAAGTGAGGAAAGAAATAACTTTCATTTTTAAAAAAAGAAAGAAAAAAATTATATTGGTATAGAAAAAAGTTTATAAGAATATATGTTAAATCATTACAATGACTACCTGTAATATTATAGGATTAGAATGGGAAAAGATTATTTTCATATTACACACATGAAGTTTATATAAGTTTATATCTTATAAATAACATTTTAAAAAACTGATGAAGTACAAAAAAAAAAAACTCTTCTCAGCCCCACCCCAGATCAACTTAATTAGAATCTGCACACAGTAAGATCCACAAATGTTTTAAAAGCTACTCAAAATTTAGAATATATGAAGAACTCATAAATTATTAAGAAAAAGACAAACAACCAAAATGTTTCTATATGAAGTAAAAGAAAGTGAACATTCTGTAAAAGAAGCTATCCAGGCTGGGCACGGTGGCTCACGACTATAATCCCAGCACTTTGGAAGGTCAAGGAGGGTGGACAGCTTGGGCTCAGGAGTTTGAGACCAGCCTGGGCAACATGGCAAAACCCCATCTCTACAAAACAAAAATTAGCCAGGTGTGGTGGCGTATGCCTGTGGTCCCAGCTAGTTTGGAGGCTGAGGTGGGAGGATCACTTGAGCCCAGGAGGCAGAGGTTGCAGTGAGCTGTGATCTTGCCACTGCACTCCAGCCTGGGTGACAGAGCCCAGACCCTGTTTCAAAGTAAAAATTAAAAAAAGAGGATATCCACATGGCCAATAAATATATGAAAACATCATTAGTTATTAGGGAAATATACAAATAAATAACATAATGTCATAAGAAAGGTTAAAATTAATATGAAAATACCAAGTGTAGTTAGAATGTGAAACAACCAGAATTCTCATATTCTGTTGGTAGAACTATAGATTAGTACAACTACTTTGAGAAACTGATTGGTAGTATCTACTACAGCCGAACATATGCATACCCTAGGATCCAATCAAGATAAAGGTTATAGGGACTGAACTGGAAGGGGGCAAGAGAGGAGCTGCTGGGACACTAATAATATTCGGTATCTTGATCTGGGTGCTGGTCAAATGGGTATGTTCACTTTGTGAAAATACATTTAAGCTATCACTTATGTATAGCTTTGATGTATGGATATAATACTTTTCTGAAAAGTTTATATAGAAATAAAAAAATCCATTAAAAAAATTATCCTGAGTATTCTCCTCTTCTCAGTCTACAGTGGGGTGTTCTCTTCCAAGGTCATATCTTCATCTATCATATATGCACCCTATAGATTTACATATCTATACCTCTAACCTAGAACTCTTTTAGAGGGCTAGAGATACATTGGCAAAATCAGAATTGACACTTGTTCAAACAGATATACTTTAAGTATTTGCTCAACATTTATTTAGACACCAGGGTAAATGCTATATGAGTAAGTACAGAAAAGGACAACAGAAATAGAGCTTAGCATCTTCTCTATTACCTCTATTGAGTTTAGGCCCCAAACTGAAAAACAGAATACAGAAACAATGCCCTTCAACTAACCAATTCTAACTTCCTTAGAGAAAACTGCCAAAGTAATCTATTATTTTAACATTCCCTTTATTATTAGTCACTACCCCCCAACTCCACAGATTTATTCAAGTATATCTGCTCCCATAATGTTTCAGTGCCCTGTCAATGACCCAGCTGACCAGCACCTTAATTAGACTCAACCACTGAGTTATTCATCTGTTCCATAACCTCAGATTAAATATCTCCTATTCAAAAGGTTCAAAAAGTTTTACTCTTACAGCCTCCACATCCCCATACTGCCAAAAAGCAACACAACTTTGAAAGTAAGTACTTCTATTCCTATTCTTGCTGTAACCTTCCCATAAACTCCTTCTATGATAAATGCACAATCCTGCTAGCCAACTCCAGACAGGCACCTAGAAGTCAACTTTGATACTGTACCTGCAGTTCGTAGCAGTACACATAATGAGTGAGCTACCTCTGGTTATACTTCTATAGCAGATAACAAAAAACTAAATGCCGAAAGACAATTAATCTATTTACTGTTTTTAGTCCTCTGAAATGAAGCTAAAATAAAGGATGAAGATATGAAGAGCAACTCTATATTTTCTCCCCTCAGATCAAAATCAGATCATCTTTTTTTTTTCCTTTTTTGAGACAGGGTCTTGCCCTGTCACCCAGGATGGAATGCAGTGGCACACACTCCTGGGCTCAAGTGATCCGCCCATCAACTAGCATGCACCACCATCCCTGCCTAATTTTCTTTTTTATTTTTTGTAGAGACAGGGGTTTTGCTATATTGCCCAGGCTGGTCTCAAACCCCTGGCATCAAGGTATCCTCCTTCCTGGGCCTCCCAAAGTGTTGGGATTATAAGCGTGAGCCACTGCACCTGGCATAAGTGCTTCTAAAATAAAATACAATGATCTTACTTATAAAAATAAGATGCTCTGATTTTGACCGGGTGCAGTGTCTCACTCCTGTAATCCTGCCAATTTGGGAGGCCAAGACAAGAGGATCATTTGAGACCAGGAATTCAAGATCACCCTGGGCAACAACATAGCAAGATCACCACTACAAAAGAATTTTTAAAAATTTAGCCAGGCATAGTGGCACATATCTATAGTACTAGCTACTCAGGAGACTGAGGCAGAAAAATCACTTGAGCCCACAACTTCAAAGCTGCAGTGAGCTATGATTGCACCACTGCACTCCAGCGTAGATGACAGAGCAAGACCCTGTTTCTTAAAAACGATAACAACAACAACAACAAAAAGCATTTATATAGTACCTACCACTAGCCAGGTACCATTCTAAGTAGATTACACATGTTATCTTATTTAATTTTTATATCAAACCTATAAAAGAAGAAACAGACACCAGTAGGTTAGGTGTTACAAGGTCACATAAATTTCAAGTAACAAAGTTCAGATTTGAAATGGACTGTCTGCCTATAGAGTCCACACAGCATTTTATACTCTTCTACCTCCTAATCAATGATAACAGCCTAGCAACCTGTCTTTCCAAACCTTTATTTATGCAAGAACATATAGAAGTTTTTTTTTGGGGGGGGGGTGGGTTGTTTTGTTTTGTTTTTTGTTTGCAGAGGCAGAATCTCGCTATATTGTTCAGGCTGGTCTCCTAGCGTCAGGTAATCCTCCCACATCAGCCTCCCAAACTGCTGGGATTACAGGCATGAGCCACCACACCTAGCCTAGAGAGTTTAAAATACATATATATATGAATATATATGTATATGTGTATATATATACCTAAAAATATATATATATACCTAAAAAAGACTTTCAGTACTGTTTAACATTTATTCATTTATCAAATTCTAAATGAAACTGAAATAGTCTTTTCATATTTGCCTATAATTACATAGTTAAACACATGTCCAGAACCCTCAAAACAGCTCTGCTACTTTCACTGCTTACTGTTCTCTCTCACACAAAATTGATTGCCAGACTCTGGAGAGGGATTGGCCCCCTTTCCTGTCCATAAAGAGGACAAGGAAACGTCAGTTTCTAGTTTCCCCTATTGTCCTCATTCCAGCAGATAATGAGAAACTCACAAGTAACACATCTGGAAAGAGAACTTTTTCCTCCCAAATTTGCTAGCATATGCCAAGAAAGGCTCCAGGCCATACCAATTACCTCCAAATTCCTACACTTTTGTCCAAGATCCCAAATGTAATGTATTCTCTTGAGACTGCTGGTCTTTTACTGAATTGTATAAATATCAGAGGATATTCCTATTTTCCTTCTAGTGCTACAAGACCACCACAGCGGATTATTACAAACCTATGTTCAGGAATATCCTCACCTCCAATTCACATGTGGTCATCATTTACACTAAACAATGGTTTTCAACTGAATTTACTGTGGTTTTTTACAAAACTATTACTTTTACATGGTTTCAAAGAGACTAAACTTATATGTTCTGGCTATCCTTCGAAGTTCCTACTAATCTATTCCTTCCTTTTGAATTTACCCTCATTCAGAATTTAACAGCAGCCCTTCCTTTTCCACATCAGGACTATATACATAAGTCAAGCAATCTAAAGCTATGTTTTTCCCAATCTCCCAGAAACCTCACCAAACCCAGAAAAATAATAAAAAATTTTCAAAACTTATTTTTTCACATAAAGAATATGAAAAAGTGAAATAAAGATAATCCTCAATTCATTCTTGTAGATGAACTCACATTCAACAATAGAAGTGAAAGGCTCTTTCAGCATTCATCTAGCTGTATTTAATCAAGAAGAGAAAAAACACTGTCTAACAAGATTTCAGCAACTCCTAATTGTATTTGGAGTTCATCTGAAAATAATAAATAGCTGGCATAATAGATCTCAAATCTAAATTAAGAAATATTTTATGATTTAGCCTCATCCAAAGATGTTAGGTTCTAATTTTTAGAGGTATCTTCTCTAGATTTAAATGGGTTATCAGACAAGATGATTTTGGAGTCCTTTCAAACTGTGAGATGCTATGAATTCTCTTATTTAGCTTTCCTTGACCATTCCATCAACAGTAGCCGCTCCCTTTTCTGATCACCTTCACTAGGAACTGCCTAGGATGTTTGTGTTTATTTGCTATTTATATACCATCATGTTAGTTTCTATGTGTAATAGTTTTGTCTTCTCAAGTAGATAATAACGACAAAGACAAAATTATGACCTTTTAACACTTTTTGGTATCTAACTGGCATAATTTCTACATACCATTAAACACTGCCAAGTATGAGAAGGAAGAGCGTTTTCCCTCCCCACTATGCCAGAATCTACTTAAATGGGAGAAAACCCCTTTTTTGTTTTTATATTGTTTTTTAATATATTTGTTAGCCACCTAATATATATTCAGTCTTATGCTGTGGGCTAAAGATTGATCCCTGCTGCACAATGATTTTAATTAAGAGGATTCTGGTCTATGCCTTATTAGACAGATAATAGTATTCAGAAGAAACTTTAATTTCTTTTTAATGAGCCTAAATGAGTATTCTATTGCAGAGGGTGGGTGGGTTGAAGATTTATGGAGGAAGACAATGTATCAGATAAATAACATATGTTTTGTAGTTAGGGAAGGAGAAGTCAATTTCTGAGCTGTTATGAAGATAGAGGATGGAGGGCAGAATTCCTACACAGACTTTTAGTAAGCAAAATGAAAAATCAGTGTCTTGTTTTTCTTTAGCTGTTCTGACTGCTATTCTGCATGCAAAATTTTTCCTCTCTTCATCTCTGCTTCTCAGATTACTGAAAGTCAAACCAAATTCCTTCTCTAGTTGAGTCTAAGACTTTGCAAATGTACATATTAAAAACACTCTGCATTTCAACAGTGTTCCCTTTACTGGTGCCACATCAGAGACCATTGCCTGACTGTACAATGAATTGCCGATAATACAGCAGAATCTTTGTAATTTGACAAACTATGCTGCACAGATTCTTATGCAACCAGTATTCCATCCATATAAATCATTCCTGTGATAGGTAAGTTTTTTGGATACAGTTAGTTTCAAGTAAAAAGTATTATATTTTTATATTCAAAGAAAAAATCAATAAAGTTAATAATAAAAGTTCTTACATGAGTTGGTAATGAAGAGTGTTATCAGTTTCCATGCATAATTTGGCCACCTTGGATGTATTCACTTTATGGAGCCCTAGCAGAAGGCTATTTTTTTTCCATGCAATCTCTCTTTTTGGAGAGAAGATGATCTGTGTGTCCCTGGTGCATTAGGTCAAGGTTAGGAAATTAACTCGCAAGAAATTCCTCTATTTCTCATTTTTAGTTATGTTGCCCAGGCAGGACTCAAACTCCTGGGCTCAAACAATCCTCTCACCTCACCCTGCCAGGTAGCTGGAACTATAAACATGCACCACTGCACACAGCTCCCATTTTTGTTGTGTTATTTTTGTGATGTATGAATTTTTGTGAATACATTTGTTGTTCTTACTTTTATAGGGGTAGGATTTAGAAGCCATTTGAAGTGGAGAAATCACTTTTTAAATGCAGTTTTAAGCAAACATGGAATTTCCAAATTTTAAACAGTATTTTATAAAATAATATTTTATAAGAAGTTTTTATAGAGATGCTTTTGGAGAAAATGATTTTGTAGAAAATTATTATTGTTATTATTTTTTGAGACAGGATCTTGCTCTGTCCCCCAGGCTGGAGTACAGAAGCACAATCATAGCTCACTACTGCCTCAAACTCCTGGGCTCAACAATCCTCCCACCTCAGCCTCCCAAGTAGCTAGGACAACAGGCATGCACCACCACTGCTGCCTAATTTTTTCTTTTAATTTTTTGTAGAGACAGAGTCTCACTGTGTTGCTCATACTGGTCTCGAACTCCTGGGCTCAAGTGATCCTCCTGTCTCAACCTCCCAAATCACTGGGATTACAGGTGTGAGCTCCCATGCCTGGCCCTAGAAAATTATTTTTAAATTAATCTTCAATGTATTGAGTCTTATAGGATTATATAACATAACAGTTAAAGGCTGTTTGTGACCCCTAAAATTCATATGTTGAAATCCTAACCCACAATATGATGGTATTAGGAGGTGGAGTCTGTGGCAGCGATGAGGTTTAGGAGGGTGGAGCTTTCATGAATAGGATTAATGCCTTTATAAAAGAAACCCCAGAGACCTCTCTCTCTGTCTTTCAGCCACATGAGGATATGAGAAGATGGTAGTCTGCAACCCAGAAGAGGGCCCTCACCAGAACCCAACCATGCTGGCACTCTGATCTTGGACTTTAAGCCTCCAGAACTGTGAGCAATACATTTCTGTTGTTTATAAGCCATTGAGACTACATACAGTACGTTGTTACAAGAGCCAGAAATGACTAAGGCAGAAATGTATATAAAGTACATATATATACTTAAGGCACTCAAAAATCTAATCCCTTTACTTTCTGCCTGTGCCCTAATCTTTCTCCAATGGCAAAGCTTCCTCTATCCATGTAATATAATATTACCCTCTTGGTGTCAAAACAATACAAGTCTAATCAATTTTCCATGTTTAACCCTTTTAAAATATGAAGCCATTTTGATGGCCACAAAAGTTTTCTGTGTTCTAGGTTAAAAACATCTTTAGTCCTTCATATGCAGTAGTATCTTGTTAGAATGCTATTCTATTTTCTGTCCCCAAAGATATTCTGCTTCACTTATATTCCCTTGAACTGTGACACACAAAGCTAAATATAACATTCCAGATGTATTCCAAACAGAACAGAACAGGCCTATCACCTCGCTCATCCAGAAACTAGAGCAGTACTATTCATACAGCCTTGGCTTTTTTGAATAACCACATTGCAGTGCCTCCTCCACCTCCCCACATGCACTGCTTGTAAACTGTTCCAACCTCTACTTACAATTAGTTATTTAAGATATAAGAATAGAAATTTCACAATAACTCAAGATAAAATTTAATTCTATTAGATGAAGCCAGATTCAAAATTCTGTAAAGATCCCTCAGAATCTTGTTTCTGTTATTTATCATATTCATTTGCTATGAATGGAAATATAGTGAGCATACTCTTTAACATTTTGATTCTGATGGAAAAGCCAGTATTCAGCACAAAGGACCCTACCACACAATAGCAGCAATCTTCTGTTCTCACAGACTCATCTATCATTGTGCCTTATAATCAACCAGTTGTCTGTTGATCGGTCTTTTTATTCAATTCCTATTTCTTCACCTTGTATAAATACACTGACTAGGATGGCAATGATGTATAAAACAATGTTAAAAATGAAGAATAGTTACAAGAAGTGAATTACCTTCCAATTTGTAAATGCACCATCCACTTTTGCCTTCAGGCTTTGTAAACTCTGTCTTCTACCCACAACATGCCATCCCCAGAGCCCTGACCTTCATCAAACTCCTTTCTCTCAGCTAATACACCACTTTTTATAGGAAACCTTTGATCACTCAAACCTGGGTTAGATATTCCTCTTCTGAGATTCAGAAATACATTATGCTTTCTCTATTATAATACTCATTATTATAATTTCTTCTTGTCCTTAATACTCAACAAATTGCAAGCCTTAGGCAGCTTGCCATGAGTAGCATTATATAGGCCAAGCCTCAAGCAGCCAACCAATCCAGAGGTAAACATTCAGGACTGGAGCAAAAGGTTTGGTTACCCACCATTTCATAAGCTTTGGGGACTAATTCCATCATGCCTCATATCCATTTACCTCAGTGACTGAAGCCTAACCCTCTAACATGCATCATCCTCTAGCCAGTCATCCCCACATGCTCTCTGGATCTCCTAAGTGTGAGATCACAAATGTGTGGTCTACCAATATTTAGAAATTAGGAGAATTCACACAAACATCCAGGTTGTCAATATCTCTTAAAAAAACAATTATGGTTTGGTAAGATCAGGCCTATACTGCCCATGGAAATAAACATCTAGAGATTAACAGTAACTAACTCCCCTTAGACCTGCATTATCCTCTCTACACTCATTCTCATACCTGTTAAATTCCCGGAGTTAACTGAATATGCAAAACCTGTCCTAATAAAACCATTTCTACCCATGATCATGACTTCTTCTCCCATCTCTTCCACTAGGACCTCTGGAATCTCATTCTGAGATCATCAAACTTCTATATACCCTTCCACATGATACAATAAATATTTATTTTCATTCCAAAAAGAAAAAAAAACTTTCTACATTTTTAAAAACAATAATTCTGCCAAAAGTTAGGAAATACAGGGTGACTGCTAGGTCAAAATAAAACATAAAAGAACTCTTGAGCTAGTTAATTAAACAATTAAATAGTAGAAATATTAATAGCAATCCTAAATCATACTAACTGTATTTGTGCCATGGAAAAAAAATTTCTAAAGCCCAAGTGCCAATCTCAGGAGGAAGTAGCAATATGAGTAATCATGTAGTGACACGGTAGTCAACTCTAAAGGAGAAACATTGGCACTATATCAAATCACCAAACTAAACTAAATAATCCCAAAGTGATGTCCCAACATAGCAAACTACATAACAGTGCATTCATCATGACTTTGCATTACCACCACTAATCAGAACATCCTACAAAAAACAAAATAGTTATAGAAGAGAATAAATGACAATGTGTGAACAGGCAATTAGAGCACAGTTAACGCTCACTGATAGTTCTAAAGTATAGGAATGTGTGTGTTTGTAGATGTATGCAAGTGTGCATATATATATATATGCATATGTGTATATATGTGTGTGTACATATATGTATATGTGTATATATACATCACTGTTTATAAAATAATGTAACATTTAAATGAGTCAAAGATAAATTATCCATAATCCCATATCACTGTTAATATATAGGACCTCTATGGCTTTACTCTATCACTCCATCCTACATATATATATGGAGTGATATAGTAGTGTGTGTATATGTGTGTGTGTGTGTGTGTGTATATATATATATATATATATATATATATATATATAGAGAGAGAGAGAGAGAGAGAGAGAGAGAGAGAGAGAGAGAGAGAGAGAGAGAGAGAGAGAAAGACAAGGTCTTGCTCTGTCACCCAGGCTGGAGTACAATGGCACGATCACTGCTTACTGAAGCCTTGACTTCCTGGGCTCCAGTGCTCCGCCTACCTCAGCCTTCCAAGTAGCTGGGACTACAGGCATGCACCACCATGCCTAGCTAATATATGTATTTTTGATAGAAATGGGGTTTCGCCATGTTGTCCAGGCTTTCTCGAACTCCTAAGCTCAAGCAATCCACCCGCCTTGGCCTCCCAAAATGCTGAGATTACAAGCATGAGCCACCACGCCTGGCCCACCCCATCCAATCATAACGCTTAGCTGACACCAAACCTGTAAAAGAAAATGCACAAACACATGTACTTTGCAGGGGTTACATATTCATAACAGAATACAAGGATTATCAAATGCATGGTGATGCCAACATGAAAAGCAATTTAAAGTAAATTCCCAATGAATTAAAGAGTTATATAAAGAAGGAAAACACATACAAACCATTTTTTAAAGTATCAAATATAAATATACAAATAGAAAATCAAAAAAGTCAGAAAGATGAATAGGTGATGCTACATGAAAATGGATATAACTGATGATTTAAAAAGAAAAAAAAGCTAAGCACAACTTCCCAACAGAATAGAAGTATGAACATGGGAAATGAATACACAATTCACAAAGGAGGAATAGACCTAGTGGATAAACATGTGTTAAAACATTTAGACTTACTAATGATTAGAAATGCAAAATTTTAAAAACCTATGAAATTTTAAAAGACTGAAGAAAAGAATAATATCTGTTGGCAAGAGTACAATGAAAGAAGCTCTCTGAAAGAATCAGTAAAAATGTAAATGTAAAATATCAATTTGGAAAACTCCTTTTTAATGTGTAGGAAGAACCTTAGATGTGTCTATATTCTTTAATCCAATAACTCCATCTCTCAGAATCTATCCTAAAGAAATTATCTTAAATATGGAAATGGTTATGGTTATATAGTTGGTATTTTAATATTTTTTAAAACCTGGAAATAATATAACATCCAGCATTTAGTAAAAATAATTTACTGATACATACCATAATGACTCTCTAGATAATAACAAACATTCAATAAAAGTAATGTTTGCATGGGATAGATAGCAACATGAAAAATACTTATAAGTAAGTCTCAAACACTAGCTTCTCTCAATTTTTTTTTATTTTTTTATTTTTTGAGACAGTCTCCCAGGCTGGAGTACAGTGGCACAATCATGGCTCAGTGCAGTCTTGACCTCCTGGGCTCAGGCAATCCCCAAACCTCAGCCTCCCAAATAGCTGGGACTACAGGTTTGTGTCACCATTCCCAGCTAATTTGTTAATATTTGATAGAGTTTGAGTCTCAACTTCAGGCTGGTCTCAACTTCAAGGCCTCAAGCGATCGTCCCACCTCAGCCTCTCTAATTGTTGGATTTACAGGCATGAGCCACTGCACCCACCAGACACCAGTTTTCTTAATCTATACCTTGTGAACAAACTTCCTGAAACTAGAATGAACTTGTACACTTTCTGGTATACTCATTAACATTTTTGTTTTTTCTACTTTATATTATAGCATGTATTTCATTCTGACTCTTTTTACCACTCATTGCAAAATACAAATTCTGCCTTTGTGATCAAATATTAAGCAAGTTAACAAAAAGTATTCCGTCTGCCATCAGGTGGAGGCACGAGGATTCCAAATAGAGAAGCACATTCCTGGAGACCTCCAACCTCCTACCCCTATCCCAGGAACGGGGGAATAAATTAGGCAGGATCATACACTGTATGTTGTTGTTGTTGTTGTTGGAAGAAATTAGCCAGGATCACACAATGTATGTTGTTGTTGTTGTTGTTGGAAGAAATTAGGCAGGATCATACAATGTATGCTGTTGTTGTTGTTGTTGCTACTGCTGCTGCTGTTTTAATATCACTTCCCCCATGCCCTATATCCATCAAGATTTTGATGCCTCAGAGAGAACCCCTGGTGTAATTAAAACAAAATGGACTCTGGTCCATTCTAACTTTCCAACCTTCAATAAATTACTTTAGCTCCTAGAGCTTCAGCATGTTCACCTGTAAAAGAGAAAGAATAATATTTGCCTTATAGGTTTATCTAAACATTAAATTAGCAAACATAGGCACATATGTAAATACAGGTAAAACACCTGGAACAGTACCATGGAGCTGACTCAAATAAGGTTCACTTCCCCTTAATCAAACTGCTGAAGTGTCTAAGACAGTATAAGCTGATAAATAAAACAGGGTCTGTCCCATTAAATAACTTAAAGTTTTCTGAGAATAAAAATAAACTTTAAACAAGTAATCACACTAATAAATTTTGCATAAGATATTGCAATATGTACTATGAAGTAAAAGTTAACAGTGTTATGAAGTAGAGCAGGGATCTGACTTAGATTGCTGAGGATCAAGAAAGCTCCCTTTGGAAACATATTTAAGGTAAAATCTTTAAAATAAATAGGAGAGTAGGACAACGAAAATAAAAACGATCCAGATGGGAAAAAAAAAGAGCATGCGTGAAGGTCCAAAGACAGGCAAAACATTGGTAGCTTAAAAAAAGAAAGAAGAAAAGAAGAAGGCAGTGGTTGCAGCAAACTGAGCAAGTAGGAGAAAGACTCAAGAAGAGACTAGTAAGATACAGGCAGCTTTCATGTTGAGAAACTACAGCCCATGACTTAAAGCCAATCTATAGCCTGTATTTGTACAATCCTAGTGCTAAAAATGTTTTTTACATTTTGTAAGAGCTGTAAAAAATGCTAATGAAAAAACAGACTTTCATTTCAAGAAGACAGAATAGATGCACTTTTCCTCCTCTTCCCGCTAAGTACAACTAAAATACTGCAGCCCCATCATTACCCCACCAAAAACCAAGTAGGAAGCCAAGACTTCCAATGCCTCCAGGCTATAATTTGGTGCTCCAACACATCCCCACCTTAGGGATGGTGTCAGAAAGGGCAGAGTGGGGAGCTTGGATTTTACACACCAACAGAAAGTAACAAAGAAATCTTACATGGTGTCAACAGACATGTGATAGAATGGTAAGCAGAAATAGACAAATCCACACTTATAAATGGGGACTTCAGCACCTCCACCTCAACAACTGGTAGAACAATTAGGAAATCAACAAAGATATAGAAGAATTCACCAGTACCATCAAGCAACAAGATCTAAATGACATTCATAGAATAAGGTTCAAAAAAGGTTCACATCTCCTTAATCAAACTGCTGAAGTTTCAAACTTGTGCTGTCCTTATAACAACAGAAAAATACCCATTCTTTACAAGTATCAACAGAACATATAAAAAGATAGACCATATTATGGGCCACAAAACACATCTCAACAAATTTAAACAAATAGAAATCATAGGGTGTGATCTCTGAAAATAATGAATCTCCTACATGCTTGGAAACAAAAAAAAAAACTTCTAAATAATATATGGGTCAAGAAAACATCTCAAAAAAAGTAAAAATACATAGAACTGAATGAAAGTGAAAATAAACCAAACCAAAATTAGTAGGATATAGCTAATGCAAGGAGGAAATTTCTAGCACTACATGTATATACATTAGAAAACAGGAAAAGTCTCAAATCAATAATCTAAGCTTCTACCTCAAAAAACTAGAAAGAGAAAAGCAAAGTAATTCTAAAATACACAGAAGGAAGAAAATCATAAGGACAAAAACACAAATCAATTAAATTGAGAACAGGAAAATGTTAGAGAAAATCAATGAAACAAAAAGGTGGTTCTTTGAAAATATTAGTAAAATTGACAAACTTCAAACAAGACTGACAATGAAAAAAAGAGAAAAAATACAAATCAGGAATGAAACAATGGCTATCACCATGGGCTGTGCAGACATGAAAGGAATAATAAGGGAATGCTATGGTAGAAAAGACTCTACACATATAAATTTGACAAAGTAGATGAAATAGACCAATTCCTCAAAAACTACAAAGTACCACACCTTCCCCCAATATTAAATAGATAATTTGAATAGTCCTATAACTGGGAAGGAAATTGGATTTACTGAAAAATCTCCCCTTAAAAAATCTCCAGGTGCATATGGTTTCAATAGAGAATTCCACCAAACATTTTAAGAAGAATTAACACCAATTCTACACAATCTTTTCCAGAAAGCAGAAGAGGAAGGAATACCTCTCCAACTCATTTTATGAAGCACTGATGTCAAAACCAGACAAAGACAGTACTAAAATAGAAAACTACAAACCAATATCCTTCATGCATTTAGATAAAAATACCTTAGCAAAATACAAGTAAACAGAATTCAGCAATTTACAAAAGGAATTATACACCATGACCAAGTAGGGTTTATTCCAGGAATGGAAGGTTGCTTGACTATTTGAAAAATAAATTAATGTGATACATCATATTAACAGACTAAAGATACAACAGAAGAAAGGAAATCTAAAGAAGAAAAATGAGGCCAAGGCAGTAGGATTACTTGAGGCCAGAAGTTCAAGAAAAGCCTAAGCAACATAGGCTTAGGCTATAAGAAACAAAAAATTTCTTTAAAAAATTAGTCAGGTGCAGTGTCATGCATCTGCAGTTCCAGCTACTCAGGAGGCTGAGGCAGGAGGATGGCTTGACCTCAGGAGTTTGAGGCTGTAATGAGCTATCATCATGCCACTGCATTACAGCTAGGTGACAGTGAAACCATGTATTAAATATCTTTTAAAAATAAAGAAGACAAGAAGAGGAAGAGGAAGAAAAAAAGGGAAGGAAAAATGGAGGGAAGAAGGCAGGGAGGGAGGCAGGGAGGGAGGGAGGGAAGGAGGGAAGGAAGGAAGGAAGGAAGGAAGGAAGGAAGGAAGGAAGCAAGGAAGCAAGGAAGGGAGGGAAGATGAAGAAGAAGGAGAGGGAGGACGAGAAGAGGAGGGAGGAGGAAGAAGGAAGAAGAAGGAGGAGGAGGAAGAAAAAGATGAAGGAGGAGAAGGAGGAGGAGGAGGAGGAGAGAAAGAAGGAAGAAGAAGAGGCAGCGGCGGCAGCAGCCACAGTGCTAGAGAAAGAGGAAGAGGAAGAAAAAGCACCATATGATCAAATCAATTGATGCAGAAAAAAATGTTGACAAAATCCAACATCCATTCATGATACAAATTCTCAGAATACTAGAAATAGAGATGAATTTCCTTAACTTGATAAAATCTACAAAAACTTCATAGTAAATGGTTAAAGGCTGAATATTTTCCACCTAAGACAGGGAACAAAAAGATATGCATTCTAACCACTGCTATTCAATATAGTACGTACAATTCTAGCCACTGCAATGAGGCCAAAAAAAAGAAAAAGCACACATATCAGAAAAGAAAAAATAAAACTGTCTCTATTTACAAATGATATGATAACCTATGTAGATTATTCCAAGCAATCTACAAAAAAAAAAACTACTAGAACGAATAAATAAGTTCAGCAAAGTCACAGCATATAACATCGATAGCAAAAGACCAATTTCATTTGAACATGATACCAATGAGCATGTGGACACTGAAATTAAAAATACAATACCACTTATAAAAATTGTTAAAACAAAAAGATATACAAAGGTATAAACCTAACAAGTTATGTACAGAATGGACATGCTAAAAACAACAAAACACTGATGAAAGAAGTCAAAAACCAAAATGAAAAAAACATTGCATTCATGAATTGCGAGACTAAATATAGTAATAAATATGTCAATTCCAAAAAACGCCAAAAGCAATTGCAACAAAAGCAAAAATTGACAAATGGGATCTAATTAAACTAAACAGCTTCTGTACAAAAAGAAACTATCATCAGAGAGAAGAGACAACCTACAGAATGGGACAAAATTTTTGCAAACTATCCACCAATGAAGGTCAAATATACAGCATTTATGAGGAACTTAAACAAATTTACAAGAAAAAAACAAACAACTCCATTTAAAAGTGGGCAAAGGACATGAACAGAACCTATCCAAAGGTCTCATAGTCTGGCCAGGTGCAGTGGCTCGCACCTGTAATCCCAGCACTTTGGGAGGCAGAGGTGGGCAGATCACTTGAGGTCAGGAGTTTGAAACCAGCCTGGCCAACATGGCAAAACCCTGTATCTACAAAAAATTACAAAAATTAGCCAGGCATGGTGGCACTCGCCTTTAGTCCCAGCTACTGGGGAGGCTGAGGCATGAGGATAGCTTGAGCCCAGGAGGTGGAGGTTGCAGTCAGCCAAGATCACACCACTGCAGTACAGCCTGGGTGACACAGCAAGACTCTGTCTCAAAAAAAAAAAAAAACTGAAACCAAATGATAATGGAAATATAACATACCAAAACCTCTGGGATACAGCGAAAGTAGTACTAAGCAGAAAGTTTAGAGCAAAAGTAGTATATCAAAAAAGCAGGAAAACTTCCAACAAAAAAATCTAACCATGCATCTTAACCAGAAAAACAAGAGTGAATAAAACTCAAAATCAGTAGAAAATAAAAAATAAAAATCAAATCAAAGCAGAAATAAATGAACTTGAAACAAAGAAAACAATACAAACAATCAGTGAAAGGAAAACTTGGTTTTCTGAAAAGATAAAATCAACAAATCTTTAGCCTGACTAAGAAAAACAGAGAGAAGGTCCAAACAGATAAAATCAGAGAAGAAAAAGGAGACATTACAACCATTACGGCAGAAATTCAAAGGATCACTAGAGGCTACTATGAGCAACTATATGCTGATAAATTGGGAAAACTTAAAAGACATGGATACATTCCTAGATGCAAACAACTTACTAGGGTTGAACAATGAAGAAATCTAAAACCTGAACAGACCAGTAACAAGTAATGAGATGGAAGCTGTAATAAAAAGTGTCCTGGAGGGGAGTGCAGGATGGCCGACTAGATGCAACAAGGTGGCACAGCTCCTACCGAGGGACAAGACAACTGGTATAATCCAAACAGATCTTCTGAGAGAAGGTACCGAGAGTGAACAGAGGGAAAGACACAGAAGCTAGGCTGGAGGGACAGAAAGCTGGGAACCCTACATGAGGCTGCAGCATACCCGGACTCGTTCCTGGCCCACAATAGCCCCAGGAGAATGGGTGAGTTGAACTGGCAAGGAGCAACCTGTTCTCATCATGGGTCTCTGGAACCCCGGCAGGAGGAGATGCCTCAACCACCACAGACACTCGAGTTGGCAGCGAGAGCTGCTTAGAGAAGTGGTAGGGGCAGCAAGCCAGCTCATGTGGAGCCTAGAGGGTTTGGTGCAAGAGTGTCTGTAGTGGAGCATGGCCAAGAATAGCCATCCCCCTAGGCTCAACGTGCTTCCATAGGAGACTTTAGCCCTAGGGGTCCTGAACTCTGCAGGGTTGTCTTGCCCATCAGACAGGGCCAGACCAACATGAGCACCCCTTGGTCAGCTGCCCTCTTCCAGCCTGGCCACGCCTCCTTGCAGGGCAACCTCAGGTGCCCTGGGGGCATGTACCATAGCTTCTACACTGGCAGACAGTGCCTTACCAGGGAAGAGCTTGAGTAGGGCAGCCCCTGTGACCATGCACTATCTCACAGTCTCCCTCCCCATACTGCAGCTTCCTCTGGGCCCACAGCAGCTCCCCACATTGCTTTGCTGGTGGTGTCTGCACAGGCGGGTTTTGCTTTCCTTGCCACAACAGCACACCTGAGTACAGTGTTCCCCCTGCCAACCAGGTTTCAGATGGAGTCTTGGCAGACAGAGTGAGACAGCCCTGACCCCACTAGTGCCCCATCCTTACACTAACACTGCGAAGAGAATGGCACATCCTTCCCTATGCTGGGTGACCACTCCTGCTTCCTGGGCACAGAGAAGGCACCCAGAAATGCACCTGCCAGCACCCTGCCCCTGATCCAACACCACCTCCGGCATGACTGCACAAAGTTGCCATCAAGGGCCCCGTACACCCCCAAACTGCATTGCCTCTGCCACTGTGGTGAATGCCGGCATGGAGGCAGACACCCTGGCACCCACTAGCAGTTTGCCACAGCTTCCACTACTGCTGCTGCTGCCATCCATGTGCAAACAAGGACAAATCCCACTGTCACTGCACTACCAAACGTTATGGTTGACACCACTTATCACAGTGTAGTGACCAGCAGTCTGGGAGCACATAAGGACCCCTTACCAACACAGTGGATTCCTAACCTTGAGAAGCCAGAGAAAAAAGTTAGAGCCCAATACAAGTCCCCCAGAATTAGAGTACATAGTCCAGGAGTTGGGAGCTAAGTGTTGGCCCCCTAAAATCTTCCAGAAACAAAGCCAGTCGGCTGAATCCACCTTATACCACAATCGTATTCTCAAAGTCATCAATAGATTAAAGGAAAAAAACCTATCCAAAGGTCAGCAAGCTCAAGGATTAAAGGAAGATAAGCCAACAAGGATGAGAAAGAATCAGCACAAGAGGCCTGACAACTCAAAAAGCCAGCGTGCTTTCTTTCCTCCAAACAATGGCACCACCTCTCAAGCGAGGGTTCTGATCGGGGCTGAGATGGCTGAAATGACAAAAACAGAATTCAGAATATGGATAGGAATGAAGATCATTGAGCTACAGGAGTATGTTGAAATTCAATCTAAGGAAGCTAAAAATCATGGAAAAAAGAATGCAGGAGCCAAGAGACAAAACAGCCAGTATAGAAAAGATGGTAACTGAACTCATAGAGCTGAAAAACACACTATAAGAATTTCACAATGCAATCACAATTATTAATATCAAAATGAACTAAGCAGAGGAAAGAATCTCAGAGCTTGAAGATTGGCTTTCTGAAATAAGACAGACAAGAATAGAGAAAAAAGAATGAAAAGGAATAAACAAAACCTCTAAGAAATACGGGATTATGTAAAGAGACCAAATCTACAACTCTTTGGTGTCCTGAAAGAGATAGGGAGAAAGGAACCAACTCAGAAAACGTATTTCAGGATACATCCATGAGAACGTCCCCAACCTAGCTGGAGAGGCCAGCATTCAAATTCAGGAAATGCAGAGAACCTCAGTAAGACACTTCACAAGAAGATCATGCCCAAGACACATAATCATCAGATTCTCCAAGGTTGAAATGAAAGAAAAAATAAAGGCAGCTGGAGAGAAAAGGTCACCTACAAAGGGAAGCCTATCAGACTAACAGCACACATCTCAGCAGAAACCATATAAGCCAGAAGAGATTCTTCTTAAAGAATGTTGAATATTGGCCCCCAATATTGAATGTTGAATGCAATGACACACTCAGGCTCAAAATAAAGGGATGGAGAAAAATCTGCCAAGCAAATAGAAAACAAAAAAGCAGGGGTTACAAACCTAGTTTCAGACAAAACAGACTTTAAACCAACAAAGATCAAAAAAGACAAAGAAGGACATTACATAATGGCAAAGATTTCAACTCAAGGAGAAGATCTAACTCTCCTAAATATATATGCACCCAACACAGGATTAGCCAGATTCATAAAGCAAGTGCTTAAAGGCCTTCAAAGACACTTAGATTCCCACACAATAATAGTGGAAGACTTTAACATCCCGCTGACAATATTTGACAGATTATCAAGACAGAAAATTAGCAAAGACAGGAAGTCTGTTCCAAGATGGCCGAATAGGAGCAGCTCCAGTCTGCAGCTCCGAGCGTGATCAACAGAGAAGACGGTGATTTTTGCATTTCCAACTGAGGTACCTGGTTCATCTAATTGGGACTGGTTGGACAGTGGGTGCAGCTCAGAGAGGGCGAGCTGAAGCAGGGCGGGGCATCGCCTCACCTGGGGCACAAGGGGTCAGGGGATTTCCCTTTCCTAGCCAAGGGAAGCCGTGACAGACTGTACCTGGAAAATCAGGCCACTCCCACCCAAATACTGTGCTTTTCCAACAGTCTTAGCAAACGGCACACCAGGAGATTTTATCCCACGCCTGGATTGGTGGGTCCCCCACCCACGAAGCCTTGCTCACTGCTAGTGCAGCAGTCTGAGATCAACCTGCAAGGCAGCAACCTGGCAACGGGAGGGGTATCCACCATTGCTGAGGCTTGAGTAGGTAAACAAAGCAGCCAGGGAAGCTCAAACTGGGCAGAGCCCACTGCAGCTCTGCAAGGCTTGCTGTGTGTATAGACCCCACCTCTGGGAGCAGGGCATAGCTGAACAAAAGGCAGCAGAAACTTCTGCAGACTTAAACGTCCCTCTCTGACAGCTCTAAAGAGAGCTGTGTTCTCTAAGCACAGTGTCTGAGCCCTGAGAACAGACAGACTGCCTCCTCAAGTGGGTCCCTGACCCCTGTGTAGCCTAACTGGGAGACACCTCCCAGTAGCGGCCGACTGACACCTCATACAGGAGGGTACCCCTCTGGGACGAAGATTCCAGAGGAAGGATCAGGCAGCAATATTTGCTGTTCTGCAGTATTTGCTGCTCTGCAGCCTCCGCTGGTGATACCCAGGCAAAAAGGGTCCGGAGTGGACCTCCAGCAAACTCTAACAAACCTGCAGCTGAGGGTCCTGACTGTTAGAAGGAAAACTAACAAACAGAAAGAAATAGCATCAACATCAACAAAAAGGACATCCACACCAAAACCCCATCTGTAGGTCACCAGCATCAAAGACCAAAGGTAGATAAAACCACAAAGATGGGGAGAAATGAGAGCAGAGCATGGGTAGGAAGAATCAATATCGTGAAAATGGCCATACTGCCCAAGGTAATTTACAGATTCAATGCCATCCCCATCAAGCTACCAATGACTTTCTTCACAGAATTGGAAAAAACTACTTTAAAGTTCATATGGAACCAAAAAAGAGCCCGCATCGCCAAGTCAATCCTAAGCCAAAAGAACAAAGCTGGAGGCATCACACTACCTGACTTCAAACTATACTACAAGGCTACAGTAACCAAAACAGCATGGTACTGGTACCAAAACAGAGATATAGATCAATGGAACAGAACAGAGCCCTCAGAAATAACGCCACATATCTACAACTATCTGATCTTTGACAGACCTGAGAAAAACAAGCAATGGGGAAAGGATTCCCTATTTAATAAATGGTGCTGGGAAAACTGGCTAGCCATATGTAGAAAGCTGAAACCGGATCCCTTCCTTACACCTTATACAAAAATCAATTCAAGATGGATTAAAGACTTAAACGTTAGACCTAAAACCATAAAAACCCTAGAAGAAAACCTAGGCATTACCATTCAGGACATAGGCATGGGCAAGGACTTCATGTCTAAAACACCAACAGCAATGGCAACAAAAGACAAAATTGACAAATGGGATCTCATTAAACTAAAGAGCTTCTGCACAGCAAAAGAAACTAACATCAGAGTGAACAGGCAACCTACAAAATGGGAGAAAATTTTCACAACCTACTCATCTGACAAAGGGCTAATATCCAGAATCTACAATGAACTCAAACAAATTTACAAGAAAAAAACAAACAACCCCATCAAAAAGTGGGCAAAGGACATGAACAGACACTTCTCAAAAGAAGACATTTATGCAGCCAAAAAACATGAAAAAATGCTCACCATCACTGGCCACCAGAGAAATGCAAATCAAAACCACAATGAGATACCATCTCACACCAGTTAGAATGGCAATCATTAAAAAATCAGGAAACAACAGGTGCTGGAGAGGATGTGGAGAAATAGGAACACTTTTACACTGTTGGTGGGACTGTAAACTAGTTCAACCATTGTGGAAGTCAGTGTGGTGACTCCTCAGGGATCTAGAACTGGAAATACCATTTGACCCAGCCATCCCATTACTGGGTATATACCCAAAGGACTATAAATCATGCTGCTATAAAGACACATGCACACGTATGTTTATTGCGGCATTATTCACAATAGCAAAGACTTGGAACCAACCCAAATGTCCAACAATGACAGACTGGATTAAGAAAATGTGGCACATATACACCATGGAATACTATGCAGCCATAAAAAAGGATGAGTTCATGTCCTTTGTAGGGACATGGATGAAATTGGAAATCATCATTCTCAGTAAACTATCGCAAGAACAAAAAACCAAACACCGCATATTCTCACTCATAGGTGGGAAGTGAACAATGAGAACACATGGACACAGGAAGGGGAACATCACACTCTGGGGACTGTTGTGGGGTGGGGGGAGGGGGGAGGGATAGCATTGGGAGATATACCTAATGCTAGATGACGAGTTAGTGGGTGCAGCACACCAGCATGGCACATGTATACGTATGTAACTAACCTGCACAATGTGCACATGTACCCTAAAACTTGAAGTATAATTTAAAAAAAATAAATTTAAAAAAAAAGAAGCAATAAAAAAAATTAAAAAATAAATAAATAAATAAATAAATAAAAAAGAAATGAGAGCAGAAAAGCTGAAAATTCAAAAAAACAGAGCGCCTCTTCTCCTCCAAAGGATCACAGTTCCTTGCCAGCAACAGAACAAAGCTGGATGGAGAATGACTTTGACAAGCTGACAGAAGTAGACTTCAGAAGGTCGGTAATAACAAACTTCAAGCTAAAGAAGGATGTTCAAACCCATCACAAGGAAGCTGAAAACCTTGAAAAAAGGTTAGACGAATGGCTAACAAGAATAAACAGTGTAGAGAAAACCTTAAATGAACTGATGGAGCTGAAAACCATGGCACGAGAACTACGTGACACATCTACAAACCTCAATAGCCAATTCAATCAAGTGGAAGAAAGGGTATCAGTGATTGAAGATCAAATTAATGAAATGAAGCAAGAAGATAAGTTTAGAGAAAAAACAGCAAAAAGAAATGAACAAAGCCTCCAAGAAATATGGGACTATGTGAAAAGACCAAATCCACGTTTGATTGGTGTACCTGAAAATGATGGGAAGAATGGAACCAAGTTGGAAAACACTCTGCAGGATATTATCCAGGAGAACCTAGCAAGGCAGGCCAACATTCAAATTCAGAAAATACAGAGAACACCACAAAGATACTCCTTGAGAAGAGCAACCCCAAGACACATAATTGTCAGATTCACCAAAGTTGAAATGAAGGAAAAAATGTTAACGGCAACCAGAGAGAAAGGTCAGGTTACCCACAAAGGGAAGCCCATCAGACTAACAACGGATCTCTCGACAGAAACTCTATAAGCCAGAAGAGAGTGGGGGCCAATAGTCAGCATTCTTAAAGAAAATAATTTTCAACCCAGAATTTCATATTCAGCTAAACTAAGCTTCATAAGTGAAGGAGAAATAAAATCCTTTACAGACAAGCAAATGCTGAGAGATTTTGTCACCACCTGGCCTGCCTGATAAGAGCTCCTGAAGGAAGCACTAAACATGGAAAGGAACGACCGGTACCAGTCACTGCAAAAACATGCCAAATTGTAAAGAACATCGATGCTAGGAAGAAACTCCATCAACTAATGGGCAAAATAACCAGCTAACATCATAATGACAGGATCAAATTCACACATAACAATATTAACCTTAAATGTAAATGGGCTAAATGCCCCACTTAAAAGACACAGACTGGCAAATTGGATAGAGTCAAGATCCATCAGTGTGCTGTATTCAGGAGACCCATTTCACGTGCAGAGACACACACAGGCTCAAAACAAAAGGATGGAGAAAGATTTACCAAGCAAATGGAAAGCAAGAAAAAAAAGTGGGGGTTGCAATCCTAGTCTCCAATAAAACAGACTTTAAACCAACAAAGATCAAAAGAGACAAAGAAGGCCATTACCTAATGGCAAAAAGATCAATTCAACAAGAAGAACTAACCATGCTAAATATATATGCACCCAATACAGGAGCACCCAGATTCATAAAGCAAGTCCTTAGAGACCTACAAAGAGACTTAGACTCCCACACAATAATAATGGGAGACTTTAACACCCCACTGTCAATATTAGACAGATAAATGAGACAGAAGGTTAACAAGGATATCCAGGAATTGAACTCAGCTCTGCACCAAGCAGACCTAATAGACACCTACAGAACTCTCCACCCCAAATGAGCAGAATATACATTCATCTCAGCACCACATAGCATTTATTCCAAAATTGACCACACAGTTGGAACTAAAGCACTCCTCAGCAAATATAAAAGAACAGAAATCACAAAAAAACTGTCTTTCAGACCACAGCGCAATCAAATTACAACTCAGAATTAAGAAACTCACTCAAAACCGCACAACTACATGGAAACTGAACAACCTGCTCCTGAATGACTACTGGGTAAATAAAAAAATGGAGGCAGAAATAAAGATGTTCTTTGAAACCAATGAGAACAAAGACACAACATACCAGAATCTCTGGGACACATTTAAAGCAGTGTGTAGAGGGAAATTTATAGCACTAAATGCCCACAAAAGAAAGCAGGAAAGATCTAAAATCAACACCCTAACATCACAATTAAAAGAACTAGAGAAGCAAGAGTAAACAATCTGAAAAGCTAGCAGAAGGCAACAAATAACTAAGATCAGAGCAGAACTGAAGGAGATAGAGACACAAAAAACCCTTCAAAAAAATCAGTGAATCCAGGAGCTGGTTTTTTGAAAAGATCAACAAAATTGATAGACCATTAGCAAGACAAATAAAGAAGAAAAGAGAGAAGAATCAAATAGACGCAATAAAAAATGATAAAGGGGATACCACCACAGATCCTACAGAAATACAAACTACCATCAGAGAATACTATAAACACCTCTACGCAGATAAACTAGAAAATCTAGAAGAAATGGATAAATTCCTCGACACATACACACTCCCAAGACTAAACCAGGAAGAAGTTGAATCTCTGAATAGACCAATAACAGGCTCTGAAATTGAGGCAATAATTAATAGCCTACCAACCAAAAAAAGTCCAGGACCAGACAGATTCACAGCTGGGTTCTACCAGAGGTACAAAGAGGAGATGGTACCATCTCCTCTTTCCTTCTGAAACTATTCCAACCAATAAAAAAAGAGGGAATCCTCCCTAACTCATTTTATGAGGCCAGCATCATCCTGATACCAAAGCCTGGCAGAGACACAACAAAAAAAGAGAATTTTAGACCAATATCCCTGATGAACATCGATGCGAAAATCCTCAATAAAATACTGGCAAACCAATCCAGCAGCACATCAAAAAGCTTATCCACCACAATCAAGTCGGCTTCATCCCTGGGATGCAAGGCTGGTTCAACATACGCAAATCAATAAACGTAATCCATCACATAAACAGAACCAATGACAAAAACCACATGATTATCTCAATAGATGCAGAAAAGGCCTTCGACAAAATTCAACAGCCCTTTATGATAAAAACTCTCAATAAACTAGGTATTGATGGAATGTATCTCAAAATAATAAGAGCTATTTATGACAAACCCACAGCCAATATCATACTGAATGGGCAAAAACTGGAAGCATTCCCTTTGAAAACTGCCACAAGACAGGGATGCCTTCTCTCACCACTCCTATTCAACATAATGTTGGAAGTTCTGGCCAGGGCATTCAGGCAAGAGAAAGAATTAAAGGGTATTCAATTAGGAAAAGAGGAAGTCAAGTTGTCTCTGTTTGCAGATGACATGATTGTATATTTAGAAAACCCCATCTCCTTGGGTTGATAAGCAACTTCAGCAAAGTCTCAGGATACAAAATCAATGTGCAAAAATCACAAGCAATCCTACACACCAATAACAGAGAGCCAAATCATGAGCGAACTCCCATTCACAATTCCTAAAAAGAGAATAAAATACCTAGGAATCCAACTTACAAGGGATGTGAAGGACCTCTTCAAGGAGAACTACAAACCACTGCTCAACGAGATAAAAGAAGACACAAACAAATGGAAGAACATTCAATGCTCATAGATAGGAAGAATCAATACCATGAAAATGGCCATACTGCCCAAGGTAATTTACAGATTCAATGCCATCCCCATCAAGCTACCAATGACTTTCTTCACAGAATTGGAAAACAACTACTTTAAAGTTCATATGGAACCAAAAAAACAGCCTGCATTGCCAAGACAATCCTAAGCAAAAAGAACAAAGCTGGAGGCATCATGCTACCTGACATCAAACTATACTACAAGGCTACAGTAACCAAAACAGCATGGTACTAGTACCAAAACACAGAGATAGACCAATGGAACAGAACAGAGGCCTCAGAAATAACACCACACATCTACAACCATCTGAGCTTTGACAAACCTGACAAAAACAAGAAATGGGGAAACGATTCCCTATTTAATAAATGGTGCTGGGAAAACTGGCTAGCTATACATAGAAAGCTGAAACTGGATCCCTTTCTTACACCTTATACAAAAATTAATTCAAGATGGATTAAAGACTTAAATGTTAGACCTAAAACCATAAAAATCCTAGAAGAAAACCTAGGCAATACCATTCAGGACGTAGGCATGGATAAGGACTTCATGACTAAAACACCAAAAGCACTGGCAAGAAAAACCAAAATAGACAAATGGGATCTAATTAAACTAAAGAGCTTCTGCACGGCAAAAGAAACTACCATCAGAGTGAACAGGAAACCTACAGAATGGGAGAAAATTTTGCAATCTATCCATCTGACAAAGGGCTAATATCCAGAATCTACAAAGTACTTAAACACATTTACAAGAAAAAAGCAAATAATCCCATCAAAAAGTGGGCAAAGGATATGAACAGCCACTTCTCAGAAGAAGACATTTATGCAGCCAACAGACACATGAAAAAATGCTCATCATCACTGGTCATCAGAGAAATGCAAATCAAAACCACAATGAAATATTTTCTCACACCAGTTGGAATGGCGATCATTTAAAAGTCAGGAAACAACAGATGCTAGAGAGGATGTGGATAAATAGGAACGCTTTTACACCGTTGGTGGGAGTATAAATTAGTTCAACCACTGTGGAAGACAGTGTGGCGATTCCTCAAGGATCTAGAACTAAAAATACCATTTGACCCAGCCATCCCATTACTGGGTATATACCCAAAGGATTATAAATCATGCTGCTATAAAGACACATGTACACATATGTTTCTTGTGGCACTATTCACAATAGCAAAATCTTGGAACCAACCCAAATGTCCATCAATGATAGACTGGATTAAGAAAATGTGGCACATATACACCACAGAATACTATGCACTCCCATGTTAACTGCAGAACTATCCACAATAGCCAACATTTGGAAGTAACCTAAGTATCCATTAACAGACAAATAGATAAAGAAAATGTGGTACATATACAGAATGGAATACTATTCAGTCACAAGAAAGAATGAGATGCAAATGTCATTTACAACATGGATGGAACCGGAAGTCATTATGTTAAATGAAATAAACCAGGCACAGAAAGAAAAATGTTGCAATGTTCTCATTGATTTGTGGGAGCTAAAAATTAAAATAACTGAGGCCAGGTGTGCTGGCTCATGCTTGTAATTCCAGCACTTTGGGAGGCCGAGGCAGGAGGATCACTTGATTCCAGTTCAAGACCAGCCTTGACAAGATGGTGAGACCCCTGTCTCTACAAAAATTTAAAATTAGCCAAGCATGGTAGTGCACACCTGTAGTCCCAGCTACTCAGGAGGCTGAGGTGGGAGGATCACTTGAGCCCAGGAATTTGAGGCTGTCATGAGCTATAATCACACCACTGCTTTCCTACCTTGGTGACAGGGAGAGACCCTGTCTCTATTTAAAGAAAAAAATAAAATTGAACTCATGGAGATAATAGAATGATGTTTACCACAGGCTGGGAATGGTATTGGGTGGCAGGGAGTGGGGATGGTTAATGGGCACAAAAAACAGCTAGATAGAATGAATAAAATATAGTATTTATGATAGCACAACAGGGTGAGTATAGTAAATAACAATCAAATTGTACATTTAAAAATAACTAAAAGAGTATGATTAGATTGCTTGTAACACAAAAAGCAAATGCTTGAGGTGACAATGTCCCATTATCCTGATGTGACTATTATTACACATTGTATGCCTGGATCAAAATGTCTCACGTATCATATAAATATATGCACCTACTATATGCCCACAAAAATTAAATTTTTTAAAATCTGTGCAGCAGCAAAAGAAAAAAATCTAAAAAATGAAAAAAATTAAATTTTTAAAAACTAAATAAATAAAATTTACATGAAAATGTAAAGAAACTAAAGTAGCTAAAAACAATTTTGAAGAAAGAAGAAAGTGGGAGAAAGCAGTCTACCTTATTGCAAGACTTATACAGCTACAGTAATCAAGACTGCGTGAAGGGACACACACATAATTCAATGGAACAGAAGAGATCCCAGAAACAGCCCCACAGTACAGCCAACTGATTTTTCCCAAAGGTACAAAAGCCTTTCAATGGAGGAAGAACAGCCTTTTCAACAAATGGTGCTGCTGGAGCAATTTCATAAACATAAGCAAAAAAAAAATGAACCTCAATCTAAACTTCACACCATTTGCCAAAATAAATTAATCATAGATATAAATGTAAAACAAAAACCTGAAAACCTTTCAGAACAGGGGTCCCCAACCCACAGGCCACGGGCCAGTACCGGTCCATAGCCTGTTAGGAACTGGGCGCGGGGCACGACATGAGCAGCTGGCCAGTGAGCATTACCACCTGACTTCCGCCTCCTGTCAGATCAATGCAGCATTAGATTCTCACAGGGGTGTGAACCCTATTGTGAATTACACATCTGAGGGATCTAGGTTGTGTGCTCCTTATGAGAATCCAATGCCTGATGATCTAAGTTGGAATAGTTTCATCCCGAAACCATCCCCTACATCAGTTTGTGGAAAAATTGTCTTCATGAAACCAGTCCCTTGTGCCAGAAAGTTGGGGACTGCTGTTTTAGAAAATAGATAAAAGAGGCTGGGCACGGTGGCTCATGCCTGTAATCCCAGCACTTTGGGAGGCAGAGGCAGGCGGATCACGAGGTCAGGAGATCGAGACCATCCTGGCTAACACGGGGAAACCCCGTCTCTACTAAAAATACAAAAAACTAGCCGGGCATGGTGGCATACGCCTATACTCCCAGCTACTTGGGAGGCTGACGCAGGAGAATCACTTGAACCCGGGAGGTGGAGTGAGCCGAGATCGCGCCACTGCACTCCAGCCTGGGTAACAGAGGTAGACTCCGTCTGAAAGAAAGGAAAAGAAAAGAAAAAAAAAAGAAAAGAAAAGAGAAAAGAAAAAAGAAAAGAAAAGAGGTAAAAGACATAGAAATATATTTACTGAAGAGGATATAGGAATGGTAAATATGCACATGAAAAGATGTTCAACATCACTACAATTCCTATCAGAATGGCTGTTACAAAAAAAAATGGCAAAATCAAATACTTCAGGGAATGCAGAGAAATCAGATCCTTCGACATAGCTGATAGGAATGTAAAACAGTACATCCACTCTGGAAAATGCTTTGGCAGTTTCTAAAAAAAAAAAAACAAAAAAACAAAAAACCCAGGATTTTGAGGCTACAGTGAGCTATGATCACACCACTGCACTCCAGCTAGGGTGAGATCCCATCTCTTAAAAAGAAAAACAGATATCTTGAACCCTAAGTTTACCAAGAGACTAGTATCACCCAAGTATTCATAGAAAAAGTGAATCAACCAGTCAATAACAGCAATAAAGACAGCCTAATCTGAGCGTTCACTATGGACCCGCAATTACATAAAGTAATATCTGTGCTTTATCTGTTTTAATCTTTCAACTACCCTTTGAGCTAGGTTAATTAAACTGTGGATTATGAAAGTTAAATTCTGTGCTAAAAATCTTACTGTTAGGAAATGGTAGAGCCAGGACTCAAAATTCAGGCAGTATGAACACAAAGCCTGTAGTTCTAATCCATGATTTAATACTGCCTCCACTAAACTACCCTCAACCTTCATTTGTGAGGGAACAACCAAATAAAATACAGGAAATTACAAACAAGTGAGGTGGGCAGAACTGAATTGATATTAATTGAGTTGACCTTTGAAAAGACACCTGAAAGGAAAACCTCTGAAGACACAATTGCTCTAAGAATAACTAATCGATTAGTAAAAGATGTTATTAGGTTGTTGCAAAAGTAATTGCAGTTTTCAGCCATTAAAACAGCAAAACTGCAATTACTTTCACACCATCCTAATACAATAGTTTCTTATTTAGTGAGCACTAAGTAACACTTTGTGACTGGAATGTTTTTTGAGATGGAGTCTCCCTCTATCGCCCAGGCTGGACTGCAAGCTCCGCCTCCCAGGTTCATGCCATTCTCCTGCCTCAGCCTCCCGAGTAGCTGGGACTACAGGCACCTGCCACCACGCCTGGCTAATTTTTTGTACTTTTAGTAGAGACGGGGTTTCACTGTGTTATCCAGGGTGGTCTCATTATCCAGGGTGGTCTCGATCTCCTGACCTTGTGATCCGCCCACCTCGGCTGGAATACCTACGTTTTTTACTGAGCCTAAAAAGATTTAGACATCCATTCGATTGAAAGAGAAGATATATATATGACACAATGATACACAGATCCAGTATAATAATTTGGCCTGCCTCTGTTAGGGGTAAGAATTAAATGCCTTCTAAAATTCTCTTTCTAAATAATCTGTGATCTCTAGTTTCAAATTTATTAATTTTACAAATTAGTCAATATTTTTACTTTCCTAAATTTCTATAAAATAAAACCATACAGAGCCAGGTAAAAGAATTACGACATATAATGTATTAAATTTCAAATTCCACCCTCCTCCCCACAAATAAGAAAAAAAAAAAAGCCTGAGTAATTATACCTAATAAACACAGTAGCAGGAACGTCAACCTTTGAAAGAGAAAGGAGGCCAAAAAAATGTGTAACCATCTGGCAACCATGCAGTATTTGAGAAAATGTTAGTGTTCTAATTGAAATCTAATTGAGTTTGATTTACTTGTCAAGATAATTGCTTCAGTATTAATTAAATATGTCTCCTGCAGCTGCACAGAAAGCTAAACCTTACATTCTGCTGATTATATAGGATACATATCGATCATTCAAGTCAACATTGCTAGGCTCATGTTACACCAAAAATAGCTCTCTGTATATTGATTATTAACATCTCAGATTCTGACATTAGTTATTTCTCAATAGATGAAGAATAACATTTCTGAAATCTTGAGAGGAAATTAGTGAGGCTACTTAAAGACTAGTCAGAAAACTATTCACCATCAATAATATATATATATAAAGCATCTTATATAAATATATGTATATATAAATGATTGTATACATTATGAGATTTTTACTTTTTTCTATGAAATTATATATAATTATACTCTATATCTAATATATAAAATATGTAGTAATATATAATATACGTAATATAATTATATAAGATAATATATAATAGGCATATATTTTATATATAATATATAATCACAAAGAAAAAAGGAAAAATTAGGACCACGCATGGTGGCTCACACCTGCAGTCCCATCATTTTGATAGGCTGAGGTGGGAAGATCACTTGAGCCCAGGAGTTCAAGGCCAGCCTGGGCAACATTGTGAGACCTCAGTTATATATATTTTTTTTAATTTTTAAAAGAAAACATTACTCTTTTATAATCCTGTTGCCATTTTCCAGAAAGCAATATGTTAGAGCAGGAAAATACTATAAATCATGCTGCTATAAAGACACATGCACATGTATGTTTATTGCGGCTCTATTCGCAATAGCAAAGACCTGGAACCAACCCAAATGTCCAACAATGATAGACTGGATTAAGAAAATGTGGCACATATACACCATGGAATACTATGCAGCCATAAAAAATGATGAGTTCATGTCCTTTGTAGGGACATGGATGAAATTGGAAATCATCATTCTCAGTAAACTATCGCAAGAACAAAAAACCAAACACCGCATATTCTCACTCATAGGTGGGAATTGAACAATGAGAACACATGGACACAGGAAGGGGAACATCACACTCTGGGGACTGTTGTGGGGTGGGGGGAGGGGGGAGGGATAGCATTAGGAGATATACCTAATGCTAAATGACGAGTTAATGGGTGCAGCACACCAGCATGGCACATGAATACATATGTAACTAACCTGCACATTGTGCACATGTACCCTAAAACTTAAAGTATAATAATAATAAAATAAAATAAAAAAATAAAAAATATTGCCAGCAACCCCCCCCCAAAAAGAAAGAAAGAAAGAAAATACTGACGAGTTGAAAGAGATCTAAAAATCACTAATTTTGCCCCTAAATTATACCTCTAAAAGAGGTACAATATTAATTGACTGACCAAAGTTCTTGATTTGATACCTAACATTTGAAACTAACTTCTAAGTAAAGGCTTTATCAAATATATTTTTCCCATATATATGCTTCATTGGGATACACCAAGCTTCCATAGCTATGATTACAGCAATGCTACAAATGAATCTAAATGGATATTAAGTATTAATAACAACAAAATGGTTGTAGGTCTGGTACAAGTACACTGGTTTGGAATAACCTTTGATAATGTATTATGGTACAATGTCATGAATTTTATTTATTTTTTTTTTTTTTTTTGAGACGGAGTCTTACTCTGTCGCCCAGGCTGGAGTGCAGTGCCGCGATCTCTGCTCACTGCAAGCTCCACCTCCTGGGTTTGCGCCATTCTCCTGCCTCAGCCTCCCGAGTAGCTGGGACTATAGGCGCCCACCATCGCGCCCGGCTAATTTTTTTGTGTTTTTAGTAGAGACGGGGTTTCACCGTGTTAGCCAGGATGGTCTCGATCTCCTGACCTTGTGATCCACCTGCCTTGGCCTCCCAAAGTGCTGGGATTACAGGCGTGAGCCAATGTCATGAATTTTAAGGAATGCTTTTAGAGATCAGATTTTTCTCCAGCTTTCAATCTACATAGAAGTCTTTAACAACTGTCTTCCAACATGTCTTATTCCCAAAAGGTGTATATATCAAATCCCAAAGTTAGTTTCCTAATTTCTCTCAAATTTATAATTAGCAGGGTTAGACAAGACAAACCCAAAGGAAATAAACAACAATCACTTCGTGTTGCAGAAGAGAGGGAGACCTAGGTTTCAAAACTGATGTGTAGAGTTTAAGTCTGGTTTTGTCCTGTTATTTTTGGCTCCTCCAGAGATGTAAATTAAACAACTAAGTGTCTTTTTTTCCTTTATGGATTGTATGTGAAATGCTTAGATGCTGAGCACAGAGAAGAGAATGAGGAATCTTTTCTTTCTTTTCCTGATGATAAAACTTTATGCCAGAGCTATTGTAAATTTTCAGTCCAAAAATACAGTGCCCAACAGCTATTATCACCCATACATCAAGACTGCCACAAATGTTCCATCCACAAAAATCTCTCAGGAAGTTAGTAGGCTTTATGATTTTATAGGTTAATTAAAGCGAAAAACTGAGCATGTTTTCTTGGGCTTTATTCTACATGAACTATGTCAAATATTTTCCAATAAAGAGACAGGAATACTGATTGAAAACATGTAATACCACGCATAAATAGTAATAAATAATTAACTCATTCTCATTATTTACACATATTTATCTTTTGAAAATTTGTAGCCCATATAGAACCAAGTCTAAATCCTACCTGTGCAAGTCTTTCACAAATTAACCATACTTCTGCTAATACCCTTCCTTAGGAGAACAAGTATGGTTTTCCAACTTACGTGAGACACATATTCAGTGTCCAGAATTACTGAATCAATTATTCAAACAAGTAAACAGATTTTAGTAATCACTCTATTAAAATGCTAGAAGAAGTTTATGCAAAACTCCCTATGATTACTTACTTCAATAGATGGGGAATATGGAGGTCAATTTAAAAATTAAAGCATACATACTATTAATAACTGCATGCTAACTTATTCAAAACTGTCAAGAATTTTTTTAATTCTTTAAATTTATAGATTTTTTTAAAGGGCAAACTAAAAAGAAAAATCAGGCAGACATCAGACTTCTACCATAAATGCAAGAAGACAATGGAGGAAGATACATTCTGAAGAGAAAAAAACATGTGGCACAAGATTTCTATATTTAAGAAAGTTGTTACCTGTAAAAGAAGGGGAAAAAAAGAAAAAGAAGTCTTCAGATTTACGGTGGTTCCAAAACAATTCCATTCACATAAACTCCATTTAATGTAAATGTATTGAAAAAGTACATGTATTCAAAGATGCACTCCAGTCAAACACAAAACAAATCAAAATAAGAACCTAAAAATAGAGAAACTCCAGTATCCAACGCCTGGCAATAAGCACTAAAATATTTAATTTAAAAAATTCAAAATAATTATTGAAAACATGATGACCAAAATTACAAATTGCACTTTTAGTAGAAAATGCTTTTCAAATTTATCATATTGAGCTAGTTAACCATCCCTGAGATATTTTGCAAAGCCTTCCCATTTAAACTTCCGTAATTTCTTTTAGAATATCTTAATCTATAAAACTAAATAGACCTAAAGAAGATCAGAATAAATGAAGTTACAGACCATGTTCCTAGATAGGATGCCTCTATTGTAAATATGTCAATTAATCCAGTAATTAAATTAGAAATAGAATGTAATTCCTTTGAAGGTTTTATCACTGTTTCTTTGAAATGTGACACTTTTTAAGGAAATGTTGGAAATAAAAAAATAAATAGACTAAAATGCCTAAAAATGCCCAAAAACATTTTGAACTGAAGAATAATGACAGGGAAACTAAAATATCTGATGTTAAAATATACTATAAAGCAATGATGGTTATAACAGTATGCAATAAACAGGAGAGAAAAACTAATAGAACACAAAGCCCACGAACAGCCGAAGTAAATAAAAGTAGCATTTCAAATTAGTAGGAAAAAGTTTAATTGTTCAATAAATGAGAAAACTGGATAATCTTTTGTGAAAACATATATTATCAGATTTCTATCTCATACTAAAAACTATATTGTAAGAAAATAAAGGAGAATAACTAATTGTAAAATGAAGAAAGACTTCAAACAGAAAACAAAGAAAAAGTTTAAAAGACATGATTACATAAAACTAAAGCTTCACATCTATGCAAGGAATAAAAAAAGGTAATTCACAAAAAAAGAAATAAAACAGTCAAAAAATTGCAAATTGAAACAGTAAGGTATAAATGTTTCCTTTTTATTTTAGAAAAAGTTTATTTGAAAAACACAGCTAACCAACAGACTGGATAAAAAGCTCCCCCCTTATTGAGTAAGGGTGAAAGTCAAAATTCTTCTTTGAAGAATATTCATTATAGTTGATTTTAAAATAATTTAAAAATCCATAAAACTGCCGCTCAGAGATGACTACTACTATCAGTTGATATATGTACTTTAAGTCATTTTTAGTGGTGTGTAAGTGTATGTGTATACACAAACATATATGAATATAAACATACACTAAATATTTATAACTTCACTTATTTTATTTTATTTTATTTTTGAGACGGAGTTTCGCTCTTGTTGCCCAGGCTGGAGTCCAGTGGAGTGATCTCGGCTCACTGCAACCTCCACCCCCTAGGTTCAAGTGATTCTCCTGCCTCAGCCTCCCAAGTAGCTGGGATTACAGGCATGCACCACCATGCCCAGCTAATTTTGTATTTTTAGTAGAGACAGGGTTTCTCCTTGTTGGTCAGGCTGATCTTGAACTCCCGACCTCAGGTGATCCGACCGCCTTGGCCTCCCAAAGTGCTGGGATTACAGGTGTGAGCCACCGTGCCTGGCCAACTTAACTTATTTTTTAAGACTAGATCATCAATATCTATTTTATTGACTACTTAACCATATTACCACAACTGTCTTTTTTTTTTTTTTTTTTGAGATGGAGTCTCGCTCTGTTGGCCAGGCTGGACTGCAGTGGCGCTACCTTGGCTCACTGCAACCTCTGCCTCTCAGGTTCAAGCAATTCTCTTGCCTCAGGCTCCCTAATAGCCGGGATTACAGGTATGCACCACCACACACCCAGCTAATATTTTTGTTTTTTTTAAGTAGAGATGAGGTTTCACCATATTGGCCAGGCTGGTCTCCAACTCCTGACCTCAGGTGATCCGTCTGCCTCGGTCTCCCAAAGTGCTGGGATTATAGGCATGAGCCACCACACCTGGCTTGTCATTTAATATTAGGTCTTTCCTCTTTCCTTTTCTTTTTTTTTTTTTTTTTTTTTTTTTTTGTGGAGCTTTTGAGCAATTCTCCTGGCTGGAATATGGGTAGGACAACTGAAACTCAAATAGCCGTCTTGGAACTGGAGGTAGTACTGACAAAAAGAAAAAGTTGGGGTCTCTGATGATTTTGTGGAATAGTCATTACACTAGACTTAGAGAATCTACCATAAGAAATTCACATAAGAGAAAAATAAAGCACTCGATACATATTAGCTATTATTATGTCTGAAATGCATTTACTTTTTTTAATGTTCACAATATACTACTTGACTTTAAAAGCTAATCACATAAAGAATCACAAAAACACACACTGAAACTATATCAGTGGTCACTTCTAAGTATTAATTATATACAATTTTCCTTTATTTTTATTGCCCAGCTGTTCTGTATTGAGCAAGAATTATTCTCATAATTTGAAGAAATATATATATATATAATTAAAATAAAGCACTACATATTGGAAAATAAAGTTCAGAGAACAGGTTAATATCCAGTCCAGCTCTTTAAGTTCTTTCTTCATTAAACCATACTGAAGGTAACAGAGAAACATCTTCAAAGAACCAATTTAGATATGCCCTTGATCTTAAAAGGATCAATCTACTCTGAATTAATTGGAGCAGACAGAAGAAACAGGAAAGGAAAGAAATCAAAGATAATTACATACTATATAAAAACTAGGGGAAAAAAACTAAAAACTAGTAAAAAAAAAAAAAAAAAAAAAAAAAGGATAAAATCAACTTAACAATGTAACAACCAAAAAAAGCTCAATAATTTACAGGGACCAAAAATACTTTTCTTAATGTTAAGTGCACCAAACATTTTTCTTTCTGTTAAAATAATTTGTAATTGTTCTTAGTGTCATGGCTGAAGTCTAAGTTTTTCAAATATTATAATGGATCCAAGGAAGAGCAAATCAACTAATTCCTCTATCAGTGATCATCTCTAAATATAAATTATATATAACTAATCACTCTGACACTATAGTACTAGAGTCAACATAGAGCTTCCACTTGCCTTCCCTACACAACTGGCCATTTGAATGTTATCATTCTAATTGACAAGAAACTGAGAAAGAGAAGAGAGCTACAAAAACACTTTCTAGTAAGCGTATATACTTCTATTGAGAGTTAGTATTTTCATTTTTCACAAATATAGTTTTATTATTTTATACCATAATTATAATGGACCCCACTCCATAATCAGGAGTTACTTTTAGATAAAAACAAATAAACAAAAATCCTCTGCATTCTCTTAAAATGGCCAGATGAAAAAGACACACTTGTTTTTATCAGATAATGATAAAAATTATACAAACCATGATGTCTTTTTACAGAAAATTCAGAGTAAAGCACGAAATATAGTACATTTCTTAAATCAGTTTCCTGGTATTTATTTCCTCTTCCGCTTAGTCGTACCTCCTATCCACCATCATTTTCATTACCATATTACTGTTCATTTAACTCCAGTATTTATAGTCTGTCTTTTCCCAGACAGTATCTCAAATTATTTTTGGAAGTAGGTAGAAACATACAATGAATTAATAAACTGGAATATCCACAATATGAAAACAATACAGTCTTTTGACTACATTTTAATTTACAAAACAGCCTAAAATGAGATATTATACTCCCATCTGAAGAAGATAAAGTCACACAAGAAGCAAATAACTCTCATGAGATCTCTAGCAAATAACTGTCATGGGATCTCTTGCAAGTAACTCTCATGGGATCTCTTGGTTGAATCAACTGACCTCAAAAAAAGAAGACCCCTAATCTCTTGCTCTATGTTAGGCAAAAACCTTTCCATCTACTCATGATTCACTTTACACTGAACTCCTACAATTTTTTATTCCAAATCCTCATTATTTTATCTTAAGAAAATTGAAGAACTGTGTTAACAGCTATATTTTATTTCCCCAAGTCTATATAAGGAATCTGTATCTTGCTATACAACTGCAGACAGGCTTCTATGAGGGTTTTGTTGTTGTTGTTTGTTTTGATTGGGGTTTTTTGCATCCAAAATTTCACTATTGCAGTGACCACAGTGTTGGAAAATGGCTCCTAAGCTGGAACCAGAACAAGATTTCAAAAAATTTATAAATAATCATTTCAAGAACACATCTTTCCCTATTTTATCCTGCAAAGACAATATTTTATTCAGGAACCACAAACTGTCAACTTCTCAGCATACCCAAAATCCCACTTAGCTCTGTATTGTAAACAGTATAGTATTTCACTACCACATCAATAAATACAATTCTTAAAAGAATCATTTTTATGTTTGATTCACATTTGTTGTGCATATGCCAATGAACCTAAGGTATTTGTAATGTTAGACTCTTAAAATCTTTAGCTTACAAAAGGGTCAAGCAATCCAAAAACAGCAAAAGGTCTATCCCATGGAGACAAGTATGGACAAAATCTAAAATAAGGAATCACAGCATAAACTGGTATGATCGTCTGTTGTACTAATCCACCTTACTCTCTCCTTACATCAATCCTCTTTTTTTTTTTACAGTGAGTGTAAAGGACTGGCTATTAAAATACAGTCTACTAAATAGGGAGTACTATCCTAATGTTTTAAAACCATGATTTACCTCATCAAAAAGCTGGAAAAAAAAAAATAAAGCCATTGGTAATTTAACAATCTTGAATGGAGTGAACAAAAAATACTTATTGTACATATTTCTAGTGACATCTGTAGAAGAGTATTAAGAAAGCATTATCCTTTCTCAGCCTTAGGAAAATTAGTCTTTTCTATTCTCCTAAATTAATAAGAACAGTATAGAAATAAAACACTTTCTAATGGCACAGATAAAGAAGAATTACCTGTTGTGTCATCAGAATTTTGCTCAGAAGCAGAATACAAAAATTATCCTCATTCAATGTCTCCTAACAAAACTTTGTCTCCACCAATGCATTTGATTATTAATTATCCTATCAGAGAATATTCTCAATTATAACTATGGCAACATCAAGAGAACATTTATTCTGTAATTATTTGGTCTACACACAAGAGAGTGTGATTTAGCTCATTTCCTGTAAACTTTCTTTAATGGAGTCTAATTTCAGGTAAAATGAGGTAAGTATATTGAAACTTCTCTAAATAGTTATAAAATGATGACAGAAGTATTGGAGCAGCTATTTAAAGACTCTGAAAAAGTAAATCATAGTAGGTAGATTGAGGAAGAAGACCAGAAGTTGAAGTATTACACAATTGGCACTAAGTTTACCTTTTTTTTTTTTTTCCTTCTGGTATCTCCTAGCCTGGACTCAATGTACCAGTGACTTGGAAGTAGGCAATGAAACTCCAAGACCAGTTGTCTAGTTCTGGCTCAAGGAGCAGAAAAGGAACACCTAATGCACAGAGAAAATAAAGAAATGCCCTTTTTTCTCTTTCTTTTCTCTATCTCACCATAGCCCAGTAGCAATCTCTAGGCAAAAGTGGCACTGGCCACTAAAGAGAGCCCACAGGAGCTCAAACTCTAAGGGAGGAAAACCTTTCTCCCCACTCTGGAGCTATAGGGCCAAGAGGGTGCATCCAAACCCAGTTATTTTTCCTTTCTCTCTGTCCTCCCAGAGTTTACCTTGGGATGAAGGGGCAATTGGAGAAGTCCACACCAAAGTGAAGTAACAAAAGACCCACCTTTCTAGCCAGAGGACAAAAAAGAAAAGCAGCAGGAAACTGAAAATCAATGGCACATAAAGATTACGAAGAAAAAAAACTAAATTGTCCGTACTCACAGATAACGTAATTATCCATGCTGAATATACCAAGGAATCTCAAAAAAAAAAAAAAAAAACCTACAACAAATAAGTGAGTTTGACAAGCTTGTACAATATAGGGTCAATATCAATATCATAAATATCAACAATACTTCTATAAACTGGAAATAAACAATTTAAAACCAAAAAATTCTAAAATCATTTATAACAGCTCAAAAAATATGAAATAATTGATATGAATCTAACAAAACATACACATGATTTAGATAATAAAAACTACGAAATGCTAATTGAAGAAATAAATTTGTGTACTACACAAATTCAGCTACAGATTCGATGCAATTGCAATTAAAATCCCAGCAGGAATTTTTATAGATAGAAACAAGCTGATTCTAGAATTTATATAGAGAAGCAAAGAAACCAGAATGTTAAAAACAATTATTAAAAAGAAGAATAAAGTGAGAGGAATTACACTATTAAATTTTAAGATTTATTTTAAAGCTACAGTAATCAAGACACTGTACCACTGGGAAAGGGATAGATACCAGTGATACTAATCGACATCAGTAGAACAGAACTGACATTGCAAAAATAGATTCACACTAATATAGCCAGTTGATTTTTGACAAAACTGAAAAACAATTCAATAGAGAAGTAATAGTTTATTAATTATATGGTGTTGGAACAATTGGAAAAGAAAGAAACTGGGGAAAGGAAGGAGGGGAGAAAGAAAGAAGAAAGGAAAGAAGGAAGGAAGGGAGGAAAGGGAGGGGGAGGGACGGGGGAGGGAAGGAGAGAAGGGGGGAGGGGGGAAAGGAAGAGAGGAAGTTGAGGAAAGAGAGAAAGAGAAGAAACCTTGAACTAAATCTTACACCTCACATGAAAATTAACTGAAAATTGCTCATAGATCCAATTGTAAAACCTGCATTTGGAAGAAAATCTTCATGTCCTAGCATAAGACAAAAAGTTCTTAGACATGACACCAAAATCATGATCCACTTTCTAAAAACTGATAAATTGAACTTCATGTTTTGTTCTACAAAAGACACGGTTAAAAAGCAAACTACTGAGTGGAAAAAGATATCTGCAAATCACATATCTGGCAAAGGACTTGTATCCAGAATACATAAACAACTCCCACAATTCTAAAGTAAGAAACAAACAATCCAATTTAAAAGTGGGAAAAATGTTTGAATAGACACTTCACCAAAGAGTACAACTGAATGTAAAATAAATACGATGAAAAGATGCTCAAGATCCTTAGCCATTAAAGAAATGCAAATTAAAACCACAATAACCTATCACTACACATATAAAACCTAGGGGAAAAAGCCAACAATACCAAGTGCTAAGTGAGGATACTGAGCAACTGGAATGCTCAGATATTGTTGGTGGAAATGCAAAATGGCCCAGCCATTCTGAAAAACCGTTTAGCCTTTTTTTTTTTGAGACGGAGTCTCACTTTCACCAGGCTGGAATCGCAGTGGCACGATCTCAGCTCACCACAACCTCCGACTCCCTAGTTCAAGTGATTCTCCTGCCTCAGCCTCCCAAGTAGCTGGGATCACAGGCATGCTAATTTTTGTATTTTTAGTAGAGATAGGGTTTCATGTTGGCAAGGATGTTCTCAATCTCCTGACCTTGTGATCTGCCCACCTCAGCCTCCCAAAGTGCTGGGATTACAGGCATGAGCCACCCCACCCGGCCTAGCCATTTCTTAAAAAAGTAAAACTGCACCTACCCTAAGACCCAGCGATCTCATTCCACAGTATTTACCATAGATAAATAGAAACATATTAACTGGAAACAAACCAAATGCCAATCAACAGCCAATTCTATAAACAACTTGTAATACATCCTTACAATGGAGTAATACTCAACAATAAAAAGGAATAAACTATTGACACACACAATAATTTGGATTGATATCAGAGGTATTCTGCTGAATGAAAGAAGCCAGTCTCAAAAGTGTACATATGTATAATATATGTCCCATTCTCAAGGAGACAGAACTATGGTGACAGAGAACAGATAAGTTATTTTCAGGATGTAGTGAAAAACATGTGACTATAAAGGAATAGCACAGGGAGTTTTAGAAATCGATAAAAAATATATAAATAGCTAGAAAGCCTTAGCTATGAAGGTTTTCTTGAAGAAGCTTGAAAATTACAAAACACTTCTAAATAATATACGGGTCAAAGTGGAGTCTCAGGAGAAATTCGAAAATATTTTCAACTAAATGAAAATGAAACCACAACTTGTAGGATGCAGTAAAACCTGTGCTTACAAAGAAATTTAAAGCTGTTTGATTCCAAATGTATTACATTTTGGATAAGGCAAAATTATGGAGATAGTAAAAAGATTAGTGGTTGTCAGGGACTGGGAAAGGGAGGGGGAGGGATGAAGAGGTGGAATACATAGGACTTTTAGGGCAGTGAAACTATTCCATAATATTGCTATGGTATATGTCATTATATATTTCTTAAGAACTATAGAATATACAATGCAAAAGGTAAACCCTAATGTAAGCTATAGCTTTAGTTAATAATAATGCATCAATATTGGCTCATCAATTATAAAAAAAAGTATTACACTAATGCATGATGTTAATAACAGGGGAAACTGCCTCAGGGTGAAGGTGAAGGGGTATTTGAGAACTCTGTACTTTCCCTTCAACTTTTCTGTAAACCTAAAACCATCCTAAAAAATAAAGTCAACCAGGAATGGTAGTTCACGGCTGCAATCCCAATACTCTGGGAGACGAGGCAGGAAGATGGTTTGAACATAGCAGTTTGAGGCCAGCCTGGGCAACATAGCAAGACCCCATATCAACAAAATAATTTTTTTAAATTAGCCAGGAGTAAGGAACAAAATGGCTGACTAGACACAGCAAGGAAGTGCTGCTCCCACTGAGAGACACCAAAATATTGAGTAAACCAGCATACTTCAAACAGATCTTCAGAGAGAAAACACTGAGACTCAGTAGAGAGGCAATGAAGACACTGAGGCTGAAGAGTGGGGAAGCTAGGATCCCAGCACGGAGTTGCTGAGAGCCAGCACTAGTTCCCAGCCTTGAATGGCTCCTAGGGAAGCGGGGAGTGACATTGAGGGTGGGATGGCCCACTCTTGCCACGAAACTCTGGGATCCCAGGTACAAGAGATCCCATGACCCCCCACAGACAGTTAAATTAACAGGGGGATCTCCCTGGAGAATAGGCAGAGGCATAACTCCAACCTGAGCAGAGCCCAGGGAGTTTTGTGCACAGAGCAGCTGCAGCAAAATGTGGCCATAGGCGCTCACCCTTCAAGGCGATCCATCTTCTTGTGAGTAGCTCTAGCCCCAGCTGATCACTAAGCCAAGAGACAGCAGGACTGTCTTTCCCATGGGACTGGAGTACATCTATTCTGCAGTCCCCCTGCCCAGCAGCCCTTTGAAAGGTTCCAGTTTGGCTTCTCCCATAGGAGTGTGTGCACAGCGTAGCCTCTATTGTGCAGCCTGGGTGCTATGCTGGCAGCCCTGCCTGAGTGCTTTCCCAATGGCCTGAGAGCACTTTGGATCCACTGATACAGCCAGTGCCCATCCCAGAGGGGCCAAAGGATGGAGCTGTGGGCCCAGTCCCAACACTCCAGAGTTGCAGCATGCAGCTTGGGAGTGTGAAGCTAAGATCTGTGGCCAATCCTTGAGCAGGGAAGGAGCTCCCACTCTGAGAACACTGAAGAGGGGTGGGATGTGGGTTCGAGGGCTGGCACAGGAGTGGGGCATGCCTCCCTCCGCAGGGCCGGTCTGGGAAGAGTGCACCCTGTTTGCCAGCCGCAGCCTCTGACAAAGGGAGCACCATGGCCCAGAACACCCAACAAATGAAACACAGGTGCAGTGCCAGTGATGGAAGGGGGCTCCCCTAAGGCCCAGGAGTGGACCTGGTGAAAGAGTCATCTCTCTCCCACACACACACTTGGAAAAAATATTTGAAGATATATTCCATGAAAAATTCCCCAACTCACTCAAGAGGTTGACATGCAAATTCAAGAAATATAGAGAACCCCTGAGTAATGCTATACAAGATGACCATGCCCAAGGCACAGTCATCAGATTCGCAAAGGTCAATATAAAAGAAAATAATATAAAGGCAGCTAGAAAGAAGGGTCAAGTCACTTATAAAGGAAATAGCATTAGGCAAGCAGCAGACCTCTCAGCAGAAACCTTATAAGCCAAAAGAGATTGGAGGCCTATTTTCAGTGTCCTTAAAGAAAAGAAATTCCAACTAAGAATTTAACATCCCACCAAACTAAGCTTCATAAGCAGAGAAGTAAAATCCTTTTCAGACAAGCAAACACTAAAGGAATTCATTACCACTAGACCAGCCTTAAAAGAGGTGTTTAACAAAGCACTAAATACAGAAATGAAAGAATTATACTGACTGCCACAAAAACACACCTAAATACGTAGCCCACAGACTCTATAAAGGAACTACGCAATCAAATCTATGAAACAACCAGCTAATAACACAGTAACACAATCTCACATATCAATACTAACCTTGAATATAAACAGTCTAAATACCCCACTTAAAAGGCACAGAGTGGCAAGGTGAATAAAAAGATGACCCAATTATATGCTCTCTTCAAGAGACCCATTTCACATTTAACACTCATAGACTCAAAGTAAAGGAATGGAGAAAGGTCTAGTCTATTATACAAATGGAAAATAAAAAAGAGCAGGGATTGCTATTTTTATATCAGATAAACCAGATGTAAACCAACAACAAGCAAGAAGGACAAAGATGGGTATTACATAATGATAAAGGGTTTGATTCAACAAGACTTAACTATCCTAAATATATACACACTCCACAATGAAGCAGCCAGATGCATAAAACAAGTTCTAGTGAAAGCCTTGAACACCCTACTGACAGTGTTATACAGATCATTGAGAACAGAAAACTGACAAAGAAACTCTGGACTTAAACTTGATGCTCAAACCACTAGACCTAACAAACATCTACAGAACACACAATAACCACACAATATACTTTCTTCTCATACGCACATGGAATGTATTCTAAGATCAACCACATGCTTGGTCATATGGCAAGACTCAATTAATTTAAAAAAAATTAAATCACCCCACACACACTCTCAGATCACAGAACTATAAGAAGACAAGAATGCCCACTCTCACCATTCCTATTCAATATAGTGGTGGAAGTCTTAGCCAGAAAAATCAAGGAAGAAAAAGAAATGAAAGACATCTAAAAATGAAAAAAGAAGTAAAACCATCTGTCTTCACTGACTATATGATTATATACTTAGCAAACCCTAAAGACTCCACCAAAAGGCTCCTGGAAGTGATAAAGGACTTCAGTAAAGTTTCAGGATACAAAATCAATGGACAGAAATCAGTAGCATTTCTATACACCAATTACATTATAGCAGAGAAGCAAATCAAGAATGCAATCCCATTTACAATAGACACACACACACACACACACACACACACACACACACACACACAAAGAAATGCCTAAGTATACATCTGATAAAAGAGAGGAAAGATTTTTCTTTTTTTTTCTCAGTGGAGTCTCACTCTGTCACCCAGGCTGGAGTGCAATGGCGCCATCTCAGCTCACTGCAACCTCCACCTCCCGGGTTCAAGCGATTCTCCTGCCTCAGCCTCCCGAGTAGCTGGGACCACAGGTGCATGCCACCACAGCCAGCTAATTTTTTTGTATTTTTAGTAGAGATGGGGTTTCACCGTATTAGCCAGGATGGTAACTTTCTCCTGACCTCGAGATCCACCCGCCTTTGTCTCCCAAAGTGATGGGATTACAGGCGTGAGCCATCATGCCCGACCAAGCAGAAAGATTTCTATAGAGAGAACTACAAAACACTGCTGAAAGAAATCAGAGATGACATAAACAAATGGAAAAATATTCCATGCTCATATTTAACAGATTGGAAGAATCAATATTGTTAACATGGCCATACTGTCCAAAGCAATTTACAGATTCAACACTATTCCTATCAAACTACTAACATCATTTTTCAAATAATTATAAAAACCTATTCTAAAATTCATATGGAACCAAAAAAGAGCCTAAATAGCCAAAGCAATCATAAGCAAAAGGACAAAGCTGGAGGAATCACATTACCTGACTTCAAACTATACTATAAGACTACAGTAATCAAAACAGCATGGTACTGGTACAAAAACAGACACACAGACTAAGAGAACAGAATAGAAAACCCAGAAATAAAGCTACACACCTACAACCATCTGATCTTTGACAAACTCAACAAAAAGAGCAATAGGGAAAAGACTCCCTGTTCAATAAATGGTACTGGGATAACTGGTTACCCATATGCAGAAGAATGAAACTGGACCCCTACCTTTCATCAGATTCAAAAATTCACTCAAGATGGACTAAAGAATTAAATGTAAGACCTCAAACTACAAAATTCTAGAAGAAATTCTAGGAAATACCTTTCTTGATATTGACCTTGGCGAAGAATTTATGGCTAAGTCCTCAAAAGCAATTGTAACAAAGATAAAAATTGACAAGTGTGACCTAGTTATACTAAAGAGCTTCTGCACAGCAAAAGAAATTATCAATAAACAGGCAACCTACAGAATGGGAGAAAATATTCACCAACTATGCATCCAACAAAGGTCTAATATCCAGAATCTATAATGAACTTAAATCAACAACCAAAAAACCAATAACCCCAGTAAAAGTGGGCAAAGGACATGAACAGACACTTCTCAAAAGAAGGCCTACAAGTGGCCAACAAACATATGAAACAATGGTCACCACCACTAATCATTACAGAAATGCAAATCACACAACATCTCACATATCAATACTAACCTTGAATATAAACAGTCTCATCAAAAACACAATGAGATACCACGACACATTAGTCAGAATGGCTCTTGTTAAGAAGTCAAAAAATAACAGATGTTGGTGAGTCTGCAGAAAAAAGGGGACATTTATACACTATAGGTGGAAATGTAAATTAGTCTAGCCACTGTGGAGAACAGATGGGCCATTTCTCAAAGAAGCAAGAGTTGAACTACCATTTGACCAAGCAATCCCATTACTGAGTATATACCCAAAGGAAAATCAATTGTTCTACCAAAAAAAAAAAATGCAACCCATATCTTCATTGCAGAGCTAGTTACAACAGCAAAAAAATGGAGTCAACCTAGGTGCCCAACAACAGTAGACTAGATAAAGAAAATATGGTACATATACACCGTGGAATGCTATGCAGCCATAACAAAGAACAAAATTATATCCTTTGCAGCATCATGGACACAGCTAAAAGCCATTATCCTAAGTAAACTAATGCAAAAACAGAAAACCAAATACCACATGTTCTCACTTATAAGTGGGAGCTAAACACTGGATACGCACAGCCATAAAGATTGGAATAACAGACACTGGGGACTACTAGAGGGGAGAGAGAATGATAGGGGCAAGGGCTGAAAAACTACCTGTTGGGTATTATGCTAACCACCAGGGTGACATATTCAGTTATACCCCAAATCTCAGAATGACGCAATATACGTTTGTAATAAACCTCCACATGTACCCCCTAATTCTAAAATAAAAGTTGAACAAAAAAATTGCTGGGTGTGGTGGCATGCACCTGTGGTCCTAGCCACTTGGGAGTCTGAAACAGGTGAATCACTTGAGCCCAGACGTTTGAGTCTACAGTGAGTTTTGATCACACTATTGCATTCTAGCCTGGGTGACACAGCAAGACCTTATATCAAAAAATATATTATTATTTATTAAAATAAATTCTATTAGTTTAAAGAAACAAAAAAGAAAGTCACATTCAAATATGGAAAAATAGTCATAAATCCTGTCAACATTGTTCACCAGTATCTCAAGAACAAGACAGCAGCAAAAAGTTCTAATCACTGTAAGTGCAGAAGAAATTTTCACAATGCTCATAAATGGGTGGTTCACTGCCAAGCTTTCCTTACCCAATATCGAATTAGTCATAGAAATCTAAGAAAGATGATTCACTTAAAAAAAAAACAGAAGGGAAAAACGAAGTCAAGAAGTGATTCTGATTTATGAAATGGGGGATGGCGGTACCATTTTCAGAGTTTTTTTTTTACATGCTTCAGCGCTCCAAAAACAAATGTGAGAAATTAACACTAAAATAAACATATCATTACCATCAATATCACCAACTACTTAAATGTACATCTATACAATTACAGAAACAACAAACCAAACAGTATCCTTTCCTAATTATTCATAAAATGTTAAAACATGATGCCATAATCCACCATTTTTAAAGAGGAGAAACAGAGATGAAACATGCTATCGCACTTTAAACTAGGGATCTCTATACAGTCTGTGTGTTGCGGGAAAGCATGTGTTGAGAAACGCGTGGAAGTTGTTTTATCACAATAATTAGTATGGTAGCCAGGCACTATTGGCAGCAGGTAGAGCCAGGGATGCTAGACAACCTGAAATATGTGGGATAGTCCTGTAAAATGAAGAAATATCCCACATCACTCTCAACTATCTGATGTCCCTGTGGACATTCATGTAAGTCAAAAGAAAATGCTTGAATTAGTTACCTGAACCCACAACTTAATAGCAGTATTCATGAAATATGTTTTGCACAGCTTTAATATGCACTGAACTTACAGAAATGTAACAGCCATATAAATTAGGGGAAATTGTATTTTGTAGTTTTTTCATAACTCTACAAAAGTTGCTCACTAACTCAGAAAATTAAGCACCAATTGTAATGCTGCTTATGGCATTTAAACTGCAAATACAGCATGCTGGAATGAGTTTGTACTTTAGCACACAAGGTATCTGTAAACAAGTATCCAACTACTTCACTATGCTGTCAATATTTCATTATGTCTTCAAGCATTTATAGATGAAAATATATAATATTTTGTTATAAATTATTTTCATTTTATTTCCTGTTTATACTACATTTAGGGCATCATATTTTTGTGAATTGTGTAGATATATTATTAATAGCTATAAGTTTAATTATTTCAAGACTGTAAAAGGGGCATCATAAAATATTCCTTATAAAAAGGCAGTATTAGGTTTGACAGAATTGAACCAATAAGTTAGACTATATCATTTCTCCCCTGGAATTCTGCAATATTTCTCAATTAGGTCTCTCTTTGTTTAATCAGGCCTAGACACTGCTTACCCTTACCAGTAAGCCTTCCTAAAAGATAAGTTTGATCATGCCCCTCTGCTATTCATAAATATTTGATAGGGCTGACAGTAAAAACCCCAAATCCTCAAAATGGCATTCAAGACTCTGTGATATGATGATATTATTTGCCCAACAATCTTTCTTTTCAGGAAATTGCTCTACTTCTCACAGTGAAAACTTTCTTTATTATTAAAGAACCTGGAACACCTCTACCTTCTGGCTCTTCTGCTTCTTTACTGAATGCTATTCTTAATCTCTTTTGCTGGCTACTCTTTTCCTCATCCTCTCAATGTTGGAGAGTTTCTGTGCTCAGTCCTTGGAGTTCTCTCTTCTCTACTGACACTTATTTTCTATGTGATTCCATCCAGTTCTATGATGAATCCCAGAATTATACTAGCAGCTTAGGCCCCTCCCATGAACCTCAGACTCATAAATTCAATCCAATCACTCTACTCAACATTTCTACTTGGATGTCTTAGAGCTACCTCAAACTTAACATGTACAAAATCAAATTCTAAGACTTGGAACTGTGAAACTACCAGAAAAAAAACATTGGGGAAATGCTCCAGAACACTGGATGGACAAAGATTTTTTGTGTAGAACCTCAAAAACATAGGCAACAAAAGCAAAAATAGACAAACAGGATTACATTAAGCTAAAAAGCTTTGGCACAATAAAAGAAACAATCAAGAAGGTGAAGAGACAACCAAAGAATGGAAGAAAATGTTTGCAACCTATCTATCTGACAAGGGACTAATAACCAGAACATATAAGGAGCTCAAACAACTCAATAGTAAAACAAAATCTCATTTAAAAATGGGCAGAAGATCTGAATAGACATTTTTCAAAAGAAGACATACAAATGGACATTGGGTATATGAAAAAGGCTCTGGCTGGGCACTGTGGCTCAAGCCTGTAATCCCAGCACTCTGGGAAGCTGAGGCGGGTGGATCACCTGAGGTCAGGACAGTTTGAGACCAGTTGCCAACATGGTGAAACCCCGTCTCTACTAAAAAAAAATAAGTAATTCGCCGGGCGTGGTGGTGGGTGCCTGTAATCCCAGCTACTCGGGAGCCTGAGGCAGAAGAATCGCTTGAACCCGGGAGGTGGAGGTTGCAGTGAGCCAATATGGTGCCATTGCACTCTAGCTTAGGCAACAAGAGCAAAACTCCGTCAAAAAAGAAAAAGAAAAAGAAGGAAAGAAAGGAAGAAAGAGAGAGAGAGACAGAGAAAGAAAGAAAGAAAGAAAGAAAGAAAGAAAGAAAGAAAGAAAGAAAGAAAGAAAGAAAGAAAGAAAGAAGAGAAAAGAAAGAAGGAAAGAATGGAGGGAGGAAGAAGGAAGGAAGAAAGGAATGAAGGAAGGAAGGAAGGAAAAGAAAGAGAAAGAAAGAAAGAAAAGAAAGAAAGAGAAAGAAAAAAGAAAAGGCTCAACATCACTAATCATCAAAGAAATGCAAATCAAAACCACAATGATATCTCACCCCAATCAGAATTACTTTTATCAAAAAGACAGGGAATAGCAGGGTGCTGGCAAGGATATGGAGGACGGGGTACCCTCATACATTGTTGGTGGCAATGTAAATTAGTACAGTCACTACAGAGAACTGTATGGAAGTTCCTCAAAAAACTAAGAACAGAACTACCATATGAGCCAGCAATTCGACTACTGGGTATATATCCAAAAAAAAAAAAAAAAAAGATGAAATCAATATATCAAAGAGATATCTACACTCGCATGTTTATTGCAGCACTACTCACAACAGACAAAATATGGAATCAACCTACATATCCATCAATGGATAAACAGATAAAGAAAAGCCGGTATATGGCCAGGTGCAGTGGCTCACGCGTGTAATCCTAGCACCTTGGGAGGCTGAGGCAGGCGGATCACGAGGTCAGGACATCGAGACCATCCTGGCTAACACGGTGAAACCCGGCCTCTACTAACCCGGGAGGCGGAGCTTGCAGTGAGTCGAGATCGCGCCACTGCACTCCAGCCTGGGGGACAGAGCGAGACTCTGTCTCAAAAAAAAAAAAAAAAAAGAAAAAGAAAAAGAAAAGAAAAGAAAACGTGGTATATATACACAATGGAATACTACTCATCCATAAGAGATGAAATCCTGTCAGATGCAGCTACATGGATAGAACCAAAGGTCATTACATTAAGTGAAATAAGCCAAGCACAAAAAGACAAATATCACATGTTCTCACTCATATGTGAGAGCTTGAAAAGTGGGTCTCATGAGGATGGAGAGTACATTGATGGTTACCAGAGGCTGGGATAGGTTGGGGGATGGTGGTGAAGAGAGTACTAATTGATACAAACATACACTTAGAGGAAATAAGACCTGATGTTCAATAGTGTGACTACATTAAACAATCAATTGTACATTTCAAAATAGCTAGAAGAGAATAACTGGAATGTTCCTAGCATAAAGAAAAGATACATATTTAAGGTGATGGATATCCCAATTACTCTGATTTGATTATATGAATGTATCAAATTATCACATATACCCTGAAAATATGTGCATATAATATGTATCAATAAAAAAGAAAATATTCAGAAAAAACAATTAAAATAGCAATAAAACAATAAATAATAATATTTTTTAAATCCTCCAGTGGTTTCCTTCTCACTCAAAGACAAGTCTTTACATTGACTCTCAAGGCCTACATTAGTATTTACCAAGCCTGGGTACATATTAGAATCAGCTAATAAAGGATACTTTTAAAATATACTAATGCCCAGGTTCCAGCCTCAGTAATTCAGATTCAACTGGTCTAGAGGGTAGGGTATTGGTATTTACTGAATGAAAGGCTATGATTGACAATAACCTGCCCAGCCGTTCCCAACACAGGGATGCCTACAACTCTGGCTAGCCAGAGTATCCCATTCCTCCGGTCTTGTTTTGATTGAGCATATGATTCAAGCTAAGTCATATTCTGGGCTTTTGGTGAAGTTATCTGGTGAAGTATATGGTTAATGTTTAACATTATGTAAGCCCAGAGCTGCTGAAGGCCATCATTGTCACCCTTCATTGTTAAAGTCTCCTTAACAATAAAGTCTTAACAAAGAAAAGCAGATTATTTAGCACACTAGACCCATGTGTGTTTAAAGGGAGATCCAGTCCTGAAACTTTCAATTATAGGTGCCAGTAAATTCCTTTCTTTTACCTTACCTTAGTCAAAAAATATATATTATTATTTTTATTTTATTTTTTTATTTATTTTATTATTTTTTATTTTATTTTTTTATTTTTTTTTGACTAAGGTAATTTAAGTTAGGTTTCTATCACTGGAAAGAAAATAATTCCTATCACAATTATAAGCATGTACTTAGTTTTTAAATTCCTAAGATTAGTCTTTTACCACCATCAGCCCTCAATTAGACAGCAAGACCCATAACAGAAAAATTATTCTCTTCACACTTGTATCTATCACATTAATAGTACAGTGTCTGACAAACGGCAGATACTGAAATATTCATCTACCAATGAAACGATTTGGGGGGGGTTTCATATTTAAAACTTCCCTTCATTTAGAAGTAACACTGAAGAAGGATATTTGCTTTTGCAGAAAGGATGGATTCTATGACTTTAAAGGTTTCTGTCACCACTTTGATTTTATGAGACTCTATAATCTCTTTATATCAGTGACTTTCACCAGAAAGTTTCAGCTATCTCACTTCACCTCTCCCCAGTTTGGTCCTTTCAATTCCCACCAATCAAGCATACTCCCAATCTCATTTCAAGGACACCATCCTTCTGAGATTTCTCTCAAGTGTTGCTCTATGATTAAGAAGGTCCTACCTTCTACAGATGATCACACTCCCCATCTTCTTATAGAAAGTATTTTGTTAATTAATAGTCTTGGAACCAGTGCTATCTGAACATTCAGTGTTCTTCACCTTCACACATTTGTCCACAAACATTAACGTAAGATGCATTTCTACATATTTTCATTTACTACAATCATTTATGTCTATCGAGTGGTAATGAATCGTATACCTTTTAAAAGGCTGTGCAGGCCGGGCGCGGTGGCTCACGCCTGTAATCCAAGCACTTTGGGAGGCCGAGGCGGGCGGATCACAAGTTCAAGAGATTGAGACCATCCTGGCTAACATGGTGAAACCCCGTCTCTACTAAAAATACAAAAAATTAGCCGGGCGTGGTGGCAGGCTCCTGTAGTCCCAGCTACTCAGGAGGCAGAGCTTGCAGTGAGCCGAGATGGCACCACTGCACTCCAGCCTGGGCGACAGTGTGAGACTCCATCTCAAAAAAAAAAAGATTGTGCAACTGACTGAAAAACATAAATAATGATAAATAGATAAACAGATAAATAGTGATTATCTGTTTAAATTCCAAAGGCCTAAAGAATACACAGTGTCAATGTAACTAAGCTGTGCAATGCACAATAATACATGTGTGTAACAATGATATTTAAATGCTTCCTAAATATATTCCTTTTAATATTTTTAGGCTAATACTAAACTTTGATGCATAAACCCTCCACAAAATCGGGTTGACGTGTTCTTTACATACCACTCAAAACAAGCACTACTAAAATATCTTGCTCTACTATGATTTGTACAGGTATACACCCAAAACAGTACACTCCAGAGGAGGCTGATAAATGCTATATGATCAAGGAATATCACTAACTGGTTCTTTGAACTTTGTACTGACTTTCATGTTTGGAACTCTGTAACACAAAACTGCCACAGTTGATTAAAAAATGAAAAGCTGAACGAGATCTCTCCTGGTATAAAGATAGCATTTAAACATTCTATTAGTCTGATAGCATTAAACAGAATCTTCTGAACAACCTACCTAAAAGCTGAGATTCTCTGTAAATGACTGTGCAAACTGGATTAATTATTTGAATTTTTTCTTGTGGAATCTTTACAGCTCATAAGATCCCCTGACGCAGTTTCAAGCAGCTAAATGCCTTAAACTGGCAGGTCAAACATCAAAATTAGAAAACACAGGCCAGGCACCATGGCACATGCCTATAATCCCAGCACTTTGGGAGGCCGAGGCAGGTGAATCACTTGAGCCCAGGAGTTTGAGACCAGCCTGGGAAACATGGCAAAATCCTGTCTCTACAAAAAATACAAAAATTAGCCAGGCATGGTGGCATGTGCCTGTGCTCTCAACTACTCTAGAGGCTGAGATGGAGAGAACCACTTGAGCCTGGGAGGTTACGGCTGCAGTGAGCCAAGATCACACCACTGCACTCTAGCCTGGGTGACAAAGTGAGACCATGTCTCAAAAATCTTTTTTAAAAAGTTGGTGGGGGCGGGGGGGCGGACAATGTACAAAACACAAAGTTTTCTATTTATCCTTTATCTTTGGCTCAGTATACTTATGTGGTGCTTTCCTCTATGTTCTACTAATACCTCCCTGGCACTTGAATCAAGCTATAGCTCCCTCTGTAGTAGAAATTTTTTTTTAAAGACAAACACACAGACACCCCTTCACTGACTTTTTCCAAAAAAGTTCTCATTGAATAGAAGATAGACTCCAGAAAACAACCCTTATGAAGGCATATGGCATGAACAGACCAGGCTCTGAACTAATATGTGTACAATTCATTCTAGTTTAAAAAAAAAAAAAAAGAAGAAGAAGAAGAAGGTTTTCAACTTTTGAGAAGGGAAAAAAATCAGTTTTACTTATGATAAGCCACTCTTAGTCTTTAGAGAATGCCCTGGCCATTTTCTGTCTCTCAACTCAGAACTTCAACCTTTCAAATTATTTTTTAAAAAGGTTCAAACACTACAAAGCATCTGATTTAGTGAAAAGCACTTTAAATACCTCTCCAAGTACTCCCCACAGGATCAAAATGTCATAGAAATGTTGTAAACACTATCAGTCATGTTCCAGAGAACAATTTAAACAAACATTGTTTTGCTCTTTTGTCTGGAAAAGTAATTTCTGAAGTGAAGAGTTCAAAACTTTTAGCCCTACATATTACGCAGTAAGAAAAAAAAATACATCTTTTAAGCATCAGAAGCAGAGTACACAATAGGCTTTGTCTTGTTAAACAAAAGAACATGCTTTTCTTTTCAATCATTTCCAGCTGTATGATCTGGCCTTCACAGAATCAGAAATTAACAGCATATGGCATCTGGCTACCTGCACAGACTACATATAAAATTTGAAATCTTCAATAAGATTAACGAGTCTAGTGGTTGAAAGTGGAGGGGGAACCACCGAACACCATTTCTTATACAGAGGCAATAACTCTAACCAAAGAGGGCAAGAAAAATCGTCCCTACCTAATCAGATGTCAACTATATTCCTGTGAAGTGACTCATATCACAAGATCTTTATACCTCCTAGGCAACTTTTAAAAGATACTACCACTGGCTACATAACTGTTTTGACTTTCAAACAAGAAAGGAATTCTACCAAAAACCCCCAGAACAAAAACGTTCTGGACTAATCCACCTTATGAGAGATACATGAGAGTGATGCTTTGGACCCAAATGAGCCAGAAAGAAGAAAAACACAAATGACTATCATTCTCATCATAAATAAATTCCACTAAATCTTAGTAGCAGAATGTCTTTTAGTCTATTTGCGTAGAATCTTACCCTAAGATTCAGCCATACAGCCCAAATCTCTAATCTGATTCTCAGCTAGCGTAATATAAACCCTAGAACTTCCTTCCTGTAGTTGTACACAGATGGGGGAATGAGTGTAGGATAGCAAAGAGTAAGTATCAGCAGTGTGCAATGGCTCGCATCTGTAATCCAGCACTTCAGGAGGCCAAGGCAGGCAGATCCCTTGAGCCCAGGAGTTCAAGACCAGCCTGGGCAACATGGTGAAACCCTATCTTTATTTTTATATTTAAAAAAAAACAAAAAAAGGAAAAAGGTATAATAAGTATCAGCAAACTTAGAAGAAATATCTGCTCAAAACAGTCAAGACTGATCCTTTCCTCCCCCTCCCCAACTCTTTCCTCTACAGCTTCAGACACCAAACACCTTCAAGTCTACTCTTCACACTTTTAATTCTGTTTCATCTGGATCCTGTCCAAAACACTCTGAGTTGAGCTTCAGTGGGCCTAGAAGTCAAACAGTGCTACATTCTTTGACAGTTTACTTCCTAACTCCTAGGAGAGAGAAAAAATGCAGTTTATTCACAAATATCATCAAAGGTGGGTTTGCTTAAAGTAATTTCATCAACAAAGTTTAATTCTGCCTTCAAGTCTTTGGATTTCATAAAAGAGTACTCAACAGTGCCTAACATGAAGACATGTAGAAAATCCAAGCACATTTAGAACAGAATTGAAGTCTCTTAACGACATACAACTCAGAAAATACAAAATAAAAAGATGAGCAATCCATGAGGAAGTTAACTACTTCATTATTTTTAAGACATGCATGGTCTAAGGACAATCAACCACTGGAATTCCTAAATCAAAGACTCTTTTAGTGACAATAGAGGATTGCTAGATTGCAGTAGGACTCTCTAGATTTAATTAAAAAAAAATATTTAAAAGAATAACAAACATGTTTTCCCTCTCAGATTCTCCCTCTCTCTACAGTTCTCACCAGGACCCTGACAGCCTGACAACATCAATGTATTGCACATCCTGAGGCACTAGGTCAACTGCAGGAATCTATCACAGCTGTTAATGTTTTATCTTCACTTGAAATTTCAGAAATGCAAATGCAATGTACCAACAGCTGTTCACACTTTCAATTTTTTCTTGCAAAGCAGGTCATGAAATGTGGCTCGCTAAACATTTGTAACACAGTTACCAATTTGTGTTTCAAGGCCTATAAATACTGCTGCCACTAGTGTACAATCTGATTTCACTGCCCAGTAGTGAAACAGTGCGGCTAGAGGTCCACCAGGAAGGAGATATGTCTGCTTATTAAGGAACTGGGGCAGGCTGGGCACTGTGGTTCACGTTTACAATCCCAACACTTTAGGAAGCCAAGGTGAGCGGATCACTTGAGGCCAGGAGTTGGAGGCCTCTTGGCCAACATGGCGAAACCCCACCTTTACTAAAAATGCAAAAATTAGCCAGGTATGCTTGCACACAACTGTTGTCCCAGCTACTCGGGAGGCTGAGGCACAAGAATTGCTTGAGCCCAGGAGGCAGAGGTTGCTGTGAGCCAAGATCGTGCCACTGCCCTCCAGCCTGGGTGACAGAGCAAGACTCTGTCTCCAACAACAACAAAAAAGGAAATGGAGCAGACTGATAGCTAAAACACACGCCACAACAGTCTGTTTAAATTAGAACATAGATACACTAACATGTATGCATGCACACATCAAATTAGTGAGCAATATGAATTCTCAATACGTGCACCTAATTAAAATTTGTGAGGACCTATTGTTTTGTAATCTACTAGGATTTCATAAGACACAAAGAAAAAATACCTCAAGATACAATCTCTCTCCTCTAAAGTAAACACACCAACAGGATAACTCTTAAAATTATTCCACATTATCAACCACTTTGAAATCCTAATGAAAGTTATGGATCTTCTCCCCAGAAATACATGCAGATAAACACATCTTGCATATAATCTCTTTTTTTTTTTTAAACAGAGTCTGATTCTGTCACTCAGGCTGGATAGTAATGGCGTGATCTCGGCTCACTGCAACCTCTACCTCCTGGGTTCAAGCGATTCTCCTGCCTCGGCTTCCCAAGTAGCTGGGATTACAGGCACATGCCACCACACCCAGCTAATTTTTGTATTTTTTAGTAAAGACAGGGTTTCACCATGTTGGCCAAGCTGGTCTTGAACTCCTGACCTCAAGTGATCCACTCGCCTCAGCCTCCCAAAGTGCCAGGATTTACAGGCGTCAGCCACCATGCCCAGCCTATCTTGCATATAACTTCAAGGGGTTAATAGACCTCCTGAACCTTTTGAATGGGCCTCAGATTAGGAACCCCTGATTAAAACAAATATATTTAAAGGTAAACCAAAGAAATGTGGGTTTCTTAGTTGTAATCTGTCAAGATTATGTTTTTTGGAAGTGTATTTTCATTAAGAAAAGGAAGGAAGTTTGGCAGAAAGAATAACATTTCTGATTTAAAAACTGGTAATCCCATGAGATTTCACCAATGGCATAAAGTTGTAAAATGAATTGGGAGGAGGTAACAGAAAAAGCAAAGTGTGCATTCATAATTGGAGAAAATATTCTCCGAAGAAAACAGAAAAGAGGAAATATAAAATTGTTAAATCTTAGAAGCTGATGGAAATGGCAACAAAAGGTTTCAAAAGAGAAATGGAATATAAACAATGCTTGGCTGGAAACAATGATTCTGGTGGTATTAGCAATGGTGACCAGTCAAGGGAAGGCTGCACGGATTAGAGGTTAAGAGCACAGACTCTGAACAAATGATCCTGGATTGACTCCTAGACCTAAGCAAATTTTTTTCTTTCATAAAATTTGGATGAGATTTATAGATTAAATAAGAATACAACATAAATATAAATTTCCTGATTTTCATAATGTGATTATATAAGAGAATGCTTTTTTCCTAAAGATGTCATTATCTCTATAATGAATTCTAAAGTTGTTTAGGAAAATATATATGGATAATAAAAGGAGAAAGCAAATATGGAAAAAATGCTAACATTTGGGGAATCCAGATAAAGTGTATATGGACTTGTTTGTGCTATTTCTGCAAGTTTTCTGTAAGTCTGCTATTATTTCAAGAAAAGGGTTCTAAAAAATCATAGGCTCTGAAGTATGGCTGCCTAGCTTCAAATCCTGGCTCTGCTACTTATTAGCTATGTAACAATTGACAAGTACATTTTTTAACTTCTCTTTACCTATTTCCTAATTTGTAAAATTGAGACAATAAAAGTATTAGCCCAAGTTGTTGTAAATAATAAAATAATAATCAGAGACTTCATCTAAAGCATTTACAACAGCACCTAACAGATAAGAAGCATTTTGATCTGGCCTGGCTCAGTGGCTCACGCCTGTAATCCCAGCACTTTGGGAGCCCAACACGGTAGATCACCTGAGGTTAGGAGTTTGAGACCAGCCTAGCCAACATGGTGAAACCCCATCTCTATTAAAACTACAAAAATAAGCTGGGTGTGGTGGTGCATACCTGTAATCCCTGCTACTTGGGATGCTGAGCCAGGAGAATCACTTGGACCCAGGAGGTGGAGGTTGCAGTGAGCTGAGATCTTGCGACTGCACTACGGCGTGGGTGACAGAGCAAGACTCCATCTCAAAAAAAAAAAGAAAAAAAAGGAGCACTCCAATCTTCATCATTATTGTTACCATTATTTGTTTTTATATAACCCTTTTCCATCCCCATTTCACCACACCATTCTCTGTCTTAGATCAAGTCAATTCTAGGGGAAAAAAGACAGAAGCAAGCAAACTTAATGGGAAAAGTTATGGTTCTTTAGTTAGAGGTTTATCGCTCTTCAGTGTGGACTCCCAGCCTCCAGACTGTTCCTCCTTTAACCTATCCTCTGAATGCTGTCAAGGAATCTTCAATCTTCACACACACACCCGCTTACATACAACTCTGATAAGTTTATGCCTTCTTAAAACCTTCAATGTTAGCTTTAAGGATAAAATTCCAATTTCTTTAATTTAATATATAAAGTCTATCATGATCTAGCTGCAACATACCCCTTTGCTCTCATCTTTCAACACACATCCATAAATATACCCTTCACTCAGACCTCAGAGAATTACTTGTCCAAGCCCTAAAATAGAATATTCTCTTTGCCTGGAATAGAATTTCACCCTTATTTATCTAGCCAACTCATATTCACCCTCAAAATTTATCTCAGTCTGATGCAGGTGCCGCTGTGAGCACACCAAAACTCTATATGCATGCCTCCAATATGGTATCATACTATAATCACTAGTCTGTTATGTTTATTAGGTTTTAAGTCTTAGATGGCAAGAGTCTTAAATGTCTTTTAAGGCTCTGAATCCCAACACAAAACCTGATATAATAAGGGCTTTCAATTACTGTTAAGTGAATGAATCTCTTGACAAAAAAGCAATAGTTTATAGCAGCTCTTAGCCACACCCTGATTAGTCCTAAAAGTCCAGTATGTGTGTACACATAGGATAATCTATTGGGTAACAGATGAAAGCATTTGTCAAATACAGTGGACTATATACTTGAGCCAACTCTATACTTAAGCAAGTATATAAAATATTAGCTGTGTACGTTTTAATCTTTAAAAAAAAAAACTAGCTCTATGACTCAAGAGTTCAGAAAAAGTAGATGGCAGTATAGTTGGTAAGAAAGGGGATTCCCCTGAACACATATTCATGAATTTCCTAATAGACAATAGCCACAACAATAGGGTAGTCTTGATTTATTAAAAACAATATAAATCACTAAAAATGCTTTTGCTGTCATTTAAAATGACAACTCTTCCACTAAATCCCTTCTCTCCACTAGCCAAGAAATAGAAGGAAGGCCTAATTTTAGTTCATAAAGTTATTTCTAACCAGAATCTCTTAAAAAAAAAAAAAAAGAACTAATACAATCTCTCTCTCTCTCTCTCAGAAGGCTTTAAATCATGTCAGTTACAATGGCTGGTTAATTCCTAGAACCAAAGTCTTGACCAGAGTTCCCCTCCCCACCATAAGGTGGGCAAAACACATGGCCAAATAAAAAAGGTGCCAGAAAAAGGCCCTTGAGCTGTATTAAACACAATGAAAATAATGTTTGAAAATAGCATCTTTCCCAGCTGGAAACACAATGGCTCCAACCATTTCCTCATTCTTCTTAAGATTTCTTTTTCACAAATGGATATACTGACATTATTTTTTCCATTCAAGAAACAAAATCCCAGGAGTTGAGGATCACAATTTAAACCAGATAAAATGCAGACAGTAGTAACATAAAAAGTCCACAAACTCTAAGACATATTTTATCAGTTTCCTTTTTTATATTCTCTACCTCCTTTTCTTCTTTTTACCTTTTTTTAAATTCCCATCCCTTCTGTAAGAAAACTCACTAAGAAGCTTCTTGAAAGAGAACATGTTTCAAATGAATTTCGAATGGAGCAATGATGGGCTCACATAAACCATCAGAGTGACCATAAAGGGATAAGAAGAAAGTACAGAAGAAAAACAGAACTATTCATTCAATTGATAATTTTAAAAGATATAAGTTGCCTAGTGACAAAGTTACTGAGTATTGATATTTAAACTGATTTGCCTCTGACTATTTATAAACAAAGCCGAAAAGAAAATCAGAAGGAGAAAATCCCTCTTGATTCCACATACAAAGTAGAAAGGTTAAGAAGCTATTCCATGGTATTATCTTATATACTAGACCTCCAAATCCTATCGTGGGGTTTCAGGTAAACACTGGATGAGATATATCCACTATAATTATTATTTCTTTCAATGAACCACTATAAAAGTTCTCATGTAATTCCAGGGCTCTGTGGAACAACATTTAAAAGCCACTGGAAAAGTTGTCTATTCCTAACTCCAACTAATTTGCTATACTTCTTAGAATATCAAACTCTATCAACATTTGACAATCTTGTTACCCAGGTACACAGACAAAGGAACAGCAATAATGTCATACTAACCTCACTTAAAGAGTTTTTGCACAAACTACCATGTACTCCCTGCAGTCTCTACTTAGAAAAATATTTACTTTGAAAGCTTTTACCATCTGAATCAGTTTCACTGGATTATGAGTTCCTAGAAGGCAGAGCTATGTGTTTTTCATTGTGGATTCTCCACCTTCCTCAACCCTGCCCGCTCAGAGCTTTACACATAGCAGATGCTCAAAAAGTGACTTTTAAAAAAAAAAGAGAAAGAATCCAATGTCCAGTAACAGAGGAAGAGTTAAATTATGTTATTTATATAATAAAATTTTTAAAATGATTTGGTAGATCTATACTTATGGACATTAAATATGTCTAAGGGGTGAATGGAATGGCTATAATTTGTATGCATAGTTCAAGCCCATTTTTCCAAATATATATATATAGACATGACTGCATAGATAAATAAATGATTCCCATTTATACATAAGCAAAAATCTAAACCTTTTTCAACAAAATGTTAACAGTGGCAATCTGTGGGCAGTGGGATTTTGAGTGATGCTTACATTCCTGTTCATATACACCTTTATATAATATTTAAAAAATTTAAGTAATGAATAGTAGTTTCTCCCATAGATATCAAAACAATAAAGATGTTTTCAAATGTGGGGGAAGTCAAGTAAATTGACCTTTCTAAGCCAATTACTATTCTTCTTTTCCCCAGTTCTCTGAAGTGACTTCAGCCCAGCTATCTCTCAGATTGTTGCTCCTCTGTCATTTAGTTTATCATTCCACCTTTTTTTCTTTGTGCTTTCTTCACCCATTGCTTCGCCCATGTCCCAAAACAAGGCAGATAATTCTCTATCTAGGCCACTGCAATTTACTTACTTACTTATTTATTTGAGACAGAGTATTGCTCTGTCACCCAGGCTGGAGTGCAATGGCGCAATCTTGGCTCACTGCAACCTCCGCTTCCCGGGTTCAAGCAATTCTCCTGCCTCAGCCTCCCAAGTAGCTGGGATTACAGGCGCCCATCAGCACACCCAGCTAATTTTTGTATTTTCAGTACAGACGGGGTTTCACCATGTTGGCTGGTCTTGAACGCCTGACCTCAAGTGATCTACCCGCCTCGGCCTCTCAAAGCGCTGGGATTAAAGGCATGAGCCACCGTGCCAGACTGCAATTTATTCTTATATCCCTTTCATCTCTTATTCCTCATATCCCAGACTAAACCAAAATAAATGTTGACCACCATGAGATAACACTACACACCCACCAGAATAACTAAAATTTAAAAGACTGACAACAAATAATGCTGGCAAGGAAGTACAGCAATTGAGGAAACAAAATATGGTAGAACTACTTTACAAAAAGGTTTGGCAGTATCTCATAAAATTCTGATCCAGAATTCCACTGCTAGGTATATTTACCCAAGAGAAATGAAACATATATCCACAAAAAAACCTTGTATAAGGATGTTCATAATAGCTTTATTCATAATAGCCCCAAACTGAAACATCTCAGGTATCCATCAATAGGACAATGAATCAATTGTTAAATTCATATAAGAGAATACAGCTCATTAATGAAATGAACTACTGAAACATGTAACAACATAGAGGCATCTCAAAATTATCATGCTGAGTAAAAGAAGCTTTATATAAAAGAGTACATACTGTATGATTCCATTTATATGAAGTTCTACAATAGGCAAAACTAATCTATAGTGGAAAAAATCAGAACAATGGTTGCCCATGGGGAGGCAAGGGGAGAGGACTGAGTGGAGAGGGAAATGAGAGAAGTCTGGGATGATGGTAATGTTCTATAACTATTAAGATAGGGGTTTAGGTTAAGCAGGCAAGATAGGGGTTTAGGTTAAGCATTTGTCAAAAACTCGCTTCAGATTTGCGTAGATTTGAGGTATTTAAAATTTACCTCAAAAGAAAAAAAATCAAATATTGACCTCTAACTAATATTATGCATCCTGAAGTGTTTAGAGGTGAAGTGTACCTAGGTCTCAAACTCACTTTAAAATGCATAAATAAGATGTGATGGGTTGATGGATAATAGATGGATATATAATAAAGCAAGTTGTAAGAGATTAATCATATTGATAGAATCTAGGTGGTAAGTAAATATGGTTGTTGACTACACAATTTTCCCAACTTTTCTGTATGTTTGAAATTTTTCAAAATGAAATGTTAAGAAAAAAAAAGTAAACTTTGATCTCCAAGTCAAATTACTTTTTGCTCAGTCTCCAGATATAGTCTCATTTTGTGGCAAGCAAAGTCAATTTCCCTCTACTTAGAGCAGTAGGCAGGCGTATTCTGTGTGCTACTTAGCAGTGGGGGTCAAAAGTGGTAAATTAGCAAGTTTGTCCAGAGGGAAGATTGGTCCCAAAGGATGAGCCGAAAAGGACAGTCACTGATGCAAAGCAATCAGAGTGACTACACTTCTACTGACTGTAACAGCACCTATGGTAACTGTTTTTTTGATCCAAAAAAAACAACAGTACTTTCAACCAGTACTAGATCCCCTTTAGGGGAGTCTGCCACTACCACCCAAATACTCACTAACATTCTTAGGCAGCTTTTCTACTCTAAGTACAACCAGAAGTACCTTCTAACAAAAACACACACAGCCTTGAATTGTAACATGGGACAGATTTATGGAATATGGAAGACATTAAAGTATTCGCTTTCTCTCTGAAAATAAAGAGTGCAGACTCATAAACAATGCCTAAAAGGCATTTCAGCAGCTTAATCCATGCAGGACATGTTTTGCTTTTTGAGACAATCAGGAACTATTGGGTACAGGAAGCCATAAACAACAAGAATTTGGCTTAAGAAGGAGAACAGAATAAATGTTTTTTATGGAAATCACTTAACATTTTTTTGAAGGGGTTTATTTATATGTGACAAAGCCTACAAGACAGAACTTGTATATAAGTAGCAGCTCTTACAATACATCAACCATTGACTGACTTCTCACGACAGTGGCACCAAGCAGGACCAGTCTGTCAGCATTTCCATCAACAACTACATTTGCTGAGCTTGATAATTCCCTTTTTTTTCCCCAATTTTCTCCGGACAGAGGAATCCACTTAGCTGGTTCTCAGCATTCAGGCTTAGCCAAGAGTTTTTCTTCTTTTAAGTTCCATGGTATATGAAGTCTGAAGTTTGGTAAAGTGGATTTCCTTAGGTAGGCTCAGTCTTTTAAGTCCAAGGAATGAAAGAAGCATGATAGGAAAACCACCCACAGAATTCTGTAACTTAACAAACATGCTACATATAAAATTCACTGAGTTAATAAGGTTTAACATAGAATAAAACAAACAGTACCATGGGGTAGAGAAAGAGAGAGATACTCTCTTAGAGAAGAAGTACTATTTTCAATAGATATCTTAGAATGTACAATTATTATCTGATATTCCTAAAAGCAAAACAACTTATGAATAAGGTACAGATTTTTTGAAACAGGTAGTATGTGAAAAGTCCGGGTTTCAGAGATAAAGAATTAGTGTTCTGTTTTGAGGCTTCTGTATAACCATAAGCAAGATACTGAATTCTTTACTTACCCCGTCAATAAAGTTAATCAAACTTTCTAAATTATTTATGTTCAAAGACTTGAACTTCTCATGCAAGCCATAATAAGTATTATTGGTATGAGTCTTATTCCTTCTGACTACAAAAGAAGAAGCCCAGTACAATACATATAAATAGCACCAACATTCCAAATGATATTCAATATGTCCTACACAAATAGGGAGTACATATCTCATACATACTAAAAATCATAAAACCTTCGCTTCAGCTGGGCGGTGGCTCATGTCTGTAATCCCAGCACTTTGGGAGGCCGAGGCAGGCAGATCACGAGGTCAGGAGATGGAGACCATCCTGCCTAAGACAGTGAAACCCCATCTCTACTAAAAAGACAAAAAATTAGCCGGGCGTGGTGGCGGGCGCCTGTAGTCCCAGCTACTCGGGAGGCTGAGGCAGGAGAATTGCTTGAACCTGGAAGGCAGAGGTTGCACTGAGCCAAGATCACGCCACTGCACTCCAGCCTGGGTGACAGAGCCAGACTGTGTCTCAAAAAAAAAAAAAAACCTTTGTTTTTTCCCCAACTTCCCAACTTTCATTCTTATGTTTTTCTTACTTTATAGTATTTTATGGATAGGCTGGTAAGAAATAATTACTTGAAATATTTTTCTTCAGATGCTCAGAAATATATAAATTGTTAATGACTGGGGCACTATATGCAACCTAACATTTTGTTCAATACTGTTGGCTGCACAGCCGTATTTTATTTTTATGTTTTCTTTGGTGAACACTAACTTCTATGACTTCAAGTTAAAGATGGCCAATCAAACACATGCACTAAGCTCACCTCCCTCCTCAAAACTTGACTAAAACAAAATTAAATAGCTTTTTTTTTTCAGGCAAAACCCCACAAAATCAACAGGTACAGAAGAAAAACCAACAGCAACAAAAATTTTGGAAGTTAGTCCAGTGTGGTAAGGAAACAACGTTAAGTAGGGAAGAAATCCAAAAGGCAGTTTGATTATAACACATTGGTAACACTGGGTATCTCTGGAAGGAAAGGCAGAAAATGAAGCTTAAAGGGGTTAAGCTGAAAGTCTGCTTAAGAGGAGGTTAGACCCTGAGATCACCTTTCTCACTTCATCTTGCCAAACAACTGTCCCTCTCTCACCACAGCAAAAAGTTGGAGATTTATTCTTTATATACTATGTACAGTAAAATAAAGCATCTCCTGACTGGCACAGCTATCACAATTGAGGAGAAGGACACTATTCTGAAAACAGGGGATTAAGTATGAGAGCTTACATAGTGCATGCTGATATCCCCAATCTTCCCTCCCCCACCACACACAGACATCTTAAAATGCTGGCATGCAAGAAAAATTCTAGAAGCTCATTGTTGGGGTAATTTTACCAGCCCCTCCAAAAAAAATCACCAAAAGATACTGACAAAGGACCCACTCCCAGCCCCACCAAGGTAACTGTCCACCCAGATCACCCTAGTATTAAAGGGAGGGAATGGGAGAATAACTTCGATGGGAGTTGACATTAAGTATCCTATGTCTTGGATCCACTATAAACCCACATTAATTGCTGAGCATGTACAGAAATAGGGTCCAGACTTTTCAATGCTCTTGACTACTGTCTTATTTTAAGTTCCCCCAGAAGGAGAATCTGAAACAAGGATTTGAGTCCAAGAAATTTACTTAGGAGAGGACCCCAGAAAGGATAAGTAGAGACATGAGGAAGTGAGACAGGAAAAGAAGTCAATAAAGGATATGTTATCAAGCAAGTTAGGTCAACTAAAACTTATTTTCATGGGGAACTCAGAAATGGCATAGAATACCTGCCTCAGAGGTATTCCACACCATCCTCCTTCCTGGTGGGCAAGGAAGCTGAAGTATTTATACACCAGCTTCCATGAGTTATGAGCTGAGGACTACTGGGGCAGGGGCAGGGGCAGGGGCAGGGGGCAGGAGGAGAGAAGAGGTGGTATTAATTCCCCATTTCTGGCTTCCAGAGAAAGCCCTTTGGCAAAGAGATGCAGGTGCTAGCAAACTGAAGGTTCAGTCAGCATGCACTGAAGGTAAGAACTAAAGGGATATGAACAAGGCATTAACAGCATCTGCTACGTCCACCATGATAACTGAGCTAATCTGTGTCACTATCTTATTCAATGTAAAAATCACTCTTATAAGTTCACTCTTGAATTCTTCCTTGTGTTTAAGAAAGCTAATACCTAGTAGTAAATGACAGGGGTCCAAACATTATCAAGCACTTTTACCAAATTATCTATGCACAACTGTACAACATTTTAGTTCATGGTACTAACCCGATCACTCTGTATTATAGTTAAATATTAGTCATCTCTGTTTTACCAATGAGAAAACGAGCCTAAAGCAATAAAGTGATGCATTAGGTCCAAAAGAAAATTGAGGTAAAAATAAAAACTAAACTTATGACTACCATTTTAAACTTCCAAAACATAATGTTTATTAACTTCCATGTTCACAATAATTATGTCAATTCTCTGCTATAAGAATTTTAGCCCAGAGCAACTGAGCAGAAATGTACGTTACTTTATTTCATGATTGGGTAGCCAAAACTAAAAATCATACCTGGCTGTAATATGAAATTTCCGAAAGGTAAATGCAACCTGAATGTCTCCTAGGCCCATTAACCAGAGCATCCTTTTAGGTTACTCTAACAGTATTATATCTCTAAACCCATTGGCTCAAAAACATCACTTATCAAAGTGGTTAAACCTCAGTCTCCACTCATGTTCTCACTCACAGCGCACTTCATATTTCTATAGGAGTCTCTCTCTCTCAGTCTCTCTCTCTTCTTCACAAAAATACCTTCCTTTGTAATATCTACTTTGTTTAAAGATAGGTACACCACAGTAGAAGGACTGGGATTCCTAATGATATAATCTTTCAGTTTCATATCCTAGGGGATATAATTGATTGGCTATGAAGTGAGGTTAGGGGTGAAGACTAGGTCTGAATGGTTGAATCAATGCTCCTTTCTGATATTCGGGCCCTGTGGCAAACTCCGGACTGCTGTGCCAGGATCCTTACTCACACGCTTGTTCTCCTAGGGATTCTACTATCTCTCCTTGCAATCTGATCACCACGTCCCAGTTTAAGTATGCACAATTGTGGGCAGAGTTTGCCAACTTTCCCATGAGTCCATAATGCAGCACAGGGGACATAGCTAGGTGCATACTCAAGTGTCCCTAAGTTTTCTGGGACAATTAAAGAGACTGTCGAAAGCATACATAAAATATCCAGTGGAGTATTGCTAAGCTTCTCATTCCAGCTATGACTAAGCCAAGACAATTTGTTATACAAGTTTGAATTCTTCACAACAGGAGGACAGAGATGGTTTATCAAAACCCAGAAATTAAACTGTTAGTTCAAACCAGTTTATTGCCAAGTTTCTGTAGCTGGCTTGCCCAAAGAAGTTGCTTTTGTTCAGAGCACTTATTTTTCTGCCTATGAGGCTATGAGGAAAAAACACTGACCTACTTCCAAAAATGTCAATAATAACATAAAACCTCTAAACAGATGTTTCATATCATCAGTAATATTTGCATCATTTGACTACCATCTTGGGTACATGATAACTAAGGATAGCAGTGTTATAATTAACAAATATCTCTTTCTATAGATCATAAAAATGACTTTGGCCTTCTTTTCCCATATCCCCATGTCCCTATACATATTCCAATGATTTATTTCCATGAGAAAAATTCTTTATTAAGCAGAATATCTTACTTTCTAAGGTAAACTAGCCTGATCATTCCTTTATTCTCAATTTCCCTCAATATTTAAAATATCAGTTGATCATGTCAATTCACTATTCCTGAAAAGGTTCTCATTTGAGTCTTTATTTTGAATCCCTTGACAATATCTAATATAAGTCTTTGTAATTAACAGCCACACAAAAAAAGTCACTGATTAACTACTACTGACTTTACTAACTTACCAAATGCAGTAGTCTTTCTAAGCAATTCTAAGCAATTCAACAACTTTTTATTTACAGTACTAGTCTCAGTTTCTAAATATAGAGCCTGTTATATCTTCTTAGTTTTTCATGAAGTATAGGCTTTCTTACACTAAAGATTTCTGGGGTACTTGGGGCTCATTTCCACATGTCCACATGGCACAACAATACAGAGAAAGATGCTGGACATGTCAGGTACTCAGTTAACTTAAATTCTTCTGTGGCTTAAATTGTGTCTCCCAAAAATATTTGTTCAAGTCCTCATTCCTAATACCTGTGAATGTGATCTTATTTGGAATTAGGGTCTTTGCAGATGTAATAAAGTTAAATGAGGTCTTCAGGGTGGGCCTTAATCCAATATGATTGGCATATTTAAAAGAAGACGCTGGGCATGATGGCTCACACCTGTAATCCCAATACTTCGAGAGGCTGAGGCAGGAGGATGGTTTGAGCTCTGGAGTTCAAGACCAGCCTGGGAAACATAGCAAGACTCCATCTCTATTATTTAAAATAAAATAAAATAAATACAATAAAAAGAAGAAGAGATACAGACACACAAGGAAAATGCTGTGTGATGAAAAGGGAGAGACTGGAGTTATGCTATCACAAATCAAGGAACACAGAGGATTGCTGGCAGCAACCATAAGCTAGGAGAAAAGCATGAAACAAATTCTCTGTGAGCACTGAAAAAGGAACCAATCCAGCCTGGATTTTAGATTTCTAGACTCCAGACCTGTGAGATAATAAATTTCTGTTGTTTTTTAAAGTCACCTAGTTTGTAGTACTTTGTTACAGCAGCCCTAGGAAATTAATAAATCTACCGAGAAATAGAACTATTAACGGAGGGACCAAAATTTAAAAGAAAAAATCTGAACACACAACATAGTTTAGCTTATAGAAAATACCATTATGAATATGAAGTTGAATAGGTTAATCAATAATATTTTATAAATAACTTTTATTCTATTTCTCATTAATATCTCAGAAAACAGAACTATATGGGTAAAAAAAATTTAACAGGAACGCTTATAAAAAGAAACTATAAACTAGCAGGGCTTCTCTGGGATCAATACAATGTTGTATATCTATTTTTTTTTTTTTTTTTGAGATGGAGTTTCGCCCTTGTCGCCCAGGCTGGAGTACTGTGGTGCAATCTCAGCTCACTGCAACCTCGGCCTCCTCAGTTCAAACGATTCTCCTGCCTCAGCCTCCTGAGTAGCTGGGATTACGGGTGCCCACCACCCCACCTGGATTTTTTTTTTCTATTTTTAGAAGAGATGGGGTTTCACCATGTTGGCCAGTCTGGTCTTGAAATCCTGACCTCAGGTGATCCGTCTGCCTCAGCCTCCCAAAGTGCTGGGATTACAGGTGTTTGCCACTGCGCCCAGCCCCTGTTCCCCTCTTTATTCTCTCCATAGCAAATACCACCATCTGACATACTGTATAGTAACTTGTTTTTAACATATACACAATAGCTATGTGTTGATTGAAAGAATAAACGAACAAAGGTAATCTTTCACACATAGAATAAGTTAATGAGGTGAAAGTGTTAATTATTATATGCTTACTAGATGATTACTGATATGATCACTAATTGATTAGCATATGCTTACTATATGATTATTATATGCTTACTGTATGATTACTGATATGATTACTATATGATTACTAATTCCTTCTCTATTATTCCTGCTTCTCTTTTACAACTTTCACTACACTAAGAAGTGTATAGAATTTTCCTCTTCCTTTTTCACCATATTCTTTTTTTTTTTTTTTGAGACAGAGTCTCGCTCTGTCGCCTAGGCTGGAGTGCAGTGGCACGATGTCGGCTCACTGCAAGCTCTGCCTCCCGGGTTCATGCCATTCTCCTGCCTCAGCCTCCTGAGCAGCTGGGACTACAGGCGCCCACCACCATGCCCGGCTAATTTTTTGTATTTTTAGAAGAGACGGGGTTTCACCATGTTAGCCAGGATGGTCTCCATCTCCTGACCTCGTGATCCACCCACCTTGGCCTCCCAAAGTGCTGGAATTACAGCCGTGAGCCGCTGCGCCTGGCCTTTTTCACTATATTCTTTATCAATTAAGAATGCTTCACGTAAGATGAAGCTTCCTTTTAGTAATTGACCCATTTGAAACTCTAAGATGGTCCTTAGAAGAAAGAGGCACTCACTAGGATTTAGTGGCTGACTACAATCCAGCTGCATATTTCTCTCTGTGCAAAATATTCTACAAAAGCCCAAGAGAGGAAACTAAGTGGAATCTTAGGTTTCAAACTTCTTTTACATGAAGTCAATACTAATATCCTCTGGGCAAGTCCTATTTGACCCAACTAAAACTCTAGGAGAAAGAAAAACAGATTATCAACTCCCCTAAACTATCCTTAAAGAAGATTAAGTCAAAAATATGGTTTAGAAATAAGTATCTTTGTGACTGAAACACTGAGCTTTAATACCAGAGGAAACTGAAGAAATTGTATGAAATTCAAGAAAAGCTCAAAAATGGTAGGCAAACAGCTCTAGCATTTTCTCTTTCAGTTCCCTATATATTCCCTGCCCCCACATCCAAAGAAGGAAAAGAAGCAATCTGAGTTAACAAAAAAATATAACACATCTCAGAAAACACTTAAAAGCAAAACAGACTCAGATGGTCTCACCTGGAAAACTAGAATATCTCCATATGTATAAGGTTTGCAGGTTTTTTTTTTTTCTTTGAGACGGAGTCTTTCTCTGTCATCCAGGCTGGAGTGCAGTGGTGCAATCTCAGCTCACTGCAAGGCTTGCAATTTTTTAAAAGGAGTTCATAAAAGCATGTTCTGAATAATAAAACGTATTTATTTTCCTAATCCAGGATCTGCTGTGTATAGCTCTTTTCTTTGCCTATGAAGTTGTTTAAATTATGCCTCTCCACCTCAAGTATAATTTAGATGACAAAAAATCTTACAGTGAATCCCCAAAGCCATCCTTTGAATCATTCTGAAAAATAAAAGGCCAATGCACAAGATCAAACAATACTTTATTATCTGGAGCAGAAATTCAACATGATGAGATACATCAAGGTTTGGTCGGGTTACTTAAATCCATAAATCAATATTATTGTGGCTGCTTTGTACTGATATTTAGTACCCATGCTACATTTTGTAATCCCTAATCTGATACCTATTCTCTCGGATTCACCCATGAATTAGAAACCTGGTTTACTTCCCTATTTATCTACTTACCTTCCTCTTTCCACAAACTTTTCTTCCTTTTTTCTTTTTTTTTTTCCTTGTGCCACTCATCCTTACTCCTCTAAATTTCTTATCCTTTCTGCTTTCCTAAAAAAATATATCCAAATCCCTTTAAGGAACTGATGGTTTCTCTATCCTAACTTGTCATAAAAGCAGGGTGAGGAAATGTGACATGAGATACTAATGTTGTCTACATTGCTTTTGAGGAAGTGTTGATCTATGCCTATGATATAAATGCATATTTCTTTCTAAAAGAATGTCCTAAGGAGACCTTGAATCTAAAAGCTCTGGATACAAATTTTCTGCTTTGAAAAGAGCTTTCTTCCTTCAAGAATGAACTGGTGGGGCATGGTAGCTCACACTTGTAATCCCAGCACTTTGGAAGAGGCATTCACAGGCAGATCACTTGAGGTCAGGAGCTTGAGACCAGCCTGGCCAACATGGGAATCCCATCTCTACTAAAAATACTAAAATTAGCCAGACATGGTGGTGGGCGCCTGTAATCCCAGCTACTCAGGAAACTGAGGCAGGAGAATCGCTTGACCCTGGGAGGCGGAGGTTGCAGTGAGCTGAGATGGTGCCACTGTACTACAGCGTGGGTAACAGAGCAAGACTCTGTCTCAAAAAAATAAAAAATAAAATAAAAGAGTGAACTTCACAGATCTTATCTCAGTGACTCACAAATCTAGTTTCAGAAGATAGATAATTCTTCCACCTCCATATTTTTGGTCCAAGTTAGATTTTTAAACAAATGTTCAATGGGAATGGAGCACTGACATGTAATACTATTATTTCCATATGGGTTTTGTTGTTATTGTTGTTTGAAGGGGAAGGAAAATAAAAAGACTTTCTTTTGCATTAAAATGCCATAGGAACAAAGGAGTTGCTAAAGAATCTTGCATGTTCCACAGGCTGTGTATATACACATGGCCGGAGTCACCTTTCCTTTTGCAGGCTTACATATTGCTAAGATAGACAGGTTTCAGCCCTTCCATTTGTAGCAAGACATTTTCTCTGTATGTCATTTGGCAGATGCAGTTGTGGGACTCTGCCAATTCACCCTGGAGCCCTCCATTTTAATCAGTATCACATAAAGTTTAACACATGCTTTGAAATATGCACCAGATTCAAGGCTTTGCCTGGAGACGGGGGTGGGGATGCTTGCTACAAAAACACATACCATCCCAGCCGCTACTCCACAAGCAATTATCTTTCACCTTTGGCTGAACCAGGAGAACTGTCAACACAGGCACACTGCCAACCAGGGGAGAGGTTACAGGGTCAAAGCGGGAAAGACGGCTGGATGCTTTGGGGTTCAGCTCGGACATCTGTTAATCTCTCTGGCTACATGGAAGAAGAATTCTCTTTAGTCACCAAGACACAGCTATAAGAGAAGTAGCTGAGAGTACACTAGAATTTTAGCAAGGCTTTTCTAGTAGTAAACTTAGTAAAAGCACAAAGCTCCTGCAGTACAATAGGACAACCACGTATGAAAAGCCAAAGAACTCAGATCAGCAAATTCACGTACATCAGGAAACTGCAACTGTGAACTGGGCTGCGTAGACAAGAGGATTAAAACAAACCTCATATGTTAGGAATAAACACTTGTTTTCTTCATCATAAATACAAGTTAAAAATATATGAAAGTATTCTTTAAGGTTTTTTTTTGAACAGAGAAACCAAAGAAAAGTTGTCATTGATACTTTTTTCAAAAAAAGAAAAATTATTAAAGCATAGATGAAGTGTCTCCATAAGTATCCAAAAATAAACAAATAGCTAAAGCAGAGATGAAAGTCAGGATCTCCCTAACTCCAGGATACAAACCCCCAAACACAAACACAGACACCCACATAGACAGAGTTAAGATCTTTCCTAAAATGCCTATTCTAAAATATATGAATATTGTACCTCTTCCACAAGTAAAACTCATCTCTCATAACAAGAATAAAAAAAAATTATCTTAGGTGTCATTTACTAACCATTTCTGAAGGCTAGCCTAGATCTTTGCATTGAAAAGGGCTCTAAGGCTCACTCCAGTGCAGTGGGAAGAGTGCCATGCTGAATCACATCTGTCAGGGCTGACACTAATGGACATAACAATACCACTTGTGGCACTTAACTATTCCACATCAGTTAGACCAATGGCTCCGAAGTTTCAAGGTTATCCAAAAACAATCTACTGGTGTATATATATATAATTTTCATCTTAAAAAAAAGAAAGAAACTAAGTTACTAACATTTGATTTTAAAATAACAATGATACCCTTCCTTACTCTCCATATGTCAGTCATGTATCACATACAGAATTCAAACTATACTATACTGGGGAAAGACAATGCAGAATAATTGACAGTAATATTCTCATTTAGTTATTTTCTTTCAGTTTATTGTGCTATATTGCAGATTATAGGTGCTCAGATAAATAAAACTAGATTATCCACTTTTAAACATGTACAAAATGGACAAATGGCCTTAAAATATTCCTAAAATATTCCTGTGGTTTGTAAATAATGCTAATAGTAGCACATGTAAATGACAAGAAAATAGCAAGGTTAATACCTATCTTCAACTTGATGTGCAAAGACCATTATAATAACGGTCCCCAGTAGATCATCTCTCCCTGTGCCCATGTGCCTTTGCAATGTGACACTGCTGCTTCTTTCATCAAGAGATTAGAGCCATTTCTCCATGTTCTTGACTCTAAATTGGCTGTGGGACTTGTTTTGGCTAATACAATGTAGTGGACATTGTCAGATTCTGGAGACTGGGTTTGAAGAGGCACAGCAGTTTGATTTCTCTCCCTCTCCAAACCATAACGCCACCATGCAATGATGAAGCAGTTTAGTCTACTGGGGAATAAGACACCATGTGGAGAACTGAGATAACCTATCCAACAACTAACACCAACTGCCAGCCAGGAACATGAGTGATTCCTGGGGAGGCCAGAAGACAAATTCCCTAGCTGTGCCCAGACTGAAGCGCTATCTATGGTATCATAAAAAAATGATAAGTCAGTATTGTTTTAAGCCATTAAGTTTGGGGTGGTTTGTTACACAGCAATGAATAACTGATACACCTGCTAAGAGCCCCTGGTCAAATATATTATGTGGTAAATATAATGATCAGATATGACAGAAAAGAACATACAAAATTTGAAATTATCAAGAAGGCTATCTGTACAAGGAATTTAAATGTATTATTAACAATGGACCTCTCTCTAAATGTCTATCCTGCCTTAACATACTAGCTAATGAGAGTAGTACATGTGTGTATGATTTTTATATACAGATATAGATATAGATATAGATATAGATATAGATATAGATATAGATATGGGGTATACACACACAAAAATATTTTATTGATGGCAGCCCATAATCAAAAAGGTTTGTAGCCACTGACTGAGCTAATGAGAATAGTACACATATATCATTTATAAATACAGATATTGGGCACAAATGTCCCACTTCCTTTGAAGAAAATTCAAAATTTTTTAAGAAAATCTCTTAAAAATTTTTGAATATTCCTAGTAAGCTGCCATGCACTAGGTCATGTAGTAAAGCTGAAAAAAAAGAATCTCTTCAGGTTTGGCATGGTGGATCCTGCCTGTAATCCCAGAACTTTTGGAAGCCAAGGTAGGCAGATCGCTTGAACTCAGGAGTTCAAGACCAGCCTGGGCAACAAAAAAGACCTATCTCTACAAAAAATACAAAAATTAGCCGGGCATGGTGGTGCATGCCTGTGGTTCCAGCTACTCAGGAGGTTGAGGTGGGAGGATGGCTTGAGCCTGGGAGGCAGAGGTTGCAGTAAGCCAAGATTGTACCACTGCACTCTAGCCTGGGCAACAGAGCCAGACCCTGCCTGTCTCACCTCTATTTCCAAAAATTAGAAATTCCTAACTATGCCAGAAAGTAAGAGTCTCCATAGTTCTAATATTCTTTTACTAATAGAATGCGTCTGCACTTTATAATATTGTGCATACTCCACCATCCCACAATATTTTACTTACTACACTAATATCACTACAACTAAGATAGTGATCTCAACCAACTGGTAGAAAGAATGACAAAGAGTGTTAAATCTAATCATGCCCCTTTCTAGCCCTAACTTAAAACCCTCAGGGACCTATATATAAAGACCGAATTTCTTAGCATGGCATATTTCTATATTAGATCAATGGCAATATCATTCAAAGAGACAGGAAATAAGAGAAGAAAAGCATGTGGTGGTTTGGTGATGGGGAGGGGGAGTACAGTGATACAGCCAATGAAAGGAGAACCTTGGGCATGTCAAGTGCAAAGTGGAGTCACTGGAGAGGGGAAGATTGAAAAATAAAGGGAGGAGAAAGAGGAATTAACTGACAGTACAAGGAAATGACACAGAGCACAGGTGGAAGAAATAGCCTTAACCAGAAGGAATCACCGCTTCCTCTGAGAATGGAATTAAAGCAATAAAGAATGGTGGAGACAGATAATTAAGGAACAAGAGTGCTGAAAGCCAAGAGAATTTCTGCCTAATAGCCCTCAGTTTCTCTATGACATTGGTTAAGAGATAAGGTTATCGATAAAGAAAAAGGGAGCATCTCTGTAAAGAAGGAGGTAAACTCTTCACCAAAGTAAAATGCCTTTTCATGTCACACTGAATAATATTAACATTTAGATGAATACCAATTTTATGCTTACTCATACTATATTATCTCTAACTATTTCAAGTCAAAATTAGAACATTTTTCATTGTTATCTTGCCCTTCTCTATTTCTTGTGTACTAACTGTACAACAGAAATAAGGAGCAAGAAAAAAATAAGTGGCAAAAGCTTGAGAAGTTATAGCTAAACCAACGTCTGAAAATACAACCTTATCCAATTTTACCACTGCCGACAGCAAAATGAAATATAGGTCAATTTATTCTCTGACACCAATCTATTATCTAAACTTGGCTACTCAGAAAAGTATACCAACATCTTGAACCTATTTGTTAATATGTTAGTGAGGTTAGCACCCATTTTCACTAATGGTATAAAATTAAACTGAGATGCTTACAATTTTATTCAATCTTTTCTACTACATACTCTTCACAAATCATGAAGAAACTAGAAAAGGAACATCCCAGAATATACTACTGATTCTGACATTGATACGGACCTTAATAATCTAGAGGGCTCTCACAAGAACATATATCTATTTCAGAGAGTGTCTAAATCCCCTGACATTTTATGTGCACATGGTAATTTTTCTAAAAAAGAAGGTTCATGAGTTTCACTACATTCTCAAAAAGTTTACATCCCTAAAATGCTTATGAACTATTGCTACAGATAGCTCCCTTCTCCAAAGTTAATAGAAGAAACTCTGCTTGAAGACGTATCAAGAAAGTCAAACATGGCCGGGCGCGGTGGCTCACGCCTGTAATCCCAGCACTTTGGGAAGCCAAGGCGGGTGGATCACGAGGTCAGGAGTTCAAGAACAGCCTGGCTGAGATGATGAAACCCTGTCTCTACTAAAAATACGAAAAATTAGCTGGGCATGGTGATGGGTACCTGTAATCCCAGCTACTCAGGAGGCTGAGGCAGAGAATCACTTGAACCCAGGAGGCAGAGGTTGCAGTGAGCCAAGATCGCGCCACTGCATCCCAGCCTGGGCGACAGAGTGAGACTCCGTCTCAAAAAAAAAAAAAAAAAGAAAGAAAGTCAAACAATACATGCCCCATTAGGCCACAGACTTCTTCATTAGGGAAGCTGGGAGAGCCATATGTTTAGTAGACTAAGAAAAGCTGAAGACACTCTGTTGGAAAGTAGGCTGGACTATTTTTTGGCATTTGTTTGCTTTCTTATATGGTTTATTTAGAGGTAAAGGAAAGGTACAAATTAATAACAGACTTTAGCCTGATTAAAAAAAACAATGTTATAGTACTGAAAAACAGATAATCATTACCCTCAAATCCTCTGGCACCAGGGTAAAATTACCAAATCCAAGGGCAGGATAGCCCGCAAAAGTAGGCTAAGACCACCATGGTTCAAGATAGCTTTTAATGGCACTACACACAAAATCTAAGCTAAAAATATGGCTTTCTATATACAGTCATCCCTCAGTATCCACAAGAGATTAGTTCCAGGACCTCTCTGCAAATACCAGTATCTGTGGATGCTCAAGTCCCTTACCTAAAATGGTGTAACATTTGCATATAACCTATGTACATCCTCCTTTATATTTTAAATCATCTCTAGATTACCTATAATATCTAACACAATGTAAAAACTATGCAAATAGTTGTTATACTATATTGCTTTTATTTGTAGTATTTTTATTGTTATATTGTTGTTTTTTATTGTTTTGGTTTTCTACGAATATTTTCATCGGCCACTGGCTGAATCTGTGGATTTGGAGGGATGGCTGCATCCTGTTAGATACAAAGACCACAGAAACACACACACACACACACACACACACACACACACAAAGTTATCCGTGTCAACCACCAGACTAGAAGACTTTGAGAGAGTAAGGGCTATTCCCAGTTTTTTAAATCCTGACCAAATTTCTTAAGGAAATTGAAGAACAGAAAAATCTATACATTTAGAGACAATCTTCTTACTAAGCTAACAGCTGTCACGTGAATTCCAGTTTTGTTATTTGCCTCATTTTCTTCTCTGCTTAGAGGTTACAGTGAGTTCCTCAACACATATATAAAATATTTCATTTGTTCAATCAGTAATGGGGTCGAAATTGTATGTTTAAAATTCAGTGGTTACAGAGTTTCAGTTTGAGAAAATGAAAAAGTTCTGGAAATGGACAGTGTTGACGACTGCACAACCATGTGAATGTTCTTAAAGCCACATAACTGTATACTTAAAAATGATTAAAATGGGGCCAGGCGCAGTGGCTCACACCTGTAATGCCAGCACTTTGGGAGACCGAAGCAGGCAGATCACCTGAGGTCAGGCCTTGCCAATATGGCAAAACCCCATCTCTACTAAACATACAAAAATTAGCCAGGCATGATGGAGGGTGCCTGTAATCCCAGCTACTCGGGAGGCTGAGGCAAGAGAATCGCTTGAACTTGGGAGACAGAGGTTGCAGTGAGCCGAGATGGTGCCACTGCACTCCAGCCTGGGCGACTCTGTCTCAAAAGAAAAAGATTAAAATGGTAACTTTTATGTAATATATATTTTACCACAATAAAAAATCCATATACTGGTAGGTACAGAGCGGTGTTCACTGGAGGAGAATCAAGATAAAACTGTACCTGGCCAGGTGCGGTGGCTCACGCCTGTAATCCCAACATTTTGGGAGGCTGAGGAAGGTGGATCATGAGGTCAAGGAGATCAAGACCATCCTGGCCAACATAGTGAAACCCCATCTCTACTAAAAATACAAAAATTAGCTGGGCATGGTTGTTGTGCCTGTAATCCCAGCTACTCTGGAGGCTGAGGCAGGAGAATCACTTGAACCAGGAAGTCAAAGGATGCAGTGAGCCGAGATCGTACCACTGCACTCCAGCCTGGTGACAAAGCAAGACTCCATCTTCAAAAAAAAAAAAAAAAAAGCTGTACCTAAGAGAAAAAATTCCACCTGGGATTTCAAAGATAAATTGTATCTAGAGATATCAAAGTTGAATATAATAGTCATAGGTCTCATCAGCAAAGTAAACACCTAAGAAAGGCAGGAAAATATTAAAACTCTTAAAATATCCATGGAGAGTCTCTGTCCCTAAATGCATATGTCAAAAAAGAAAAGCAAGGCAGTACACCTAGGTTCTGTGGGAACAAAAAGATGAAATCAATTCAGATTCATGTCCTCAAGAAATTGTCAATAAATGATTATCATAAGGAATTCTACTTCCCGGAGTCTATCTTACCTACAGGTTTCCCTCCTCCAAATACCTGCCCCAGAGCTACTTTGTCACCTAGTATTCTGCAAGTGAGTCCTATGTAATTTAAAGTCCACATTCTTCATGGTGGTGTGCCATAGCCAGAACATATCTTAACCATCAGCACTGCAAACTGTTTTTAAAAACAAGGGCTTTCGAATGTTCTACTTCCCTTCCAGTTAACCTCTCACTGGTACAGAAGGCAATTATCTCCCATGACAAGCCACTTGTATTTCTTTTTTTTTTTTTAATTATACTTTAAGTTTTAGGGTACATGTGCACATTGTGCAGGTTAGTTACATATGTATACATGTGCCATGCTGGTGCGCTGCACCCACTAACTCGTCATCTAGTATTAGGTATATCTCCCGATGCTAACCCTCCCCCCTCCCACCACCCCACAACAGTCCCCAGAGTGTGATATTCCCCTTCCTGTGTCCATGTGATCTCATTGTTCAGTTCCCACCTATGAGTGAGAATATGCGGTGTTTGGTTTTTTGTTCTTGCAATAGTTTACTGAGAATGATGATTTCCAATTTCATCCATGTCCCTACAAAGGACATGAACTCATCATTTTTTATGGCTACATAGTATTCCATGGTGTATATGTGCCACATTTTCTTAATCCAGTCTATCATTGTTGGACATTTGGGTTGGTTCCAAGTCTTTGCTATTGTGAATAATGCCGCAATAAACATACGTGTGCATGTGTCTTTATAGCAGCATGATTTATAGTCCTTTGGGTATATACCCAGTAATGGGATGGCTGGGTCAAATGGTATTTCCAGTTCTAGATCCCTGAGGAGTCGCCACACTGACTTCCACAATGGTTGAACTAGTTTACAGTCCCACCAACAGTGTAAAAGTGTTCCTATTTCTCCACATCCTCTCCAGCACCTGTTGTTTCCTGACTTTTTAATGATTGCCATTCTAACTGGTGTGAGATGGTATCTCATTGTGGTTTTGATTTGCATTTCTCTGATGGCCAGTGATGATGAGCATTTTTTCATGTGTTTTTTGGCTGCATAAATGTCTTCTTTTGAGAAGTGTCTGTTCATGTCCTTCGCCCACTTTTTGATGGGGTTGTTTGTTTTTTTCTTGTAAATTTGTTTGAGTTCATTGTAGATTCTGGATATTAGCCCTTTGTCAGATGAGTAGGTTGTGAAAATTTTCTCCCATTTTGTAGGTTGCCTGTTCACTCTGATGGTAGTTTCTTTTGCTGTGCAGAAGCTCTTTAGTTTAATGAGATCCCATTTGTCAATTTTGTCTTTTGTTGCCATTGCCTTTGGTGTTTTAGACATGAAGTCCTTGCCCATGCCTATGTCCTGAATGGTAATGCCTAGGTTTTCTTCTAGGGTTTTTATGGTTTTAGGTCTAACGTTTAAGTCTTTAATCCATCTTGAATTGATTTTTGTATAAGGTGTAAGGAAGGGATCCGGTTTCAGCTTTCTACATATGGCTAGCCAGTTTTCCCAGCACCATTTATTAAATAGGGAATCCTTTCCCCATTGCTTGTTTTTCTCAGGTCTGTCAAAGATCAGATAGTTGTAGATATGCGGCGTTATTTCTGAGGGCTCTGTTCTGTTCCATTGATCTATATCTCTGTTTTGGTACCAGTACCATGCTGTTTTGGTTACTGTAGCCTTGTAGTATAGTTTGAAGTCAGGTAGTGTGATGCCTCCAGCTTTGTTCTTTTGGCTTAGGATTGACTTGGCGATGTGGGCTCTTTTTTGGTTCCATATGAACTTTAAAGTAGTTTTTTCCAATTCTGTGAAGAAAGTCATTGGTAGCTTGATGGGGATGGCATTGAATCTGTAAATTACCTTGGGCAGTATGGCCATTTTCACGATATTGATTCTTCCTACCCATGAGCATGGAATGTTCTTCCATTTGTTTGTATCCTCTTTTATTTCCTTGAGCAGTGGTTTGTAGTTCTCCTTGAAGAGGTCCTTCACATCCCTTGTAAGTTGGATTCCTAGGTATTTTATTCTCTTTGAAGCAATTGTGAATGGGAGTTCACTCATGATTTGGCTCTCTGTTTGTCTGTTGTTGGTGTATAAGAATGCTTGTGATTTTTGTACATTGATTTTGTATCCTGAGACTTTGCTGAAGTTGCTTATCAGCTTAAGGAGATTTTGGGCTGAGACGATGGGGTTTTCTAGATATACAATCATGTCGTCTGCAAACAGGGACAATTTGACTCCCTCTTTTCCTAATTGAATACCCTTTATTTCCTTCTCCTGCCTAATTGCCCTGGCCAGAACTTCCAACACTATGTTGAAACCAAGCGGACCTAATAGACATCTACAGAACTCTCCACCCCAAATCAACAGAATATACATTTTTTTCAGCACCACACCACACCTATTCCAAAATTGACCACATACTGGGAAGTAAAGCTCTCCTCAGCAAATGTAAAAGAACAGAAATTATAACAAACTATCTCTCAGACCACAGTGCAATCAAACTAGAACTCAGGATTAAGAATCTCACTCAAAACCGCTCAACTACATGGAAACTGAACAACCTGCTCCTGAATGACTACTGGGTACATAACGAAATGAAGGCACAAATAAAGATGTTCTTTGAAACCAACGAGAACAAAGACACAACATACCAGAATCTCTGGGATGCATTCAAAGCAGTGTGTAGAGGGAAATTTATAGCACTAAATGCCCACAAGAGGAAGCAGGAAAGATCCAAAATTGACACCCTAACATCACAATTAAAAGAACTAGAAAAGCAAGAGCAAACACATTCAAAAGCTAGCAGAAGGCAAGAAATAACTAAAATCAGAGCAGAACTGAAGGAAATAGAGACACAAAAAACCCTTCAAAAAATTAATGAATCCAGGAGCTGGTTTTTTGAAAGGATCAACAACATTGATAGACCGCTAGCAAGACTAACAAAGAAAAAAAGAGAGAAGAATCAAATAGACGCAATAAAAAATGATAAAGGGGATATCACCAACGATCCCACAGAAATACAAACTACCATCAGGGAATACTACAAACACCTCTACGCAAATAAACTAGAAAATCTAGAAGAAATGGATAAATTCCTGGACACATACACTCTCCCAAGACTAAACCAGGAAGAAGTTGAATCTCTGAATAGACCAATAACAGGAGCTGAAATTGTGGCAATAATCAATAGCTTACCAATCAAAAAGAGTCCAGGACCAGATGGATTCACAGCCGAATTCTACCAGAGGTACAAGGAGGAACTGGTACCATTCCTTCTGAAACTATTCCAATCAATAGAAAAAGAGGGAATCCTCCCTAACTCATTTTATGAGGCCAGTATCATTCTGATACCAAAGCCAGGCAGAGACACAACAAAAAAAGAGAATTTTAGACCAATATCCTTGATGAACATTGATGCAAAAATCCTCAATAAAATACTGGCAAACTGAATCCAGCAGCACATCAAAAAGCTTATCCACCATGATCAAGTGGGCTTCATCCCTGGGATGCAAGGCTGGTTCAATATACGCAAATCAATAAATGTAATCCAGCATATAAACAGAGCCAAAGACAAAAACCACAATTATCTCAATAGATGCAGAAAAAGCCTTTGACAAAATTCAACAACGCTTCATGCTAAAAACTCTCAATAAATTAGGTATTGATGGGACGTATTTCAAAATAATAAGAGCTATCTATGACAAACCCACAGCCAATATCATACTGAATGGGAAAAAACTGGAAGCATTCCCTTTGAAAACTGGCACAAGACAGGGATGCCCTCTCTCACCACTCCTAAGCCACTTGTATTTCTAAAATGATATTTTCTGTTTTCAAAAATTTACAGATACTTTAAAGTTCAAATAAAGATCCATTATCACTGTTCTGTTCTAATGGCTAACTACACACAGAGAGCTCAATGACTGGCTAACTTCATACACACACGTGCATACATACACACACACGTGCAAGTAAGCACCACAACCTGACAAAGCCTCTCCTATCCCCTCACACAACTGTCCTAATCTGATGATAATTTCCTCCTCTGCACACACACTCATGCATGCGCACACACACACACACACCCAATAAAAAGGAACAACTTAGGTGGCCACAAGACCTACACAATTCTTTTCATTTACAAAATTTTAACTTTTCTATGTTTTGGGTTATGCGCTCATTTCTCTGTTGAGATCTTAAACAAGAGGGAATAAAAAAAGTGCCTCATTCCCAATCACTGAGTAGCCTAACAATAATTAATTAAACTTTATGGCAGTCCTCATTACCTGTTGAATGTGCTTCCCAGCCTATATTTCTGATCCACTTCATTATCAATGACCAGAGAAAAGAATAAACCAAACTTCATTGGGATAGAAGAATAAATGTATCAGTTACCTAGAAAATATGCTACATATTTATTGTTCTAACAAGATATTTTTTAAAATTTGGTCAAGTCCTTCTTCACTTATATTAATACTATATGAATGCATCCCTTCTGGATAATTCTTTGCAAAGCACTAAACAAGACAGATAGATACACATGATATTCACAAGAAGACACTTGTGAACAGATTTCTGGAGGAGAATAATCACTTTCCAATGAAATACTTTCCCAGAGTCATTCACCCCGCCAAAAAAAACCAGCTGAAAGGTGTGTGTGTCATGGTCAGGAGGCTGGGACAAGAGGACATAAGGAATGTAATTGTCTGGTTGAAAGGTTAACTTGCCTTCTTTTTTGAAGACAAGGTCTCACTCTGTCACCCCAGCGGCAGTGCAGTGGGTGCAACCATAGCTTACTGCAGTCTCCATCTCCTGGGCTCAAAGCGATCCTCCTGCCTCAGCCTTCCAAGTAGCTGGGACTGCAGGCATGTGCCACTACACCCAGATAATATTTTTTTTGTTTTTTTTAGAGACAGGGTCTCACTATGTTGTCCAGGCTAACCTGCTTTATTTCTTTTGGGTAACTATCATCAGCTGAAACTCTGCCTTGGATTATCTCTCAGAGATTTTTACTTTTCTGTACTTTGTTATCATTACATTACTTTTAGCCTAGGACGACATTCAGACTATGGCCTCGTGGAATGGATTTTTAAAAACAGCCACAAAATTCTTTGACACTCATCCTATCAAGAGATAGGTGTCTATGACCCCTTCCCTTGAGTATAGCTGTCTTGCAATTGCTTTGACCACTATAACACGACTTCCAAGGCTAGGTCAAATAAAGTGATAAAGCTTCCACTTTGTGCTTGGAGCCCATAAGAAGTTCAACCATAGTGATATTTCCATGCTGTGAGGAAAAGTCACATGTAAGCACTCAAGTCAGCAAATCTAGTCTTTAAACCATCCCAACAAAGGTGCCAGAGTTGTGAATGAAGGGGCCCCCTTCCAGCTCTCAAGCCTAAGCCCGTCTCAGCCTTAAAATCATCCCAGCTGATACCCCAGACGTCTTGGGGACAGAGTCAAATCATCTTCACTGTGCCCTTACCAAATTCCTGACCCACAGATTTTACAAGCATAATAAAATCATTGGTGTTTTTAGCTACTAAGTTTTATGATAATTTGTAATGCAGAAATAGTAACTGGAACATTATATATCCAAATTTAATTCAAATGCACCTTATTATTAAACCTGGAATATCTTACACAGCTTTATATGAGATTTCTCATCCTTCTAAATTCTCCTAACATTTTATCTTTATTTCTTCCATGGCACTTATCATTTTCTACCTTATAGTCCTATTATTCATGTATATTTGTCATTTTTCTTTTCTTTTTTTTTTTTGAGACAGAGTCTTGCTCTGTCACCCAGGCTAGAGTGCAGTGGTGTGATCTCAGCTCACTGCAACCTCCGCCTCCCAGGTTCAAGCGATTCTCCTGCCTCAGCCTCCCGAGTAGCTGGGATTACAGGTGCCAGCCATCACGCCCAGCTAATTTTTGTATTTTTAGTAGAGACTGAGTTTCACCATCTTGGCCAGGATGGTCTTGAACTCCTGACCTCGTGATCCACCTGCCTCAGCCTCCCAAAGTGCTGGGATTACAGGTGTGAGCCACCGCACCCAGCCTATTTTTCATTTTTCATTAGAAAACAAAGTTCCTTTAGGACAATGTGTTTCTGCCTTGAATACCATAATGCCTACCATAGTATTTTACATATTATAAATACTCAATACATATTTCATGAATGAGTGAGTGAGCTAATCAAGATTAGGTGAGAAAGAGACATTAATGCTATAGAGGAAAAGAAATATATAGCAGATAAAAGGAAGAAATAAAATAGTTATTGAAAGGATAAAAACATATTGAAAGGATAAAAACAAACAACATGCATGTGTTTTTCTTTTGGAAATGTGCTGAAAGAATTCACAATGGATCAATACACTTGACTCTACAAAATATTAAATTTTCAAAAAAAAAATTTAGAAAATAAAACCCAGACTAGGGAAATATTAACCTCCTGAAACAAAATAAAAGTCTCTATTGTATAAAGAGTTCAAACCTTTTATGGAAAAAATCAAGTTCCCAATAATATACATGATAGAAACTCACACAAGGAAAGGCAAACATATAAACAATAGATAGGGAAAGGACATGGAAAAATAGCAATGACATGTTAGGATAGTGGAACCACAATCCTGCACAGTTCAAAATATTATTAAAACACTCATAAACCTTCATATATTCCAGGATGATCTTTTAGTAACAGAACTTTAAGCTGATGGAAACCTTAATTTACATGCAGTAAAATTTACATTTGTGTACACAGTTATACGAGTTTTGACAAATGCATACAGTTGTGCAATCACCACCCTAATCAAGATACTAAACAGTTGCATTTACCCATAATATTCCATTTATACAATATTCTAGAAAAGCCAAAACAATGGAGGTGGAGAACACAGATCAGTCATTGCCAGGGGTTATAAATGAAAGGAAGGTTTAACTACAAAGAGTAGTATAAAGGAATTTTGGAAGGTGATAGAATTATTCTCTGCATCCTGTTTGCAGTAGTGGTTATATGAGTCTATACATGTTTTAAAATTCATATACACCAAAGAAAAGTGAACTTTACTATACGTAATTTAAATTAAAAAATTTTCACAGACAGATTCTTGCTCTGTCACCCAGGCTGGACTACACTGCTGCAATCACAGCTCACTGCAGCCTCAAACTCCTGGGCTCAACCCATCCTCCTTCCTCAGCCTCCTGAGTAGCTGGGGTTACAGGCTTGTGCCACCACATCCAGCTAATTTTTTTTTTTTTTTTTTTTTTTTTTTTGTAGAGACAAAGTCTTACTATGTTGCCCACACTAATCTCAAATTCCTGGCCTCAAGTGATCTTCCCACCTCAGCCTCCAAAGTGCTGGGATTATAGACATCAGCCACCAAGTACAGCTTATAATTAAAATTTAAAAAAAAAAACTACTTTAGGGTTATTTGCTAAAACTTCTTCTCAAGATGTAGAAGGATGTGAGAAAACACAAGTCAGCTAGATTTCTCTCTCTTCTAGATCATCCTTAAGTCTATTGCTTTGGCCATCCTGAACATTTTGAATATTTCTTCTTCTTTGCTTATTTGTATTTCTCTATATTTCAGTTCCCTTAGCATTATTTTGATGGGGTTTTCACGCCCAGTAAAGAAAACATCTGCCAGAGGACAAGACTAAAGCACTTGCTGAGAGCACAACAATCCTATGAATTCTCAACTGGGTTTCTCCAGGGCCAGGAAGATCTATCCCCCAGGTTGGAGGGCACATCGCAGGGATTGTTGGAGGGCTCTAGATCCAAACCTCAAACTTGGCTTCACTACATTCTGCACACGTGGCAGGGGTCGAGGGTTGCTGAAAAGAAACTACAGCCACCAGTAAACTCAATTGTTCATATCAAGAAGTAAGTATCAGCACAGAGGAAGATGACAAAATACTGAACTCAATGTATAGCTTAACCACGTAACTGAGAAACACAATCACCAGGCTCATGAAATTATTTGAAGAGACTATAGAAAGGCCAAGAGCCCAAAATTAAATTTCTTTTTTTTAATTTCTTTTTTCTAATCTTTGTTTTTGTATTTTGGACCTGCCACTTCAAGACCAAAATCAAATTTCTAAGAATAAAATAAAAAGATGCATTTAAGTCTCATAAATTTCTACGGTTTAGATTGCTTATGAGAACCAATATAGGGTTTGGTTTCTCACTGACATTAAAGCCATCACTGAAAATATAGCTTTAAAAAAAAACTATTTGTTAACATTGAAATCTGAAAACAATAAGGAAAATCTTTTAAAGTCATATACATAAATTCCCTTCCCAAAGCTCATACTGTCCAAAATAAGTTTATTTAAAAATACTCACAGAGAGATGTAGTTGCAATTGTTCAATAAGAAAATGGAGTTGTGAACAATTGGTACCACCACCGTGCCCAGCTAATTTTTTGTATTTTTAATAGAGACGGGGTTTCACCAGGTGTGAGCCACCGCACCTGGCCAAGTTACTTTTTACCCTAAAGAACAGGAACCAAACTGCCATACTGTCTTTAAACTAGATTTTAAAAATATTGCTTTCTGTGGGGAGCCAAAAAACAAGTTAAATGAACAAAAAATAAATAAATTAGATTTAAGGAATAAATTATTTCTCTTCTCTCACCCCAACTCAATATCAGTAAAGAGACACTGATCTTTTAAATTTAATGGTCATATATGTGTGCTTTTTCACTGAAGTCAGGTTCAAAATATTTCAGAAGCATATGTAATACAAGTAATTTTTTAAGGCAAGCAGAAAAAAAAAATGTTTAAAAATGAGATCCCACCTTACCCCAGACCATTCATTTAGGCAAAAGAGTAAGAAGCAAAAATTGGTACAAATATACAAATATCAAAATCAAGAAGAAAAGAGAAAAGAAAGTAAATCCAGGAACACCAGACCAACTTCTTTGACTACAGAGACCACACTCTGTGCATGTTTTGCATAATATCTAGCATACAAGAGGCTTCAACAATACTTTTACGTGGTGGTGAATACATGGTCTATGTGAACTCAGTCAATAGTACTGTGCCAGATCTAAGTCAAAAGATGTTCTACACCATACATTAAAGAGTAAATTTTGCTGTAGTGAAGACTTAACCACAGAAAGCAAAGGTTTGAAAGGACCATGATGACAACTAATCTTACCCAAGGGTCAGTTCTTTTAAAACCATTTACTCAAGGAATAATGCCTAGGAGCCTTCAATATCTTTTATAGGCAATTAGTTCATTTCCTTAAATCAGTTACATAACCCATATAATCTGGCAAAGGCAAGTTAGAATTGTAAAAGTAAATAAATCCTTCCCCTTGTTAAAAGGCTCACACAGAAATCAGCCTAGACAAGAATGATTACATTACAAATGTTATTTAGTCCCACAAAGCCTAAAGCAAACTAATCAAAATAAGAAATACAGATCTTCTCTCCTGTACAAATCAATTCCATAATAAGTGAAATCCAGAAATAAATTTCAAAAGGAAAACTAGAAAACAGTCGACAATTAACAGAACTTTTTGAGGATTTTTTTTTTAAATCACTTCAAACTAAAGTCACTGTTCCAAAATAAGATATACACAGCATTTTGGAAACACACAGGAAGAAGATCAACACAGAAAATGGAATAGGATAAAATGGAGGGGTTTTCTACTGCTCTAAAGATGGCTCTATTTCACACGGCAGAACCTACATGTATGTCCACTAAATGCTTCAATCTACTTCTATGTTAAAAACAAAATGACAACAACAAACGCAATGTAAGAACCTAAAAGATTTGTTGAAAATAAAAATATGACTGCTTAACTTAAAATTCACTACAGTAGCCCGCCAACCTCTTATCCACAGAAGATATGTTCCAAGTTCCCCCATATATCCCTGAAACCATGGATAGTACCATGCCCTATATAACTGTATATACCTATGACAAAGTTTAATTTATAAACTAAGCACAGGAAGAGATTAACCACAATAAATAATAATAAATGATAAAATAGAACAATTATAACCATATGCCAGTATCATTACTCTTGCACTTTGGAGCCATTATTAAGTAAAATAAGGGCTGCTTGAACACAAGCAGTCAATACCCACAGTAAATCTGATAACCAAGAGGGTTACTAAGTGACTAACAGGTGGATAGGGCAGGTAGTATATACAGCATGGATACGCTGGACCAAGGGGTGATTCTGTCAGGTGGGACAGAACAGGAGATTTCATCACACTACTCCAGTGAACAACTTGAAGTTTATGAATTATTTCTGGAATTTTCCATTTAATATTTTTGAACTGCAGTTGACTCTGGATAACTGAAACCATGAAAAGTAAAACCATAAATAAGGGTGGACTACTGTACAGTACTAACAGTAAAATGGACAATTTTGAAACTCCTCCTCAGATTCGCTAAATGATTGACCTTGTACATTTTCTTATTTTTCTGCAGCTTCCCAGGTATATTGGAAGAAAGACAGAAGACTGAGAGACTTCTAGCTAGACACCATTTTAAACAAGACTATACAATTGTTTCCTAGATCCAAAGGCAATATATCAATGTACAATTTTTTTAAAGTAATTCTATTTGAGGCCAAAATAATAGAGTGTATTAGTTTTCTTTTCCTGGGTAACAAACTGCTATAAATTTAGCAACTTAAAGCCACACACAATTACTGTCTCAGAGTTAACTCATGGATCAGGAGTTCAGAATGCCAGTATTACTACTGGGTCTGGGTCCTTTGTTCAGAGTCTCACCAGGCTGAAATCATGGTGTCAACCATTGCTGTGGTCTCTCTCACCTGGAGCTCAGAGTCCTCTTTTAAGCTATTAAGGTTGTTGGCAGAATTCAGTTCCTTGTGGTTGTAGGACCAAAGTCCCCATTTTCTTGCTGGCTGTCAGGTGGGGATCATTTACAGCAACTCAAGGCTGCCTACAGTTTCCTGCCATGTGGCCTTCTCCAAAAATGGCACTTTGTTTCTTCAAGACCAACAGTAGAGTATCTGCTGGAGCACTGAATCTTTCTAACATCTTCTATCTCTGACCTCCTGGCCCTCTTTTAAAGGATCTCCCCTGATTAGATCAAGCCCACTCTCTCAAGAAAAAGTGATTTTATTGGATGTACATACAAGGTGGCAAGAATCCTGGAGGACATTTTAGAATTCTGTTTAACACATGCAATTAAAGAAAAAGAGCTTCCTAGTGATAAAGTTCTATCTAAAGACCTTTAGATTTTAAACCACATGCAATTAAAGAAAAAGAGCTTCCTAGTGATAAAGTTCTATATAAAACCTTGCATACAAAAGAATGCATAAGCCACATATGCTTCAGAGGATCCTCAAATAGTATTTTTTGTGTTTTATCTTTTAATAAAATTGAACAACAAACAGTTTGAGATTATAATCTCAGATAACTTTATTAGAGATTAATTTACTCATTGAAGTTTAATTAGGGTAGAACCCTTTAGTGATGTTTTGGCTGATATATCCCAAAAAGAAGCCTATGTACCAACCTGGCTCCACACTATCAAGGACAAAGTCCACCCATGGATCACTGCAGCAACTCAGGACACATTGGGTAGAAGAATAAAAAGAGGGATGTTCACCAAGAAAAAGCACTCACCTACATAATTTCTAGAAGAGCCCAGACCAACTGTCAATATTAAGTAAGACTTTCAAGTCTGTTTTCTCAGTACAATTCTAAAGAAGCATACTTAGAAATGTTTGGAAAAAGAAGTTACCATGATACAGGAGGAATATAAGAACAAGAACAAATTCTTTTTTTTTTCTTTTATTATTATTATACTTTAAGTTTTAGGGTACACGTGCACAATGTGCAGGTTAGTTACATATGTATACATGTGCCATGCTGGTGTGCTGCACCCATTAACTCGTCATTTAGCATTAGGTATATCTCCTAAAGCTATCCCTCCCCCGTCCCCCCACCCCACAACAGTCCCCAGAGTGTGATGTTCCCCTTCCTGTGTCCATGTGAAGAACAAATTCTTTAAAGCCAATACTGTGATTGTCAGACTAAAAATAATAACAAAGTTCTAAATAGCAGCAATGACAAAGCTAAAAACTGAATTAGTAAATTAGAAGGCAAACACACAGGGAAAAATGATGAAAAGATAAGATTGTGAAGAAAAAGCAAGAGACGTGGAAGATATTTATCTTTCTAGGCTATATGATAGCAGGTTATAGCAGAGACTAGCTTAGCTATTCATCAAACCTATTTCTTCTTCCTCCTGATCACATAGCTAGAGTATATTTCCAAGCCTCCTTTGCAGTGATTGACCTCTGGCCAATATAATATTGGCAGAAGTGAGATGTGCCACTTATAAGCTTGATCCCTAAAAAACCTCCAGGCATTACTTACTCTCTTTCCCCTTCTGTGGTACCCTTGAAAGCCACAAGGTGGAAGAGTCCTAGATCTCTTGAGAGTCACCCACCAGGGACATGCACTTTGGTATTTACATAAGCAAAACATAAAATTTCTATTATTAGATTTTAGAGTTTGTCTGTTATAGCAGGGAACATTATTTAATGAATACAGAAACAGGTGTTGGAAATATGGTGTTGCCCCCAACAAAAAAATCTAAAATAAAAGACATGGGTTTAGTGGTCAGGCAGTGGGCAGTAAGAACATATATTTAACAAGTTAAAAGGCTGAAAAGCCCTATAATACTGTGGCAAAACAACTGGTAAAATTGGAACCTATAATAAGTGAATAGGCATACCACATCCCTACTGGGCCTGTTGCACTATAAGTGAATAAAGAGTAAGAGTTATAGTGTACACTGGTATTCGCTTTCTGCTTTTGGCAAGGTAGTGCATAAAAACGATAAGCTCAGAAAAGTATTAGCTCATTTGCAGACTGAATTTATAGGGAAAGAAGTAGTCCCAGAAACTTAGGCCTCACAGAGTTAGAAAGGTGAACACATACAGATCTTAAACAATATGAGAAAAAAAAAATAGTAAAGGCTTATGCAATGAAGTCCCAAGAAGGCTTCTAGTTCAACAAAGTGACTCAACTCTAAGGCAGAGATCAGATTCAAGCATGATCTTACCACCCACTGTTTCACATCACCTCAATGTAAGGCCATCAAACTGAGAAAGAAGCATGAAGCAAGGGCTATGCTCCCCAACCTCCACTACTTTCCCAAAGAGAGGAGAAGAAAAATAAAATAATTCTTGAAAATTATATTTAGGGAAGAACAGTGGGTATGGTGTCTGCACAGAACCTATTGGAAAGAAAAAGATGAGATGCCTACTACATTTTGAGGGAATGATAATGTCAAAAAAACACAAATGTGGACTAAATTTTAATAAACGTTTGTGCCAGGCACAGTGGCTCATGCCTGTAATCCTAGCACTTTGGGAGGCCGAGGCGGGTGGATCACGAGGTCAAGAGATCGAGACCATCCTGGCCAACATGGTGAAGCCCCGTCTCTACTAAAAATACAGAAAACTAGGGAGGCTGAGGCAGGAGAATCACTTGAACCCGAGAGGCAGAGCTTGCAGTGAGCCGAGATTGCACCAATGCACTCCAGCCTAGTGACAGAGTGAGACTCCGTCTAAAAAAATTAAAATAAACGTTTGTTCAGAACCTTAAACCAACCCTCAGGCAAAAAGCAAAAAGCAGGCAGTAAAAGACATATATAAATGTAAATGTAGACACAATTGCAGATATAGATATATAGATATAAAGAGAGAAAGAGAAGTATGCCTCCTAAGGAATGTATATTTCCCAGCATCTACTTCAGAAGTATACATTTAAAATATATATATAATATATAAAAATAAAATATGTACATAAATATATATAATATATAAAAATAAAATATATATATGAAAACAAGGAAAAGCCAGCGTGCAGCTAGGAGCTCAAGAGAACAATGAGCAAAGGAGTTCCTTCCAGGGAATCAAGGTCTAAGCAAGGAAATTCCCCTACTACCAGAGCAGAGGAACTTCACGGGGCCTGCCTAAGTAGATTATATGATTTGTTATGAAGCAGAGAATATTGTTTGTCTCTGGTTCTTCCCTTTTCTAAATGAAAGGTTTTGTTATAGTTATTTTATTCTAGCTTCTTCATTGTATATTGGGGGTGGGAGGAGACACCAGTGCAGATAACTTGCAATTTTAGTTGAGTAGTTACCAGCTCATGAGGAACCATGGCTGAATCTTATGGAGAGGGTTGAGCATCCCTGGAAGATACTAGATTTTGAAATGGATGTAGTGACTACATGGGCCATTGGACTGTTGCCCCCTAAGGAAGGAGTGAGTGTGTTCTATGTATGAGAGAAAGAATGAAAAGATATTTGATGACCAGAAGGTAGACTGTGCCAGATACTAGCTATTATTCATCAAACCTATTTGCTCCTCCTGTTAGAGAATGAGTGAGATTACATTTTCCAGCCTCTCTTACAGCTAGGTATGGCTATATAATTAAGTTCAGACCAACAGAATATGGGTAGAAGTAATGTGTGGCATCCATGCCTGGCCCTTAAAGACCCTCCCACATGCAACACTCTTTGGTCTTTCCCCTTCTGAAGCAATCTTCAAAGCCATCTTAAAGATGGAAGAGCCATACAATGGAAGGATTCTAAGTACTTAAATCACCATTGCAAAGAAAACCATCACAAACCAGAAACACTATTTTGGGCTTGAGGCAGTGAGAAATAAACCACTTCCTCTCCCTCTTATCTGGGAATTCAAACATTTATTGAACACCTACTACGTACAAAGTACATGGTATTTTCTCTCTCCTATCTTCCTTACACTCTCGGTACTACAAAAGATTTTTTAATGTGTTAACATAACATATCTTTACTCAAGGATCCTGAGATGAAATATTTTATAGGAGAAATGAAGATTTCTCAGTTAATTAAAAGTCCTGGATTCACAAAAGATTTCTTCATCATTTCTTTATATGACAAAAATATAGCAAACAGCTAATAGTTTACACAGATTGAGTACCATAGTAGACAAATTCATTTCAACCCAACCTGAATTCTAATGCAGGATCTGACCTTTACAAGGTATTTGAACTTGAGGCAAGTTACTTCCCTCCTCTGGGTCTTAATTTCTTCAGATAATTAAGGAATGAGACCAGCTGGCCTCACGTTAAATAAAGTAATATTCTTCATGGCTTCCTCTTTCTTTCATCAAAAGGGAAGTAAATTAATTTCTCAAGCAGAGGCCTAGAAAAAGCAATTTTTAAAAAGGCAACTTCCATAGAGGCTTTGTACTACACTCTCCTATATTTTAAAAGCTTAGGAAAAACTGAACCAATCACAATAAAGACTTATCTTAGAAGATAGCTTCATTCCTGTATTCAAAATACGTACCCAGCAATGCTAAGGTATATTGTCACTGATTAATTTTATTTCTCCATCACTATAAGCAATGAAATCATATAATTATTTCTATCAGGTTTATCATCTAGTTTTAAACTCTGCACTTTGTGAAGTATAACACTGACAAAATTTAAAGGAAGAAAAGGGAAATATCTGCATTCCCTGAGGAAAGGGTAACTGGAGAATCTCTTTTGGAGGATCAAATAGATATTATAGATCAAATAGACATCTGAATAGATTATCAAGGCTAGTCGAGACCTAAAATATGATTTGAAATATAATCTATTCCCTCATTCCTCACAGAATGATAAAAACTACAAATGATCTATTCAAGAACACTATTGTTTACAGAACCAAAAAGTACTTTCCATAAACAACTGACTCTTGTATTTGTTGCTGTAGGCTACATCATCAGGTATACTAAAAATTTTTAATAAAATCAATGTGACAAATTTCAAGTGAGCAAATGCCATTATAAAACATTACTGACCTTTCATTCATAATTTAAAAAAAGAAATTTAGATGTTCCTTGTGACTTTGGTGACTTAGGAATGAAGATTTTTTTAACAAATGTATATACTGCTAACATATTTTTTAATATATAAGCTGTTAATAAATCCTTTTCTTTGATCATAATTCAAAGCATTTCCTAATAGGCCTTTTTTCACTGATACCTATTAATATCAGAAATATGCATATATAACATGCTATCTTGCTTACGTAGTAAATAATCAGCCAAAGACACATGCAGTACAATTTAGGTCATTAACTAGAAGGAGAACTTTAAAATATCTTAAGCTACAAATTATATGCAAAGTCAAGGGAAGTATACAAACAGTAGAAAAATTTCTTCATAACCTCAATGTAAACCATCACAACTGATCAATATTTACTGAACATCTACAGAGCAAATTGTCCATTGCTCTGTTAAAAAAATGAAAACATTTTTAATCATATGTTTCCATAAATATGAAGGACTTCCCTAAAATGATAAGAAACTTGGATAAGATAATGACTAGACACTTGGCAAAGAGAAACCTGTGTTTAACTCAATACTGATAAAGCCACTGGCCAACCTATCATAAACCCAAGACCTACTTGCTTCATGGCAGTCTCTCCAATTTTGTCTGAATGTTTGCGGATGCTCTCCAGAAAGTCTTTGAGATCGGACATAGAAACATCTTTTATTTCTTCTCGAAGCTTGGGGATGTTGTCCACCATCACCTTGCAGAATCGATAGTGGCTTACTTGAGGCAGGTAGGTATGCTCTAGATGTTCCAGAGTTTTCAGTGCAGGATAATGCCTACAAAAGGAATTGATCACCTTTAGCTCACTCAGTTTTCTTTAGGGTTAGGCAAAATGTCTAGCCTGAATTGGTTTTCACTGTGCATTAACACAAATCCAGCATGAAGTTTTAATGAGAACATCAGTGAAAAGAATCTCAAATTATTAAAAACTAATACATACTTTAAAAGACCAGGAAATTATAATCAAAAAAAGATTTTATCCAAAGAATGCATAAGATTTAAAATAGCTACCAATAAAATTAATGACATAAGAGAAATAAAAGGGGCCAGGCATGGTGGATCATGCTTGTAATCCCAGCACTTTGGGAGGCCAAGACAGGTGGATCACTTGAGGCCAGGAATTTGAGACTAGCCGGGTCAACACAGTAAAACCCCATCTCTACTAAAAATACAAAAATTAGCCAGGCCTGGTGGCGCAAGCCACCTCAGAAAGCTGAGGCATGAGAATCATTTGAACCCCGGAGGCGGAGGTTTCAGTTAGCCAAGATCACGCCAGTGCACTCCAGCCTAGAGGACGAAGTGAGACTCAATCTTAAAAAAAGAGAAATAAAAGGAAATAAAGAATGATTGTCTCAATGCCAAAAAAAAATTCATCCTATAAAATGAAGTATCCAAGGCTAGACTTCCAACTATGGCACACAGAAAAGCTTGGCAAATCTTCTATCCAAAGAAAACAAATGTAAACTATCCAAAACAACTATTTCAGGGTTCTGGAAACTAAACAAAAGAGAACAACAAATCAAGAAGTGTTTATTCATAATAACTGCTCAACAGTGGGACTCTGTAGCTTTCTTGCCTGGGGCTACTTCCAACACCCTCCCCCTCTAATTCCTCCACCCCTGGTCATTGGCCATGGCTAGTCATGAAAACCAGCAGCTTTCCTGAGATGAGGGGCTGACACAATTTGGAGCAGAGGGCAAAAAACTCATATTGAGAGATGCTGTTAGTGAAAGTAGCAAACTCAGTAAAAATAAATAAATAAATTAAGAAAAGTCTCCAGCTCTACTGGTCAAATGTTACAATTTGGGTTGGGGCAAACAACAGACCAAAGGACTAATCAGAAATTTAACGGGGAAGTCATAAAAATAAAAGACCTACAGAAGGGCTTGATAAACTCCGCAAGTTGCTAGCCGGCTGAGAGGCTATGCATACCTGCAGGCGACACCTAAAAGGGTCTAAGCAATCCACTCATCCCTGGCTGACTAGGAGGCTGTAGACAGGCACGTGGGAAACCTAAGAAGGTAGGTAAAAGTTTAAGCTGACTTTAAAACTGCTTTTAATGTAGTCCCTAACCCATATACAAACTCATTAGCAAAGACTGGAAACCTTACTCACTCAAGTTTGTTTGAGCATAACCTCTAACCAATCATTAGCTGATGACTATTTAAAAATCAAAGTGAAATATGATACCTTGCTAGATAAACAAAGACAGAAAATTCCTTGCTAGCAGACCTGCCTTACAAGAAATACTAAAGGAAGCCTGAAAGGAAATGACAGCAGATGGTAACTTGAATTCACAGAAAGAAACAAAGAACATGGGAAATAGTAAATACATGCTAAATATGAAAGACAAGTATTTTTTCTCTTTTCTTAACTTCTTTAAAAGATAAGATTTTTTAAAGCAATGATTATAACACTGTATCATTGGGTTTACAAAATATTTAAGTGTAATATATCTAACAATAACAGCACAAAAGAGTAGGAAAGAAATGGAGCTAATGGAAGCAAAACTACTGCTATATATTTACCAAATTTATAGCAGCAGTGACCTCCAGTAGACTGTGATAAGATGCATATTATAATCCATAGAACAACCTCTAAAAAACCAAAAATATATATCATTTGAAAATCAACAAAAGAATTCAAATAGTACACTAAAAATATATAACACAAAAGAAAGCAGTAAAGGAGCAACAAAAACAAAACAAAAAAAGACATGAAAAATAGAAAACAAAGAAGAAAATCCAACCATATCAATAATTACATTAAATGTGAATGGACTAAGCACTCCAATTGGAAGGCCAACATTGTCAGGACTTAAAAAGCATGATCCAACTACATATTGTCTACAAGAAACACACTTAGATTCAAAGATACAAATAGGTTGAAAGTAAAAGAGGAAAGAAGATATGCCATAAAAAAAAGAAACCACAAGGCTGGGCACAGTGGCTCATACCTATAATGCCAACACTTTGGGAGGTCAAGGTGGGCAGATCACTTGAGCTCAGGAGTTTGAGATCTGCCTGGGCAACAAGGCAAAACCTCATCTCTACCAAAAAAATTACAAAAAAATTAGCCAGGTGTGGTGGCGTGCACCCGTAGTCCCAACTACTTGGGAAGCTGAGGTGGGAGGATCACTTAAACCCGGGTGGGCAGAGGTTGCAGTGAGCTGAGATCAGCCCACTGCATTCTAGCCTGGGTAACAGAGTGAGACCCGTCAAAAAATAAAAATAAAAAATAAAGGAAACACAAAAGAGCTGAAATGGCTGTATTAATATGAGATACAAAAGACTTTAAGCCAACAAATATTGCTAGTAACACAGAGGGACATTCCATAAAAAAAAAAGGGATGATATTTGTCTAATAGGAAAGCTTCTATAAGCATAGAAGGACAAATAAAATTAAGATTAATAAAGCTGAATAGGTAGAAACGAAATAAGTTATGCAAAGAAAACATAAGAATAAAGAGAAAAACTGGTAACGTTTATTTGTAATGTGTACCTAAAAGATTAATAGGCCAGGCGTGGTGGCTCATGCCTGTAATTCCAGCACTTTGGGAGTCTGAGGCAGGCAGATCACTTGCGGTCAGGAGTTCAAGACAAGCCTAGGCAACATGGTGAAACCTCTTCTCTACTAAAAATACAAAAATTAGTCGGGCATGTTGGTGGGAGCCTATAATCCCAGCTACTCAAGAGGCTGAAGCAGGAGAATTGCTTGACCCTAGGAGACGGAGGGTGCAGTGAGCTGAGATCACACCACTGCACTCCAGCCTGGGTGATAGAGTAAGACGCCATCTCAAAGAAAAAAGGTTAATAAACTTGAGTTGTTTTTGTAAAAAAAAAAAAAAAAAAAAAAAATGAACAAAGAAAATTCACAAAAGAACCAAAAAGGGCCAACATATGAAAAAAAAAAAAAAATGTTTAACTGATATGTGAAAAAATGCAAATCAAATTGCCAAATATTTCTTAAAAAATAATTTGTAATACATCAGGGGTTTCAATAATGGAATTCACAGCCAGCTGACAAACAGGTTTTTATTAATGACACAAGTTTTCAATGAAGAATTTTAGCAAAACAACTATTTTAAGCAATTGCATTTCCAAACAAAAAAAAGATGCACAGCAGTATGTATAAGCCTCTTGAATTATAGAATTATTTATATTAGCAAATAAAAAAACTAACCTAGATGTCTAATAAGAAGTAGTAAAAGGCTAATAAAATAGCAAAATGTTTACAATATTGTTGAATGAAAATCATTTCAAAAAATAGATCTAATTGCCTCTTGGCCTTTTGGCTAAGATCAAATTTAATATCTGATATATCTTATCAGTTTAATATCTGATACATCCTCTTATCAGAGGACAATATTTATTAAATGGATTTTTGCAGCAGGGAGATAAAATGGGAACTTATTTAGTCCACTTCATGCATCAACCTGGCATTGCAGTACCTCCAGGAATGGTGCTCTAATTGAAAAAAAAAAAAAAAAGATCTTACAAGTATAATCATAATATTCTTCAAAATTATAAATACTTACACATATAAATTATGAACATGTATGCATATATGAGATATATATCACTGGAAACACACACACACACAAAAGTAGAGAGCAAAATGAGAAAAATAAATACAAAAATGTTAGGCATATTTTTCCTTTGGATGGCAATATTACGAGCTAATTTCCTTTGGATGGCAATATTACAAGATAATTTTCTCCTTCATACTTTTAATTTCCTAATTTCCATGTTTCCCATGATATATTTGGTATAGGAAAAATTCAGTTCCATCCTTAAAAAGAAAAAAGACTTATAGCTCTATTTTGGACTTTAAGAATGATTTTCACAGCAGATACTTAAACTCTTCTTGCTCTAATGAATTTAGTACCACAAATGCTAAAGACTAGAGACTGGTTTTACTTGGTTTTTTTGTTTTGTTTTGTTTTGTTTTAATGTTTTCCCTCATGTGTTCCAAAAATCAAAGTCTTTGTTTAAGTAAATGGAGGGAAGAAAGTTTTATTCCCCCTAAATTTAGAAATAAAAGTACAAATATAGTTAAATCTGAAATCATTGCTCTTATTAAAATTTTACAGGCTCAAAAACAATACAATTCACATGGTTTAGTGTAAACAGAATGGTGTTTATACTACAATTAGGTATGAAGAGCTATGTGCAATAAAATGCAATTCCTCTAGAGAGAAACTTTAGAACGGATAGAAAGCCAAAAATTAAGCCAAAAAGATAAACACACTTTGGGGTTTAGTTATATTTTGGAACATTGTTTATAGAATGAGGAAAATTCAACAATGTTGTCTGCAGACGCAAGGCACATTCACTGATGAGACACATGGCTCATGCTGAAAACATCTGGTCTGTCAAATAGCTCCACATTTTTCAAGGCTAATTAGTACAAAACCCAGTGATTCCTGGCAACAAAGAATGTCACCCTATTTCCCCATTTTCCCTTCCCAGTATAGTCACATTTTAACTATAACAAATCAGTAATATTCAAATGTCTAGTCTATTTCAATATCCGTGACAGGTTAAAGAATGATAGCCAACTAACACCTGTATAGCAGGCACCAAAAGAAAAAAAATATGTCCAGTGACCACGGAAATCCAAAATTAGATTTTGATGTACTTTTGACAATCTCCAAACATTATTAAAACTGAATCAAAAGGCAAATTCCTAAGTTTCACTTGTATGTGTGGTCACTCTCTCCCCTCTTCTCATGCAGGCTCCTTAACAGAGATGCAATCAGAACTAAAGTAAAGAAAATAAAAGCAGAGAATAAAAGGGAGGAAGGCAGGGAAAGAGGTTCTAAATAATCCTACAAACTGAGTAACCATGATCAGAATAACAGACATGGTTGAATGCTAAAGCAAGAAGAAGAATATTGATTCCAAGCAAATTAAATTTTGGTACTTTCTTGCCATACCATGGAATTCTTTCACAGTGATGGTTTCTAAAATTCTAGGAAGTGATCCTTGAAAGCAAATTGCAACTATCTATAAGAAATTTTTTAAAATTCAGAGTATGATAAAATATGAAATAAAAACTTTCATCACAGAAAAATATTAGTGTCATTCCTAATCAAAGAGCATCATTAACAAATACGTAATTTCTTCTGTGCGCTAGAGATAGAAAGATGTTCAGATGTCTTTCCCTAGGGAGCACAAAATGCAGTAGAAAAATCAGTATTTATAGCTTAAAAAAAAAAAAAAAAAAGACTTCTAGCTACGAAAGCCTAACAAGGAACAGACATGATCTCTCACTTTATAAACAAGTAGAATATTGGCAAAAATATATGAAACAGCCATTTTCAGACATTGGACATCAGGCAACATAGAACTGCTATCTCTGTAAAAAGAGAAACAAACAAGGTGAGTTTAATAATTACCAGGATTATCTACCTAAAGTTGACTTCTAGGTCATGGGCACAGCCAGAAAAAATCAAAACAGAGCTCAGCAGCCTTGCTGACTTAAAGAATCAGTGATAGTAGCTCAGGAAAGTTGATTCAGCTTGAAGTTGTGTGGCAGAGTTCCCCAAAAAAAGAGCAATGCAGAAAAAGAACTGCAGAAATTTACACAGGGGTTCCCTTGAGTCTGCTAAGTACTAGGACAGGCATAGAGAAAGTGAAATTCCACATGGATAGGTAAAAAGAAGGAAGGAAGGGAGAGAGTGGGAGACCAGCCAGGGGAAGGTAAGATGAACACTTCCACAATCTCAGACAAGGCAGATAAACATTCAAACTCTGAACAGTCAAAATGAAGAGTCGTTGGGGACTCCTGAGCTATTCAGAGTAGATTATAGACGGATCAAGTCTTACTTAGTAAAGCTGAACTTCCCTGGAATAAAGGTGGGCCTTTAAGCAGAGCTTAAAAATTGGGTTTGAAGGTAACAAACTGATCTGCAATCAACTCACCATTCGCTAAAACAAAGCCCAACACTCTCTAAAGGAAAAAAAAAGCACCCCAAAATCCAGAGACTCATCAACATAATGTTCATTAATCAATCAAAAATTTCTGGACATGAAAAGAAGCAAAGAACTGACCTACAACCAGGAAAAACAAAATCAATCTGCAGAAAGATCTAAAAAAATACCAGAAGTGGCAGAATTCGCAAAGGAGTACATAAAAACAGCAATTAGAACAATGTACATGTATGTAAAGAAAAACAAATAATAAAAGAAATAAAACATAAAAAGCTAAATGTAACTTCTATACATGAAAAATATATTATCTGCAATGAAAATGTCACTGAAAGGGACTAAAACATTACACAATGCAAATGAGAGAGATCAATGTGCTCGAACACAGCCATAAAATCTATCTCAAATAAAGCACAGAGAGGGCTGAGGGGGTGGGGAGAAAAGATCTTCAAGTCACCTGTGGGGTTAATCAAGCTGTCCAACATAAATATTAATATAACTAAAGTCCCAAAATGGTGATGGGAAAAGGACAAAAAAAGAGTTTGTAGAAATCAGGTCAACATTTTCCAGATTTTATGAATATTGTAAACCCACAGATCCAAGAAGCTAAACAAACCACAAGCAGGATAAATACACACATGTGTGCACATATTTACACCAAAGTGCACAAAATCAAACTGCCTGAAAACAAATGATAAAGACAAAAGTTTTAAAGCAGCTAGAGAAAAGACATACTACTTACAGGGAGACAAAGGTAAGGCTACTTATACATCTCTCAGAAGCCAGAAGACAATGAAATCATCATGTCTTATAAACTAATGAAACTATAAACCTCAAATTCTATATCCATCAAGGATTTTTTTTAAATGAAGGTAAACAATGAGATACTATTTCACACCCACCAGGATGGCTACATTAAAGTCAAATAATAAGGATTTTTTTTTTTTAAACAGACTCTCACTCTGTCGCCCAGGCTGGAGTGCAGTGCGCCATCTCGGCTCACTGCAACCTCCGCCTCCCTGGTTCAAGCAATCCTGATGCCTCAGCCCCTCTGAGGAGCTGGGGTTACAGACACAGACCACCACACCCGCCTCATTTTTGTATCTTTAGTAGGGATGGGGTTTCACCATGTTAGCCAGGCTGGTCTCAAACTCCTGGGCTCAAGCAATCTGCCCACCTCGGCCTCCCAAAGTGCTGGGATTACAGGCGTAAGCCACCACACCTGGCCTGGGTAGACAATAATAAGTATTGGCTAGGCTATGCAGAAATTGGAAACATCTATGCTGCTGTTGGGAAGATAAAAAGGTGCAGGTGCTTTGGAAAAGAATCTAACAGTTCCTCAAAATGGTAAAACATACAGAGAGACAAAGTGCACCAAATGTTTACCATGCGACCCAGAAATTCTACTCCTAAGTATATTTGCAAGAAAACTGAAAGCATATGCTCACACAAAAGCTTGTAAATGAACATTTGTAGCAGCATTATTCGTAATAGTTAAAAAGTGATAATAACCTAAATGTCCATCAACTGATGAAAAGGTAACTAAAGCAGTATATATACAATGAGAGAGTATTCAGCCATAAAAAGGAATGAAACAGTGATACATGCTACAACATGAATGAATTTTGAAAACCTTCCATTATGCTAAGTGGAAAAAGTCAGACACAAAAGGCTGCATATTGTATGATTCCATTTATATGAGATGTTCAGAAGAGGCAAATCTATGGGGTCAGAAAGTAGATTAGTGGTTGCCAGGGCAGCGAGGAAAGAGGAATGGGTACCCTTTTTGGGGTAATGAAAATGTCCTAGAATCAGCTAGTGATGATGATGTTACAACCACGTGAATGTACTAAAATCTATTCAACTGTACACTTAAAAATGATGAATGTTATGATATATGAATTGTAATTCAATTTAAAAACTGAAGGTGAAATAAATACTTTTTTCAGAAATACTGTATTTCTGAGAGAATTCATAGCCAGCAGACTGATCCAACAAGAAATATTAAAGGTTGTCATTTAATCAAAAGGGAAAAATAATACCAGATACAAACTTGGATCTACATTTAAAATAATGTGGGTAAAATGTGAGAGTTTTTCTCTTTAATTTTTAAATTTCTTTAAAAGTTACAGCAAAAATGAACATGTGTGGCACTACACTATATTGTTGTCATAGGTCTTATGACATAATAACTTAACAATAATAACATAACAACAATGACATAAGGGAGGGTAAAATGGAAGAATATCATTATAAGAATCTTGCATTGTGTGTGATTTGGTGTAATATTTAAAGACTCATTGTAAGTCATACATTGTAAAGATAGAAGGAACCAGGAAAAAAATAAAATACAGTCAGCCCTTCATATTTGCAGGTTCCAGATCTATGAATTCAATCAACTATATTGATCAAAAATATTTTTTAAAAAACACAAATAAAACCAAACAGTGTAACAACTACTTACATAGCATTTACATTGTATTAGGTATTCTAAGTAATCTAGAGATGACTGAAAGTTTTCGGAGGATGTGTATAGGTTGTACGCAAATACCATGCCATTTTATATAAGGGACTTAAGCGTCTACACCTAGTCCCCTATCCCAGGGGTTCTGTAACCAATACACTGAGGATACCAAGGAAAAATTGTAAAACAAAGAGGTATAAATAATAGGGCATTACTAAATATAAAACAACAACCTGAAATATAGAAATTGATTTTTTAAAAAGATAAGAATACACAGAAGGAACAAAGAACAGGTAGGATAAATGGAAAATACATTAGAAGACAGTAGATTTAAACCCGTATGTTGATAATTGTATGAAATGTAAAAGATCTAAATAGTCTCATTTAAAAACAGAGATGGCCAGATGAGAGATTTTTAAAGAAAGCAAGATCATTCTACAGAATAACTGGCCTGTAATCTTCAAAAGTAATAAAGTCATGAAAGGCAAGGAAAGGCTGAAGACAGTTCCAGACTGAAAAAGACTAAAGAGACATGACAACTAAAAGCAACATGTGATTTGAACTGGATTCTTTTGCTAGAAAGAACATGATTGAGACAATTGGCAAAACTTGAATTGGGTATGCCGATTAAGTGCTAGAAATATTTCAAAGCTAATGTCCATTCTCTATCGCACTGTGGTTGCATAGAAGAATGTCTTTATCTGTAGGAACCACATTAAAGTAATTGGGGATGACGGTGTGTCATGTTAGCAACTTACTTTCAACTGGTTCAAGAAAAAGACACCGTTATTTATACTGAACTTAAGAAGGTCTAAAACTAAAATTTTTTGAAACCCACAAAATAAATTTGATTATACCAAAACTTAAAACTTCTACGCAACAAAAACTACTAATTATATAATGTTAATAGGTAAGCCATGCATTGGAAGACAATATATAACAGGAAAAGGCATCCAAAGTATATAATTCCTATAAATGAAAAAGAAAACAATAAACAACCTAAAAGTGGTCAGGAAGTAGATGAGAGAAAACCCACATGCCTAAAACCTAAATTCACTAATAATCTAATAAAAATAAAATAAAAATCACAATAGTGATCTATCATTTCACAATCACGAGAGACTGGCAAAAACCAAAAAGTTTGACAATATAGATGTTACCAAGAGGTAGAATAACAGGACCTCCCACAAAATAACAATGGTAGGATAAATGGGAAATCACCATAGAGAACAACAATAAGATCAAAGACAATGTAAACCCTTTCTTTGATCCAGCTGATCTCCTTCTAGATATAGACCCTAGACCAACAGAATTGGCATCACCTAGGAACGTGGCAGAAAATGCAGAATCTCAGAAATGATCCCAGCCAGACCTATTCAATCAGAATCTATATTTAACTAATCCCTATGATATCATTTCCATGCATAGCAACATCTAAAAAACAACACTCTCAAGAAATTTTGAATGTGAGTCCAAGGAGACAAGAACAAGGATATTCATTGTACCACTGTCTGTCATAACTACTGGAAACATACCAAATGTCCCTAATAGTATCAGTAAGGATAGTTATAGTAATAACCACTCCCAAACTCTCAGTGACTTAAAACAAAGATTTAAAACTTACTCATGTTATATACTCATAATGGGTTGGCAGGTATGCTATGCTCCCTGAAGTGACTCAGGGACTCAACCAGCATCTTGGAGTTGCCATTTTTCAAGAACAAGGGAAAATAAGAGAACTCTGGAGCAAAATTAAATGCTAAGCCCAAAAGTGATACATATCACTTCTGCTCACATCTTATCAGCCAGAAAAAGTCACATGGAACTGGGAACCCAGGAAATATACACAGGGAACCCAGGAAATATAATATTACCTTGCACCAAAGGAAGCAGCTAGAAATATTGGTGAACAGCACTTATGATAATCACTGGAACTGGCAGGGGAAATGTGAACTATTCATATAATAGACTACCATGGAGTGATTAAAACGAGCAAACTGTATCTATACACATAAAGAAAATAAGCTGCCTACTAGTATGCAAGCCCCAGAGGGTAGATATTTTTATCTATTTTATTCACAGCTGTATCCCCAGAACCAAGAGTAATGCCTAGCGCATAGTAGGTACTCGATTCATCTTTGTTGAGCGAATACACAGATCTCAAAATGAGGACTGAGAATCATCTACATAAACTTTTTTAGACACAAAACAAAACAATATATGATTTATAAATATTAAAAGCACAGAATAGAAGAACATTCAATAAATTTATGATACTGGTTTCCTCAGGGGAGTAAGGAAAGGAATAGGACCAAAGAAAGGAACATAAATTTTAACTGTAATTTTTTAAAGTATATATATACCTCTTTCTGTCCATATATATGTTTTATATATATACTATATATTTTTTTTCTTTACACATATATGAATCAAAACTAGAAAATTGTTAATATCTGTTAATTCTGAGAAGTTGGTACACAGGTGATTTTTTTTTTTTTTTTTTGAGACAGATTCACTCTGTCACCCAGGCTGGAGCTCAGTGGTGCAATCTTGGCTCATCACAACCTCTGCCTCCCAAATTCGAGCTATCATGTGAGCCAATTCTCATGCCTTGGCCTCCCAAGTACCTGGGATTACAGGTGTGTACCACCATGCCCAGCTCCTTTTTTTGTTTTTTAGTAGAGATGGGGTTTCTCCATGTTGGCCAGGCAGGTCTTGAACTTCTGGCCTCGAGTGATCCACCCGCCTCAGCCTCCCAAAGTGCTGGGATTACAGGTGTGAGCCACTGAACCTGGCTCATGGGTGATTTTAAATTCTCTATAATTTTAGAACTTTACTAAAAGGATATTAGGGAACTAATAGTACCTTCATATCTCAGACAGAACTTCTCATAGTGTTCTATCCATGTTCTCTTATGAGAGCATGTCCTACTATTTTAATGTCTAATGATTCAGCTTCACAATTCTTGAGAATTTTGAATTTTTATCCATATTTATATTCTTATCTCAATATTAAATATATTTTAATTGTATACTTTTTCCCTCAAAACCTAGGTAAAATTAACATTCCAGGAAGATATGCTTTGATTATCCTATAGCTTCATATATCCCCATCATACTACAGGGCATCTCAGGGCAGAGAGGTTGGAGATGCTTATTCTAGTTTGGGGAGCAGAACTATAGAGTCACTGTAGATTTTCCTTTAGAAGAAAACAACATACAGAAGAGAAATCCTCTGAATTTAACCTCACCCTTCCCCTTTACAATAGTTAATTTTATGTGGCAACTTGGCTGACCAGAGGAGCCAGATATTTGGTCAAACATTATTCTAGATGTTTCTGTGATGGTATTTTTTAGATGAGATTAACATTTAAGTCAGTAGACTATGAGTAAAGATGATTACCCTCCATAATGTGAGTAGGCCTCATTCCACCACAGGTGAAAACCTTAATAGGAAAAAGGCTGACTGTGCCCAAGGAAGAGGGAATTCTACAGAAGAGTCCCTTTGGACTCAAGCTATTATCTTAACTCTTCACTGGACTCTAGCTTGCTGGACTACACTGCAGCTTTTGCTATACTTGCTATACTCCACAATCATGTGAGCCAATTCCTTAAAATAAGTACTTCCCTCTCCAGTAGGTAAACAGACAGAGACACACACACACACACACACACACACACACACACACACACACGCTATTGGTTCTGTTTTTCTTAAGAACCCCAGTTAATGTACTCTTGCACCAAAACCAGTACTATTTTCTTCAAGGACACTATTAAATGAATCAAAACATATCTCAAACCAACTATCACTAAAATAGGTATATGCTTTTCCCTAAAAGACTGGGTCTTTTAAAAATCTAACTGTAAGTATTATTTATTAAACATAATACATGACAGAACACATTAGCATACCACTAATATATATAAATAAATCTAGAATGAATCAATAAATATACAAAAGGTTAAGATGTTAGAAACTTAATTTTTTGAAAAGTTATGCTAAATATGGACCTAAACGTATTCTAAACAACAGAAATTTTAGATAGTAAAAACTGTTCGATTAAAAAAAAATCTTACCTTTTAGTTTTCATCTGGTCCCTCAGTTTGCTGTACATCTCTAGGACTTAAAAGAAAGAAAAGAATACACAAACATGATTTAGAGAAAGCCTAATTAAAGCAAAAAAAAAATTACACCAAGAATCCTTCTCCATTTCCAGTTCCTCACCTGGAAGACACAGCATTAATTTATCAACAGTGGCAGAAATATTTCTCTGTTGTAGTCGACACTGCTTCAGCTCTTCCATTGCTATTACCAGCTTGGCAAGAGGGAAAAAGACTGAATTATGCCTATGGCTGTAAATAAAAAGCTTTCAGTCACATTTTTCCACACTGTGTTCAATTCATCAGAAAATCCCAGACAGTTTCATAGTAAGACCTGCCAAGTGAACTAAGGAACTGCCTTTCCTAACCAGTAAAACATTCCTGCACAGTTTCCCGCTTTCTCCCCAAGATACATACAATACTAGGAAGGGCTAGGTAAAATGAAGTCCTAAAATACAAGGGTTATCCAGGAGAAAAAAACTATCTTCAACTAAATCTCTATTTCAACAAATAAACCCACACACTTAAAAGATGTGGCCTTTCTAAAAGTTACAGTTTGTTGAAAAGTAATTCACTTTTATTCCCCTAGCCCCAGTTTTAAGGGCTTCTATCAGAAGTCATACCATAATATAACTAGAAGAAATTGTACTCCACAGAATTTAGAATGTGAGACAAACTTCTTCAAAAAGTAATAATCTACACATCTACTTGCAGCATTCATCCTATACCCATACCTAAAAATGTTATTATCTGCTTAGATACCATGCAGAAAAGAACAAGAGAATGGTCCTAAGTCACTGATAAAACAATCAAAAGCTAATCTTAAAGGTTATTAAAATTAAACATCAAAAAAGTATTAGGTGATAAGAAAGAAGCATGATAACAGAGAACAGTCATGTACTACAAGTCAGAAAACCTGGGTTTTAGTCCCAGCCTTGCCAATAACTATGTAAAATACAGCAAATCATTTGTTTTAGTTTCCTCATCAATAAAACAGTGATAATACCTGTCCTGATTTTGTCGGCCATGAGGATCAAATGAGCAAATAGATATAAAAATATTGTAAACTGTGATGGTTTAAATGGTAAATATGTCAATCAATAGAATCAATGATTTTTTTTATGGTGGGGGGATAGAGATGGGGTCTCCCTTTGTCACCCAGGCTGAGAGTGCAGTGGCGCAATCATGCCTCAATGCAACCTCAAACTCCTGGGCTTAAGAGATCCTCCCACCTCAGTCTCCCAAGTAGCTGGGACTATAGACATGCACCTCCACGCCTGGTTATGGTTGTTTTTTTTGTTTTGGGGGGCAGGTAGAGATGGGGTCTCACTATGTTGCCCAAGCTGGTCTCAAACTCCTGGCCTCAAGTGATCCTCCCACCTCATCCTCCCAAAGCACTGGGATTAGAGCGTATAATCTCAGCCACTGTGCCTGGTTGATTAATCTTTTAAATAAATATTTGTTGAGCATCCACACTGTGCCAGTCACTATTTAGGTAGATGGAGGGGATACAGCAATGAATAAAGCAAACAAAAATTCCTAATCTCATGGAGTTTAATTTCCAATGGAGAATGACATACAAAAAAAAATATAAGTAAAAAATATGTTAAATATAATATCAGAGCATGACAGGCACAATGAAGAAAAAGTGGGAAAGGATCAAAAGAATGCACGGGTGAGAGTGAGACTACAATTTCAAATAAGGTGGTTAGGAAAGGCCTCATTAAGAAGGCAACATTTGAGCAAAGATTTGAAGAAGGTGAATATTGAGGAAATAACATATCAGGCAGAGGAAGAGCATTACTGTATTATGACAAGTCGATGATTTAAAAGCACAACTAAGAAGCCTGTATCCTGTCTCCTTAGACTTCCCAGTGACTATGTTCATTTAATTCAGATAAACATTAGGAAAAGCAACAATAATGTCCAAGTACTTCCAACATACTACTTACAGTCTTAACCACTAAATGAATAACATAGTCATTAAAAGAGAGTGGCATGAAACAGAAAAGATTTCTTCAAAAGGTAAACTGGTCTTACTTCCTTTCCCTCATGTTGTAGTTTTCTATTAGTATCCGTCACTTGATTCTGTGGAGAGAAGACAATTTAAACTCATAAAAAACAAACATTTAGACAATAGTTGAAAAAGATCTAAATTTAATATGAAAAGATTAGGAATAGGCAGTTAAATATTTTCAGTACTCCACTACATATTGGTCCAGTGGCATTCTCTTGGGTTTAAATTATGTCAACTTTTCTACTGGATGTTTGCATGACCTTTTGAAAAGAAAAATTTGCTAACAAATATGGTGAGTTTAGAACAGTTCTAAACTAAGCTACCATAATAACTAAAGATCGCACTTTAACTTTGGGGAGACAAGAGGAAAAAGGGGAGAGAAAAATAAAATAGAAAGTACAAATTTTATACAGATATTCCTCATTTCACCAATGTATTCCTAGAAAAGTTGGGTATACACTGAACTTGTTAACTCAAGTCAAAGTTTCCCTGTTTGCTTATTATCTTATTTTTAGAAAATGCTTTACCTTAATTCTTTTTGGATCATTAATTCTTAACAGCTCCTAACACTTCCATACTTCCATTTTTCCAATATAATCTCTCCATCAGATAGTCAAAAATTTGTGAATAAGCCCTTAAATGATCCAGAGTTCATTATATAAAGGAAATGGCATCTACTTTTTTTGATATTCACTCTTGACATTTCAATGATGGAAAAAATTAATTATATAGGATAGTAATTTCCTCATCATCTGTGATATCAAAACATAAGCAATACTAACTTCTAAAATGTTGTTTAATAAACGCTTTCTAGCCTTCCACCAGTAATTGCTACTCCTTATACTTTTAGTGCATCCCCTAACCTAGCATTTCCTATTATGTCCCTTAGGACATCAAGAAGTGTTACTTAGCAGGTACTCTGCACATGCACACAGCCATGCACATGCGAGCACACACAGTCTCACAGACATAAACACACACACAAATACACACGATATGATATGCACTGTAAATGCCCAAGAAAGGGATATCATATAGGATGTTTTCCAAATTTATCTAACGTAATACCCTTTAACTGAAGATCTTCTCAAGGAGCTAGTTTTTTAAAAGAATACACTTTTGAAATCACTGCTCTGAACGATACACTATACCTGGACTATCATTCAAAGCAGATTACCATATGCACCTCCATCCAAAGCCAAAATGAAATCTGAACTCCTCCAGGAAGCCTCTTTAAAGTACCAGAAAGGGAGGCAAGAAATCAGCAAATTCCCTCTTTATTATTTAATTAATGGCACCACATGTGAAACACTTTGTGGTTTTATTGCACTGAGCTCAATACAAATTAAGAGTGATAAAGCCGTCCAAAATGCACATCTAAGACAATGTTAATGGAAGCATTGTCTAAAAGGGGGTCAGCAATCTGTTTCCATAAAGGGCTAGATGGTAAATATTTTAGGCTTTGCAAGCCATACAATCTCTGTTGTAACTATTCAACTCTACCTCTGTAGCAGGAATGCAGCCATAAAGAAAATAAAGGTAAATGAAAGGTCATGGCTGTGTTCCGATAAAACTTTATTTACACAAACAGGAGGCAAGCTGGATTTGGCCTAAGAGACAGAGTTTGCTAACCCCTGGTCTAGAATAAACGTGATGGTAAGGTAGTAATACCACACTATGAAATTTACAATTGGATGCCACATTTTAAGAAGGCTTTACAAGCTGAAGCATGGTTAGAAGTGAACACATTTGCAGAGGGAGTCAAAGCTAACCACAGGAAAAACAGATGAAGCCATTTTTAGCCAAGAAAGGGGAAAAATATTCACTTGGAGACACTATACCCCATACCTGGACCCTATATACTATAAACCAAACTTAAACAATGGCTGCCCTTCAAATATCTGAAGAGCTATCAGAAGTAAAGTGGCTCCGTAAAAATGGAGCTTATTACTCAAACCAATGTTTGTTACTAGAAAACAGTATTCAGCTCAATATAAGAAAAAGTGTTCAAGCAATGTGAATAAAAATCATACGGGCTTCCTTGGGTGATAATGCTATCCCCATTACAGTAGTTATTCAATAATAAATTAGATATTTTTTATCCTAAACTGGAGGTCTCCTAAAATACAACCCTCCATAATACTCCTAAATTCAGCAACATTATCTACTAGAGTAGCCTTGTTTGCCTTATGAAGGCACCATTTCTCACTTTTTTTCACCTTAAACTCACTGTAAAAAATACATTTTCCATTGCAACTCAGTACACAAGTATAGGGAACACACACACAATTTTCAAGAAACAATGTTTATCCTTAGTACATGTAATGCACTCTCTTGTTTTCTATTCAATTCGATTATATTTAATTTCAGTTTTTGTCAAAAATACTGATCAAGGCACACTAAATTAATTTCATGCAAACCATGGACGTAAAACATATCCCTAGGAACCTAATGAATGCTTCCAGTAAGAAAGATAATAACTGTGGGCTAGGTGCAGTGGCTCACACCTGTAAGCCTAGCACTTTGGGAGTCCTTGTCAGGTGGATCAACCTGAGGTCAGGAGTTTGAGACCAGCCTGGCCAACATGGTGAAACCCAGTCTCTACTAAAAATACAAAAATTAGCTGGGCATGGTGGTGCATGCCTAGAATCCCAGCTACTTGGGAGGCTGAGGCAGGAAAATCGCTTGAACCGGGTGGGGGGACGTGGGTTGCAGGGGTGGAGATTGCAGTGAGCCAAGATCGTGCCACTTCACTCTAGCCTGGGCAAAAGAGCGAAACTCCATCTCAAAAAAATAAAGATAATAACTGTGTCAATACCATTCAATAACTATTTCAATGCGTAACAATAAAAAAAGGCCAGGCGCAGTGGCTCACACCTGTAATCCCAGCATTCTGGGAGGCTGAGGCAGCAGATCATTTGAGACCAGGAGTTCAAGACCAGCCTGGCCAACATGGTGAAACCCCCTCTCTACAAAAATACAAAAATTAGCTGGGCGTAGTGGCATGCACCTGTAGTCCCAGCTACTTAGAAGGCTGAGGCTGAGGAGAATCACTTGAACTTGGGAGGCAAAGTTTGCAGTGAGCCGAGATCACACCACTGCACTCCAGACTGGGTTGACGGAGCAACACTCTGTCTCAAAAAATTAAAAAAAAAAAAACAAAACAATAAAAAGAAACTATACCAGCTGTCTAGGATGCTACTTCATTTATTTCAAAGAAGATAAGTGTGTGTATGTATACACTGAGAATCAAAAGAAATAATGGGCATCTTAGAGTACGATTTCTTTTCATTGGTATGTTGAAATAGCATTGACAGTTGTAATACTTTTTACATTGTCTAAACTATTTCTAGAGTTCAGGAAACTTTTTTTCATTCATTGAACCTAGGTCAAATGAATCCCCTTAGAGCAGAGTCTCCCAGGTGTCCTGCTAGACATTAATCCCCTCTGCCCTCAAAGTAACTGGGTGGAGCCTGAAACAGACTAAAACCCTAAACCAGTAGCCTCCAGTTCAAGTATTCCTGCTGGGGCATCCTCAGCAAGTTGAAGGAATTTGCAACTTGAAGAAATTTGATGGAAGGCAAGGGAAGTAAGAGGAAAAGAAGATGAGTACCAACCAACAAGTGATATCAGCAATTCAGGAGCATTATGAGCTATATTCAGTACTACCCTGCCAAGGAGGTATTCTACCACACGACTACTTCGATAACCAGAGACAAAACATTGTGCTGACTATCATGGACCAGGGCACCAAGGAGCTATGGGAGAAGTGTGGGATAGAGGTGTCTAAGAAGCATAGAAAAGAACAGCCCAAGATGAGTATAGAAGATGGGATGGCTAGGTGAGGACAAATAGCATTCACAGGTCCTGGCAGGAAACCCCCTATCTCTGTTTTCACGCATTTCAGATACTTTTGTCCAGCTAAGGCTGATCAGCGCACAAAATTTAAGGATTACAAATGTATGGACCAATAAATAGAAAGACGCACTACTAAGATTCTTTAATATGGCCAGGCATGGTGGTTCATGCCTGTGATACCAACACTTTGGGAGGCTGAGACGGTCAGATCACTTGAGGACAGGAGTTCAAGACCAGCCTGGCCAACACGGCAAAACCTCCTCTCTACTAAAAATACAAAAATTGGCCAGGCATGATGGTACATGCCTGTAGTCCTAGCTACTTGAGAGGCTGAGGCATGAGGCACAAGAATCGCTTGAACCCAGGAGGCAGACATTGCAGTGAGCCAAGATTGTGCCACTGAGCTCCAGCCTGGGCAACAGAGTGAGACTCTGCCTCAAAAAAAATTAAAAAAAAAAAAGTTCTTTAATATACTTTCAGATGGTTCACTTTTTTAATAGATGTAGAAATAATTCAATGTTTTGTATCACCTACTTATGAGAAAAGGTTCTCTTGAATAGTGTCTATGAGAAATTCAAACAGGTTATCATTTTTAAAGTCTTGATTACATTTGCATAGCATATAGTCATTTTAAGCAGAAAACTAAATATTTAAAAAGTTATTTCAGGCTGAGTGCAGTGGCTCAGACCTGTAATCCCAGCACTTTGAGAGGATGAGGTGGGCGGAACTCCCAGGCTGAGGAGTTCCAGACCAGCCTAGTCAACATGGTGAAACCCCATCTCTACCAAAAATACAAAAATTAGCCAGGCATGGTGGTGCACCTGTAATTCCAGCTATTTGGGAGGCTGAGGAAGGATAATCGCTTGAACCTGGGAAGCACAGGTTGCAGTGAACCAAGATCACGCTGCTGCACTCTAGCCTAGGCAACAGAGCAAGACTCTGTCTCAAAAAAAAAAGTTATTTTACGGTAGCAAGTTCAAGTTTCTCATTTTAAAATGATGAAACATTTTAGAATGTTTAGAACAGTTCTATATGTTTAGAACATTTCTATATATTTGTAATATATCCTAATACTCTGTATTTTATTTTTCTTATTATAATACATAAAGAAAATGTAAAGATTTTTTTAAAACAAGTCTCATGTTCCCCCAAAAACACTCTAGCTTATTCTTAGGTGCCTGCCATTCAAATATGACTTTCTATGTGTGCTGTGACAAGAAAAGGGTTGGGAAGCATGCCCTAGAGGACTCACTCTATGGGTTTCTCTATGAAGTCATCAGAAATTGTTCTCAATTTACACTCTCATGTTCTCATGCATGTATACATTTTTTAGAGAGAAGATTCAAACTATTCATGAGATTCTGGCCCTCTCCATTTCATTCCCCATATGAGTGACTAGAACTACCAACTACTGAGTCACCCAAACCAGAAACCTAAGAGTCATGGGCTCTATTCCAGATATATGAGATACCATATCTCATAAGCATCTCTGCAGTCTGCCCCTTCTTCACCATCTCCTTAGTTTTAGTCTTCCTCATTTTTTAACATGGATTTCAACTTATCATTTTCCCATATTGAATGAAAATTTTGTATTAATGTGTACACTTCAAAACTGAGTTTTCTGATGAACATTCAAAATCGTCAGTTGAAACTGCAGGAAACTTAAAATACAAAGAAAAGCATTTCAGATACTTTTGTCCAGCTGAGGCTCATCAGCCCACAAAATTTAAGGATTACAAATGTATAGACCAATACATAGAAAGACGCACTATTGAGATTCTTTAATATGGTCAGGCATGGTGGTTCATGTGTGTAATAGCAACACTTTGGGAGGCTGAGACGGTCAGATCACTTGAGGACAGGAGTTCAAGACCAGCCTGGCCAATATGGCGAAACCCCATCTCTACTAAAAATACAAAAATTGGCCAGACATGGTGGTACACACCTGTAGTCCTAGCTACCTGGGAGGCTGAGGCATAAGGCACAAGAATGAAAACATTAAAATTATTTATTATCAAGGGATTATTGATAACATTTTGGTATATAGTCTTCTAATCTTCTTTAATGCTTATTTATTTACATGTAAAGTATGTGCATTTAGTTTATAAAAATAGTCATACTGTTCATACATTTTAATCAGCTTTATACATTAAGCAAACATCTCTAATACTTTCCCATGTCAAATATCCTCTGTACTGTAGTTTATTATTATTTCAAATAGATGCACCACAATTTCTTTTAGTAATCCTCTATTAAGTGATGTTAGGAACACTTTCAAGTTTTACCTATTAAAAGAAAACATCATATGAACATCCTTGTACATGCACTTACAGCCTTAGAATAAATCCTAAAATTACGTGGGGTTTTAAGTATTGACACCTTATTGTTTAAATTTGCATTCCTTTAATTTTTTTCCAAATTGTAGAGCTCCTTTGTATTTCTTCTTATGTAAACTGTACGTTATTGTGTATTTCTCATTTTTCTATTAGAATGTTCACATTTTTCCTATTGATTTACCAAGAATCTTCATATATAAGGATATCAACAATTTGCCATATGTGTTTGTAAGTATTTTTTATTATTTGCCTTTTAAGTTTTAATTTGTAGGTAGAATAGGTTCTTTCCTTTTAATGTTGTTACATCTCTCAATTTTTTCTTTCTGGTTTAGAAATTTTGTTTAGAAATGTCTCAAAATAATATAAATATTCACCTATATTTTCTACTAGTTCTTTCATGGTTTTATTTTTTACATTTAACTCTTTAGTTCCTCTGAAATTAATTTCAATATGTTGAATAAGGAAAAGACCTAACTTACTTTAAATGAAAATAGTTAAGCATTAAAGAACATTAACAATAAATCAAAAGACTGTTACCTCTAGAGTAGAGAAAGCAACTGAGAGGGGTACTATTGAGAGATTTAATTATGATGGCAATATAATTTCTTAAGATGGCTGGATACTGTTGTACAGGTCCATAAATTCTTTTTTAAAACCTTAGGACCTAATGTGTTTAAACTTAAGCATTTTGGAAATTTTTTAAAGATATTAAGGTAAATATTGTATATTACATAATACCCCCACCCAATGGGGACTAGGATAGCACCATATAATCAAACATGCTAATATTTCTGCAGCAAAACACAAAAATTCATGCTAAATAAAATAAGAAATTTGATAGCTTCATGTGATTTAGGTCATGAAACTATCTATAATCAATTGAGTTTTTAAATTATTATAGCTTTAGAATACAATATAATGTCTGACAGCCCACTTTGCCCCTTAGTAAAACTGTTTCTTTGCTTTCCTTACCAATATATTTTTTAAACGAATTTTACACTCACTGTCAAGTTAACCCCATGCCCAGGAAAATCCTTTTAGGATTCTAATTCAAATTTCAATAAGAAAAAAAGAATTAAAAGCATAAGGACTTGAAAGAAGAAAATAAAACTGTTATTACTTACAGATCATATGAGGAGTGTTTACATAGAAAACTCAAATTACATATAAATTATTAGAAATAACAGAAGAGCTTACTGAAGTAGTTAGATTTAAGATCAATAAGCAAAATGAGTTATCTAAGATAAGTGACTTTGCTATGCCAGGGACCAGACAAATGTGCCTAGCCTCCTTCCTGGACCTTAATCAGCCACACCAGGAAATAACCTTCATTCTTTGGTAGAAGACCCTCCACAACAACCAACGGTTTTTTTCTTTTGGCCTAGGTGGCATGCTACAAAGAATTTTATAGCAATGCCTTGAAATTCTATCATTCTACAATGATAGCTTTTATCCAGCAAGGAAACAGAAACATGAAGAGTCAAACTGAGTTTCTGTTTAAAAGAACCAGCTACTGATCACTGGTTCTGGTCCACATGTAGTTATCCCAATTAAAATATAACTTTAAAAGGGTAATCTTGGCTGGGCGTGGTGGCTCACGCCTGTAATCCCAGCACCTTGGGAGGCCGAGGCGGGCAGATCACGAGGTCAGGAGATCGAGACCATCCTGGCTAACACGGTGAAACCCCGTCTCTACTAAAAGTACAAAAAAAATTAGCCGGGCGTGGTGGTGGGCGCCTGTAGTCCCAGCTATTCGGGAGGCTGAGGCAGGAGAATGGCGTGAACCCAGGAGGCGGAGCTTGCAGTGAACCGAGATCGCACCACTGCACTCCAGCCTGGGCGACAGAGCGAGACTCCGCCTCAAAAAAAAAAGGGGGGGTGGGTATTGTTTTTAGCTAAAAAGCCATACTCTCAAGAATGTACGTTTCAGTATAAATTCCTTTCTAATTATACAAAAATCTTCACTACAAATATGTGTTCTATGTTATAATCCTTAATCCTTTAATCCTAATCAAAACCCCAACACAGGACGGAGAAACAGTATCTCTTAGAGCCTTCTTACTTTGAGTTTCTGGGCTTCTCCTCTCACTTTCAGCAGTTCAGTTATAGAGTCCACAAAGCCCTGGTAATGAAAGTTGCACATTTTCTCAATTTCTCGGTCGTGATTACGGATACGAGTTTCAAGCTTCTCCATGAAACGTCCATGTTCTTCACCATCATAAACAGACCTTTAAAAAAAAATGGCACGAAGATTATACCATGGTTACTTCTAAGAAGGAAAAACAAAATTATAAATCCAGAAGCAAATTTAGGGCACATAAGCCACAAAATAATCCAACTGTATATTAACATGCCTTATTGTTAAATGAGTATTTTTAAGGAAAATCGAAACTTTTGCTTTCTTATTCATTCCAAAATATTTGACTGCCTGACAGTATTTGTCACAAAATTCTCATCATAAAATTAAAAGACTGAATTACAACTCCCTTGTATCTTTCTTTTTCAATTTAACTAGTCTAGAAAAGCTCAATTTTAGTTAAATTCAACTATCCAATTGCTCCATGAGCATATTCAAGAAATTGAACACAGCTAGAGAAAAAACACACAGCTGTGCTGGCTAGACTCAGGGTAGCCATGTAACTACAAATCTAAATTAGGCAGTCAATATCGCTAGATAATTCTACTACAACCATTCCCCCATCTCACATCCCAGAAAAATCACTTTGTATTCTAAAGTACTTATGTGTGGGAACCTTACCTTGTCCTCTCCTCAAATGTTCATACCTTCAGCCTCAGCTGCTGATCTGACTATATACTTTACAGAAAAAAACAGGCACAAAGAACTACCTCCTCTTCCCTCATTAAAATCAACCAGTCTACTTTACATTTGTAGCTCCTACTCTCCACCCACCAGTAACGATAAAATAAGTGTTCCAAGCTCGTATCTACAATTCAGTCCCTCTTGCTGTCTCAAGAATTTTATTCCTGCAAGTTTTCCCATTTATCCCTCCTTGGTAACATATATTTCTCCCTCTTTACTAGATGATTCTCATGTGTATATAAACATAACTTTTATTTAAATATAATTGTTTTTATTTTTTTAATAAAAGATGAAGTCTCAATATGTTGGCCAGGTTGATCTTGAACTCCTGGCCTTGGACAGTCCTCACACCTTTGCCTCCCAAAGTGCTGAGATTACAGGCATGAGCCACCAAGCACAGCCTATACATGTCTTTTTAAATCCTGCCCTTAACTACACATCCCTCTTCCCTTCCCAGCAAAACTCCCTTCCACTTCCTCACTTCTTTGCCTTACTAAAGTATTCATTGTACTCCACCTAATAGCAGCATTTGATATGGTTTTATATTCTCTCCTTCTTTAAACACTCTCTCCAGTAGACTTCAATGATACCATACTAACATGTTTCTTAACCTCTCACTGATGTGCCTTCTCAATATCCATTCTCAGCTCCTCCTCCTCTATTACATTCCGAAGTATTCCTAAAATCTCTTCTCTTCTCCACCTGTGCTCTCTCATTAAGCGAAGCCATCTAATTCCATGGCTTTAAAATATCATCTCTGTAGTGCTGATTTCCTAATCTATAATTCAGAGCATTTCCCTGAGCACTAGATTCTAATATCCAGCTACTATTTAATTCCAATTGGGTTTTTAAAAGCCATCTCAGTATTTAACGTAGAAAAAAAAGTATTTATTACTAATGTATCTCCACTCCCATACCTGTTCCTCCTCAAATTTCCCAACCGCCTACCCATCCCATCACAGCTAAAGGCACACTATACAATTGCCCAAGCCAAAAATCTAGGAATGACTCCTAATCTATCTCCTTCCATCACATACCCTATCCAATACATTAATAAGTCCTGACAACTCAACCTCCGAAACATGTCTTAACATTTACCATATTCCACCATTTCCACTAAAACACGATCTAAATCTACATTACCACCACAATGGACCAATGCAACAGCCTCCTGACAGTCTCCATTCTGCACTTTCCATCTACTCCACCCCCTGCCCCAAAACAGACACTCCACACAGTAACAAAAATGATCAGAATTAAAATCTTGATTCTTTACTGCTGCCTGTAAGGCCCTACATAATGTAACCTCACATTACCTCTCTAACCTCATTTCTCTCCTTTCTCTAGTTCCCACCCAAATTCCCTTCCATCCTCTAAGTTCCAGCTACCCTGGCTTTTTTTAAAGCCTCTTCCCGCCTCAAGAATTTTGTTTTTGCAGTTCTTATACTAGTAATGCTCATCCCCTATACCTTTGAACAATCTCTTCCTCCTCACCGTCCATGATATGTTGTCTATCTCCGCCTCCCCACAACCCACCTCAACTAGATTGTAAGTTCAAGGGCAAGAATTTTGTCTGTCATACTGTACCTCTATAACAGTGCCAGACAGGTAGTAGACAATAAGTAAACATTCACTGAGTAAAGAATGACTAACACTATCTCTAAGGACTCTTTGATTTCTGACATTTGTTCAAGAAATACTCATTTGCTCATTGCCAACATTTTCTGGTTCTATAATCCTTTCTGGGTACTGGATCACTATGCTGATCCTCTGGATCAGAAACCACACCCCCCACAGGAGGTCAGTTCTACCACCCAAAACTCAGCAGTAGCCATAGATGAAAGGAATAGTCATGCACTGCATAATAATGTTTTAGTTAACGATGGACCACATATATAATGGTGGTCCCACTGTATTATCTAGTGAAGTCATAGGCTTTGTATTGTAGTGCAACACATTACCTTTTCTACATTTAGATATACAAATACTTACCAGTATGTTATAACTGCCTACAGTATTAAGTACAGCAACATACTGTACAGGTTTGCAGCCTAGTAGCAATAGGCTATACCATATAGCCTAGGTGTGTAGTAGACTATATACCATCTAGGCTTGTGTAAGTATACTCTATGATGTTCACACAACAACAAAATCACCTAATGACACATTTTTTAGAACATATCCTCTCTGCTAAGCAACATATGACTGTACATGTTTGGCTTCCAGTCAAGATTCTGAACACTTACTTCAGAAAAGGCAGAGCAATCTGGATTCATTCTCCTTCCTTTGAAATAAAGGGAGATTGTCAAATAAATTATAAACAATCTCTGCTTTGACAAGTAGGAAAACTGTAGAATAACCACTTGCCTGAAAAAGCTGTTTGGAATACATAAGAGAATCTACCGTTGACATTTCAAGTAATCTCAAATAAGCTTAACTTTTCCCCCTTTCAAAGGAAAGGAAAAGAAAGGTTTCCATGTAAAGATACTGATTTACCTTGACACTTGGAGAACGTGAAGAATCACCGAAAACTCCTCAATATAAATTGCATAAGCTGATATATTATTCAATAGTAGACAATCTCTTGGTTTCAAATTCAGTACACCCTGACTTGACTCAATATACTTCTAAGTTAAATGGCAAGTATAGTTCATTCTACTGGGTAAAACTTCTTTTCATTTCTTCCCTCCAGAGATCTACGGTAACGTCACAAAAGACAACCTCACAGAAAAGCAAATTCCAAAGTTAAGAAATGCAGAACTTATATTAATAATGCCTCCCTAGGCTCTCTGATCTTCCTATTTAAAGAAAAAAAAAATCAAAAACCTAAGAAAGGAAATGTGGATTTTAGCTGCCTGACTATGTGGCCTTCATCTTAGCACTGTAATTAGCTTGCTATATATAGGTCTTTGGCCAATCCAGTTAATCTCTCCGACCCTCAACTTTCTCATCTAGAAAATAGGAAGCAATCAATTACAATTCTCTTAAAAGTACTAGCTTAGCTTTAAGTATCTACAGTTCGCCTCCACTTTCAAGTTTAGTCAACAATGCTAAGATCATACATTTGTAGAATAGTATAAATAGGCAGTAGTTCAAAACAAGTTAATGGATCAGGGGTGGTGGCCCACACCTGTAATTCCAGCACTTTGGGAGGCCAAGATAGAGGGATTGCTTTGAGGCCAGGAGCTTGAAACCAGCCTGGTCAACATAGTGAGATCCCATTTCTTTAAAAAACAAAATAAAACACAAGTTAATAAAGTTTCTACCTGCTTATCACTACTCTCCATCTGTTACTCCTATCTTAGGACCATTATGATTGTAATATTCTCTTTAATTATTATGCAGAATAACATGAAAGGTTTGCAGTAGATCGCCAGAGTATTTTGAGAATTAAAAAAAAAGAAAGAATAAAACGTAAAACACCCATATTTAAAACAGGGGATAAAGACTATATTTAAAAGACTTTGTGTTCCATAGGTATGTTTCAGGAAATCCATGATTCCCAGATCCTAGGTGGATTTTGTATATATAGGTAGATGTACATATATGCATTTTTAAGAAAAAAAGTTTCCAATAGTTTCCATCTGGTTACCAAATAGGTTAAAAACCACAAATTTAAAGATTTTATTTCAAATTGTCTACCAAAGGAAGAGGCAATTATGACTGATCACTACCTAACAGTTCACCATGAATCAGCATTTCAAGCACATTTAAATATAACACTTTGCTAACCAACATATCCATCAGATATAAAAGGCTAAAAACAAAAATAAACAAGACTTAAACACTGAAAAGGTCAGAAATTTACTACTGAAGCTAATCTAATATCAGTAGTCAACAATGCAGTCGAACAAAGTGTGGCATTTTTTTCTTTTAATACCTTAAGGTAGAGAAAGACTGCCATCTAGTGATGGCCCTTTTCTAACATTCCTTGAAATGATGTGGCCTTACAAGTAAACAGGACCGCTTAAAAATCTAAAAACTATATTCCATAATACCTGTTGGTCAGAGACTTATAGCTGATTACTAAATGATATGTAAGGTACTCTAATGTTTAAATTTCCATTACTATTAGAAAGCAGGATCTTGAGAACAAAGGCATAGGTTTTTGACATGTCCAGGTTATGTTGCAGTTAAACAAGACAATCTATGGAATAAACTGCACCACTAGTTTAATTATTTGTGATAATCTCAATAATATTCTTAGTAAAGTATATACTTTACTATAGTACTTAGTAAAAGGCAAACAAGAAGAAATATATGGAAATTAACTAAACTTTTTATAGCCTAAATTTGACTCAACTAAATAAATGCTGCCATGTGGAGTCTGGTTTCCAAAAACCCCCAAATAAACCACCGGTTTGTGCAAAAAGTAAATTATTTATCCTCGTATAACTATCTGGTGCATAGCTCTAGATTTCATAATGATACTATATCCATAGCCCACCTAAATTTCATGTGCATATTAAGAGATCTTAATTTATAAAATGGCACTTGAGTAATTCTGTTGAACAAATATTTACCATTCACCTGTACCAAACCACTACAGGATTATATCACTTGCTTAGAGCCTATATTAATTCAAATTTGCTTGTCAAAGAAGGAGGAAAAATAATGTTATAAGCATTATTTCATTTAAATCCAATGCATCTTATAAATTAGACATTATTCCCATTTTATAAATGAGAAACCTGTAACCCAAGATGAAGCAACTTGCCAACTTCACATAGCTAGAAAGTGTCCTCTCTACTGCATCAGTCTATCTCTTTGAACAAGGAAAGCAAGCAGGTGGCATGGGCCCCCAAAATGTTAGTTGAAACAGGTCTTAGAGATGGAAGACAAAGCTCTCATTGTACACTCAAGGAAACTGAGGCCCAGGCAAGTTAAATGCCTTAATCAAAATTAATTGCTTGCTACGATACAATTAGGCCTGACCCCCAAAGAAAACAGAAAAAGCTAATGCAATATGAAGCCCAACACAAAGCTAAGTGGTTTAAAAAGAGAGAGAGAGAGACAAACTTCTACTTCAAGATGAGTAAGTTGCCTATTAGTTGTGCCTACACAACTATTCTCTTCTTCCTCCTATTGGAAGAGTCCCAATTCATTCTGATATTTCTGTCCTACCACAAAGGATAAATATTAATTAGTCTGTAAACCAATCATGGTAATTGCATTCTCTTTGTGAGTGACCAGTTAATATATGGTGGTCAGTGACACACTTATCTCACCAATGAGAAGGAAAATCTGGCAGTGAGGATCCAAGAAAAGGTTTTCTTTCCTGAAGCATTCAGGAAAAGAAACTGCTTTTCCTGCCTTAGACATTGTCCTGTGAAAGCATAATGTTTGAGGATGCAGTAACCATTCTGAAAAGGAAGAAGATATTGCCCAAAAAATCTTAGAATGGCAAAGGGGAAAATGGAAAACACTCGGCTCTTTGATAGTGATGCAATCCTGAAACAGCCCTATCTCCAAACATCATGTTATATGACTTAATAAATTTCCCATTGTTTAAGCCACTTTCCCTTGATATTCTGCTACTTGCAAAGGAAAGTATCCTAAATGATGCAACATTGTTCAGTCTTCAAAGGTAACAAGCAAATCAAAGAAACAACCAAGAGCAAGTCAGAGTCTACACACTTTACAAAGCAATCTTGTTCCCTGGACCTAGGCCATTCTTCTCCTTTTGCTTCTAGTTTAGTTAAGAGTAACTCCCATTTGCCTCTCAATTTTCAGCTTGCACCTTTTCTGGGAAACCTTCCCTAATCACATAGATTCTATTATGTGCTCCTCCTCGGTGATTATCATTTTTACAGAATTTATTAAACTATATCTGATTGTCCATTCACTTGCCAATCTCCCCATACTAGAATGCTAATCTCCTTGTGGGGAGAGACTATGTCTTACCCATTTTATCTCTACCTGCTGGCACACAGCCTGGCACAGAGGAGGTCCTCCATATAAGATGAAGATGGAAAAAGGTAGGAGACTAACTGATGAGGATTTCTAGTTGTTTCAGAGGTGGATGCAAAAGTGTATCCCATGATACAAAGCATTTCTGTTGAGATGTTTTCAGAACCACGGAGAACTTCAAGACACAATGAACTGAACATTTTGGTTTTTGTTTTTGATTAATTCAAGGAAAAATTCCAGAGTTTATTCTGGTCTTTTCTTTTTCATATATATGTTTTTAAACTTCTGTCATGGTTTTATTCCTCAAACATTTTCTTCTCATTAAGCTCCATAAAAGCATCATTAGTATTTTTGTTTATTCCAAATGTTAAAAATAAAGTGGAAAAACAGATTTGTGCATGATGTTGAAAGAGAAACTGCAGGAGGTCAAAAGGAGTTTAAAGTCCCTTCTCCTTACTTCAGTTTGTCTATCAGTTTAATTCCAACCTTAGTATTGTAATCTGGATGCTCTGGGTGCATAACGATGAAGGAGATCAATCAGATCATCATCAATGACAGGAGAAGCATATGCTAGTTAACATGAATTCTAACTGAACACTATACCCAAATATTTTTGTACTGCCACAGGAGATCAAATACATTCAAATCCTTTTTCCAGCTCTGAAGATACCAAGGTATCCAACTGGCTTCACACAAAGATAGCCCATATAACCAAAAGAATGCTGTGATGCAGATTTCTCTCAAGGCAGGAAGGGAACCCCAATGATGGCTATTTCCAGAGGAATAAAAGCAGGGTGGAGCAGCTTCAACTGACACCTAGCCAAAGGGCCTACTAAAACCTGGTTTTGGTTAAATACCACAGGAAAGTGGAGAAGGGGGAATTGTCCCAAAACATCAGTCAAATCAACAACAGACTATTAGGAAATAAACTAATGAAAACAAGGAAACTCCAAATTAAGAACATAGAGACTGCCATAATTGCTACTATGATAATGTCACACTATTAGAACAAGTAATCACCAACAGTAACTGAAGATATAAAGGCAAAACAGGATTATTAGTGGCTTCACTTTGTCCTTTGTATCTATTTGTGTTAGGTGCAAAAAGATTTTATTTCATTGTATCTTTCAGTGGTGGTCATGAAATCTGGCAGATAAAAGTTAGATCATGAATGTTGCTGCTAATTATAAGATAAGATATAAAAAAGTACCTCTACAGCCTGGTGATACTTATTGACTCTAACCTAGAAAACTGCTGAAAGCAGAGTACTAATACAGTTGTTTAGGAGTTATAATACACTTGGTAGGTTAGCTCTGGTCTCACTGCATGTAATTCAGTGTGTTAAGTTTAACACTTAAACATGTGATGTTGGAGCTAGATGAAATGACCAGTTCACTTAGTATCTATCATCAACATAATGAGTCTGAATCTAGGGCATGTTGATAAAACTCTTCCAGATTCTTTACAAAAGATATTCAGTAGCAGGGTGGTGCAAAAGTAATTGCGGTTTTGCCATTACTTTTAATTTTTGCCATTAAAGCGGAAAGTAATTGCAGTTTTGCCACTACTTTTAATGTTTGCCATTAAAAAAATCACAAAACTGCAATTACTTTTGCACCACCCTACATATTTAATTAAATAATTACTCTGAAGACATATGCAAATATTAAGAGACTGTGTATTAAGTATTGAAACATGATTCTACTGAGAGAAAAAAGAAAAATGAATAATTTTTGGAACACTTCGGTCTCCACACTTAAAATTATCATTATGGTTCTGATGATAGGTATCATTAAGCTATTAACAGAGAAAGACAAACCAATAATGGTTAACACTAGTATGGTAGAAACACAGCAGTGAATAGCCATGATCCACTTATGCATGTAGATTTAATGTGGACTTAACAAAATAGACCATGCAAGTTTCCTAGAATCTCTGAATCAAACCCTAATAAATGTAAGTAACCTCATTTGTAGATGTATATGTTATGTATACTATATATATAAATGCATGTATTATATATAGTATATATGCTATATATGTGGGTGACACATATATACATATACATACCTCACACACACACATACCTACACACACACAAACACACACACACACTTTTTTCTAATTTTCTGAGAAAGAACCAGACCTAACAACACCACATTCAACTCCTGGTCCAATTTCACCCGTAAGTGGTTGTTTGCTGATACCCCATGGCCAAAAGTGACCACAATTTAAAACTCTTTAACTCTATAAGCAATTAAGTACATGAAAGAGGATGGATGGAAAGGCATCAGAGTAGTTTCCATCCTAAAACATAATAAAGAACAAAGCAGGCAAAATAGGATGAAGTTCCATGAACCGTATGGAAGATTGGATACACTGTGAAAAACATTTCTACTATCAAACTCCTAATCACCTCTAACCACCTCTAACCTAATCTCTCTAATCACCTCTGACCTAATGCTTCTATTTTATAGCCATACAGAGAAAAAGAGACATGGCCTATTGCCCACACAAGATGGGGAGTCAAATCAGAGGCCTTCAAATGAATGAAGCGAAGATACCCCAGAATACATCATTAGTAAAAGATAAAATAGAAAAACACTTCCTCATAAAGGGAGACTGCAAGTAAACTTGCCTATCTGGTGTTAGCTCTGGGTGAGGGAAGGAGAAAACTCCCATGATAATTTGAAAGCACATGCCAGCCTTCTCACAGAAGGGAGGTCTACACTCATACTATCAATCTTCTGTGGTCTGAGAAATCTCAACTGACAATTTATTTTTAAAGTAGTCCCAGCATGGTTGTTAATACCCTCAAATAACCAACTGAAGCAAAGGCAAATCTTCTCCAGAGAAATATACCTTAACCTATACTTCTAGGAATTCTCACAAATAATACTCCATTGAACTGGAACTTAAGTATCAAAAGTCATAAAACATACAAGGAAACAAAGTATAAAAACAAGAATCAGAAGAAACACAAATAGCAAAATCAGGCTTGCAATGGCTTAAAATTAATATGTATACATTAAAAATAAATGTGTAAGATGTTTAAAGAAATATAAAAAGGAATTACCAAGAAAAGAAAAAAAAACTATCAAAAATGAATATATGAACCCAAAATATCTGAGACAGGTCTCAGTCAACTTACAGAGTTTATTTTGCCAAGGTTAAGAACACACCTGTGACATAGCCTCAGGAGGTCCTGATGACATGTGCCCAAGCTGATTGAGATACAGCTTGCTATTATACATTTTAGAAAGACATAATACATCAATCAATACATGTAAGATTTAGATTGGTATGATCTGGAAGGGCAGGACAATTTGAAGTGGGGAAGGGCTTCCAGGTCATACGTAGATTTAAAATTTTTCTGATTGGCAACTGGCTGAAAGAGTTATTATCAGTAGAAAGGAATGTCTGGGTTACAATAAGGGGTTGTAGAGACCAAGGTTTTATCATGCAGATGAAGCCGCCAAGTAGCAGGCTGCAGAGAGAATAGACTGTAAATGTTTCTCATCAGACTTAGATTTTCAGGTTAACTCTGGAATGCCCTTGACCGAGAGGAAGGGTCCATTGAGATGGTGGGGGCACCTTAAAATTTTATTTTTGGTTTACAAATAGATAATCTGGAAATGAAATATAGAACTTTTAGAATAAAAACTATAACAACTGTTATTTGAAACAAGAAATGGAAAGGAAAATACTTAACTAGGAGGTGTATATATAAACAGTACAAAATGCAGAAAGACGAAAGACGGAAAACACTAAAGAAGAGAATGGAGAATACAATGGGTTTAATGGGAGCTCCAGTAAGAAATAAGAGGCAGGTAAAATTTTTTTAAAATAGTTGTGAAGTTCCTAGAATTGATAAAAGATGTAATGAAGTTGTGATCCTCAAAATAAAAAGACATAAGCCTTACCAAAAGCAGCCCCATCTCTGCTCAGTTACATCTATCAAACATTTAGAACTGGCTGCCTATTTATCCCTTCTCTTCATAGCTAAACTTTGGTAGCATGCAGAAGCTTGCTATGATGGAGCTAATTATATAAATATATGGACCCCTAGACCCATGCAAACTTTTGGTATGTCTTTTATCAGCTCATTCTTCCATTACTTACAGCATCATTTCCAAACTGTCACCATTCTCTTTAAGATGCCAATCTCAATCCTACAACTGCCTTTCACAATAAATGGTGTTGTCATGTATTACATTTAAAAAATTCAGGCTTATTAGGCACAAAATATTCTTAACTTCTTGCATTCCAATACACAAATCTGTCTATATCTCTGTCTACCCTGATATTTGTTCCTTCTTATCTCTATGAAATAGATAGGTCATCTCAATGCAAGACTAATCCTATGTTCTAAAAATCTCATATATCTTCCACTCCAGGAAGGTTATTCCATCAATACTTTCTTTGGTGGGGGGAAGCTGATTTCTTTCGAAACATGCCCCCATCTTAACAAAACAACACAGCCCATTATTTTAAAGAAAAAAAAATGCACTAAATGAAAATCTCTCTTCTGATAAATTTCCTTCTGGCATCCTTTCCCTTCCCTTTCTCTCTCTCACTCTCTCTCTCTCTCTCTCTCTCCCTCCTTCCCTCTTCCCTCCCTCCCTCACCCCTGCCTTTTCTCAGTTAAGATCTTAAAAGAGCACACTATACTTACTGCCTCCATTTCCTCAAATTAGACTCGCTCTTCAAACCAGTGTAATCTGTTTCTTACCTATAACCACTCACAATGAACATATTCTTGCTAAAGTCAATAAAAGACTATTAATTGTCAAATCAAATATTCACTTTTAATTTCATCATTTACTTGACTCCACTTTTGTATGTGCCACCATGAACTATCCCCTCTTTTTAAAATCTCTATTCCCACGGCTTCTATTACACTCCTTCTTGGTTCTCCCCATTCTCAGTCTCCTTCAATAATTCTTCTTCTTCCCTCTACCCCTGAATACCTCCTTGACCACTTCTTCTCACTCTTCACATATATATATACCCTCAGAGATCTCATCAATACCTCAGTTGTTAGTATTAAACAAGTCTGGTTACCAAACCAATAATACCAGGATATATCTCTGTCAAGTCCTATAAACCTGACTCAAAGACATCGCAAACCGTGCATGTCAAAAACTACTCGGCTGGGCATGGTGGCATGTACCTATAGTCCCAGCCACTCAGGAGGCTGAAATGGGAGGATCTCTTGAACCCAGGAGTTCAAACCCAGCCCAGATAATATGGCAAGGGGCATGTCTCTTGAATTAAAAAAAAAAAAAAAGAATTTAACTTTCTACCCAAACCCACATTTCACTCCTAGTATTCACCATCTCAATTGAAGATAACACCAGCCACTGAGTTACCTAAACTAGAAATATGTACATTAACCTTGACACCTCACTTCACCTCACACCTCCTCATAACTAGTCACCAAGACCTACCGCTTCTAATTAAATAATGGCTCTTCTATGCTCTTTCCCCTCCCTATTCTCCCCAGCTACTGCCTTGACTCATGTCCTTATCATCTCTCTTCTGAACACTGTTTTTATCACTTTCCCCTTATATTCGTAACAATCCATCTTCAATACTTCTTTGACAGTAATTTTTTAAATGAGACCTTGTACTTGGAAATTGAAAGACAGAAATACACACACATACACACAACTTCAGGATCTTGTTTCAGGATCAAGTCCAAAGTCCCTAGCATAGTATGTAAGATGCCCTCCATGTCCAGCATTATCTCTGAATACTCCCCACATTCACTCTACAACTCTACTTGAAGTTCCTTGAGTGTAGCATGTATTCCCTCTGCCTGCAATGTCCTTACCATCACTTCTCTGGCAAATTCCTACTCATCTTTCAAGGTTCAGCTCAAAACTCAACTCTTTCCTAAAACGTCTCTCCTTAATACAACTACTATAACCTGATACAGAAGCTCCTTACCTTTTTAGTTTTTAGGATTTGTTTTTGTTTTTGTTTTGAGACAGGGTCTCACTCTGTGTCCCAGGCTCAATCGATCCTCCTGCCTCAGCCTCCTGAGTAGCTGGGACTACAGGCAGGCACCACCATGCCTAGCTCATTTTTTTGTAGAGACAAGGTCTCACTATGTTGCCTGGGATGGTCTCAAACTCCTGGGCTCAAGCAATCCTCCCACCTCGGCCTCCCAAAATACTGGGATTACAGGTGAGAGTCACCATGCCCAGCTCAGAAGCTGCTCTTCTTACCAACAAGGTAGAACACAAGAAACTGCTTTGGTTCATAAAACCAAAGCAGCCACGAAGAGCTTAAGCTTGCATACTCTGGAGGAATTTATACCAAACAAGATCATGAGTCCATTCTTTAAAGATTCAAATTCAATACCATTTTTCTCCTACTTGCTGATATGAGGCATCTTTTCCCAAATGACACCAATTTCTTTTTTTTTCTTTTTGGTAGAGATGAGGTCTTGCTACATTGCCCAGGGTACTGTCAAACTCCTAGCCTCGAGCAATCCTACCACCTCAGCCTCCCAAAGTGCTGGCGTTATAGGGTGTGAGCCACCACACCCAGCCAAATTTAATCTACAATAACAGTCTCTTGCAGCATGTATTAGTCTAGTTCTATGTATTTCATTTTTTTAATAGCTTTTTTTTTTCTTTTTTTTTTTTTAGAGACAGTATCTCACTCTGTTGCCCAGGCTGGAGCACAGTGGCACAATCATGGCTCACTTACAGCCTCTAGCTTCTGGGCTTAAGGGACCCTCTAGCCTCCGCCTCCTAAGTAGCTGGGATTACAGGCATGCACCAACACAAGCAGCTAATTTTTTAAAATTTTTTTTTGCAGAGATGGGGTCTCACTATGTTGCCCAGGCTGGTCTCAAACTTCTGGGCTCAAGCGATCCTCCCACCTTGGCCCCCCAAACTGGTGAGATTACAAGTGTGAGCCACAGTGCCTGCTCATAGTCTAGTTCGATAAGGAATATATTTAAAAATCTATTTTTTTTAATGAAACAAAATCTATTGAAGCACCTAGCCCTATCCTTGATAAGGAGTGTATGATAAGGATATAGGATAAGAATTACTCCTTAACAGTCATGGTATAATCATTCACCAACTGGCTCTCACTTTGACACTGTATAAATTTGAACTGGCCTTGAACCTATGAAGCCATATGTGGTTTGAGGTGAATTTCACCAGGAGTACTGTCATCTTGTTTTGCCTCAAAGTTCTTGAACAAATGCCTAGTATTATCCAGAAGTTACATTAGGATAATGGGCCTAGAAATGAATGGGCACCACTACTAATGATATTTACTGGTGGAAAGCACAGTTCATGTCCTTTTGCTTTGAAATGTTTATTTGTTCATATTTTTGAAAGGGTACTACGGTGAACACTCTATACAGTAATGATTTATTTACATGTCTATCTCCCCTATAAGACCATGAGTTCCTTGAGAGTTTACACCTGGAACAATGGCTGTATCCCACAGAGAAAGCATTATAAAGTGACAAAGAGCCAAAGCAGTGCCCAAAAATGTTTCAACATTTCATCTTACCCCAAAGAGAAGCACTAGAGTTCAATAATAAATATTTTTACCAAAAAGTTAATTCAAGTTCTAGCAGTGCAAATAATTTGCACTTCAGCTAAAATGTTAAACAGAAAAAGAAAGAAACAGAGGAAGAAAGGAGAAATTTAGATGGCTAAAGGAAATCTATTGTAGGAGGAGAGTAGTGTCTGGCAATAATTTGTTATTTCCCTAGCTCTCCTCTAACCTCCTCTGGAAGCTAGGAGAAGGAAGATGATTAAACTGCAACAAGACCTGGCTCTGAAGAGAACTGATGTTTCTGGCCCTTGTTGCCAACAGAAGGGGGAGGGTGACAGCAGTCCCTACGGGCTTTTAGAAAAAATTGCTTCCAGGTGGAAATTTTTTATGGTACTGAGCAGCCTGGAGCCATTTTTGGCTTTACTTCTTAACTACTGATGATTAAACCATGGACAATCAGGCTGCAACAATGGAAACAGACAGCTCTCAAACATCATGGTTATATGCTCCAAATTACAAAGTTAACTCTCAAAGGAGAGAAACATTTTGTTGGCAAAATCTTTTTTTAAGGGGGACGTTTTTAACTGTGTTGGGGCGGGGGTTGTCAGGTGGAGTCTGTTAAAGATTTATATTTGGTAAAACATAAAAGTAGCCAAGAACTCTGTATCATAATGATAAACATCAGTCCCATGCCAAACCTAGACACTGTAATGCAGAGTCATAGGGAGCTGAACAAAGGACAATGCTAAATGTCCTGGTATTTCAAAATTTTTCATTACTTTATTTTGGCCTGGATTAAGCATTCTATTAAATGATTATCATAGATGTCTGTAGGGAAATCCAGCCACACAACATGTGGGACAGCTAAGTCGATTTATAACCTAATCATGGTTCTGAAAAAAGTTGTGATATATATTTCTGAGTTTGGAGTGATGGCTCAAGAACATTAGCAGAAAAAAGTTACTTATAGTACCAACTCATATGAAAAGCAAACAAAAACAGAGACCAATTATTTGACCACCCAGTAATTTAATCTATGCTATTTTATTACTGCACTATCATCCATACCATTAAAGGTTAAATTCAGCCCAAAATTATAAAATAGTAGTAAAAGTAAGCATTTTTAAAATACGTGCCAAATCCTGTTAAACATTTTATATTCACTAACTCACTTATTCCCCAAATATAATCCTAGCAGAATAGTTATTATCATCATTTTGCACATGAAGCAACCTTTTTCACATTGCCAGTACATAGAAGCATTTACCTTTCCCAGGTTGCCACAGTTATATAAAGTATAATAAAATGAAGGAAAAAGGATGAGGGAAAGGAAAAGGAAGATGAGTAAAAGGAAGAGGAAGAGGAGAGTAAGAAGGAAGGTGAGGTGAAGAAACAGATGTAAAACTATATACACATTCAATATAAAGATAAATATGTTCAAATATTTTAATTCAATTCTATAGAAAACAATCAAGGACAGAAAGAAAACCAGCAAACTAATACAATGTTTAGATGATGCAATTCTGAATTTTTTCTATTTCTGTATTACTTTATCTATTACTTAAATAAACATGTATTGCTTTTCCAACTGAAAAAATAAAATGCATTTAAGAATCTAGAATAGTAACTGGTTCATAGTAGATGCTCAATAAAATATTACTTAAAATGAAAACCAAACAACAACAAAAATTCAGTGTAACTACAAGTCTAATTTTCAATAATTATCTAAAATAAAATAAATGCTTAAAACAATAATGTGGCGGTTAACAATAACAAAATGGAGTCACTTATGTCAAAACTTTAACCAAAATGAAGTCGGGGAAGGCCATAAAGAAACTCTCTCCCTTGCATTCCTGAAATATCTGGACATCTTGTTAGTACTTGTACACAGAGCAAACAGAGATTATCACAGGAATTTCCTCTGGCCTACAGTATTTCAGATAAGACATTCAGACCTGGACAGTTGCCTAGCAACAGCTATCTCCCCAAATGAATTAGTGCCAACCCCTGCAATGTGTCCCTGAGACCAATGAGCTTTGTTTCAAAGCAGTTTGTGTAAATTTCTCTTTGTCTTTAAAAATTTCCAGTTTGTCCCAGTTTTCCTCATGTGGGCCCATGATTTTCATAGCATGTACACCCTAGGTTGCAAGCCTTTGCTATTACCAAATAAACTCTTTTGTTCTAGACAGCCTATCTCTCTGAGTTTCTTTTTTAGGTTGACAAATGAAATGAAAACTCCTTCTCAGGATCGATCCCTCACAAACCCAAGAAGCAATCACCACTGGTCAGAATTTTTAAAATTCAGTGTCTTTTCCATATTCTAACTTCCTCTTGTAATTAATCATGATATCAAAATGGTTTTAAAACATACATATGGGCCAGGCACAGTGGCTCATGCTTGTAATCCCAGCACTTTGGGAGGCCGAGGCAGGAAGATTGCTTGAGCCAAGGATTTCGCAACCAGCCCGGGCAACATAGCAAGATCCCAATCTCTACAAAAGGTTATAAGAATTAGCTGAGCATGGTGGTGTGTGCCTGTGGTTCCAGCTGTTCAGGAGGCTGAGGAGGGAGGATCACTTGAACCTTACAGGTCGAGGCTGCAGTGAGCCATGTTTGCACCACTGCACTCCAGCCTGGGTGACAGAATGAGTGAGACTCTGTCTCAAAAAAAAAAAAAAAAAAAAAGTACATATATTTGATATCCTGAAATTCTTAATTTGAGAATTGATGTAGCAGATTCCTAGATCCCTTCCACTGCAACTACAGAACCCATAAGTTAATGTTATTTTATTATCCCTCAAATGGGAAGGGGAAAGAAGAGAGTAGCTTCAATGGTTATTATGATGGAATCTCTGTTCTATTACTAAATAACTTGATTTGTCAACTGAAAAAGTAAGCCACTTTCTTTTGCTTCCTAGTCCACTTACAAGATATGCAAAAAAAAAACTCCCTACAAACATCATAAAGCTATTTACAAAGAAACATTTTAGACAAAAATAAATCTGGTCCCCCTCCTCTCACATCATAGGTGCCATGTTTCCATTAGGAAACAATTTTGTGTGTTTTTTCTAGAAGCATTTGTCTGAGGACAGTATAGACTAGCCCATTTTAATAAACTCTTTAACATTGAAGTGTACAGGGAAAAAAGGAACCTCAGAGATGATCCAGCCCAATTTCACAGACATAACAAATTTTCCAGCTATGTCCATAAATACTAGTCCAAGTTCTGCTGGAACATCTCTAGTAAAAAGAAGTTCACTGCAAAGCAACCAATCCCATTTCAACAGCTGTTGCAAAGTTCTTATAGAAAACTAAAACTTACCTTTCTATAATTTTCACCATTTATCTTATTTTTGCCTTCAAAGGACCAGTGAGAACAAGTCCTTGATCCCTTTTTCTCCTTCTCCAGACTAAACAATCTCAAATTATTCAACTATTCTACATATAAACAGCCTTTCAATTGTAGTTTTACCCTCTGGACATGTTCCAGCAGTCACTTTTCTTTAAGTGTAACAACAAAGGCAGTATAGCACAGTGGGCAAGAACACAGGCTTCATAGCCAGACTTTCAGGATTTGAGCCTTAGTTCTACCACTTAATAGTTGTGTGATCTTGGGCAAGTTTATTAAACCTCTGTATACTTCAGTTTCCACATCAGCAAAATGCAGATAATGGTAGGAACCAATTCATACAGTTGCTGTGTGAAGATTAAATGAGATAATGTAAGAATTCTGAACAGTACCTGGCATACAGAAAGCATTCTATAAATATTAAAAATTTTTAAATCAAGCATGGTCAAATGAGAAAAATAAGGCCCATCTCCTTTAACCTTGTTACTTAGCTCCTATTAACAGCCTAATACTAATGCTTATGCAGTTTTGACAGTCATATCATGCTATATATTGAACTCAGAGTCATAAAATTTTTCCATGTGTTTTTCCATATTGCTATAGGCATGTAGTTGATACTCTGAATCTACAATTTACTACTATTAACTATGGTTCATTTTTCCAGTCTTGTGAGACCTTTTGGGACAATGACTTTGCCATTTCAACTTTTCATTTCAATGTTTCCCTTTGTTAAGTAGGTACAGAAAGATTTTCACAAAAGAAAAAATCCACGTGGGAAAGGGCAGAAACCCAAAAAACTCTAGAATCTAAGACAGAAGAACTGAAGAACCCTGGCATGCACCAACATTTAAACGGAGATTTGCTGGTTTCCAATTTTAACGGGGAAGACTGTTAATCACAAAACATCAAGTAGAGACTTGAAAAAGTTAATATTGATTCTTTAGAAAAAGTCCAGGAAATAGAAAAAGCCACCAACCTCACTTCCTTAAGCCAATATTCAGCCCCCTAACTGTGTCCAACTTGGAGAGAATTTGCCACAAGCCAAAGCTTTTAATGTCCCTACCTTTTGAAGGCACAGTAGTAACAATTCCCAGAACAAGGGAGTTGCGTCAGTGAACTCTCTGCTCTTTCAAGTTGGAAGGACAGTTGATTCACACCATGTGTCAGAGAGAAACACCAGTGAAAACCAAGTGAGATAAATTTTAGGTCTCCAGAGCTGTTTAATATTAAGCTGTATTAAATCATTGTTATAGCAAATTATAAACAAAATATTTTGTTTACCCTTCCTCTCATATGCTCCTTCTCTTGAAAAGAAATTTTAAGATAATTCATAGTTCCAAGGTCACAGATGCTCCACCAAAAAAAATCATTTCCAAATGTTAGCATCCAGAACCAATGATCTGGATCATACTCCCAGCAAACTTCCCTGGCATATCATAGAGTAAGCTTTGCTACATAACCTTTTAGGTTTCAAGACAGTGTTAGTTTACTGATGGTCACAGACTTAGAGGAAGACTTCACTTTTGTCAACTGTCTCTACATGAAGTCATCTTAGTGTCCATTCTATTCAATAATTTTACTTTCTACTTAGATCAAGAAATCAACTATATGTTAAACTCCATAAATAATACTAAGTTGATTTTGTTTTTAATACTATGAATGGTACGACTAAAACGTGAAACATGTAATAATGTTCATCAAATGTCTGACCTGAAATGAGCATGTAGACAAGTTAATTTAACACTGAAGAAGAAAAGAAAAAAGACCTGAAACAACCTTGATCTACATGAATTTATTTGAAAAAATGGTCCTAGAGCAATGAAAATAAAATTTAACACAAGTGATAACAAAACTCAAACCATAAAAGTTGAGGAAAAACTAAACCAACAATACAAATATTTTAAGATAAAGCTTAACATGTTAAGAGACATCTTTCTGAAAAGAGAGACCACTAAAACTGCATGATTAGTTCAATACAAGGAATTAAAAAATTACAATGGGTAACTGTGGAAAGCAAATTTCACTTCTCTCAAAAATGACATATGATGCCAGGCAGGGGGGCTCATGCCTGTAATCCCAACACTTTCGGAGGCTGAGACAGGTGAATCACCTGAGGTCAGGACTTCAGGACCAGCCTGGCCAACACGGCGAAACCCCATCTCTACTAAAAATACAAAAATTAGCTGGGTGTGGTGGTGTGCACCTATTATCCCAGCTACTCAGGAGGCTGAGGCAGGAGAATCACTTGAACCCAGGAGGAGGAGGTTGCAGTAAGCCGAGATTGTGCCACTGCACTGCAACCTGGCTGAAGAGCAAGACTCTGTCTCAAAAAAAAAAGACATATGATTAAAATTTGTTAGATATCTACCTGAGGCCTACTGTACATTTTCATTACTCTTCCATTATCAATAGATCAATCTGGTTTGGGCTGTATAACTTCTTTAGAGAATCTGATATTCTACACAGGTGAACTCTAAACTCAACAAAGTGATGATCTACTGTGACCCCAATCATCACTAAGAAACAAAGTTGCTTGCCAATAAATTACTTCTCCAAAGCATTGCATTTAGGGCACTCTCCAAAAGCTATGAAATATCACCACCACATTCTAGCTCTCCAATTTATAAGGTAACTTGATTATTTATTTAAAGAGGGAAAGCAGCAGCATCTTTTTTTTTAATGTTCAAAATAGATCAAACTAAAATAGACTTTTAAAGGGCAAGATAAATTTGACTATTAAATAATAAAATAAATGGCCTCAGCAAATTAAATAGACACTGTTTTCTCAGAAATTTAACAAGATTGGCTATGTTAGGTGGTTTGGGCATTTTCCTGCCATAGGCTCATTTAGTATCTATTGACTGAGAATTTACTAAAAACAAAAAGAAAAGAATATCTTCCTTTGAGGGTGCCCATACTATAATTAGTAAGGAAATATATAAGAAACCACAATGAAAAGTAATTATAAAACTGTTCAGGAGCTAAGGATGGTAGCATATGCCTGTAATCCCAGCTACTCAGGAGGCTGAGGTCAAAGGTTCTCTTGAGCCCAGGAGTTCAAGATCACCCTGAGCAACATACTGCTCATCTCAAATTTAAAAAAAAGAAAAAAAGCCAGGCATGGTGGCTCATGCCTGTAATCCCAGCACTTTGGGAGGCTGAGGCAGGCAGATCACAAGGTCAAGGGATCAAGACCATCCTAGCCAACATGGTAAAACCCCATCTCTACAAAAAATACAAAAATTAGCTGGGCGTGGTGGCATGTGCCTGTAGTCCCAGCCACTTGGGAAGCTGAGGCAGCAGAATCACTTTAACTGGGGAAGCAGAGGTTGCAGTGAGCCGAGATGGTGCCACTGAACTCCAGCCTGGCAACAGAGTGAGACTCCGTCTCAAAAAAAAAAAAAAAAGAAAAGAAAAGAAGAAAAAACCTGTGTATAAAGTAATACATTTAAATCTGTTACACTTAGGTGATATAGCATGAAAAATAAAGGAATGTTCAGCACAGAAATGGATTAGTCAGAAAAGGCTTCTTGGAGTTGCTAACAAACACTAATAAAGAAAAATAAACCTTAAAAGCAAAAGCAGAGGGAAGAAAATAACACATAAAACACAAAGAAAGAATGACTGCAGACTTCTCATCCAAATTATATAAAGAAGAAGACAATGGAAAGATACCTGTAAAGTGCTAAAGGAAAAAAAAAAATTGTAAATCAAGAATTTTATACCTAGCAAACATATCAATCAACAAAGCAAAACCTTAGAAAATTTGTTGTCCGCAGACCCGCACTATAAAAACTGTTAAAGTAAGTTCCTCAGGCAAAAATAATATAAAATCTGTTCAAAATCTGGATCTTCACAAAAGCATAAGGAGCAAATAAACTGGTAAATATATAGGAACATATAAAATATTATTATTATTTTAAAATGTTTTAAAAGATAACATTTAAAAAAAGATTGCTGATTGTTCAAAGCAAAAATAATGATAATGAACTATGGAATTCAAAACACATGTAGAAGTAAAATATAATTAATGATAACTCAAAGATCAATGGGTGAAATGAAAATACACTGTTTTAAGGATTGTATGTTATATACAAACACGTACAATAGCATTTGAAAATACATTGCAATAAGTTAAAGATGCATACTGTAAACCCTAAAGCAACCACTAAAAACAAACAAAACAAAACAAAAAACACTAAGAAGGTATACCTAACAATGGAATCTTTAAAAATATTTGGTTGTTCTAATTCAGTTAAGGAGAATATGAAATGAGAAATAAAGAGAAAAAAAAAGATAAGACAAACAAAAAACAAACAGCAAGATAACAGAGTTAAACCTAGTCATATAGGTAATTGTGTTAACATAAATTATCTCCTCTTATCCTGTTTTCTTTATAATTAATTGAGTATACTTCCATTTCCCCCTTCCTGTATTTAGAGCTATTGTTGTCATTCCTTTGTATAGTACCTTGGTGTTGTTTTGCTGTTTATGTTTATCCTGCTCAAGGAGTTGTTTGAGCTTCTTGAATTTCCATTCCTGTTTTCCAGAGAAAGTCAATTTGAACGTGTTTTTTCTTTTTTTTTTTTTTCTTTTGACAGGGTCTTACTCTGGCACCCAGGCTGGAGTGCACTGGTACGATCTTGGCTCACTGCACACCTCCCAGACTCAAGTGATCCTCCTATCTCAGCCTCACAAGTAGCTGGGACTACAGGTGCGTGCCACCACACCCGGGTAATTTTTGTATTTTTTGGTAGAGATGGGTTTTCACCATGTTGGCCAGGCTGGTCTTGAACTCCTACCTCAAACAATCTGCCCTGCCTCAGCCTCCCAAAGCACTGGGATTGCAGGCATGAGCCATCACACCCAGCCCAATTTGAACTTTTATAAATGTTTCTATTTTTAATTTTTGAGAAGTAAGCCCATATCTTCAAATAATATAATATTGGATGGGTGTGGTGGCTCATACCTGTAAACCCAGCAGCTTGAGAGGCCAAGGCAGGCAGATTGCTTGAGCCCAGGGCTTTGAGACCAACCTGGGCAACATGGTGAAACCTTGTCTCTACAAAAAATACAAAAATTAGCCGGGTGTGGTGGCATGCCTGTAGTACCAGGTACTCGGGAGGCTGTGGTGGGAGGATCACTTGAGCCCAGGAGGTCAAGGCTCCAGTGAGCTGTGATTGTACCCCTGCACTCCAGCATGGGCGACAGAGCGAGCACTTGTCTTAAAAAATTAAAATAATATAAAATAAAAAGATAATATTGCCATTTTCCCTTTATCCATTTTAGATATTGTCTATTTCCTACTATAATTGATCAAAAATTACCTCATGATACCATATCATTCCTTTTCCTCTCCTCTCAATACTTATATACCCCTTTTAGTTTTTCTAAAGATTGCTTTTGTAATATAAATAATATAGTTATGCTTTTGTTTCTTGTATTATTAAAAACAGATTATCTTGATTCCCAACTATGCAAAATGAAGCATTACCTCTCCCTTATTTTCTCTCTTTTTTTTTTTTTTTTTTTTTTTTTGAGACAGAGTCTCACTCTGTTGCCCAGGCTGGAGTGCAGTGGTGTGATCACAGCTCACTGTAGCCCTGACCTCCCAGGCTCAAGCAATCCTCCCACCTCAGCCTCCAGAGTAGCTGAGACTAGAGGCATGTGCCACATCCAGCTAATTTTTTTATTTTTTGTAGAGATGGGGTCTCACTATGTTACGCAGGTTGGTCTCAAACTCCTGGGCTCAACCAATCCTGCCTCAGCCTCCCAAAGTGCTGGGATGACAGGCATGAGCCACCGTGCCTGACCCCCTTACTTTCTCTTTATATCTTTTCCTTACTTTCTCCAACTGTGGAAATGAATTTTACACTGATAGAGTTGATAAACACATATATTTTGTTCTATAATCATAATTGTTTTTCATAGATGGCCCATACTTTGTCTTTGCAAACAAACAAATAACATTTGCATTATTTTAACTATACAAATATTCTTCACTTTTAAGCCAGATCGTATACTAATATTGCCATTCCTTCCTGGCTGGAATCCCTTTGCCTGTAAATCTCTTTCTTGAAATTCTCCTTTCTCCTGCTCCAATCTAAACTGATACTCCCAGCCAGGTGTGGTGGCTCACACCTATAATCCAAGCTCTTTGGGAAGCCAAGGTGGGAGGATTACTTGAGCCCAAGAGTTCAATACCAGCCTGAGCAACATGGTGAGACCCCATCACTACAAAAAAAAAGGGACTTGATAAGGTCCCTTCCATTTAGGAAGAAAAATTTTTAAAAAATTAGCCGGGCATGGTGGCACATGCCTGTAGTCCCAGCTACTTGGAATGCTGAGGCAGGAGGATAGCTTTAGGCCAAGAGTTCAAGGCTGTAGTGAGCTCCAGTACACTCCAGCCAGGGCAACAGAGCAACACCCTCTCTCAAAAAAAAATTTAAAATAAAAATAAATAAATGAATACCTCTCCAGGTCTTCTGCATACCTGTTTATGATATTCTTTCCTGAGGGACTAACAGAACTGCTCAGGCAGTCAGGCGTGGTGGCTCAGGCCTATAATCCCAGCACTTTGGGAGGCTGAGGTGGGTGGATCAGCTGAGGTCAGGAGTTCAAGACCAGCCTGGCTAACATGGTGAAACCCCCCTCTCTACTAAATTACAAAACTTAGCCAGCCATGATGACTGGTGCCTATAATCCCAGCTACTGGGGAGGCTGAGGCGGGAGAATCACTTGAACCCGGGAGGTGGAGGTTGCTGTGAGCCGAGATTGCGCCATTGCACTCCAGCATGGGTGACACAGCAAGACTCCATCTCAAAAAAACAAAAACAAAAACAAAAAACAGAACTGCTCCGGCAACCAGAATCTAAGGGAACAGAACACTGGAGAAGAGGGGAATAGTAAGAATGGGTCTGCCAATATGCTTCAGTCACTTTTTCCCCCTCAAGGTAAGTACCAAATCTCCATTCAAGAGGCTGAAGTTCCCGGGAAAGGGAACAAGCAGAAAGTCAAGACCAAAAGGCAGGAAAATCAGCTTTTGACAGTTTTAGAGAATCCCGGTACCTTAAATTAGAGGCATAAGAGGTTAGAATCCTGAAGAGGAAAGATGGGAAGAATACATAGCACTGTTATTATTTTCTCAACACATTTGCTGAATTCTTAAGCTATACAAAGAGAGAGGTTAAGATAAGCAAAAAGACTCAGAGAAGCCAACAGAATGTTAGGTAGTATTGAGGTATAAAGGAAAGAAAAGAATTAAGGATCTACCAAGGGAAGGGCTCCTAGTCATCACTCCAGGCTCTTTGGAATGTCTGGAGGACAATAGCATTAAGGCAGTAATGAGCCACACCCTAACTAAAGCTGAACCCTAGATTTAGCCAGCTCAGTCGTTGACTGGATTAAATATTGCCATACCATCTGCCTTACCAAAAGTGGGAGCAGAGGGGAGGGACCTTCACTTAAGGAAGAAAACACTATCCAAAACCTCCACAATTTTTTTAATGTCTATTCAGTCCAAAATTACCAAGTGTGCCAAGAGAAGATCACATGACTAAAAATCACATGACTAAAAATCAAGATTCACAGATGATCTAGATATTGAACTTATCAGATAAGAACTTTAAAAATGGCTATGATTAATACCACAAGAAAAAAGGAAAAGAACAAAACACATGAGAAGATGGAGAATTTCACTACAGCCTTACGATTTGTTTTTTTATTATAAAACTGGAGAAAACCCAGAACTGGGTTTTTAAAATTCCGAACTCCATAGATGGTTTACCAGCAAATAAGTCAATTGAAAAAATCCACATTGAGGTTGGGCACAGTGGCTCACACCTGTAATCCCAGCACTTTGGGAGGATGAGGCAAGTGGATCATTTGAGGTTAGGAGGTGGAGATCAGCCTGGCCAACATGGTGAAACTCCATCTCTATCAAAAATAGAAAAATCAGCCGGGCGTAGTGGTGCGCGTCTGTAATCCCAGCTACTCGGGAGGCTGAGGCACAAAAATCGCTTGAAACCGGGAGGCAGAGGTTGCAATGAGCCGAGATCACCACTGCCCTCCAGCTTGGGTGACAGAGTGAGACCCTGTCTCAAAAGAAAAAAAAAAAAAAAAGGAAAAAAAAAATCCACATTGAAGCCCAAAGAGAACAAGGAAAGGACAGGATGTAAAATACAGAAGAATGTAAGAAAAATGAAACATGGGACACCATCAAAAGCCCTCAGCCAGCAGTTCTCAAAATTTTTTGCCTGGCACTATTTTTATGCTCTCAAAAAATATTGGGTTTCCTGGCCGAGTGCGGGGGCTCACGCCTGTAATCCCTGCACTTTGGAAGGCCGAGGCGGGTGTATCACCTGAGGTTAGGAGTTCGAGACAAGACTAGGCAACATGGTGAAACCCCGTCTCTACTAAAAATACAAAAAATTAGCAGGGTGTAGTGCCGGGCGCCTGTAATCCTAGCAACTGGAGAGGCTGAGGCAGGAGAATCGCTTGAAACCGGGAGGCGGAGGTTGCAGTAAACCAAGATCGCGCCATTTCACTCCAACCTGGGCAAAAGAGCAAAACTCGGTCTCAAATATATATTATAATATATATTTCCCTTGGGTTTCCCAAGAACTTTTGTGTATGTGTTATGTTTGTTGACATTAGCCACATTAACAATTGGAACTGGGCCAGGCACAGTGGCTCACGCTTGCAATCCCAACACTTTGGGAGGCGAGGCCGGCGGATTGCTTGAGGCTAAGGAGTTTGAGACCAACCTGGGAAACACGGCAAAACCCCATCTCTACAAAAAATACCAAAAAAGTTAGCTAGGCATGGTGGCATGCACCTGTGGTCCCAGCTACTCAGGAGGCTGAGGTGGGAGTATCACCTAAGCCTGGGAGGTGGAGGTTGCAGTGAGCAGAGATTAGACCACTGCACTCCAGCCTGGGAGACACAGAGACCTTGTTAAAAAAAAAAAAAAAAAAAAAAAAAGACCAAGTCCGGTGGCTCACGCTTATAATTCCAGAACTTTGGGAGGCCGAGGCAGGCGGATCGCCTGAGGTCAGGAGTTCAAGACCAGCCTGGACAATAATGGCGAAACCCCGTCTCCACTAAAAATATAAAAATTAGAGGAGAGTAATGTCATGGGCCTGTAATCCCAGCTACTCGGAAGGCTGAGGCAGGAGAATCACATGAACCCGGGAGGCAGAGGTTACAGTGAGTTGAGATCATGCCACTGCACTCCAGATTCCAGCCTGGGGGCCAGAGTGAGACTCCGTTAAAAAAAAAAAAAAAAAGAAAGAAAGAAAGAAAGAAATTGAAACAGAAGAAAAAAATTACATAAAAGAACATACAAGTATAAATAACATTCACCACTGAAACAATGATATTTTCACATCATGCAGCCTCTAAGAAACTCAATTCTATTCCCCTAGGAGAATGCAAGCTTTTTTTTTTTTTTTTTTTCGAGACAGAGTTTGGCTCTTGTTGCCCAGGCTGGAGTGCAATGGTGCGATCTCGGCTCACTGCAACCTCCGCCTACCGGGTTCAAGCCATTCTCTTGCCGCAGCCTCCCGAGTAGCTGGGATTACAGGCATGCGCTACCACCCCCGGCTAATTTTGTATTTTCTTTCTCCCCGGCTAATTTTGTATTTTGTTTCTCCATGTTGGTCAGGCTGGTCTCAAACTCCAGACCTCAGGTGATCCCCCCGCCTTGGCCTCCCAAAGTGCTGGGATTAGAGGCGTGAGACACTGTGCCCGGCCTAAGCTTTTTTTTTTTTTTTTTAAGTAAATAACATCTAACTGATATTATGAAAATATTTTTAAATCTGTAACTCTCCTGAAAGAAATTTTATCATTGTATAATTGTGCAGAAGCAATACTTAAAGACATCATAGCCAAGTATATCTAAAAACTTATGAAAGATATCAGTCCATAGTTTCAAGCCCTATAAACCCAAAGCATGATGAATGTAAAGAAAACTATACTTGGCCAGCCGTGGTAGTTCACACCTGTAATCCCAGCACCTTAGGAGGCTGAGGCAAGAATATTGCTTGAAGCCAGGAGGTCAAGACCAGCCTGGGCAACAAAGCTAAACCCTGTCTCTACAAAAAAAAATTAGCCAGGCACAGTGGCATGTGCCTATAGTCCCAGCTACTTGGGATTAGACAAGTTCTGGAGATAGGTGGCAGTTTTGGCTACAGAAAAATGTGAATATACTTAATGCCACTGAACTGTACACTTAAAAATGGTTAAAATGGTAAAGTATATGTTATGTATATTTTACTGCAATTTTAAAATAAGGTGAAATACAGACATTATTCATACAAACAAAATAAATGAGTCCTTCACTAAAAGAAATGCTAAAGGGAGTTCTGCATACAAAAGGAAAAGTGACCTCAGAATGAAGCACAGAGATGGAGGAGGAAATGAAGAATCAAACAAAAGAGTAAACATACATGAATGGTGACTCTACGAAATAATAAGGATAATGTTGTGTGGGAACAAAATTACATGTAAAATTAAAATTCATGACAACAGTGTAAGATGTAGGAAAGGATAAATGAAAAAGTGTTACATATTCCTAGCAGTGTCAAGGAAGTGATAAAAATATTAATTTATATTATACTCTGAGTCAAGGATACATGCTGAAATTCTTTGAGTAATGTCTAATAACTAAAAAAGGAAGGGCCAGGCCCAGTGGCTCACACCTGTAATCCCAGCACTTTGGGAGGCCAAGGCGGGCAGATCACCTGAGGTCAGGAATTCGAGACCAGCCTGGCCAACATGGCAAAACTCTGTCTCTACTAAAAATACAAAAATTAGCCGGGTGTGGTGACACGTGCCTGTAATCCCAGCTACTCGAGAGGCTGAGACAGGAGAATTGCTTGAACTCAGGAGGTGGAGGTTGCAGTGAGCCGAGATCGTGCCACTGCACTCCAGCCTGGGCGACAGAGCAAGACTCCATCTCAAAAATAAAATAAAATAAAATAGAAAGAAGAAGAGTCAATAGACAGCCAAAAATAATAAGAATCAAGAATAAGCACTTAGGGAAAAAGAAAAACCAGCAAGTATCAGACTTCTCCACAGCAACATTGAACACCAGAAGACAAGATACTCAAGGAAACAAAACATGAGCCAAGAACTTTAATTTCAACCAAGCTAGCCTTTAAATATAAAGTCTATAGAGCTAAAATTTGAATATACAATAACTCAAAAATTGTTGTTCACATAAGTCCTTCTTAAGGCAACTACTAGAGGAGGAACACAAACCCAACTAGATGACAGGGAAAACTTCAATAAAAAAGAATGTCAATGAAGACTGAATATATTTAACTGCAACTCTAAGACAAAAACAAGGTCAGATTAAAAGTGATCAAGTATGATACATAAAAATAGTACATAAAAATTATACAACTAAGAAAAAAAAGAGAGAAGATAGAAAGTAGAATAAACTAGTCAACTATCTTATACCAGTAACTGTGAGCCAAAGCTAGGCAAATCAACTACAGGTCTACAATCCCTAATCGAAAATCCTTGTAGCAAAATGTTTCATAATACCAAATTCTGTACATTTAAAAAAAATACAGCTCATCTGTCACATATTATGTAACATCCCAGTAAGATCTTAAGCATTCCATAATCAAACACATTCATATTTCAGCAGTAAAATATAGGAATATTCACAAAAGTGGTAAATATAAAGATTATTAATATATTAAGTCAATTCACATCAGGTTTTCTTGCCAAATGAATTAAGGCAGATTTTGACAACAAATAGTTTTTAGAGCCTTTAGGATTTGGGGATTACAAATGAGAGATTATGGGCCAAATCAAGTATGCTTGACTACAAAGTAAAGCACTAAGATAATACTATTCCCTGATATTTAATGCTAAGAGGAAAGAATAACAGAAGAGTACACAAGTTAAGTTTCATTGTTGCCCTTGGGTGAGAAATCAGTAAATATTACCTTCAGAGAGAGACAGAGAGAACTGAGGATGCAATACAAAGGAACCACAAGAACAAAAATACAATTTTTTAAAAATTCAAAGAAAAAAAGGAAGCCATTAGATATGGCTTCATGGTAGTGTCTTCCCCCTCGCCCCCAGAAAAATTATTTGACTTGACACTAAGTTGTTTTTAAATAATGATTATAGTGCTCTTCATTTCCAACTTACTACACTTGGAAGAAACAATTGCTGATGAGCATAAAGTCACTAGGGGGCAGCAGAGCATAAAGAGTATCCTCTGAAAAGTGGTGACAACTACAAAGTTATTACATAACCAGAAGTGTCTTCAACTGCTGAAAACATTTCATACTCATCACAAGCACAATAAAACACTCGCCAATTAATTTGTAAAAATTGCTTCTAAGATATTCATTATATTCTTTATAATTGTTGTAATTTTTATTTTGAAATAATTTCACATTGCACAGAACTCTTGTATAGCCTTTATGCAGAGTTCACTAATTTTTGCCATATTTGTTTTATCATTCTCTCCCTACATATATATGCATGCTTATTTTTCTAAACCATTTGTAAGTAGGCTTCATATATCATGCCTGTAAAACTATAGTCTGTACCTCCTCTCTCTTACATAATGATAGTACCATTATGAAATTCAAGAAATTTACATTGATACAATTATATCTAACCCACAGTCCAAATTCCAATTTTGAAGATTATCCCAATAATGCTCTTTAGAGCATTTTCATTTCCTACTGGAAAGTATCCAGTCTAAGATCATGAATTACATTTTGTGGTCATGTCTCTTCAGTTTCTTTTTATCTAAACAAGCAGCCAAATTTATGGACAAAAGACTACTTTACATTATTAAAAATTACTGAGAGCCTGGATGTGGTAGCTCACATCTGTAATCTCAACATTTTGTGAGGCCAAGGTGGAAGGATCGCTTCAGGCCAGGAATTCAAGCCCAGCCTGGGCAACATGGTGAGACCATATCTCTAAAAAAGAAAGAAAAGAGGAAAAATAAAAATTACTGAGTACCCTAAAGAGCTTTTGCTTATATGAATTATATATATATTAGTATGTGCTATTTTAGATATTAAAACTGAGGAGCGATGTCAGCAAGATGGCAGAATAGGAGTTTCCAACACACATCCCTTCACAGAAACATCAGTTTGAACAAACATCCAAGTACAAAAATATATTCAAAAGAACTAAGGAATCCAGGTAAGAGATCACAGCACCTAGGTAGAATGCAGAAATAAGAAAATATACATTAAAGGGGGTATGAAAGACGGCTTCACATTATCCATGATTCCCTTCCCCCAAGCTCACAAGAGAGACCCTCGCTGGAGGAAAACGAGAATGATATGAGCACCCTACTTCACTGGGGACCCCAGCCCCAGGCCTCCCCAGTGAATTTTGGTGCCAGGCCAGCCGCCATGTACCTAAGCTCCAGGCCAAATCCAACACAAGGACAGCCAGTGACCTAAGGCTCCAGGCCTGCCCCTGCAGGACCAGGCTTAAGGCAAGCTCCAGTGCCAGGATGGCCCCCAAAGCCCCAGGCTTCAGGCCTGCCCAATAGAACCTGGTGCCAGGCAAGTCCCCACAGAAACAGGTTCTAGGCCCAGCCACATGGTACCAGGCACCAGGCTCACCTCCATGGAAAGAGACGCCAAGACTGCCCCATTGCCAGTTAGTCATTGTGGATCCAAGCTTCAGGCCTGCTCCTGCAGACCCCATTGCCAGCCCAACCCAGTAGATCCTTTTACCAGGCTGATCCCCATGACCCCAGAATCCAGGCCCACACACCCAGGCAACAGGACTGATCCTATAAACCCAGGTGCTAGGAATGCCTACCTGCTGACCCAGGGACCAGGCCAGCCTACCCAAGGACTTCAGAAGAAAGCCAACCTATGCACTCGACCAATCAGCCTGTTCAGAGATTCTGAGTAGGCTGACTGGGTGATGGGCTTTCCCTGCCAAAGCCAGCCTGTAAAGACTGGAAGAGGTACCTACATCTTCAAATGCACAACTACCAAACCAAAGCCAGAAGGATCACAAATAAACAGGAAAACCATAATCCCCCCACCCAAGGAACAAAATAAAGCTCCAGTAGCCAGCCCTAAAGAAATGAAGATCTACGAACTGTCTGAAAAAGATTTCAAAATAATCATCCAAAAGAAATGTAGAGAGCTACAAAAGAACCACAGAGAACTATAAAAGAACATGTACAACATGGTAACTATAGTTAATAACATTATTATATTGTATAATTTAAATTTGCTAAGACAGTAGACCTTAGATTTTCTTTTTTTTTTTTTTTTTTTTTTGTGAGACAGGGTCTCACTCTGTTGCCCAGGCTGGAGTGCAGTGGTGCAATCATGACTCACTGCAGCCTCAACCTCCCAGGCTCAGGTGATCCTCCCATGTCAGCCTCTCAAGTAGCTGGGACCACAAGCATAAGCCACCATGCCCAGCTAATTTTTTTCACATTTGTTGTAAAGATGGGATTTCACCATGTTGCTCAGGTTGGTCAGGAACTCCTGGGCTCAAGCAATCCACCTGCCTCAGCCTCCCAAGGTGTTGGGATTACAGGTATGAGCCACCATACCGGGTAGATCTTAAGTTTTCTCACCAAAAAAAAAAAAAAAGGCAACTATGTGAGTTGATGAATATGTTAATTAGCACAATTTTAATAATCATTTCACAATGTGTATATATATCAAAACATCTCATTCTATACCTTAGGTATATACTTTTTAAAATTATACCTCAAGAAAGTCGGAAAAAAAAACTAAAACTGAGAACCTTGAAAATAATTAATTCATTTAAAATTAACAATGAACCCACTACAAGTTAAACAGTATATTTTATACAAATAAAAAACAAATAGTTAAAATAGTTTGTTTTACATTTGTGAAAGTCTCTTTAATGTCGTCTTAACAGAAGACATCTGGATTCTGTAGCCTCTGCATTCAACCTATGGCAATGCGCAGTTTTGGTTAAAGTATATGAAGAAAACTCAGCCTCACAATACATGTAACTGGAAAACTAAAAAGTATTTTCAAAGACTTTTCAGATAATTTTATATAAATATTCTTTGGTATAATTTTAGAATGTGACAAATGATACTTTCTTAAAGTTACAATGTGAAATCTGAAACCACATCAGTAAATTTTTTGTACCTTGTTACATTAAAACCCATTAGTCTATGTTATACTTCAAATGAATATTTCACGTGATTTTGTAACATCAGGCACTGGTCATTTAAAAAATACTGATTCACTGGGTTGTATAGGTTTTCCAAATATTGATATATTTCATTACATAGTATCAAAAAACACATTCATTAATATTATCACCCAGTCTTACAAGAAATGTTTGTAAATACTGGCAATCTTTGGAAGGGCAACAGGCTACCTCAGTGAAAATATGAACTGGTAGCAACAGAAAATTCTGCATATGTAGTCCAAATAATAAGCTGGTGATTCTGTAGAACACAATAATAAAGATGAGCTGAAAATCTAATCATAATAAATAATACTACATTATCACTATCCATCAGAATGGGTGAAATAAAAAATAGTGACAACATCAAATACTGGTGAGAATGAAGAGAAACTACATCACTAATACTTTACTGATGGAAATATAAAACAGTACAGCCAGTTGCAAAAATATTTTTGAAGTTACTAAAAAAACTAAATATACACTTACCATACAGTCCAGCCAACTGCACTCCTGAGCATTTACCCTAGAGAAATGTTAACTTATGTTGAAATATATATACATATAAATCAGTACAGGAATGTTCACAGGAGTTTTATTCATAATAGCCAATGAATGGTTCTTTCTCCTCCTGACAAAAAATATGTAGTATCTTTTTCAACACCAATTCTCTGACACTACTGATGTCTCACAATTCTAATTAATTCTCACACTATCTGCTGGAGTTAGCATCAGACTCCACAGGTTAAGGGCTCAGTCCCATAAAACTGACAAACATCATGCATCAGTCACAAACTAAGTGCCCAGATGTCCCAGATTTTTGCCCAGCCAACTACAAATTCAAGTGTTGCCATGATGCCTCCCCTCCCTACCAGGTTCAATAATTTACTAGAATAATATAGAACTCAGTTAAGCACTTTGCTTACTTACTCTTACTGATTTACTATTGAAGGTATAACTCAGGAGAATCCAAATGGAAGAGGTGCATAGGGAGAGTTATGAGAAAGAGGGGGATGCAAGGAGCTTCCATGTCCCCTTCAGACATGCCACCTTCCCAGCAACTCAATGTGTTCACCAACCTGGAAGCTCTCTGAAACTCCTTATTGTTTAGGAGTTGTTAAGAAGGTTTAATTACATGGGTATGATTGATCAAATCACTGGCCATTGGTGATTGGGGCTCTCTCCCCTCCCTGGAGGTTGGGGGAAGAAGTTGAGTATTCCAACCCTCTAATCAAGGCTTGGTCTTTCTGGCAACTAGCCCCTCCCTCTCCTAAAGCTATCTAGGGCCTCATCAAGAATTATCTCATTAGCATAAACTCAGGTATGGTTGAAAGGAGCTTCTTATGAATAACAAAACATAAACCTATGGCCTTCTCACTTGAGAAATTCCATGCAGTTTAGGAATTCTGTGCCAGAAGTCAGGGTCAAAGACCAAATGCAATTTATTATTATGCCACAGTCCAAAACAAGAAACAGCCCAGGTGTTCAACAGGTAAATGTGGTATAACAATATCATGGAGTACTATTCAGCAAAAAAAGGAATAAACAATTTATGCTCACAACAACAAATGAATCCCCAGAGAATTATGCTGAGATGCTGAGAAAAAGAAAAAAAAATACCAAAAGGTTGTAACATATGACCTCATTTATACAGCAATTTTGTAATGACGGAACTTTAACAATGGAGACAGTGGTTGGCAGAATTAGTGATGGGGAAACAGGGAAGTGGATATGATTATAAAAAGGTACCATAGCAATCATTACAGTGATGAAACAATTCGATATATTGACTGTGGTGGTGAATACACATACCTACATGAGATAAAATTGTACAGGACTAAATATATACACACAAATGCCTATAGTAAAACCATAGAAAACTGAATAATGTAGGTGAATTATATCAATGTCAATATCCTGGTTTGATATTATAGCATTGTTTTGCAAGATGTTACTGAGGGGAATTAAGTAAAGGGTACATGGAGTCTCTCTCTAATTTCTTATAAATTGCATCACTATAGAGCAGGCAATAAAAACATATAGAGATAAATACACATACACACACACATATATACATATACCCTTACATATGTAATTTCTTATAACTGTATGTGAAACTGCAATTATCTCAACAAAAATTTCAATTAAGAAACCAATACTACATATCTAAAAGGAATTCAGAATAATATTTTTATACTTTTAAGGTAATGAAGGCCCTTCTAAGCAAGATATCAAATTCAGAAGCCACAAAGAAAAAGACTGGTCGATTTTACTAAATAAAATGTTAACCTTCTGGCCAGGAGAGGTGGCTCACGCCTATAATCCCAGCACTTTGGGAGGCCAAGACGGGCATACTGTTTTAGCTCAGGAATTCGAGACTAGCCTGGGCAACATGGAGAAACCTCATCTCTACAAACAATACAAAAATTAGCCAGGCATGGGGGCACACACCTGTAGTCCCAGCTACTCATGAGGCTGAGATGGGAGGATCACTTGAGCCCCAGAGGTGGAGGTTGCAGTGAGCTGAGATCGTGCCATGCCACTGCACTCCAGCCTGGGTGAGACAGCCAGGTCTCAAAAAAAAAAAAGTTAAGTTTCTGTATAAGAATTTGCAATATGAATTAGGTGAAAAAATAGACAACAAAATGGGGAGATGTATTTATAAAAGTTAATACAAGATGAATATCTGGGACATAATACATATATAACATACAATATATAACAGTAGTTCCAAAAGGAAAGGAGAGAAAGAGAAAGAAGTTGGAAGAATATTTGAAGACATAATGACCAAAAATTTCCTAAATCTGATGAAGAATATGAATATATACTTCCAGGAAGTTCAACAAACTCCAAGTAGAATAAACTCACAAACATCCACACCAAGGCACATTATAATCAAACTGTCAAAATACAAGACAGGCCGGGAGCAGTGGATCCTGTCTGTAATGCTAGCACTTTGGGAGGCTGAGGTGGTAGGACCACCTGAGGTCAGGAGTTCAAGACCAGCCTGGGCAACATGTTGAAACCCCATCTCTAATAAAAATACAAAAATCAGCCAGGCGTGGTGGCACATGCCTGTAATCCCAGCTACTTGGGAGGCTAAGGCAGGAGAATCGCTTGAACCTGGGAGGCAGAGGTTGCAGTGAGCCAAGATCCTCATGCCACTGCACTCCAGCCTGGGCAACAGAGCGAGACTCTGTCTCAAAAAAAGAAAAACAGACTCTTGAGATTCTTGAAAGCAACAAGAGAGAAGCAACTCATTGTGTATTAAGGATCCTCAATAAGATGAACAGCAAATTTCTCATCAGAAACCATGGAGGCTAGAAGACAGTGAGATAACATATTTAAAATGTTATTTTAAATATTTTTTATTTAAATTTTTTAAATGTTGAAAGGAAAAAAACATTGAGCAAAAATTCATTACCTGGCAAAACTATCCTCTGAAATGAAAAAGAAATTAAGATATCCCCAGATAAACAAAAACTGAGAGACTCTGTCACTAGTAAACCTGACCTTTAGGAAGCACTAAAGCAAGTCCCTCAGGCTGGAAAGAAAAAACACTAAATGGTAACTCAAATCTATACAAAGAAATAAAGAAAACTGTTAAAGGATAACTGCATAGGTAAATACAAAAGTCAGTATTATTGAATTTTTCATTCGTACCTCCTCCTTTTTCCTATATGATTTAAAAGACTGCAAAAAACAATACATATCTCTGTTGATGAGCATACATTGTATAAAGATGTAATTTATAATGACAACAAAAAGGACAAATGGAGCTATATAGTAACAAAGATTTTGTATACTATTGAAACTAAATTGGTATCAAACCAGATATTCATAAATTAAGATGTTAATTGTAACCCCCAGAAAAATCACAAAGAAAATAAGTTAAAATTTATAGTTTATAAATGAATGAATCAAATTGGTACACTAGAAAATACCTATCTAACACAAAATAAGGCAGCAATGGAGAAACCAAGGAACAAAAAATACAGAAGACACACAAAATAAATAGCAAAATGGCAAAAGTAAGTCATTCCTTATCAGTAATTACAATGAATGAAAATGGACTAAACTCTCCAATTAAAAGGCAGAGATTGACATGATAAGCTGTTTTGCTGTCATTTGTTTGTTTTCTTTGACATGATGGACTTTTTAAAAATAGTAACAACATGATCCAACTGTAAGCCATGTATAAAACACTCACTTTAGATCCCAAGATAGAAATAGGTTGGAAGTGAAAGGATGGAAAAAGATATTCTAAGCAAACAATAACCAAAAGATTAACTGAACAAACCAAAGGAGAGCTAAAACTAAACAAAACAAGCTTCAAGACAAAAATAGCTGCAAGAAAAAAGGGACATTATTATTTCTATTTTAGAGGTTCAGAAAACTAGTACTCAAACTCTATTCTGCATACTGCTCCTTCTAGAATAATGTACTGTTTACAATAGAAACAGAATTAACTCTTTGGTGCCTGCATAGGTAGGAACAAATGTGCTGTATACTAGTTACCAAAAAAGTACCATTTCATACACTGGTGAGGAGGCCCTGGTTAATGTTTAGCCTATTTGTGCCAAACAGTTATCCTTTCAGTTCAGGAAAGGGATGTACTAATCTGACAAACACATTCAAGCGAAGGACTACAAATCATGACTAAGATTTGCTATTAGTCATCTCCCATTCTTTCTAAAGACTTCACTCCTTTGGGGTAAAGACTATCATACACAAGTAAAGTTTTTCCCAAAATGTCATGTTTCAGAGGAAAGTTAAGATCACCGAGTTCCAAAATTCGTTTTCTTCAGGGTTATTAATTTTCTAAAAATATAATAGAGCAAACAAATATATTAGTTTTTTTAAAAAAGCAGGATACAACATAACACATGCATGTACCTGTCTGTATGTTAATACAATATTAACATATACAGTGAATATGTCCATATATAGTATGTATAGTATAACATAAATATTACAGTATTTATAAAAACAATAGCTCATGTTTCTTCCATGTTTACTTCTTATAAAGGACTGTTCTAAACATTTTTCACTTATCATCTTGCTAAACCCCAAAACTACACCCATGATACAGGGTGACAGTATTACCTTCATTGTATAAAGAAACTGAATCACAGGCAAGATAAATTGTTTGCCCAAGTTACAAAGCTAGTGAGTAGAGCCATGATTACAGTGAAAGTATAAAAACTCAGAATCCCACACTCATCCATTTCTCTATCTGCCACTGTATTATAAGCATATATATATTATATTATATAAATGTACATATTATAACTTGCTGTCCCCATACAAAATATATATAACATTATGTAACATCATAAATACATTTGTTATACATACACAAATTTTATATATATACACGTGTGCATGTGTGTTTCAACAACATAGAAAACATGTTCAAAATGTAAAAAAAATTATCAAGCAAATATGCTAAAATAATAAGTTTATGAATAGTTTTGCTCCGCTTTAAGTTTTTCTAACTATTGCCATATTTACATCAATAAGCATTATAGTGGCAACTATTTTGGTCAGACCCCAAGCCCCATGCCAATGCTCTCTGGCAAAAGACCACACACTCCACACCCCACAGCCATAAAATTAAACATGGGACTAAGTTTGGGCCAAGCATAACATCCCAGGTCCCAGAACACATAAGAATTAGACTATTGTCTAAGGGGTGGGGAATCAGATCATTTTCCTAAGATTATAATAACTGAAGCTGACAAAAAAAAGAAAGTCCTTTTCCTCTTTGGTCTCAGAGATACAATAGATGCCTAAAGTTGCTGGTGTATGCCCGTTGCTTCATGGGAAAAGTCCATTTTAGTACAAGATGAAGACAACGGAGGGAGAGAAGACACAGAGGTGGGAGGAAAGAGGCAAGTCTGAAAAAGAGAAGAGACCTTCTGGTCAATACAAAAGTCCTTTCTTACAGTCTGACCTAATACCAACTTCACCCTATGTTTTCAGATGCTTGGTATAACTTAAACTTTTTTGTTTAAGTTAATTCACACTGAGTTTCTGTCACTTGCAACCAAAGAGTCCCAACCATTACATGTATTATTTTCATAATCTGGAAAAAAAGGCAAAGAAACAATTCTATGCTGCTTATATCTTTTTAAAAATGATCTGCATAACATTTTGTATTATTAACATATAAACTCCAAAAGAAAAGAAATATAGCTTACTAAACAATAAAAACATACCTACAATACAATGAATTTTCTAAATTTCCAAATGCCCTTATGACAATAAAATCAAAACAAGAAATCATTCCTCTCAGCAGAGCAAAACAGGACTAAAAGAACAAGCTCTAACACTTTATAAAATAACCTGATTATACAAAGATTTTTTCAGCATTTTTTGTTGTTATTGTTCTATTTTTTCCTTCTATTTATCTTCAGAACAGTATAGGTAGAACAAAACTGCATTGAAAAACCTGAAGTATTCTGTGCCCTAAAATATTTTATCTAAATCTTGAAGAGTTGCTATGTACTCTTAGCTGCATTCATGTAACTTGGCAAGCTGTCAAAGGTTTCCTTCAATTCACACTACACACGGCAGATTAGGCAACAGGACATGGAGTAGAACCTAATTCTAAAGTGACTGTTTTTCATTTTAAAATACTACCTTAGGCTATCTGACACCAAATTTCATTGAGTAGATGACAGTATATGATATGCTTGCTTTATCTAAAAAAGAGGAAGTCAGAGTAAATAAAGAATTCAACAGCAGCTATACCAATTCCCTTTACAATGGTATTTCCTCCCCGTGTAATGGCTCAAATTACAGAAAATCTGAGGTTGCTATTAAGCATTAAAAAGGATAAGAAAGTCCTTGTTAGGTTGTTTTTGTAATTGTTACACTAAGGAAAAAAAAACTTTTAAATTGGGTTTTCAGGGGTTTTTATTTTTATTTTGTGCTTACAAGTGATCAAATTCCTAACTAAATTACTACTCCCAATGCTCCTATTAATATAACCATTGGTAGATTAATCTTTCTGTCATAAAGTTCTGGCCATGCTATTCTTCTGTCCCTTGAAAAAGATACCAAGTCCTGAATCCATATTGAAGATTCTAAATAAAATCTAAATTTCTGAGCTCAACAGTCTAGTACTTTCCCAATCTTACCCTAACATTTCTATCCATTTTTTCTTCATACTGTTCCTCTACACAAGGTTTTCTCCTCTCTAAGCAAACCGATTTTTTTTAATCCTATAAACAGTCTAATTGCCAGGATAGACTAGATTATGCTACTATAACAACCAACCTCAAAATTTCAGTGGCTTAAAACAATAAAGATTTCTTTCTGGCTGATGATATGAGTCCATTGTGGGTCAGCAGGAGGCTCTCCTCTACAATGTCCTTACTCTGAGAAGCAGCCAATTATCTAGAGTCAGTAAGCTTTTTCTGTAAATAGCCACAAAGTAAATATTTTCAGCTTTATGGGACATATGGCATCTATCACAACAATTCAATTTTGCTGTTGTAGTGCAAAAGCCACCATAGACAATAAACAAATGAGTATGGCTATGTTTCAATAAAATTGCATTGACAAAAATTGGCAACAGATCGCATGTGGCCTGCATGCCAGTTAGCCAGAGCACTGCAGGTCACTGTGACAGAGGAAAAGCACAGTGAGGAAATAATAGACTCTTAAAACTTCTACTTGGAAGTGACTCATACGACTTAAACTCATATATGATTGGTCAAAACAAATCACATGGCCACAACTAACTTCCAAGGAGAAAGGACATGCAATCATACGTACCTGGAAGGGAAAAAGAAATATTGAGTATATAGGCCAGGCGCAGTGGTTCGCACTTGTAATCCCAGAACTTTGGGAGGCCGAGGTGGGAGGATCATTTGAGGTCAGGAGTTTGAGACAAGCCTGGCCAACATGGTGAAACCCCATCTCTACTAAAAATACAAAAAATTAGCTGTGCATGGTGGTGAGCACCTGTAATCCCAGCTACTCAAGAAGCTGAGGTAGGAGAATCACTTGAACCCGGGAAACAGAGGTTGCACTGAGCTGAGATCAAACCACTGCACTCCAGCCTGGGCAACAGAGCGAGACTCACTCTCAAAAAAAAAAAAAAAAGAAAAGAAAAGAAAAGAAATATTGAGTATATCATCCTAACAACATCACAAAGTATATTTTCTTGACCGTTTCTTGTTTCTTCCCTACTATTATAGAATGCCTAAATCTCCTTTATCTACAAATCCAAATCCTAGCCATTCCTCAAAACTCAGTTCAAATATCACCATCTCCAAGGATTCTGCATCTCATAATTTCTTTTTGGCTTAGATTTACCTTTTCTTTTTTATTTTTTAAAATTATTTTATTGATACAAAATTTATGCATCTTTGTGGGAAAATGTGTGATATTTTGTTACACGTATAGACTGTGTAATGATTAAGTCAGGATACTTAAGGTGTCCATCACCTCAAGCATTAATCATTCCCATATGTTGGGAAAATTTCAAGTCCTCTGTTCTAGCTATTTTGAAACAGACAAAACACAATTGTTAACTATAATCACCCTACTCTGCTATAGAACATTAAAACTTATTCCTTCTAACTGTGTATCGGTACCCATTAACCAGCTTCTTTTTATTCCCTCCCACACACCCACCCTCCCACTCCTCTGGTATCTATCATTCTATTCTCTACCTCCAGATTAATGTTCTCAGTTCCCACATATGAGTGACAACATGTGGTATTTTTCTTTCTGGGCCTGGGCTTAATTCACTCAACAAAATGACATCCAGTTCCATCCACCTTGCTGCAAATGACATGATTTCATTCTCTTCTGCAGCCGAACAGTATTCCATTGTGTATACCTCGTTTTCTTTATCCATTCATCCATTGATATGCACTTAGGTTGATTCTGTAGCTTTGCTATGTTTTTTGCCCTGCAAAACAGCATGGAAGTGCAGTTATCCCTCTGATATACTGGCTTCTTTTCCTTCCAATAAATACACTGTAGTGAGACTGCTGGATCACATGATAGTTCTATTTTTGAGAAACCTCCATACTGTTTTCCATAGTGACTGTACTAACTTACATTCCCAAGAAAGTGTATAAAAGCTCCCTTTACTCCATACCCTTTCCAATATCTGTTTGTTGGGGTTTTTTTTTTTTGTCTTTTTAATAATAGCCATTCTAACTAGGGTAAAATATATCCATGGTTTTGATTGCATTTCTCTGATTAGTGGTGTTGAGCATTTTTAATATACCTGTTGGTCACTTCTTTTTCTTTTCTTTTTTTTTTTTTTTTTTTTTTTTGAGATGGAGTCTCGCTCTGTCGCCCAGGCTGGAGTGCAGTGGCGCAATCTCAACTCACTGCAACCTCCGCCTCCCGAGTTCAAGTGATCCTCCTGCCTCAGCCTCCTGAGTAGCTGGGATTACAGGCTGGGCCACCATGCCCAGCTAATTTTTGTATTTTTAGTAGAGATGGGGTTTCACCATGTTGGTCAGGCTGGTCTCAAACTCCTGACCTCGTGATCTGCCCACCTCAGCCTCCCAAAGTGCTGAGATTACAGGAGTGAGCCACCACACCCAGCCCCTGTTGGTCATTTCTATGTCTCCTTTTGAGAAATGTCTATCCATGTCCTTTGCCCACTTTTTAATGAGAATAAATGTGGAGATTTTTTTCCTGTTGTTTGGATTCTTCGTATAGTCTGGATATTATCCCTTATTGGATGAAGAGTTGCAAATATTTTCTCCCACTCAACAGGCTGTCTCTTCACTGCTGACCATTTCCTTTGCTGTGCAGAAGCTTCTTAGTTTAGTATATTCCCATTTGTCTATTTTTTGTTTTGTTACCTGTGCTTTGAGATCTTAGCCATAAAATCTTTGCTTAGACCAATGTTCTGGAGTGTTTCCTCTATGTTTTCTTCCAGTTGCTTTATAGTTTCAGGTCTTATGTTTAATGTTTATGTTAAATCCTTCTTGAGTTCATTTTTGTAAACGGTGAGGGGGTCCAGTTTCATTCTTCTGCACATGGATATCCAGTGTTCCCAGCACTATTGATTAAAGAGGATATCCTTTCCCCAATGTATGCTTTGGGTGCCTTTGTCAAAAATCAGTTAGCTGTAAGTAGGTGGATTTATTTCTGGTTCTGAATTCTTCTCCATTGGTCTATGTGTCTATTTTTATACCAATACCATGCTGTTCTGGTTACTATTGCCTAGTAATATATTTTAAAATCAGGCTGTGTGATGCCTCTTGCTTTGTTCTTTTTGTTCAGAATCAATTTGACTATTCAGGTTCTTTTTTGGTTCCACATGAATTTCAGAATTGTTTTTTCTATTTATATGAAAAATGACATTGATACTTTGATAAGGATTGCATTGAATCTGTAGATTGTTTTGGGTAGTGTATTAGTCCATTTTTACACAGCTGATAATGACATACCCAAGACTTGGAAGGAAAAGAGGTTTAATTGGACTTACAGTTCCACATGGCTGGGGAGGCCTCAAAATCAAGGTGGGAGGTGAAGGGCACTTCTTATATGGTGGCGGCAAGAGAAAATGAGGAAGAAGCAAAAGCGGAAACCCCTGATAAACCCATCACATCTCGTGAGACTTATTCACTATCATGAGAATAGCACAGGAAAGACCATACACCATGATTCAATTACCTCCTCCTGGGTTCCTCCCACAACACGTGGGAATTCTGGGAGATACAACTGAAGTTGAGATTTGGGTGGGGACACAGCCAAACCATATCATTCCACCCCTGGCCCCTCTAAATCTCATGTCCTCATATTTCAAAACCAATTATTCCTTCCCAACAGTCCCCCAAAGTCTCTACTCATTTCAGCATTAACCCAAAAGTCCACAGTCCAAAGTCTCATCTGAGACAAGGCAACACCCTCCCACCTATGAGCCTGTAAAATCAAAAGCAAGTTAGTTACTTCCTAGATACAATGGGGATACAGGTATTGGGTAAATGCAGCCATTCCAAATGGGAGAAATTGGCCAAAACAAAGGGGTTACAGGGTCCATGCAAGTCCAAAATCCAGGGGGCAGTCAAATTTTAAAGCTCCAAAATTATCTCCTTTGACTCCAGGTCTCACATCCAAGTCACACTGATGTGAAAGGTAGGTTCCCACAGTCTTGGACAGCTCTGCCCCTGTGGCTTTGCAGGGTACAGCCTCCCTCTCAGCTGCTTTCATGGGCTAGCATTGAGTGTCTGCAGCTTGTCTGCAGCTTTTCCAGGCACACAGTGCAAGCTGTCAGTGGATCTATCATTCTGGGGTCTGGAGGACAGTGGCTTTCTTCTCGCAGCTCCACTAGGCAGTGCCCCAGTAGGGACTCTGTGTGGGGGGCTCCAACCCCATATTTCCCTTCTGCACTGCCCTAGCAGAGTTTCTTGATGAGGGACCTGCCCCTGCAGCAAACTTTTGCCTGGGCATCCAGGCGTTTCCACACATCTTCTGAAATCTAGGCAGAGGTTCCTAAACCTCAATTCTTGACATCTGTGAACCCACATGCTCAACACCACATGGAAGCTGCCAAGGCTTGGGGCTTGCACCCTCTGAAGCCATAGCCCAAGCTATACATTGGCCCCTTTCAACCACAACTGGAGCAGCTGGGAACCAGAGCACCAAATCCCTAGGCTGCACACAGCAGGGACCCTGGGCTTGGCCCACAAAACCACTTTTTCCTCCTGGGCCTATGGGCCTGTGATGGGAGGGGCTGCCTGGAGACATTTTCCCCATAGTCTAGGGGATTAACATTAGGCTCCTTGATACTTATCCAAATTTCTGCAGCTGGCTTAAATTGCTCCCCAGAAAACGGGTTTTTCTTTTCTATCACATAGTCAGGCTGCAAATTTTCCAAACTTTTATGCTCTGCTTCACTTATAAAGTTGAATGCCAGGCTGGGTGTGGTGGCTCACACCTGTAATCCCAGCTCTTTGGGGAGCCAAGACAGGAGAATGGCTTAAGCCCAGGAGTTTGAGATCAGCCTGGGCAAGACAGCAAGACCTTGTCTTCACTAAAAATAAAATAAAATAAAAAATTTAAGTAAGACATTCTACAAAACAAGGAAGCAAGAAATGCTTTTCTAAACAATGAAAGTTAATATACAGAAAATATTGAAAGAATCGTAACAATGAATAAATATTTATTTAGGGTTAGATTATGTCCTCTATACCAACATAGATGCCAGAAGAAATACAAAGAAATTATATGACAGTCTGTGACCTAGAAGTTGGAGAAACAAGACATGCACACATGAAATGATAGCAAGTACAAAAACTATACCATAATTCAAACACTTATTGAGCACTTACATTCCAGATACTGTATTTCACACTGAGGATAAAACAATAATGAGCAAAATACTATCCCTCCTTTCAAAAACCTCAAAAACTATCAGAGGTGACTAATGTAAACAACTATAATGCAATGTCACTTGTACTATGTTGATGATTTTTATAAAATGCTATGAGAACTAGGATCAAGAAAATAATTGTTTCTGCTTCTAGAGAAATACCAAAACTGCCTTCATTGAAGAAGTTATTTGAACTGTTAGGGTATGCTAAAACCTGACTATAAAGAGCCTATATGGTAGGCAAAAAAGAACCAGCAAAGATCTGATCTGGATTTTTTTGTAAGTTTATGGCAATAGTATGGAAAATTCGCTGACCAGTAGTCTATATACTCCACTAGGGCAATCACCATGTCTGTCTTATTTACTGATACACTCAGTGCTAAGCACAGCATTTCACACATAGTAGACCATCTTAAGTATGCTTTTGTTGAAAAAATTATAAAAAATGAAACAGAGACGCTAGTAAGGAGGGTGTTGTCCAAGTGAAAAACAGTGAGGGCTTAATTAGGGCAATCACAATGGGGAATTGTTGATTACATCAACACTGAGTTGCCTTAATTTAAATGCCAAATTGTATGGCTTATGAACTATAGGAACTAAGAAAAAACAAATACAGATACAACAGAAGCAATCTGATCACAAAGAAATCTCACAATGAACTATAAGCCAAAACAACTACCTAACAACCTTAAATATATTATATATTGTTGGAAAGTGATTCCATCAACTGGTACCAAGTATGAATTCATCTCAGAAAACCTTTAAAAAGTCATCTCAATCCCCAGGGTTTTATTTTATTTATTTTTTTATTTTTATTTTTTATTTTTTTTCGAGACAGAGTCTCACTCTGTCGCCCAGGCTGGAGTGTGGTGGCGCAATCTCGGCTCACTGCAACCTCCGCCTCCTGGGTTCAAGCAGTTCCTTCACCTCAGCTTCCCAAGTAGCTGAGATTATAAGCATGTGCCACTTTTGTATTTTTTTAGTAGAGACAGGGTTTCACCATGTTGGCTAGGCTGGTCTCGAACTCCTGATCTCAAATGATCCGCCTGCCTTAGCCTCCCAAAGTGCTGGGATTACAGGTGTGAGCCACAGTGCCCGGCCTCAGGGTTTTCTTTATCTTTTTCTTTTTTTTTCCTTCTGATTTTCCATAAAAGATAGCTTTAAGGAAAGTTTAAGATTATAACTTACTTTTAAATATGACATAAAGTTCAAGAAGGTTTTAATTAAGACCCAGAAAGAAATTACTGGTCTAATTTCTTTGTTTGTTTGTTTGAGACAGGGTCTCACTCTGCTGCCCAAGTGCAGTGGTATCATCAGGACTCACTGCAGGTGATCCTCTTACCTCAGCCTCCCAAATAGCTGGGACTACAGGCACGTGCCACCATGCCCAGCTAATTTTTTTGTGTATATTTTTTTTCTTGTAGAGATGGGGTTTCACCATGTTGCCCAGGCCAGAACTGGTCTAACTTCTAAGAGATGACACTACAAATTCAATAGACTAAAAAGAAGACCCATTCAGCTATCAGAACTAGGTAAGAGAGACATGAATAAAAGACTTTTTTTAATACTTGGTATCCACATTTTTACTATTCAAGCATGACCTTAAAGAAATAATTTATAAAAGGGATGAGATAATGCCTACCTCATAGTGTTCTTACCTGACATAGTTCAGTAATTTTCATATAGCATAATAGTTAAGAACAAAGACTCTCTAGGTTCAAATCCCAGTTCCTTAGTCTACCTGTTATTTCTATATTATTCAACTTCTCTGATCTTGTTCCCTCATCTGCCTCATAGGGTTGTTGTTTTAAATGACTTAATATGTAAAATTGATTAAAACAGGGCCTAGCACAAAGTAAGTAGTAAATAAGCATTAACTGTTGTTATTATTAAAAATACTCAGTACAAATATAAGTGTGAAGTTGAATGTGAAGGCTAGTCATTTAGCCTCTGCATGAGCCTAGCAAACAACACAGCATCAGTGTTTCAATTAGCAACATTCTGGAAAGTGGGGTTCTTTTTTTGCTGTTGTTTTTTTACCTGCAAACCATGAGGTATCGAATCTGGGGTTCTTAACAACATATATCCTTCAGGAATATCAAGAATCTGCCAGCTGGGTCTGGTGCAGTGGCTCGCACCTGTAATCCTAGCACTTTGGGAGGCCAAGCCAGGAGGATCACTTGAGTCCAAGTGTTTGAGACCAGCCTGGGCAACACAGTGAGACCCCATCTCTACAAAAAATTTTAAAAATTAGCCAAGTGTGGTGGTATGCACCTGTAGTCCCAGCTACTCCAGAGGCTGAGGTGGAAGGATCGCGTGAGCCTAGGAGGTCGAAGCTGCAAGTGTGCGGTAATCGCACCACTGCACTCCAGCCTGGGCAACAGAGCCTCAAAAAAGGGGGGCGACCCTGTCTCAAAAAATTAGAAATGATAAAAACAAAAAGAATCTCCCATATTCCTTGTGCTACCACTGGCAGAACCTGAGCAAATTATGACCTCATTCTTTGCTTTAGTTTTCTCCTAAGATCCTCATGTCAGCTTTTTCTCTAGGATCCTGGACTGAGTCACAACTTCCCCACTGAATTCCTGATTTAGGCTCTTTCATGGGCTGTGTCTAGCTCACTCTGGGTGTGGTGCCATGTTTGGCACCATCTCTTCTAAAAACACTGATGTGGTGGAATTCAGCTGTATTTGAGCTGGTTTATCTTGCAATTTTCCACTGGGTTTTTCTAATTAGAATGAGCAAAAGCACAAAACATAATTACAAGTTCTGTACTTAGCACTATCAAGCCTCCCAAAATCCCAAAGGAACTAAGACTTTTGTCATCTTCTAAGAAGCAGTATTGACAAGTCCCACCCAGATTGCCAATCATTATGATCAAATGAGCTAACATACGTGGTACATCTAGCTCCAAGCAATAAATGCTAATTTCTTTTGACTCTTCCTCTACCTACTTCATCCCCACCCTGAGGCAATGTATGATGAAAAACTTTAGGAAAGAGACTAAGATGGGCATGTTTGGTGGTTTGTTGGAGCACAGCTTGGAGACACTGGCATTCTTGACAACAACTCTGAGTCAAATGTGAATTAATAATAGTCTCCCACTTCATTTTACCTATGTCTCCCAAGTTCCTAAATGTTGGGTCTGATTACATGAATATGTTTGTATCATGATTAATGTTCATATCAGAAACAAAACTAGTTCTTTTTATGACTCAGAAGGCAAAATGTTCTACCTTTCAGGCAGAATGTGAAAATTAGGATAACTACTAACTGATGACACCAAATTTAATTTTCTTGCAGCTATATAATAAAAAACCAATCTGACATATAGAGGAAAAATGTATATAGATAAGTAAATATAGGAAAATGTCAATAATTAATTATTGAATCTAGGTGATTGTTCTTTCGATTTTTTTGCAAGTTAGGGATTTTTCTCAATAAAAAGTTTGGGTAGCAAAGGGCAGGGGGGAACTTGACACACTCATAGCCTAACACTCCCAGAGTTCAGAAAAATAAATAATTCACTGTCTACACCATCTAATTCATAGAAAACAAAACTGCTCTGATTTTTTTGCCTCTATTCATAAATTTTACCAAGTCCTATACCAATTTACCTGGATGCTCACAGATTTCCCCCATAAGGCTACCACACTCAGAGAAATGGCACAGGGCTGACTAGGAAAAAGAATTCCCATCTGGCAGCCATAAATCCCCATGCTAACAGTAAGTTGAAATGGGTTGTTCTGATAAGGGTATTTCCAGCCTCTAACACAAAAAACACTTCCACCCAAGGTAACAGTAGAAACCTTTGGTGAGATAATTCTTTAAATTTTTAAATATAAGATGGAAAATACTGAATACAATCACATAAACCTATGAAAATTAAAATAGTAATATAGAAGCACTAAGTTGTGAGTTTCTACAAACCAAGTGGCAAAAGTGAGGGTTTTTCATCTAAATCGAAATGAGAAAGGAATTCTGCATTTAGTTTTCCATCAACACTTCAACTGCAGGGAGAATAAATCTATAATATGCGCTTTCATAGGGAAAAAATTAAAATAAGGTAAAGATGGTGACATTTACAACTAGTTTCTGGAACCTGAAGCAGTCCCACAAAAGCTATGCTTTCAACTTACTCTAGGCTCCCAAAATTTTAAAGTTAAATATAAACAAATTATTCATTTCGCCTTTCTTAAGTAATATAGGAGGTAAGAAAAAAGTAGTCCATTTTAATCCAAAACTACTACGTAGAAAACAAAATAAGAGTCTAGAAAATTAGACTAGGGCATTACTATTAGAATTAACAAGTAGCTGACAATATAAATCTTGATATCACTACTATTCTCTAGGTGGTTTTTAACAAGCCACTTAACTATATCTTTATGCTAAAATAGAAAACAATATTAACCATACTTTCTGAACTGAAAATAGGCCTATTGAAAATAAATTTGATACCACATGTTCTCATTTGCATGTGGGAGCTAAAAAAAATTGAACTCAGAAGTAGAGAGTAGAACTATGGTTACTAGAGGCTGGGAACAGAATGGGGAAGGGGAGGATGGGGAGCCATGGTGCATGGATACAAAATTACAGCTAGATAGGAGCAATAAAGTTCCAGTATTCTACGGCATTACAGAGCAAGTATAGTTAACAGTAATTTAGTGTATATTTTCAATAAATTATTGAAATTTCAATAACTGTCATCTGCTAATAGTTATCCTATTTTGAACGTTCACAACACAAAGAAATGATAAACGTTTGAGATGATGGGTATGCTAATTATCCTGATTTGATCATTACACGGTGTATACATGCATCAAAGTATTACTCCGTATCCTACAAATATGTACACTTTGCCAGGTGTGGTGGCTCTGGCTCGTGCCTGTAATCCCAGCACTTTGGGAGGCTGAGGCAGGAGGACCACTTGAGCTGTGGAGTTCAAGCCCAGCCTGGGCAACATCGTGAGGCCGTGTTGCTACAAAAAAATAAACAAAACTAGCCAGGCATAGTGGCACACTCCTGTAGTCCCAGCTATTCAAGAGGTTGAACTGGGAGGATGGCTTAAGCCGAGGGAAGTTGAGGCTGTGGCAAACCAAGACAGTGCCACTGCACTCCAGCCTGAGCAACAGAGTGAGACCCTGTCTCAAAAAACTAAATATATAAATAGGTACAATTATTACATGCCAACTAAAAATAACATAAATAAATAAATTTAAGATCAAGGGCCACATAAATGCTTATTAACAAATAATAATGATGTGAGAACAAATGATGTGAAAGCTGGGAAGTAGTCAATACCCAAAGGATATGTATCTACAAACCTAGTGGATAAGCAATCTTTAATGAAGTCATCTTTTTAAACCTTCAAGTAAATAGTGAATCTGACTGCAAACTATCAAATCTGGCCTCACCACAATAAACATCAAAGGCAGCGAACATATAATGAATCAACATGAAATATAATTCAGCAGCCAGCCCTGTAAGTTTTTGCCTGTAATCTTGAATTCACTGAAACATAGATTCCAAATAATTTCCCAAAATCCAAGCTTCAGCATTTCAGTCTGGGCTCTGTTAAAGAATTTATCCTAGATGCCTGGAATAAAATGGATTAGTTCAACCAGGTTCTGTTGCCTAGCTATGGAATGATGGAGCACCTCCCTGGAAGTGGATAGAATCCAATGTTCTTCAGTAGACCTTTCTCAAGATACATCTCAGCTAATTACTTCTAAGAGCATTCTGAATACAGACTAAGAACTATTTTCTAAAAACTTCCAAGTCAAATTTAATCATTAATAACAGCACAGTGAAAAAAATCTTTGTTCAAATCCCAGCCTGGCCACTTGTTAGATATAGAACCGTGAACCCTTTGTCTAGGTGTAGAACTGATCTGCTGTGAAATGGTAATAATGACATCTAAGCCAAAAAGATATGAGTTAACTCCGCTTATCCTAACTGAATCTAGTTTTGGGGTTATTTTGAAGATTAAATAAAATAATATGCCCAGTTAGCATGGCATATGACACAAAGTATCAGTAGCATCCAAATGTTTCCTTGTCGTTACCATTTCTAGCTTTTCTTCTTACTTCAATTTCATCCACTTTTAAATTTTATCCTCCCTAGCAAAAGCCTATAGCATCTGCTTCGAGTCATGATGAGACATACAATATAATAAGGAAAATAGTACACTTAGTGTTTACTATGAGCCAGTCACTGAGCTAAGTATTTTATATAGTTTATCTCAATCCTTACAACTTTCACTAGGTGGTTATATTATTCCAGTTCACAGTAAAAAAACCGAGGCTAATGGATGAGATAATTTGCCCAAAGTTGCTTGGTTACCACAATCATTTTTACTTTTACTCTACCAAGTATCTCTCTCCAATCACTATCTTGTTCCTTCCCACACAGAAAACCATTACCTTAACATTTCTGGTAACCACTTTCTTATTCTCCTTTATATTTCACTATATATGTATACATCTACAAATAATATTGATTAGTTTTGCCTATTCTTAACTATTTTACAAAGGGAATCAGAGGACTGCATTCTTTTATGTTCTGTTTATTTCAGTATTATATAAGTAAGGAGCTCAATCCATGTTGTTCTGCCTTACCTATGGTTCATCCATTTTCATTGTTGTATAATATTCTACTGTATGAACATACTATAATTTATTTATCAATCATATTATTTTTGGACATCTGAACTGTTTCCATGTTTTAGCTACTGTGTACATTTGTGCTGTGAACACTTCCTTTACACATAACCTGAATTTTGGGAAATGCACCAAAATTTCTTTAGGGTAGTAGTCTTCAAACAAACATAGATCTACACAAAGGGTACATAAAGAATATACAAAGACTTTCCAAATGTTAAGTGTGCATATTGTGTTTCACGAATCTAACTCCAGACCCACAACTTTCATACACACTCTTTCCTAAAATAAGAACAGCCTGCATTTAATATAGAGTAACTTTACAAAATAAAGGCTTATCTCTCACCAATCCCAAATCGTACTATCATGCATTGGTTCCAAATATAAAACGCATAGAAAGGTAAAATGCTTAGTCTTGAGAGCAGAGAAGAACTACCAACTAAGAGTAATGTAATAAATTCTATAATGGAGATATGAACAGGTATGGTCTTTAGAAGTAAATAAAATAAACGACTGAACTAGCTGGAGGAGTCAGGAAAAAAAAGAGATGACATTTGAACGAGGCCTTGAAAAGTAAGTATGGCTGTCAGGTAGAAAATGATGAAAAGAACACTTCTTGCAAACAGGTTAGCGAGGTACATAGGTGTAAGAGAAAGTCACTGGGTAGAGTTACAGGAAAAACGATTAAAGGGGAATAACTCAACTAGAAGATGAGCTCCTTTTGCCTCTGAAGAGGTATAGACTTGAAATAGAAGAGGGTATCTAAGAAAAGAGGATGCCAAAATAATTTGTACCCAGAGTAGGAAGTATGACATGGGCAAAAAGCTGGTAAATAGTATGTAGAGACATATTAATAAAAGGGAAGAGAAGAGTATGTTGAGAAAATAACTCAGCATCCACCGAAGCCATGGTATGCCAGCAGGAGCTGCTCTAAATCTCAGTCCAGGAAAGGGGTGTCCCCTGGGGCTCATGAGAGATAAATACAAATTTATAAACAACTAATTACCCTCTTGCTAATCACTGCCATGTTTTTCAGTACACTCACATTAATCGTCATATATAAACATCCTGTCACATGCTAAATAGTTCCCCTTGTAGAAGCAGCTCAATTTTGATCAAACACAGATAATCTGCCAGTTGGCTTGATGTGGAGCTCTTTTTCGAAACCACTGTTTCTCTAACTATGGCATCTTAAGTATGTGTCACATGAGTCTCCAACTGGCAGTCACATGGATCTCTTAACACAGTATCAGCTGCTCTGAAATGATAACTGCCTAACTTTAGGGTGACCAGAGCTCACCAAAGTAAATGTCACATAACCTTTATTTTTAGTCAAACAATCCCAAAAGTAATCCTGAGATTTGGTGAATATTACCCAGATATCTTGAGGAGATATAGAGAAATAAACAGAAAAAAAAATTCATATAAAACATACTAATAATCAAAAACACTTTAATCGGTTCCTACCACTTTATAAATACCTATGTCCTCTGTTCACTTCTTGGAGAAGGTGCTGATAGATTATGATCAAACCAGAAGCAGATAAATAAATTCATTGTTATTTGATAAATGACCAAAGAAACACTGAGCACCTACTATGACTCACTCACTGTATATACCAGGTGATAGAAACAAGGAATTCATAAACCTGCTCAGGAAACAAACGTGAACAAGTACAAATAATGAGCAAATTGCTAAAACAGAAATACATAAAATAGGAAATAGAAGTAGGAAAGAAATTAACAGAGAAATTCTAACAGGAAATGAGTCAGGAAAACATCACAGAAGAGATGCCATCTCACCCCCTTGATTACTAGGATTCTATCCAGCAGAGGTAAAGGGAGGAAAGGAAAGAGATGAAATTCAAAGCAAGTACAAAGGTAGAGCAAAGGCAAAAGCATGGAAGTACAAAAACACATGCAGTCGTCTAGAAATAACAATTAGTACAGTGTGGCTACATCAGTGGTTCTCAAGCCTAACTGGAAAAGGAGGGGTCTGGGCACATACTTTTTTGTCATTTCACAGATATTTCTGAGGTACAGAAAGGTATGAGAATCACTGGGCTAGAAATAGAGATTACTAGGGTTGGAAGATAGAATTAGAGGAGAAGAGAGCCAGAGGTTAGGCCAGGGCTAGACTGAAAAGGCCTTAAAAGCCAGGATGGACCTCTAATCAGCCCCTCTGAAAATTAGTTCTATATAAACATAATTTTGGTGAAAGGAACAAGACATTTCATCACATTTGGATTCCAGTTCCCCCAAAATATTAAAAATATGTTTTGTAAGCAATAAATCAAACAAGTTTCTAAACAAGTGAATGACTCCTGACTAACATGGTGAAACCCCATCTCTATTAAAAATACAAAAAAATTAGCCGGGCGTTGTGACGGGCGCCTGTAGTCCCAGCTACTCAGGAGGCTGAGGCAGGAGAATGGCGTGAACCCGGGAGGCAGAGTTTGCAGTGAGCCGAGATCACGCCACTGCACTCCAGCCTGGGCAGCAGAGCAAGACTCCGTCTCAAAAAATAAAGAAAGAAAATAAAATAAAACAAGTGAATGACAAAAAAACTGCCCCTTTTCTGTGGTAGACAGAATAATGGTCCCCCAAAGATGCCCATGTCCTAATCACTGGAACCTATGAATATATTAGGTTACATGGCAAAGGAAAATCAAGGTTACAGGTAAAATTAAAGTGCTTATCAGCTGTGAGATATGGTAATTATCCTGGATTAATCAGGTGGACCCATTATAATCACAAGTGTTTTTTGTTTGTGTGTGTGTTCGTTTTTGAGACCAAGTCTCGCTCTGTCACCCAGGCTGGACTGCAGTGGCACAATCTCGGTTAACTGCAACCTCTGCCTCCCAAGTTCAAGTGATTCTCCTGCCTCAGCAAGCAGCTGGGACTACAGGTGCGTGCCACCATGCAAACCTAATTTTTGTATTTTTAGTAGAGATGGGGCTTTGCCAGTGTTGGCCAGGCTGGTCTCGAACTCCTGACATCAGGTGATCCGCCCACCTTGGCCTCCCAAAGTGCTAGGATTACAGGCGTGAGCCACCAAGCCCAGCCTTCAGGTATTTTTAAAAGTGGAAGAGGAAGACAAAAGAAACTCAGAGAGGCTGGGTGCGGTGGCTCACGCCTGTAATCCCAGCACTTTGGAAGGCCGAGGCGGGTGGATCACCTGAGGTCACGAGTTCAAGACCAGCCTGGCCAATGTTGGTGAAACCCCATCTCTACTAAAAATACAAAATTAGCCAGGTGTGGTGGCGAGTGCTTGTAATCCCAGCTACTCGGGAGACTGAGGCAGGAGAATCATTTGAACCCAGGAGGTGGAGGTTGCAGTGAGCTGAAATCATGCCACTGCACTCCAGCATGGGTGACAGAGTGAGACTCCATCTCCAAAAAAAAAAAAAAAAAGCCTCATAATGTTTTAACAAGCTTGGTTTACATAATCTTTTCCCCCACTAGACAATGTGCTCTTCAAGAACAGGAACTCTATTTTATTCATCTTTCTATCCTGAACACATATTAGGCACTAAATAATTCATTTTTTAACAAATGAATCTCTTCGCCTCCACTTTCATGTCTCTATCTTCCCCTTCCGTCCCACAGCTCTTGTTTAGAATCCTAATTTAAAAAAAAAAAAATCTTCCTATCCCATAAATCTTGGCACACGCCATAGGCCCTCTACCTTGCACGACCCATGTTACTCAACATAGTGAAGATTTGGAGGAAGAATGCTCCTAGACATCCCCACTCATTTCCACTGCTAGAGGAGACAGCTAGCTCAATCTGCAACCAGAGGCAGTATCACTCCATCCTCAGGAGAGCACCCATAAAAGAGGAGGGGATAATTTATCAAGAGGGAATAAGATTGTATTACAAAGTAAACTTCCCAAAAAGGCAGAGTTAATGCTATACAAATATATCTCAATTTAAAATACTTCTCAGAAGGGGAGGCACAGAGTAAATTAAGCTTCTGAGAGGACTTCAAATTGAGGAAGGGAACTTTAGATAAAAGGAATGGGAGTCATAGGAATTGGGATCTATGAGCATCATCATGCTCCTAGCCAATGGGCACAACTGACCACACCATAATTTTCTTTGATTCATCTCTTCCCACACTAACTAGGCAGCATTAATTTGGTCCTCTTCCTCAGCAAGGATGATCTTCTGAAGGGATAAGGAAAGAGCTGTTTTTACAAAATATTCCTCAGTTTTTGCTATATCTCTGCCTAGTCCTGACAAAATAAGTCCCTTTTCTCCGATCCTCTCAGAAAAGGAAGGTACTCTAGGTAGCTAAAGAACTTCCTATTTTTTAGTTTAATGTGGGAAAAGAGATAATAAAAAGATAAGAGAAGGTCTTAATATAGTAGAATATAAAAGATAAAATGATCTAGAATTTGGACATTTTATAAGAAAAGGAACAAAGTAGGGAATGGATTGGAGGGAAAAGACTAAGTAAAATATACATATGTGGCCGGGTGCAATGGCTCACGCCTGTAATCCCAGCACTTTGGGAGGCCAAGGTGGGCAGATCACTTGAGGTTGGGCGCTTGAGACCAACCTGGCCAACATGCCAAAACCCCATCTCTACTAAAAATACAAAAATTAGCCAGCCATGGTGGCAGGCACCTGTAATCCCAGCTACTCAGGAGGCTGAGGCAAGGGAATCACTTGAACCTGGGAGGCGGAGGTTGTAAGCTGAGACCGTGCCACTGCACTCCAGCCTGGACAACAAAGCGAGACTTCGTCTCAAAATTAATTAATTAATTAATTAATTAATAATAATAATTATCAGCATATGAAGAATTTTGTTTCATCCCTACCCCCCAATGGAAAAAACTAATCACTCAAAAAAGGGATGATGCAACAAATTTCACTTCCTATATTTCTAATATTTTGTGAACTGTTGTTTTCCTTGAGAAGAAAAATATATCTGACATTCAGAAAAATTACTTAACATGATTCTTCAAGTTAAGAATTTGAGTATACTGCCAAAGATAATCCCAATAAACTCTGCTCTCTTAATTTTGTCTTTACTTCCCTTGGGACTAACACAGTAACTGACAAAGTAGATATTTAAGAAATGTTTATAAACCAAATAAATAAGAACACCTACAAAGACAAAAAGTAAATCTGGCCATTTTCCATTCTGAAGATTTACCTCTTGCAAAAGACAAACATAAAAAATGAGAATTCATTCTGTGTAACTCTAGAGAGCAGAGAAAAATAATTACATCTAATTTTTAACAATTCTTAAGCTACATTTATCACAAACTCATAGTCACCTTAACCAAATTCTAATTGAAAAAAAAAAGGCATACAAAATTTGAATACTTTTTTTAAAAGTTAAACTCTGATCTGTAACATACTGGCCTAAAATAGCACCATGCGAGACATTTTTAATACTAATCAAAATAACTATGTGGAGACTCAAAAGTGCTAAGTAGCACATATTTGTGAGACACCTAAGCAGGTTCTAAGATTCCAAGAGAAAAGAAGTATATATACGGTGACCCACACACTTTGCCATTTTCAAATATTTGGTCCCTTAGGTTGCCATAAACCATAAAAATTCCATTATTTCAGCAAATAGTAACTAAAGTATTCCATATTATATATATTTTTATTTTAAGTTTTAAAGACTGAGCCACAAAAGATAGGGAACACAGGCCAAAGCAACACCATAATTACTCATAAAAACATGGAGAAGATGATATGTATCACACACATACAGTTATAAAGTTCACTAATAACCCAGTAAAATAAAAGCCTGTGCAACTGGGTAACAACAACAACAATAAAAACCCTGATGGTAATATGAGATAATAACAATAATGAATTTATTTCCAGGTATAATTATATGTAGTCATTTGACCTACATATAAAATGTGTTCTAAGGTTGGGTGTGGTGGCTCACGCCTGTAATCCCAGCACCTTAGGAGGCCAAGGTAGGTGAATTGCTTGAGCCCAGGAGTTTAAGACCAGCCTGGGCACACATGGGAAACCTCGTCTCTACAAAAAAATACAAAAATTACCCGGGCATGGTAGCGCGCTCCTGTTGTCCCAGCTACTTGGGAGGCTGAGGCAGGAGAATCGCTTGTGCCCAGGAGGTCAAGGCTGCAGTGAGCCAAGATCTCACCACTGCACTCCAGCCTGGGTGACAGAGTGAGACCCTGTCTCAAAAAAAAAAAAAAAAAAAAAACAAACATAAAATAATAAAATAAAATATGTTCTAGGCAGGGGCTCAGGCCTATAATCCTAGCATTTTAGGAGGTCGAGGTGGGCAGATCACCTGAGCCTAGGAGATTGAGACCAACCTGGGCAACATAGCAAAACCCCACCTCTATTAAAAATACAAAAATTAGCCTGGCATGGTGGCATGTTCCTGTAGTCCCAGCTACTCAGGAGGCTGAAGTGGGAGGACCAGTTGAGCCCAGGAGGCCGAAGCTGCAGTGAGCTATGATGGCACCACTGCACTCCAGCCTGAGCCAAAGAGCAAGACCCTGTCTCAAAAAAGTAAAATAAAATGTGTTCTAAAGTTTTAAAATGTACTTTAATATAAAAGCCTATGCAAAAGAAACTGTATGTTTTTAAATGTTTATAAAAAGAATAAACTTTCCTTTTTGAAGAAATAGGAAAACCAAAACAAAACACTTGATTTCTAACATAGAGGTAAGATAATTATTATTCAGAATTCAAAGTTTCTCACTATTTTAAAATAGTGGCTCAACCTGGTGGCTCATGCCTGTAATCCCAGCACTTTGGGAGGCCAAGGCAGACGAATTGCTTGAGCTCAGGGGTTCAAGACCAGCCTGGGAAACATGGCAAAACCCCATCTCTACAAAAAATACAAAAATTAGCTGGACATGGTGGCATGCACCTGTAGTCCCAGTTACTCCAAGGGCTTAAGTGGGAAGATAGTTTGAGCCCTGGAGGCAGAGGCTGCAGGGAGCTAAGATCATGCCCCTGCACTCTAGCCTGGGCAACAGAGCAAGACCGTATCTCAAAAAAAAAATAGTACACAGGCATTAAAAATTGCCAATATACCAAATGTGAACATAAAAAGAATTTATGAAATAATCGATTTTAAAAAGTAAAATGCATAAATGTGTTTTTTCAAGTATCTGTAAAGAATAAAATATATAGTTTTTATTGATCACTTATTATTCCCAGGCATTCTTCTAAGCTCTATATATGTAACTATTCATTTAATTTTTATAACAATTTTTTGAGATAAGCACTATTCTTATCACCCAGTTAAATGATGAGTAATCAAAGGAAAGATAAATTGATTTGACCAAAGTGTAAAAAGCCAGAGTTCAAAACTAGGCAGGAGGACTCCAGAAAGTTATGCCATTCTGCCTGTCATAAAAAAATCAAAATACCTGTTGTTTAATTTATAGGTAAATTTTTTAACTTAAAAAATGTTTCTTTTTATACTATTTTGAAGTTAATTTAGTAATAATAACTATTAATAACAGGAAACATTTAATAAAAGCGCTGACTACAAGATAGACATCATTTCTCACAACAGCCTTGTAAGACAGCTCCCCTTATTAGCTCCATTTTACAGATGAGAAAAGTGAGACACACAAAGATAAAGTGACTCACCCAAGGTCACACAGTAAATAAGTAATAGAGCCAGAAAGGGAATTCAAGTAATCTAACTCCAAAGTCTGGACTTGGACTCTTAACTACTACACCACAATAAAATTTATGTAATAAAAAGAGATAAGCCAACATTATTTTTATGATACCTTTTATAATACCTGAATAGAACTGGATCTAAAGTCAAGATGATGTACACTCTATCAACGATGTAAAATAATGGACTTTCTCCATCTACCTAAAGGAACAAATATTATGATACCCTCTTTCCCTCTCATTCTCTACTGTGGTGATTACAAATAACCAGTTTTTCAAAGCTTGCTAAAGAAACATTAAAAACATTAAAGACACATTAAAGTGCATTACAGTGCTTAGGAATATCAGAATACGTATTTGGGCTTGGTAGAACTGTGACAGATACAAAAGTTCAGTTCAGATATATGCCCCAAATTAGGAAGCCCCTTGTTATCTGCAGAAAATGGCAGTTTGAAAATAAGCCCTGTATAGAACAGCAATTTCTACTGAGGTATAGAAAGAAAACATTAGCATCCCTGCTCTATCAATAACTGTACCTTGTCCTTTTAAATTTCTATATTTCTGTGTATGTTTGATAACATACATAAATATTTTAGTACTTGCAAATAATTTATAATTAAAGACACTTAAAAGAAGATAAGTGTGCTCTCTGTTTATCAATAAGTCAAAAAATGTAGAGACAATTAACAAAATGAAAAAATACATCACTGAAAAAATGGTTTGACTTTATTTTAAAGATTTTCTTTTCACCTAAAGTTTCAGTATATTTTTAGTTGTTTCACTGGTCTCCAGATGATTCCTAAAGCACTATGTTGACTGTCTCTATCCTGCAGTAAAGGCCCTTTACAGAAACTTTCAATAAAACTTATGAAGGATAAATAATGCGTCTGTCATCTAAGAAGGTGCTTTCTGTAACATGAAAATAAAGAAATGACTGGAACAGTGTTTTGAAGCTCACCAAGATTAAATAATCCTATCAAAACCACGATGGAAATTTGAAGGGGTACTGTAGAACTAAGGACCCTCTCTCCATTCCATACCTATCAGAATTCTTATTTGCTCCAAGAAGAGTCATTGACTGTCTTAAAGAAAACCTTTCTACCATGAGAAGATTCACGTAAAAGAAGTTATTACAGTCTCCTTAAAACCATTTCATTTTATAGGCAAAGTGCAGGCACTGTTAGTGGAAGTCTCAACTCATACTGCCTTTCTGGAAGGCAGTTTGGCAATATGCATCAAAATTTTAAATGCACATCTCCTTTGACCCAGCAATATCATTTCTTGGAATTCATAATAAGATTATTAGACACATATATAAAGATGTAGTATAAGAACTTGTGGCTGGGCACTGTGGCTCATGCCTGTACTCCCAGCACTTTGGGAGGCCAAGGCAGGCGGATCACAAGGTCGGGAGTTCAAGACCAGCCTGACCAACATGGTGAAACCCCATTTCTACTAAAACTACAAAAAAAATAGCCGGGCATGGTGGCACGTGCCTGTAATCCCAGCTACTCAGGAGGCTGAGGCAGGAGAATCGCTTGAACGCAGGAGGTGGAGGTTGCAGTGAGCCGAGATCACACCACTGCACTCTAGCCTGGGCAACAGGGCAAGACTCTGTCTCAAAAAAAAAAAAAAAAGTGTCTGCTAAAAAACTGCAATCTGAATGCTTACCACTATCATTGGCTAAATATATTGTGCAATCTATATAATACTATACTTAATATATATCTGTATCTATTGTGTATTGTTGACTTTTAGTAGGCTATATCAAGTATAAATTGAACCATTTTAAATAAAATTATAAATGTATATAAATGCATAGAAAACATTTGAAATGTTTACCAAAACATTTACCATATTGATAATGTGGCTTTAAGTAATTTTTTCTTTATCATTAAGCTTTTCTGTATGGTTTAAATTGTGTTACTATATAGTCGTATTATTTCAAAATCAGAAAGAAAAGGCCCTTTTCATCTTGGGAAAAAAATTCTAAGATTCCAATAGTTTTCTCAAAGACCTAAACCTACTTCCTTTCATGCTAGATGCTATGAAGTATAGATACAGAAGAGAACAATTTTATCTTACAGCAGTGGTTCTCAAAGTGTGGTACCTGAACCAGTAACATGAGCATCATTTGAAACTAGATAGAAAGGCAAATTCTCAGGCCCTACCCCAGACCTATTGAATTAGAAACTCTGAGGGTGGAGCCCAGCAATCTGTATTAACAAGCCCTCCCAGTGGTTCTGATACACTCCGGTTTGAAAAACACTTCTTAAGATGAATTCAAAACGTGGTGATCTGAAAGACCAATTTAAACTCCTCTTGGAATTGTTAGTGCCACATACATCTCAAACAAATACAGGTAATGTCTCCACCAGTAGATCCTGCTTGCTGATAAACTTTGGGGGATAAAGACCCCAAGCATATTCAAAATATCAGAAATAAGACAGTAACCCCAAGTGCACTGACCTGCACCATGACTAATACTGATGCAAAAAGAACAAATAAAATTCCCAAAACCAACTATAGAAATGACATCTCAAAATAGTGAATAATATAAAAAACTTAGTGCTACCCAGGGCAACTCTCTGGAAATTCTGAGCAAAAAAAAAAAACAAATGAACTTGGAATCCCAACTGACCACACAATGACAGAATCACAACTGAGTAATAACCAAATCTCTGGCAAAGATGTGAGGTTTATTCAACATACAATGAAGCTATTAACTGGATCTAAGCATTGTCATCTCAACATGGCAAGAACATCCATATTAAGGCTTCATTTACGAAATTGTGAACAAACTAAACACATCAAAAATGAAAGTCCAAAACACTTTGAGAGCAAATTAAGAGCTCCTTTCTGCAAGGGAAGAAAAAAAATGCTGTCAGTATTAAAATAAGGAAAATGTGGGAGAAATAATAAACACAGGGAAAAAGGAATGAATACATAGACCATTCACTTAAAATTATTGCATCTATAAATGCAACTTTAAAGAGTTCTCATTTAGTTTTGAAAGAAACTTTTACTACTTAAAAGTAGGGTCTATACTTGCCTGCTGGTACCTTTCCATTATTCAAGACACTTGGCTGCCATCTGCTGTATAATTGTCCTAATAAATATACAAATCTACATTGTCTAAGCTATAAATGGCACAACCTTAGATATGGTACAGCTGAGTACTATACAACCAGCACAACTGTACAAAGAAACCATACTTAAGAATTAACCTAAGTTAGGCCATACCCAAACTTCCATAGTAAATTAGAAATCTTAAGACATCAGAGTATATAGTTCATAGAGGTTAGGCTGACAGGAGCTTCTGAGCTATGTATATCACCTAAAGCTTCATCTTTACAAGTTATTAGTGATAAAGCAACACAGCTCTGGGATTCTAGGTTCAGGCAGACAAAGAATAGGTTGTTCTCTGACCCTTGGCTTTCCATCAAACAGGAATGATACTGCTTTCACTAGTGATTCTAGGATGTAGAAAAAGCAAAACTAGTTCAAGCATTTTCCTGCAGACTCATTCTCTTCATATGCTTCTGAGTGAATTTAATTTTTATTTACTTGTTTATTTAATTGGTCTGACTGCCTATTTTGTCTATTATGCCTCAGAGAACAAGATTGCTACAATAGACAAGGTCTAATGCAGCTCTTCCTAGAGCGCATAGGAAAATGACGGATCTGCTTATTAGTAAATCATTATTATAGTGACAACATACTGATTTGGATAAAATGTCATTTAAAAATTTTATCTGATGAACGGAACCTAATGGTGCAAAACAACAGCACCAGAAATAATTTTGCAAAAAATGCTCATATTTCTACTCAAGTATACAAAATCTGAATTTCTGGACCAGATAAAATTATCACTTACCCTTCATTTAAACTTTTTTTTTTTAATTTTTTGAGATGGAGTTTCGCTCTTGTCACCCAGGCTGGAGTACAATGGCACGATCTCAGCTCACTGCAACCTCTGCCTCCTGGATTCAAGCAATTTTCCTGCCTCAGCCTCCCGAGTAGCTGGGATTACAGGCACGCACCACCACGCCCAGCTAATTTTTTTGTATTTTTAGTAGAGACGGGGTTTCACCATGTTGGCCAGGCTGGTCTCAAACTCTAACCTCAAGTGATCCACCCGCCTTGGCCTCCCAAAGTGCTGGGATTACAGACGTGAGCCACCACACCCGGCCAGCCTTTAAACTCTTAAAAAAGATATCCCAGATACCATCTCCATACATGATTGCCCTTAGAGATTAGCCAACTGACGAAACCAAGGAGAATCAAGAGAATTTCAAAGTATTTCTAGTAACTTGTTGCAATAAAATGAAAACCTTCTAGAATTCTGCCTCAAACATCTTGAGAAATTTCTCTCCTCCTATCAACAAACTGCTGTAACCTAAAGCTGATCTAAGCAATATGGGACTTGTCCTCCTGGTGCCTAGTTTGTCAAAGACTGCCAAGCAGCAAAAACAAAACTCCTCACAAAGTTTGTGAAATGATGTGAGAAATAAAAACACAATGATGACACCTGTGATTTCTTTTTCTTTTTTAGAATTAACTTATAATAAATTTCTGACTTATTTTACTAAGTCTGGTAACGGACAAATTCTGGATCATGTTGTCCAAAGCATGAATTTGATAACTGAGGTGATGTCAGTTTACATCTGGTGCACCTTTGTAGGCTTAGTTTTCCCAGCTTTATACACTGCCAGAACTTTGTATACTAAAAGAGGCTACTTTCTTTTTCTTTTAATGGCAAAACATATAATTTTACTATTTATTTTTAGTATTTGTCAAGGCATAATCAACAAATGAAAATTATATAAATGTATGCTATACAACATGATGTTTTGATATATGTATACATTGTGAAATGATTAAATCAAGGTAATTGGCATATCTGTCACCTCACATACTTTTTTTTTGTGGTGAGAACATTTAAGAGCTACTCTCAGCAATTTTCAAACATATAGTACTTTATTAGTAACTATAGTCACCATGATGTACAGTAGGTCTCTTAAAGATTTTCATCTTGTCTAACTGAAACTTAACATACTTTGACCAGTATCTCCCCATTCTGTCCTCCTCCAGCCTCTGGCAACCACCAACCATTCTACCCTCTGCTTCTATGAGTTAAATTTTTTTCAATTCCACATATAAGTGAGATCATGTAGTATTTCTCTTTCTGTGCCTGGCTTCTTTCACTTAGCATAATTCCTTCCAGGTTCATCCATGTTGTCACAAATGACAGGATTTCCTTCTTTCATAAGGCTCAATAGTATTCCACAGTATATATAAATATATTTTCTATTTTTTCTTTTTTTATCATTTCAACTTTCATTTTAGATTCAGGGGTACATGTGCAGGTTTGTTAATGGGTATATAGCATGATGCTAAGGTTTGAGGTACAAATCCCATCACTAGGTGGTGACACAGTACCCAATAGGTAGTTTTTCAACCCACACTCCACTCCTTCTCTCCCCACTGAGTAGTCCACAGTGTCTACTATTCCCACCTTTATGTCCATGTGTACTTAACATTTAGCTTCCACTTATAAGTGAGAATATGCAGTATTTGGTTTCCTGTTCCTGTGTTAATTTGCTTAGGAATATGGCCTCCAGCTGCATCCATGCTGCTGCAAAGATCATGATTTCATTCATTTTTATGGCTGTACAGTGGTCCATGGTGTACATGTACCACCTTTTCTTTATCCAATCCACCACTGATGGGCAAAGACCAAGTTGATTCTATGTTTTGGCTATTGTAAATGGTGATGCAATAAACATACAAGTGCCTGTGTCTTTTTGGAAGAACGATTTATTTTCCTTTAGGTATATACCCAGTAATGGGATTGCTGGATCAAATGTTAGCTCTGTTTTAATTTCTTTGAGAAATCTCCAAACTACTTTCCACAGTGGCTGATCTAATTTACATTCCCACCAGCAGTGTATAAGCATTCCCTTTTCTCTGCAACCTCACCAGCATCTATCATTTTCTGACTTTTTAATAACAGCCAATCTGAGTAGTGTGAGATGGTTGTCATTGTGGTTTTGATTCGCATTTCTCCAATGATTAGTGATGTTGAGCTTTTTTTTTTCATATGCTTGTTGGCTGTATGTGTGTCTTCTTTCGAAAAGTGTTCATGGCCTTTGCCTACTTTTGAATGGGGTTTTGCTTTTTGCTTGTTACTTTAAGTCCTTATAGGCTGGATATTAGACCTTTGTCAGATACATAGTTTCCAAATATTTTCTCCCATTCTATAGGTTGTCTGTTTTCTCATTTGATAGTTTCTTTTAATGCACAGAAACTCTTTAGTTTAATTAGGTCTTATTTGTCAATTTTTGTTTTCATTCCAATGCTTTGGTGTCTTCATCATGAAATCTTTGGCCGTGCCTGTGTCCAGAACGGTATTTCCTAGGTTCGCTTCCAGAGTTTTCATAGCTTTAGATTTTACAGTTAAGTCTTTAATCCATCTTGACTTGATTTTTGCACATGGTATAAGGAAGGAGTCCAGTTTCAGTCTTCCACATATGGTTAACCAGTTACCCCAGCACCGTTTATTAAATGGGGAGTGCTTTCCCCATTGCTTGTTTTTGTTGATTTTATCAAAGATCAGATGGTTGTAGGTGTGTGACTTTATTTCTTGGCTCTCTAGTCTGTTCCATTTGTCTGTGTGCCTGTTTTGGTACCAGTACCATGCTATTTTGGTTACTGAATCCCTGTAGTATAGTTTGAAGTCAGATAATGTGATGCCTCCAGCTTTGTTCTTTCTGCTTAGGTATGCTTTTGCTATTCAGGCTCCTTTTTGGTTCCATATGAGTTTATGGAACCAAACTCCCATGTTTATTGTAGCACCATTCACAATAGCCAAGATTTAAAAGCAACCTAAGTGTCCATCAACAGATGAATGGATAATGAAAATGTGGTACTTATATACAATGGAGTACTATTCAGCCACTAAAAAGAAAGAGATCCTGTCATTTGCAATAACATGGTTACAACTGGAGGTCATTTATTTGCGGGATCTAAAAGTCAAAACGATTGAACTAATGCAGATAGAGAGTAGAAGGTTGGTTACCAGAGGCTGGGAAGGGTAATAGGATGGTTCAGAGGAGAAGTAGGGATAGTTAATGAGTACAAAAAAAAAAAATCAAAAGAATAAATAAGACCTAGTATTTAATAGCACAACAGGATGACTATAGTCAATAATAATTTAACTGTACATTTTTAAAACTAACTAAAAGATTATAACTGGATTGTCTGTAACACAAAGGATAAACGCTTGAGGGGATGGATACCCCATTTTCCATGATGTGATTATTACACATTGCATGTCTGTGTCAAAACATCTCCTATAGCCCATAAGTATAACACCTACTATGGCTACAGTAAGTTCTCTAACCAGAAAAGAAATGATTTAACAACAACAACAAAACAGGAATCCTGGAACATCAAAAAGGAAAAAAGAACACAATAAGAAAAACTATAGGTAAAGACAATAGGCTTTACTTTGCTGAGTTTTCCAAACTAGGTTTGACACTAGAAAGAAAAATTATAACACAGTCTGATATGATACTAATGTTTGTGTAGGAAATATTTAACACAATTGTAAACAGTGGATGATGTAAAGAGATATAAAGAAAGACAAAGTTTCATTCAAACTGGTAAAATGACACTAGTAGACTATAAGTTACATATAAATAATGTAGCATCTAGAGAAATCACACACACACAAACTATACTAAAAAGTACACTCAAAAACACAACAGAGGGCAAGCATGGTGGCTCATATATGTAATCCCAAAACTTTGTGAGGCCAAGGCAGGAGGATGGCTTGAGCCCAGAAGTTCAAGACCAGCCCGGGTAACATAATGAGGCCCAGTCTCTACAACAAATAAACTAATTAATTAATTAATTAATTTTTTAAAATGCTAGGCATAGTGGTACACACCTGTGGTCCCAGCTACTTGGGAAGCTAAGGTGGGAAGATCAACGGAACCCAGGAGATCAGGGCAGCAGTGAGCCATGATCACACCACTACAGTCCAGCTGGGCAACAGAGCGAGATCCTATCTCAAAAAACACAGCTGAGTGCAGTGGTTCATGCCTGTAATTCCAACACTTTGGGAGGCAGAGGCAGAATTCCTCAAGCACAGGAGTTCATGACCAGCCTGGGCAACATGGCAAAACCCTGCCTCTATAAAAGATAAAAATTAAAATATTAGCTGGGTGTGGTATAGTCACAGCTACTCAGGAGGCTGAGGTGAGATGATCACTTGAGCCTGGGAGGTCAAGGATGCAGTGAGCCATGAATACACCACTTGCACTACAGCCTGGGTGACAGAGTAAGACTCTGTCTCAACAACAACAACAAGAGCAGCAGCAGCAGCACAACAAACAAATCAAAATAGAGTTCAAAATAAATGTTCAAGTATAACACAGAGGAAGGCATGAAAAAGAAAACAGAAACAAAAAAGGAAAGAATAAACAAAAAATAAAACTTCAAGCTTAAGCCTTGGGATATAAATAATTACATTAAATGTAAATGGTTTAAATACACCAATTAAAAGATAGAGATCAACAAAGTGGATTTTATAAAACAATACAAGTATATGCTGTTGATAGGAAATTCATTTCAAATATAACGATACAGGCAGGTTCAAAATGAAAGGATGGAAAATGACATATCATCCAAACATTGATCAAAGCAAAGCAGGAATGCCTATATTATCATCAAATAAAGTAGACTTCAGAACAAAGAAAATTATCAAAAACAGAGAAGGTCATTATACAATGAAATGATCAACCCACCAAGAATGTAAAATAACCCAAAGTAAACAGCAGGAAGGAAATAATAAAATAAGGACAGACATCAATAAAATTTAAAACAAAAACAACAGAGAAAATCAAATAAACAAAGTTTCGGTTTTTTGAAAAGATAAAATTGACAAATATTTAGCAAATCAAAAAAGATGACACCAAGAAGACATAGCAATACTAAATGTGTATCAAACAACAGAGCTAATAAATATGTGAAGCAAAACGGATAAATCTGAAATAAGAAACAGATAATTCCACAATTATACATAGGGACTTCACCACCCCTCTCTCAACAATTGATAGAACTAATCAATTGCCTCTGTCTAGACAGAAAATCATAAATCAACAGATAACACCATTAACCAATGAGATTTACTCAATATTTATAAAACACAACACCCAACAGCAGTTGAACACACACTATTTTCAAGCAGCCACAGAACATATACCAAGAAAAAGCATATCCTGGGCCATAACACAAACTTTAACAAATTTAAAAGAACTGAAATCATATACAGTATGTTCTCCAACCATAATGAAATCAAACTAGAAATCAGTAACAGAAAGATAGGAAATGTCCAAACACTTGGAAACTAAACAACACTCTTTTAAATAATTAATGGATCAAATAGGAGCCTAAAGGGAAATTTTATGAAGCTTGGGCAAGATGGTGAGACTCCCATCTCTACAAAAAACAATTTGAAATTAGCTGGCTGTGGTGGTGCACGCCTATATTCCCAGCTACTCAAGCGGCTAAGACACGATGATTCTTTGAGCCCAGCCTGAGTGAGAAAGCGAGACCTTGTCTCTAAAATAAATAAATAAATAAATAAATAAATAAATAAATAAATAAATAAATAAAATACAGTGAAGTGTATGAAAATGAAAATACATCATATCAAAACTGATGGGATACAGGTAAAGCAATGCTTGAAGGAAAAATGTATACATTTAACACCTTAAATGTATACATTAGAAAAGAGGACAAATCTCAAATCAATAATCTATGCTCCTATACCACAAGAACCTAGGAAGAAAAAAGTAAAATAACCCAAAGTAAGCAGCAGGACAGAAATAATCAAATAAGGACAGACATCAATAAAATTTAAAACAGAAAAACAACGGAGAAAATCAAAGTTTGGTTTTTTGAAACCATAAAATTGACAAATATGTAGCAAATCAAAAAATATGACACAATACCAATATAAAGAATGAAAAAGGGAATATAACCATACGTCAGTAAGCAATAATAAAAGAAAACAATAGGCCAGGCATAGTAGCACTTTGGAAGGCTGAGGCTGGCAGATCACTTGAGTCCAGGAGTTCAAGACCAGGCTGGGTGACATGGCAAAGCCCTGACAAAAAGTACAAAAAGTGGTGGCATGGTGGCACTCACCTGTAGTTCCAGCTACTCAGGAGGATGAGGTGAGAGGATCACTTAGGAGGTGAAGGTTCCAGTGAACCGAGATCACATCACCGCACTCTAGTCTGAGCAACCTCATATCAAAAAAAAAACAACACAATAGACCAGGTGGGGTGGCTCAGGCCTGTAATCCCAGCACTTTGGGAGTCCGAAGTGGGAGGATCACTTGATGCCAGGAGTTCAAGACCAGCCCGTCTCTACTAAAAATTCAAAAATTTAGCCAGGTGTGGTACACACCTGTAATCCCAGCTACTCAGGAGGCTAACACATGAGAATCTCTTGAGCCTGGAAGGCGGAGGTTGCAGTGAGCTGAGATCGTGCCACTGCACTCCAGCTGGGTGACAGAACAAGACTCAAGACTCTGCTTAAAAGAAAAAAAAAGGCACGATAAATTTAACAACTTAAATGAAATAAACCAATTCCTCAAAAAATACAGACTACAACTCACCAATATGACACAGTAATTTACACAGTCAATTGAATTTGCAATTTAAAATCTTCAAGCCTAGAAGGCTTCATTGAAGAATTCTACAAAATATTTGAAGCAGAATTAGCATGAATTCTAAAATCTCTTCCAGAAAATAGATGAGGAGTGAGGCGCTACTTCTCAATTCATTTTAAGAAGTTACTATTACTCTATCAAAACCAGACATAAGACAATAAAAAATAAATAAAATTATAGACCAATATCTCTCATAAGTATAGATCAAAAATCCTTAACAATATATCAGCAAATAGAACTCAGAGACAAATAAAAAGAAGTGTATACAATGACCAAGTAGGGTTTATTCCAAAGAGGCAAGGTTCATTCAATGTTCAAAACAGATTTCACCAGACTAAATATTTTAAATCACATGATCATATAAAATGATGCATTATAAGCATTTAACAAAATTCACTCTTTCACAATAAAAACTCTCAGAAAATAGGAATAGAGGAAAATTTCCTCAAATTGATAAAGAGCATCCACAAAAAAACCTAAAGTTAACATGATACTTAATGAGAAAAGACTGAATGCTTTCCTTCTAAGATCAGGAAAAAGGCAAAGATATCCACTTTTACCAGTCTTAGCATAGTCCTAGATGTTCTAGCCAGTGAAATAAGGAAATAAAAGGCATAAAAATTGGAAAATAACTAAAACTCTCTCCATTTGCAGATAACACTATTGTTTACACAGAAAATTCCAAGGAATCTACACAAAAACTCCTAGACTAACAAATGAGTCCAGCAAGATCACAAAGATACAAGGTAAACATACAAAGATGAATTGCATTTCTATATAATAGAAAATGAAGACACAGACGCCGAAATTAAAAATACAATAACATTTAAAATCACTTAAAAAAAGAAAATGAATTACTTGCAGATAAATCTAACAAAATATGTGCCAACCTTGTATGCTAAATACAATGCTGAAAGAAAGCAAAACAGATCTCAATAAATGGAAATACATACAATATTTGTAGATTGGAAGACTCATTAGTAAAGATGTCAATTCTCCTCAAACTGACATTTAGATTTAATGCAATTTCTATCAAAATCTCAGCAGACTTTTTTGCTGATGTAGAAAAGATTATTCTAAAAACATATAAGGTGGCCTGACACTGTGGCTTGTGTGTGTAATCCCAGCTACTAGGGAGGCTGAGGTGGGAGAATAGCTTGAGCCAAGAGTTAGAGGCTGCAGTGAGCTAAGATTGCACCACTGCACTCCAGCCTGGGTGACTGGGGGAGACCCCCATCTCTAAAAAATAAATAAATAAAAATTTATAGAAAATTTTATATAAAAAGGCAAAGAAACATTAGCTAAAACTTTTGATAAAACAAGATTAAAATATTCTGATAAGATTAAAGATAAAGAAGAATCAGTCTACCAGTATCAGGATATTACATATAGCTACACCAATAAAGACAGTGGCCTGCTCCATACAAGGAAAAATTGGTAAGCTGGACTTCATCAAAATTAAAAAAACTTGTGATCTGCAAAAGACCCTTTTAAGAGGGTAAAAAAACAAGCTACAGAGTAGGAAAAAAATATTTGCAAACCACATATCCAATAGACTAGTATCTAGAATAAAGGGGATCTCTGTATTATTTCTTACAACTGCATATGAATTCTATAATTATCTCAAAAGTTTAATTGTACTTACTTCTTTATTTCAGAGACAGGATGCCACTCTGTCACCCAGCCTAGAGTACAGTGGCATGACATTGGCTCACTGCAGCCTCAACCTCCTGGGCTCAGGTGATCCTCCCACCTCAGCCTCCCTAGTTAGTTGGGACTATAGTGCATGCCACGATGCCCAGCTAATTTTTGTTTTCTGTAGAGGCCAGAGTCTCATTATATTGCCTAGGCTGGTCTCAAACTCCTGGGCTCAAGTGATCCTCCTGCTCAGCCTCCCAAAGTGCTGGGATTACAGGTGAGCTACCACACCCAGCCAAATTTTAAATATCAAATAACAAAGTATACCATCAAATCCACATTTATCATTTAAAATGCCTCTAATAATCTATTTTTCTTGGGGTTTCAAGAGCTTTTCTCATTTCACTTTCCTCTTATTTTTGCTACTCCAATGCCAAAAGATCATTGTATACCTCTTCCTTACAAATGTCAAGGAAATCCTTTACCTGACCAAAAACAAAATACTTGGCTAGCTGCATTATTTTTTTCCGTTTTAAAAAATGTATTCCATAAATATGACTTTCCTTAAATCAAACTCCATACCAAAAATTTTCATAGGATAAATTTAGTCCAGCCCAATGTCTGCTGTTTTTCTTCACTCATATTGCTTGATAAGACCACATTTCATATCAATATCTTTAGAATTTCATTGTTTATTAGCATCAGAGCTTCCCCAGGAAGTAGAAATTGGTTTGCACTGTGATGATTCTTGCTCGTTTAGATATTTCACTGGACAATGTGTGTTTTAAAATTCTAAGTTACAGGAAGTGGTAGGGAGATACAAAGTCAAGCACAAAGAGGAGGAAAGAAACAAAGGCACAATTTGCAAAGGGAAAAAAAACATAAAGAAGCAAGTTTTGAAAACTGATATGTTGAGAACAACAAGAAGAAAGAGACTTGGCTGGAATGTGCAACAAGATGTCAGTATGCCACTACACAATATCATAGTACCAAAAGATATGCGTGAGTCACAGAATCTGTCATGTTCCAGGCCTGTGAAAACAAGGTCAAATTGAAAGTCTGTGTTCCTCCACAGCTTTTTAATCAAAAACTATATAATGAAAGAGAGCCTATATTTTAATCCAAATCATCACTTTTGGCAAATGGCCTTCATCATTTATCTAACGTACAATAGAACATTTATTTAGAGTTCTAAACACTGGAAGCGTCTAAATACTGAAATGATAGAACTGTTATAAAAGAAGTTCGTTATTGTTGTCGTTGCTTTTGTTTTTGCTTTTATGTAATAATTAATCAATTATCAAACCACAGTAGTAACTGAAGGTAAATTCATGCAAGTTCAAAGTGCATGTCAATATGATGATCTTCAAGACTGAATGACAAGTAGGTGTTTTAACAGAGTCCCAGTCCATATGTATTATCATAAATCAAATTAAGGTAATCTAGTTAGTTGCATTGTGATGGTTCTTGCTCCCTTAAATGTTTCACTGCGTAATGTATATTTTAAAGATCTAACAGGTTTGCAGGTATGCAATTTATATTACATGCTTAAATTTCTTTCATCAAATCATTGTCCTCTTGGGAGTTAACAGATCTCAATTTTTTAAAAAAATTATAATTCTGCCGGGCGTGGTGGCTCACGCCTGTAATCCCAGCACTTTGGGAGGCCAAGGCAGGTGGATCACGACGTCAGGAGATCAAGACCACCCTGGCTAACACGGTGAAACCCCATCTCTACTAAAAATACAAAAAATTAGCCAGGCGTGGTGGCAGGCGCCTGTAGTCCCAGCTACTCCGGAGGCTGAGGCAGGAGAATGGCATGAATCCGGGAGGCGGAGCTTGCAGTGAACCGAGATCGTGCCACTGCACTCCAGCCTGGGCGACAGAGCGAGACTCCGTCTCAAAAAAATAAAATAAAATAAAATGGCTTTGTTTACTGATACCTCTTTATGACTAAAATAATAAAGAGGCAGGTTTGAAACTTTCGTTTCTTAAAAACAATGGTTTATTTACCAATCACAACTAATTCCACTGTACATACTCGTCATGCATTTAAGCAACATATAACCATCAAAGGTTTTTTACCCTGGGCGCCCAAATATCAAAAAGAAAAAAATCCGGGCCGGGTGCGGTGGCTCCCGCCTGTAATCCTAGCACTTTGGGTGGCGAGGCAAGCGGATGGCTTGAGCCCAGGAGTTCGACAGCAGCCTGGACAACAGGGCGAAACCCCGTCTCAAACAAAAATACAAAAAATTAGCTGGACGTGGTGTCGCGCACCTGTAGTCCCAGCTACTCAGGAGGCTAAGGTGAGAGGATCGCTTCAGCCCAGGAGACGGAGGTTGCAGTGAGCCAAGATTGCCCACTGCACTCTAGCCAGGACAAGAGAGGGAGAGACCCTGTTTCAAAAAAAAAAAAAAGAAAAAAGAAAATATCCCCCTTATAGAAAAATAAGCAAAAGACATACACAAAAGCCCTTAAACATATTATTGTGAGATTTTCAGCCTCACTCACAATAAGAAAAATAAAAATAAAAACTACACTGAAACACTACTTATCACATCATATTGACAAAAGCCCAAAAGTCTTTGGGTTGTTGAAAAAGCTACGGAGAACTTTATTGAAAGAGCTACAAAGAAATGAGCAATCTCATAGACTGCTAGAGGGAGAACAAAATGGTACAACCTCTAAAGTGGGTAATACCTACCAAATTCCAGATATATTCATCATTTTACTTAGCAATCTTACTTGTGGGAATCTATCCTATAGATACAGTACGAAATGTACAATAGGCCTAGCGCAGTGGCTCAGGCATGTAATCCCAGTACTTTGGGAGGCCAAGGCGGTCGGATCATTTGAGGTCAGGAGCTCAAAACCAGCCTGGCCAATATGGTGAAATCCCTTCTCTACTAAAACTACAAAAATCAGCCGGGCGTGGTGATGGGCACCTGTAATCCCAGCTACTCGCCAGGGTGAGGCAGGAGAATCGCTTGAGCCCGGGAGGCGGAGGTTGCAGTAAGCAGAGATTGCGCCACTGCATTCCACTCTGGGAGACAGAGCAAGACTCCGTCTCAAAAACAAAACAAATAAAAAAAGAAATGTGCAATAAAAAATGACCAATATTCAAGGCTATCCCTTCCTGCATTATTTTTTCTGGCAAAAGGCTGGAAATAATCCAAATATCCAGAAACAGAACTAGTTTAATAAACCATGATATATTTACATAATGGAATACTATGTAGCTATTTAAAAAAAATAAGGAAAACCTCTATATACTGATATGGACAAATCTCAAAAATATATGTATAACTAAAAAACTAAGCTGCAGAAGTCTATACAATAACACTATTTATTTTGTAAAAAGGAGAAAATAAGATAATATATGCTCCTATTTGCATAAGAAAGCAATGGAAGAATAAACAACAAACGAATAAAATGGGGAAATAGAAGGAATGAGACAAAAAATGTTTGTTAGATCTATGATTCATATCCTTTTCTTTCCACTTTTTAAATAAAATATTTCAAACCCACACAAGATAATTTACCTATATCATTTTTTATTTTCAAAATTACAGTAGATAAGATTTCCAGGAGCTCAGGTTCCTCAGAATTACATATTTGATCTGATGATAACTAACAAACTCTTGAAATTTAATACAGGAATACTTAGCAAATGCTACACTCCCATTTAATTTCTCTCTATGGCTACTAATTTTTCTGTGGTGTGAATCTAATCAATCAGATAACAAATCAGCATAACCTCCACTGGAAGAGCTTCAATGAAAATTGTTGTCTATTTAACTCAAACAAAATCAAACACAGAGCCCATTGCTAGCTAACTGAACCAAATCAACATTGTCTTATTAGCCACAGATTCTTCATAATTTTTTCATTTTTCCAGTTTGCTTGATAACTCAATGAGGACATTTTTTAAAAACAAGTTTCTCTTTATCAAACCACAAAAAAATTTATTCTCCTATTCCATATTGTAATGAAACTTATTTAACATTATCCACCCCTTTTTACCCAAATGTACAATTTCAACTTTTTGCTAAATGTTAAGCTTTATTTATATAACATGCACTCAGATCATAATGCTTTCATCATTAGAGTTACTATTCTTAAACCTGCAAACTTTTGACAGCACTACAAAGAACACTGAGGAATGACAGGCTTTTTAAAAATTATTTTAGATTACACTTCTGACTGATGAAGAGAAAGAAGAACTATAAAGTTATATGTAGTTATAAAAAACATTTCTGATATGTAGAGGCTTTTGAAATTTTCATTAGTTTTATTTTCTCTCAAAAAGAAGTCATATTTTTAAGACAGTTAATCTGCAAATCAGTTAATTAATTCCCAGATAATTAACAGTTGGTGATACAATTTTTTAATTCTTCTATTCGTTCAACAAATATTTACTGAGCACCAACTATATGCCAGGCACCCTTTGGGTTCCCAGGATACAGCAGCAAACAAAAGAAACAAAATCCCTTCCCCCCTTGAACAGACATTCCAACAGGGTAGACAATCAAAAATAAAATGTCAGGCTGTAATAAGTTATTCAAAGAAAAGTAAAGTTCCTCCCTTTATTGTTCCCTATCCCAATAATTGGCATCACCATCATCTGATTGCTTAGGCCAAGAGCCTTGGAATCATCCTTGATCCTCTCTTTAATTCCCATAACTAATCCATCGTTTTGGCACTACCTTCAAAACATATTCTAAATCCAGCTACTTCTCATCACCTCCTCCCTATTACCATATTGCATGCCATAACCATCTCTTGCCTCTTATTACTGCAAACATCCCCTAACTGGTTTCCCTGTTTCCTCTCTTACTCTGTCTCCACACAGCAGCCAGAACATTCCTTGTTTGTTTGTTGTTGTTGTTGTCATTGTTTTTGAGACAGAGTCTCGCTCTGTCGCCCAGGCTGGAGTTCAGTGGTGCGATCTCCACTCACTGCAACCTCTACCTCCTGGGTTCAAGTGATTCTCCTGCCTTAGCCTCCTGAGTAGCTGGGATTACAGGTGCCCACCACCACGCCAGGCTAATTTTTGTTTTGTTTTCTTTTCTTTTGAGACGAGTCTCGCACTGTCTCCCAGGCTCGAGGGCAGTAGCGCGATCTCGGCTCACTGCAAGCTCCGCCTCCCAGGTTCACGCCATTCTCCTGCCTCAGCCTCCCAAGTAGCTGGGACTACAGGTGCCTGCCACCAGGCCCAGCTAATTTTTTTTTTTTTTTTTTTTTTTGTATTTTTAGTAGAAACGGGGTTTCACCATGTTAGCCAGGATGGTCTCGATCTCCTGACCTCGTGATCCGCCCGCCTCGGCCTCCCAAAGTTCTGGAATTACAGGCGTGAGCCACCGTGCCAGGCCATTTTTGTATTTTTAGTAGAGACACGGTTTCACCATGTTGGCCAGGCTGGTCTTGAACTCCTGGCCTCAAGTGATCTGCCCTCCTTGGCCTCCCAAAGTGCAGAGATTGCAAGCATGAGCCACTGTACCTGGCCACATTCCTTGTTTAATCTAAGTGACCACATGTCACTTTCCTGCTCAAAACTCTCCTGTACTTTCCCATAATGCTCAGAATAAAAACTCTCCTGTACCTTTCCATAACATTTAGAATAAAATCAAAGTCTCTTTCTTAGTCTACATGATCTGGACCCTGACTACTTTCTTACCACCACTTCCCACCGTTATCCTTTTCCTGAGGGCCTTGGCACTTACTGTCCCCTTTGTATGGAAGGTATTTCCCTCACAGAGAGCCATATGGCTTGTTGCTTCACTCTATTCAAACCTTTGCCAAAGCTACCTTTCCTAATCCCCTAATTGAAAGCAATAACCCAGTCATTATGTAACATTAATCGCTAAATAGCACTACATTATATATTTATTCATTTATTCTGTAAGTGCCCACTCCGGACTCTATAAGCTCAATAAGGATAGGGACTTGTCTATATTGCTGCCTGCTGTACCCCAGAGCCTGGAAGAGTATCTGGCACATAGACATTGCTCAATATTGAATGAATATATGAATGAATCAATTCATTAATAAAGCCACTAAAGTGACATCATTATAATGTATAAACCTGTATATAACATGTTAACTGAAAAAGCAAGACACATAATAATCATCTAATATTTAATATAATAACATGCATATAAAAAAGTTAAGAGGAAATATAAAAATATAAAAGTGGTGGAAAGGTAATAGAATTAAGTTATTTGTTGTTGTTTCTTCTTAAGTCATTCTATTACATTTATAATTAAAATATAAAAATGTCATTTTTAAAAGGGCACTACTATTAAAAAATAAGCATGAGCAATGGGAATGTTCTTCCCCTCAGTGATTGTCAAGGACGGAGTATATCACAATCACCTGAAGGGCTTTTATATATTTATTTCCTATCTCCTCCTCCTTTCTCTGCTCCACCCCAAAATAACCCCTCCCAGGATTGATTATTGATAAGTATTATATCCCTTAGATATGTGGGACCAGGAAAAGGAAACAAAAAAAATAGGCTAACCACTAAACTAACAAAACTCAAAAAATAGAAATACTTAAGTCCACATAGCAAACCCAAGGGTAAAGGTGGAAGATGACTCACACTTGAGTGACCAATGCCTAGCAGGTACCATGGCACCCCATCTACATTGGAGGAAGAGTATGAAAAGAAAAAAGAGAGAGAGAGAGAGAAAGCATCATTCATGCTACCTGCTAGGCAGTAGTCCTAGCTTGGTACCTTGCATTGTACCATGAAGGATGCTTTATCTTCATTTTTCTAATCACTTTTTAGATGAGAAAAAATTGCCCACTTGGGTGGTAAGTTGCTTATAAAAATAAATTGATTTAATTTATTAAAGAGAGCCATGGACCTATAATGAGAAAGTGTCACGAACCAAGGATTATGATTAACTGATCTCTGTAAAGATGAATTAATGGGAGAGGGTGCTGGATGGAAAAATAAGAGCCATGTGGTCAAAGGCACAGAAGTAGTAAGTGGATGCCACATCCCCATATTCACTTATCAAATGACCTTAAATAAAACAGCCTTTTGAAAATATCCCCCTCAATTTGTTTCTTGTTTATAAAGAGCTAGCTTTATAAACAAACAACTTAAAAAAGCAAGACAGAAAATTATTCCTACACCCATAAGTAAAGCTTTGTAATAATAAAATATATAAGGCAAAGTTCTAGAAGGAAAAGCACCAAAACAACAGCAGCTGTGTTATAGAATTGTAAGCAATTTTTAATCTAGTTTCCAAATTCCATATGTTGACATACTGTTTTAACAGTGAAAAAGGTAACTGTATCATTAATATACTTTATGTTACATAAGACTGAGTAGTATGACACAAAATAATTCCAGAAGACAATAATCAGTCCCTAAAGTTATTTACCAAGATCAAATATAGGAATCAAATCATTCTTATGATACAGGAATTGAGCCAAAAAGAGAAAAACTTTCGCTGAAAACTAGAGCAAACTTCCCTGGGTGAGAATACTAAATGAAGGAAGTTAGGCTAGCTAGCAAAAATCACATAAACTCAATAACAGGGTTTTCAATGTTACATTTCTGCCACAAATAAGGAACATAAATCATGATAAGGAGATCAAAATAAATCAACCAGGAATCTGGGTTTTTTAAAAAATAAAAAAAGCAGTCAACAAATGGTGTTGGAACAACTGGATATCCACATGCTAAAGAATGAAACTGGACACTCCTCCTTACATTGTAAACAAAAATTAACTCAAAATGAATCACAGATCTAAATGTAAAAGATAAAATTATATAACACTTAGAAAAAATATAGGAGCAAATCTTCATGATCATGCATTACGCAAAAGTTTCCTAAATATAACATCAAAAGCATGAAACAAAATAAGAAAAAAAATGATAACTGGAATTAATTTAAATTAAAAACTTTTGTGCAGCAAAAGCTAAGAACATGAAAGATATCAAAAAATGGAAAAGACAAATCACAGAATAGGATATAGTATTACAAATCATATATCTGATAACAGGACATATTCAGAATACATAGAGAACTCCTACAACTCAACCAAAAAAAGAAAAGCAAATAACCCAATTTAAAAACGGGCAAAGGATCCAAAAGGGATAAACAATGACCAATAAGCACATGAAAAGAACAGCTATTACGGGAATGCAAATCAAAACTACAATGAAATGCAACTTCACACCCACAAGGATGGCAAAGTAAAAAAGATGATAACAAGTGTTGACAAGGATGTGGAAAAATTGGAACCCTGATACATTGCTACAGGAATGTAAAATGGCGCATGCACTTTGGAAAAACAGTCTAGCAGTTCCTCATAATGTTAAACATAGAGTTACCTTACAGCCTAGAAATTCCACTCCTAGGTACATACTCAACAAAAATGAAAACATATGTCTCTACAAAAACTAGTATACAAATGGCCATGGCAGCATTGTTCCACAGCCCCAAAATGGAAACAACCCAAATGTCCATCAACTGATGAACAAATAAAATGTGGTATATCCACACAATGGAATATTATTCATCGATAAAAAGAAATTAAGTACTGATACATGCTACCACATAGATGAACCTTGAAAACATTCAGTTACCAAAAAAACCCATATTGTTTGATTCCATTTATACAAAATGTCCCGATGTCCAGAACAGCCAAACCCATGAAGAAAAGTAGTGATTGCCTAGGGAGAGAGAGGGAACAGAATGGAGAGACCACTAATGGGTACAAGGTTTCTTTTTGAGTAATGAAAATTTTCTAAAATTAGGTTGTGGTGATTGCTGCACAACTCTGCGAATATACATACCCAAAACCATTTAATTGTATACTTTAAATGGGTAAATTGTATGATACATGAATTATATCTCAATATAGTTGTTTTTTAATGGCAATGTATTTCAATATTAAATTTTAAGTTTGAAAACAAAATCTTAAACAACAATTAGACTGAATGTTAATTGCTATTACCCAGAGTACCAAGTGAAGAAATGACTTCTACTGAGTAAGTGATATAAAGGAAAAGTAGAGATATAGGGATGGGATTTGAAAAATGAAAACAGGGAGCTATTGTTCATAAATGATTTGTCATCAAAATTTTAGTATTTATAACACAAAGCAGGAATGAACATTATTTTAAAAACAGGACAGGCAGGCTTTAACATCTTACAGGCCTCTTTCCAAAATTAGGACTCACAGATAACAAAATAATTTTTAAGGTAAAGACAAAGAGAGAGATAGCTACTTTCCCAAAAGAGTTTGCTAGGCAACACCCTCTTTATGTGTGGATATGCTTGGGCCTTTCAGAATTACAATGAAAAAGAAGAGGTGGTATATCCTTATGATAGATGGGAATCTACCAACATTGCATGTACAGCTCAAAACTAAAGTAATAACAGTAATATAATGAAAAAGTCAAGCCACTGTGACTCCTCAAACAAAAAGGAGTAAGACTGGAAAAAATAATCCGTATCATAGCAAAGAAAGAAAGCAAGTAATGATACACAAATAATAGCTGGCAAAGGAAAGAGTCTGGTTAGGCAATACAGCCAAGTGGATTTTTTTGAAGAGCAGGTATTTTAGGGATATACTAATCTAATATCTGCTCTCAATTTACTTTCTGTGTTCGTTAGTTTCTCTTCAGCTAGAAAACCCATCTCACGAACAGTTAAGAATCTGGTGCCTTTACAATGTTACCTCAAAAGATGAAGAAAGAGGAAAGACATACTATGAAGAAGAAAAGTTCGAGGTTTACAACTGAGAGTAGTTAAGGCAAGAGAGCTACTGCCTTAATCAAACCTGTTTCATGATAGTGATGAAAAACAGGAGATAATGACAATAGAGGCACATCCCAAGTAAGGCATGGGATCTGAAACATCAAGTCTGTGCATGCTGCTGCCTCTGAACGGGATAAGGAAAAAAGGTGAGATCATCCCCTATGAATATGGGTAGGGACAGCTAGACTAAAGACAAAGGCAGTGGGTACTCCTTGTATTATAGGATATTCAAGTGAATGAACCCTGGGTCTGACAGTAAGACTCAGTGTAATCTGCTAAAAAAAAAAAAAAAAAAAAAGTTGAGATCAAAAATGATGAGCCCATAATAATCATATAGGAAGTCAAGAAAAGCAAGTAAAACTGGTAATGAGTCTCAAACTTTCTTTTTTTTACAGTGTCCCCTTAGGGCAAAAGACCTCTTAATCCATCTATCTACACAAAACCCCACTTTTCAGTGAAAAAACTCAGTAACAACAATGAAACAAGTTTTAGGGAGACTGGGTAACTTATATTTAAACCGTAATGTATATACAGTTGACCCTCTGTATCTGCAGGTTCAACCAACTTCTCAAATCAAAGTTTTAAGAAAAAAAAAAAAAAAAAAACAAAAAACAAAAAAAAAGACAGTGGCCAGGCACAGTGGCTCAAGCCTGTAATCCCAGCACTTTGGGAGGCTAAAGCAGGTGGATTGCTTGAACCCAGGAATTCAAGACCAGCTTGGGCAACATGGTGAAACCCCATCTCTATATGAAATATAAGAAATTAGCCAGGTATGGTGGCGAACGCCTGTAGTCCCAACTACTCAGGAGGCTGAGGTGGGAGAATCACCAGGAAGTCGAGGCTGCAGTGAGCAGTGACGATTGTGCCACTGCACTCTAGCCTGAGCAACAGAGTGAGACCCTGTCCCAAAAAAAAAAAAGAAGGATGGTTGCATCCGCACTAAACATGCTACAGACATTTGTCTTGTCATTATTACCTAAACAATACAGTATAACATATATTTACATGGTATTTACATTATATTTGGTATTATAAGTAATCTAGAGATGATTTGAAGTATACAGGAAAATGTGTGTAGGACCATTGACCCTTAAGAGCTGAAGAAAATGGGAATTGAGAAAAGCACAATGGTCCTGATCATAAGGCAATGGGGGTTGGTGGAGAGACAGGCAACTGTGTGGAAGAACTGGTCCAAAAAAGGGAGCTAAAAGTCACTTTAAGGGACAAAGGGGCCAGGCACGGTGGCTCATGCCTGTAATCCCAACACTTTGGGAGGCTGGGGTGGGAGGATCATTTGACCCCAAAAGTTTGAGACCAGCCTGGGCAACATGGCAAAATCCCATCTCTACAAAAAGTTTAAAACTTAGCCAGGTGTGGTGGTGGTGCACAGCTGTAGTCCCAGCTACTCAGGAGGCTTAGGTGGGAGGATCTTAACTCAGGAAGTCAAGGCTGCAGTGAGCTACGATCACATCACTGCACTGCAGCCTAGGAGACAAAAGGGGACCCTCTCTCAATAAATGAATATTAGGTTGGTGCAAAAGTAATTGCGGTTTTTGCCATTGCTTTTAATAAATAAAGAGACAAAAGGCAAACTACTAAGGATAGTTATGACCAGGGGTGGTACTGGCAGAAATGTGCTAACAATGTGTCCTGGAGAAGGAAGCTGTGCAAGTGGAGAGGAGGAGTAATTTCCAGCCTGCCCTCCAATTAGTCTTTCCTGAGTCAACTTACCCCAAGAAAACGCAAGCAGTGAGTAATAACTTTTCTGATGGGAGGGGCAGTGACCCAAGACTGTGCAAGGAGGGTAGGATAGTTATCTATGTATTGGCTGCATGATCAGAATGCATAACAGTAAGGGATAAGGATGAGTTGGTTCTAGGACACCAGTAACATGAGGGGAAGGGGGAAAGTAGTTCAAAACTGGGCTTAGTGAGTAGTTACCAACAGTAAGTACAGGTAGCCGATAATCCCCAGCTGAGGCAAAACAGTGGTTAAGTGTCTGGGTCCAGGCTATCCGAGTAGGAATCTGAGTCCCCCACTTTATTTTCTCTGTGACCTTGGGCAAGTCACTTAACCTATCTGTGCCCTGTCTGTAAAAGGAGAGTAATAGAACCTACCTAATACGGTTGTTTTGTAGCTTAAATAAGTTGCATTTGTAAATCACTTTATACAACGTCTTGGACTTTATGTAACAAGTGCTACCTAAATTTGTTAAATAAGTTGAGGTAAGTAGGGATTTCTTTTGACATCTCCAAATAAAATGGAGATGTGCGTGCAAAAAAAAATGATAACTGGGGGGCGGCAGCAGGGTCAGTTTTCCCCAGCGATGAGGAGGCTGCACCGTGGGCGAGGGTCGTCCTCGTAACAGGGAGGCAGGGATAAAGGAGCAGCGGCTCCCAGGAGAGGGGCGCGGGTTGGGGAAACTTCCATCCAGGCCTAGGATTTCCAGGGACTCGTTTCTGAGAAGTGGCTGTGATTCTGAGGCAAGACTTTGATTTCGAGCACTAGACCATGGAGTGAAATTCTGTGTTGTCTGAAGAGCAGGACTCCTGTCTAGGGCAGGACGTAGTTAGAGACGGAGGGAGAAGGGTGATGTCCCCAGGGGGAAGATCTGCCGGGAGCCACCACCATCTGTCGGGCGCCCTCTCGTTCCCCAGCGCCGGACCAGCCTCGGAGGGAGAACGAAGGCTGCTCCTGCCCCGAGGGAGGCAGCGGGAGGGTCCTGAGTCACTGGGCTGTAGGGCGCCGGGAAGGGACCCCGCGTCGGGGCTGCGAAGGGAGACCCGCCTCGCCCGGTATGCAGGGTCTCTCCGAAGGGAGGGGCCGGCGCCGGACCTGGGGACAGCCGGCCGGAGGCCCGACCCAGAGGAGCCTGCCCCGTCCCGCCCGTTCCCGCCCCTCTGTGGTCCCGGCACCCGGGGTACCTGAGCGTGGGCCCGATGCAGGCCGTGTCAGTGCTCTCGATCTCTCGCAGGATCCGCTCGTGCTCTGCCGCTGTCTCCAGGCTCTCCGCCTCCGCCATCTTACCCCGCTCCATAGACTGGGGGCGCCCCGCAGCGCGTCCCCTCCGTCGGCTCGGCTCACCTTTTCCCTGCCCCACAATGCCGCTCCCACCACAGGCTCCACAGCCGCCCCAGCCTCTGGCTACCCGCAGGCCGACCCCTCCCTCAGGCTCGACACGCCCCCTTGCGTCACCGCGTCCGTCGGCGTTCTGCGTAATGTCCGCTGGGATTTGTAGTTCTCTGGGAAATGCTAGGTTGGATTCCATTCATTCATACATGGAATCCGCAAATACTAGTTGAAGCCCACTGTAAGCAAAAACAGTTAACGACAGTGCGTAAACAGTGATGATCAAGTCAGGCAGTGGCACTAAACCTACAAATTCTTGTTTACCACCTTTGCCACAAAGTGCCAAGGCTCCGTCGGCGCGAATAATAAAGTCTAACTTAATGTCTGACAGAGGCCTTACAGTCTAGTGGGGGAGACACGGGGAGCTGGAGAATTCAAAACTGTGAGCTGTAAGCCAGTTCCGATAATGGAGTTCAGAGATCTCTTCTGGTTGCCAAGGCTTCATAAAGACACTGGGTTTCGGAGGTTAAAAGGCATAACTGGAAGGTGTGAGGAGAATCCAGACAGCCAAAAAGAATTTCATTTGCACTGACGTGTAAAGACGTAGTAGTAAGGGATGGGTCTGGAAAGGTTCGCTGGAGAGAAATTACGAGGAGCCTTAAATACTGGGCTGATAAATGTGTACTTTGTTCTAATGGTTCCACTGATCCAACAACCAACTGCAACAGAAGCACCTGGAAACATTTTTTTTTAATACAGACTGACTGACAGTCATACATCTGGAGATTCTGATCCAGGCATCTGCATTTCATGAACTCATCAGTTACAATTTAAAAATCGGATTTATTAATCATTGCTTGAGTTTTTACGTAACACAATGAATGGGAAGGCACTGAAGGTTTTTTGGGGGTTTGTTTGTTTGTTTGTTTTTGAGACAGTGTCTTGCTCTGTCGCCCAGGCTGGAGTGCAGTGGGGCGATCTCGGCTCACTGCAAGCTCCGCCTCCCGGGTGCATGCCAGTCTCCTGCCTCAGCCTCCTGAGTAGCTGAGACTACAGGCGCCCGCCGCCACGCCCGGCTAATTTTTTTTTTTTTTTTTTTTAGACTGAGTCTCGCTCTGTCGCCCAGGCTGGAGTGCAGTGGCGGGATCTCAGTTCACCGTGAGCTCCACCTCCCGGGTTCACGCCATTCTCCTACTTCAGCCTCCCAAGTAGCTGGGACTACGGGCCCACGCCCTGGGACTACCACGCCCAGCTAATGTTTCGTATTTTTAGTAGAGACGGGGTTTCACTGTGTTAGCCAGAATGGTCTCGATCTCCTGACCTCATGATCCGCCCGCCTCGGCCTCCCAAAGTGCTGGGATTAGAGGTGCAGGTTTTTAAGAGGAGTGACACAATCAAAATGTGGGCGTTAGGAAATTTGGTGAAGGGCAAGTGTGCAAGATGTGCAGAGACAGAGAATTTGGAGATAAGGCAACACTGTAGGAGATGAGAAGGCCTAAACCAGGGAAGCAGCAATGAGAATGAAAAAGAATGAACAAGTAGGAAAAACATCAAAAAGAGAGAATTGACAGGATTTACTAGATACCAAAAAGGTTAGATATTACTCCAAGGTTTAGTACCAGAGTGACTAGTAGAAGAGAGTTTCCACTGACAAAAAAAAAAAGGCATGAGAGAAGAACCAAACTGGAAGTTTAGGCTAAATAATTTGTGCTACAACCATACTATAGACTATTATGCAATCATTAAAAAGAAAGACAAAAGACTCTATGGTCATACATGAAACTGTCTCCAAGTTGTAGTTGTTGAGTGGAAAAATGCAAGGCATGAAACAATATGTAGACTCTGTCCTCATTTGTTTTTTAAAAGAATAAATATTCATATATACGCTTTGATATATATACACACACACATATACATATATATAATATTACATAGATAGAATCTGTCTGAAAAAATGCCCAAAAAACTGTTAACAGTAATGGCATCCAGGAAAAAAAAAATTGGAAAGAAGGAGTTTGAAGTAGTAAGAAGGTAATTTGTAATTATCATTTGCACTCTTGGAATTATTTTCCTTGTGCATGCACTGCTTTTTTAATAAAAATAGTAGTCATGACCTAAGAATGCATTTTAAAAATAAACAAACCAGTAGTAAGGGGAATGGGTTACAAGTCCTGATTTGCCAAGAAGAGAGCAAGTTGATAAACCTGTCTGTCTCTAGATAATCTCTGCCTGTCCTCGTTTTGTTTCATTACTCATGTTTAAACAATTCCAAACAGATGTAGGAGGGGTAGGGAGAGTATGGAGCCTTTTGTATTTCTAAAGATCTCTTGAAATACATGACCGAGGGTCCCTTCAGACACCCATTTTAGCATCTCACTCAGCAAGTTTTTCACCCATCCAGGCTGCTGCATAGACGACATACATTCAGCAGTAGTTAAACTAGCTTCTGCTACTGTCAGCAGTTTTTGTGAGCCTCCACAGAGGCCAGAGGCCACACATCTCAGCAACAGGAACAAGTCTGCAGTAAGCAGTATTGGAAACCTCCAGTGAAGATGGCAAGATGGCCTGTCTAATGTTTATGTCCTCCAAATAGAAAGAATGTGAGTCGCATTGATTCAGTTCCAGCATTAGTGGTTAAAATGTTTTGAGCAGGCTGGGCACAGTGGCTCATGCCTATAATCCCAGCACTTTGGGAGGCCGAGGCAGGTGGATCACTTGAGGTCAAGAGTTTGAGACCAGCCTGGCCAACATGGTGAAACCCTGTCTCTACTAAAAATATAAAAATTAGCTGTGCATGGTGGCAGGTGCCTGTAATCCTAGCTACTCAGGAGGCTGAGGCAGGAGAATCACTTGAACCTGGGAGAAGCAGGTTGCAGTGAGCCAAGATCACGCCACTGCACTCCCGCCTAGGTGACAGAGTGAGACTCCATCTCAAAAACAAACCAAAAAATGCACTGAGCACTTTCTGTGTGCCAAGCACAATATACAAAGTAAGTACTTCACATATATCAACCTCATTAAATCCTTACAACAATCCTTTGCAGTAAAAATCACGTGTCCCATTTTACAGATAAGAAAGCTGAAATATTAGGCAACACCCCACATCTCACATCCATTAAGTAATGAAGCTGGTATTCGAACCAGGTCAATCTGATTCAAAGGCCTATTTCCTAACCAGTAGCCCATGCTGCCCCACCCAGGCCCTTCACGGCCACGAGTTTATTATGTGACCATTCTGCCACTCTATCTCTGCTTCTACATTAATATAATGGATTGTATCATTTCTCAGAACCCTTCCAAAACACCTTGGAGACCTCTTCACAAAACCACATCCCTCCACTTACCTAGAATGAACTGGTTTTCTCTTCTGCATGAGTAGATAGGCAGCATCAGCATTCTCACTGCTCTCCACTGCCACATCTAGGCTGTTGTTTCAACACCCTGATTCCCTAACTCTCCTTTGAAGTCTAGGGCATCAGATTATGCCATAATTATCTACTAATGTCCATATTTCTCCGAAATGTTACTTCTTGGCTCACAGTTTTAGGGACAGGAGGTAGGGAAATTCTGGGCAGAGGAGCACAGGTCCCCAGCAAGGGCCCCACCCTCAAGCCTGGAACCACAGACCAAAGTGAGAACATATATCCCTGTTTTCTTGCTCGAATGTTGCCTTTTCCAAAGCCACCCATGGCCTGCCCCGCTCCCCATCCTGTGCCCATAAAAACCCCAGGCTCTACTGGCAGAGAGGAGAAGCAGCTGAACATCAGAGACTATGGTTGAACATTGGAGATAAGGGGCTTGACTTCAAAGGGACAGCTTGATGGAGTAGCTCTGAAGGAAAATTACCTTCCTGCTCTGTCCCCTTTACAGCTCCCCTTCCCACTGAGAGCCATCTTCCTCAGCAATAAAATCTCCCACATTTACCATCTTCAACTCTGTGTGACCTCATTCCTCCTGGATGCCGGGTGCAGGTGCAAAAGTCTGTCACACTGACCCTCCACTGAGCTGCTAACATTTAAGCTGTCCATGGATGACAAAGCTAAAAGGACACTGTAACACTTCCTCTGGGGCTTCAGGGGTCACGGGCTCCCTCCCCTAGATACTGCCACAGGACCAATACGGAGTTGGGTCTTGCTGGTGCCCAAAGGTGCTCGTCCCAGCTCCTGCACACAGTCACCTGCCCTCTCCCTCCCACAATAGGTAGAGCAGCAAGTGAGTGGAGTTCACCCCTGCCAGTGCCCATGCACTCCAGTTCCCACCCACAAAGGGGTCAGGGAAATTTCCTTATTCAACAGTTTTTCTCTCCACCCCATTCCTTATCATGATCCCAAGGAATTTCAACATTGGGACTGTGTGTGCTGACCACTCTGACTTTACTGATCGATCCCAAGTATCCCAGCCAGGTTCCTGGTGCCACATGGACAATCCATTCATGGCTTCACCTTCTACCTTAATATAGTAAGTCCTAACTTAAAATCACCATTAGGTTCTTGGAAACTGAAACTTTAAGCGAAACTGTGTATAATGAAACCAATTTTACCACAGTTCATTGATATAGACAAGAGTTAAGTTTCTACAGCCTATTTCTGATCTCAAAAACATCATCGAACTTCTAAATAAATACCAAAACACTTCCATTGCTAAATATTGAAATAAGAGCTAGATATACATTTTTAAAAGTTTAATAAAAACAAATAAGATAATGATTTACCCACTTTTTGGTGAACCAGTGAGTGACAGCAATTGTAGTGGTGGTGGGTTAAATCAAGGAATAAATGTTTACAAGACAAAAATTATAAGGAGTACCTCCTACCCAAGGTTCAAAAACAATCACTGAGTGCTTTAGTACAGCATCATTTATTGTTGTGCACCAAACAATTATCAGATACTTTAGGATGTCTTCTTGTACATTAAGTTGTATTCATTCATTTTCCAACTTGCTTATTCCAATTCAGGGTTGCAGGGGGCCAGAGCCTATCCCAACAGCTCAGGACACAAGATAGGCACCAACCCTGGACAGAATGCCATTGCATGGCAGGGTGTACTCACACACATACCCACACTCACTCAGAAACAATTTAGAGATGCCAAGAACCTAACGTGAACATCTTTGGGATGTGGGAGGAAAACTGAAGTACCGGGAGGAAAACCAAAGTACCAGGAGAAAATGCAGGCAGACATAGAGAGAATGTGCAAATTCCGCACAGACAGTGGCCCTGGCTGGGAATCTATTTTTTTCTCATCAAATGTCAACCTAAAAAATCCAAAAGTTCAGAATCTAATTTAAAAAGAGTTTATTCAAGCACAAGGGTTGAAGAGGGCCACCTGGGAGCATAGATTCAAGTTGCCCTGAATAATACACACTTCAATTAGTGGCAGTTACAAATGGTTTTTTGGGGGTTTTTTGGCGGGAGGGGATGGTTTGAGATGGAGTCTCGCCCTGTTGCCCAGGATGCAGTGCAGTGGCATGATCTTGCCTCACTGCAATCTGCGTCTTCCAGGTTCAAGTGATTCTCCTGCCTCAGCCTCCCAAGTAGCTGGGATTACAGACACCTGCCACCATGCACAGCTAATTTTTATATTTTTAGTAGAGACAGGGTTTTGCCATGTTGGCCAGGCTGGTCTCCAACTCCTGACCTCAGGTGATCTGTCTGCCTCAGTTTCCCAAAGTGCTGGGATTACAGGCATGAGCCACCACACCTGGCCAGTTACAAATGGGTGGGGTTTTTTGTTTGTTTGTTTATTTGTTTGTTTTTTGAGATGGAGTCTCACTCTGTTGCCCAGGCTGGAGTGCAGTGGCGTGATCTTGGCTCACTGCAACCTCCGCCTCCTAGGTTCAAGCGATTCTCCTGCCTTGGCCTTTCAAGTGGCTAGGATTACAGGCTCCCACCACCATGCCAGGCTAATTTTTGTATTTTTAATAGAGACAGGGATTTCACCATGTTAGCCAGGTAAGTCTTGAACTCCTGACCTCAGGTGATCCACCCGCCTCAGCCTCCCAAATTGCTGGGATTACAGGTGTGAGCCACCTCCCCCAGCTGCAATTGAGTTTTTAAAGGAAAAAACAAGAGGCAGTTTCTAAGTTTACCAAGAATTTACATTAAAATAATATAAGCTATTGATTGGCTATAAATTGTTCTTTGTGTCACAAACTCCAGGAATATGAAGATAATGGGTGAGGCAGCTAGTCAGGAACAAAATATATTTTAACAATTGCCCCAAGCATGGGTGTGGGGGTAGGACTAATGCCCCATACTCAGGTCTCTCTCAGCCTGATAAATTTTGCATAACTCACAAACTCAGACAGCTCTGAGCTATCTTTCAATTTTCCAATATTATAACAAAATGACATTATTTGGTTATTCAAGGACCTGCTATATTCCATAAACACTGCTCTTCCCCCAGGACTATTAAATTCCTCTCTCTGACTCTTTTCTGTACACCTCTTCCTCTTTCTAATTTCTATGAGACCTGCACTTTAATCCTGATAATCCCTGATTTCTATATAATCATTAGTGTCTTTTCCTTTTATCTAAGACAAATTTGGATGGAATTTCTTCTATCCAAAATTTCAATTCAGAGAAATCTGAGTTTGCTTCCTGGCTTCTCCATTAATCAGCGGGTGAGTTTGGGTAAGTTATACGGCTTCCTCAAGCTATAATTTTCTCAAACATAAAATGGAGTTTATAAGGCCGGGTGAGGTGTCTCACACCTGTGATCCCAGAGCTTTGGGAGGCTGAGGTGGGAGGATTGCTTGAGGCCAGGAGTTTGAGACCAGCCTGGACAACATAAAGAGACCCAATGTGCCTGGACAACATAGAGAGGCCCAATGGCTACAAAAAAATTTAAAGATTAGCCAGGAGTGGTGGTGCATGCCTGTAGTCCCAGCTCCTCTGGAGGCTGAGGCAGGAGGATCATTCGAGCCCAGGAGTTTGAGGCTGCCATGAGTTATGATCACACCACGGCACTCCAGCCTGGGTGACAAAGGAAGACATTGTCTCAAAAAGAATGGAGCTTATAACCTATACCTTAGGCAATTGTAAGAATTAGAAATAATTAATGGAAGGGGGCCTAGCCCAGGGCTTGTTGGAATAAGTTAGCTGCTACCCGCGTGTATCCCCATGAACCACCAATTTGACTAAATCTTCTCTAATTTTCTAGCTTCCTTTAACATACTGATCTTCCACCATACCCACATTGCCAATCTCTCCTCTTTTGTGGAGTCCTGATAAGATAAGTAAGCAACAATGAGGAAGGGGTCCCAGATGGGTAGAACAATTTTTCTGAGAGATGACTAATCACAGACAACCCGCTGGCACAACATCCTGTTCCCAATACCTCATTCTGCACATATCCCCCTCCAGTACGATTCTAAAAAACTTCCCTCCAACCCCTGCCTCTTTGCAGACAACTCCTTCTCTGCTATGCTGCCCATTGCACCTTGCAATGTATCTTCATACTTTCTCGAATAAATCTGCCTTTCATTACCTATGACTGTCTTTGTAAATTCCTTTACCACCTGCCATACCTGCCCCAGCCAGTCACACACAGGACACCCTTCTATTGAAATCAGGAAATAAGACTGTAACCATGGCAACTAGCACAGACACATTTATGTTACTCAACATCATTTGGAACCTCAGGGTTCCTCACCCAACCTTTGACTTCTAATCCTGCTCACAGCATCAAGTTAATTTTTTTCTTTAAACAAAAATTTATTTTAAGTGGAGATGGGGGGATGGTCTCACTATGTTGCTCAGGTTCGTCTCGAACTCCTGACCTCAAGCAATCCTCTCGCCTCAGCATCTCCAGTAGCTGGGATTACAGGCACCAGCCACCACACCTGGCTCACAGAATCTATTTATAAGCTTTTCCTCTCTACTTAAAACCCTAGTTCTACTCCCCATCCTTCTCATTCTTAGGAGATACCTTTGTCTCTCACTTTTTCAACAGGCCTACCATCCATCATTAAGTCCTCATTTTCCCTCCCCTTCACCATCTTTTCATCCAATTCCACCCATGTCCTGTGTAAAAGTAATGGAGAGCCTGTCATTCTCCAAAGTCGACTTCCCATCTCTTTGTAACAGTCCTGTCATAATCTCTTTTCCCTCTTAGAGCTTCAGTCTCCCCTCTTTGCTTTATCTTGACCAGTAAACACACATTTGAGTCTTTACAACCAAAGGTAATTCCCTCAACCTGGCTCCCTGAGCTATTCCAGTTCCTCCATTCCCTTCACTCCTTGGAAATGTATTTTACACTCCTCCTCTTTACCTCTCCCTTGCTCTTAATGTCTTAACTCAAACCACTCCAGACAAACAACTTTTCAAGGTGATCCTAAACTTTCTGATTGCCAAATCCAAAAGCATTTTCCAGCCTTCATCCTACCTGACCTCTACTCATTATTTGACATTGTTGACTGCAGATGTTGTATGGAACCGAGAAATAGGAAGAAAAGGGGAGTGGGCCCCCTTTCATACCCTTAACTCAAGTCTTCACAAAATGTTAGAGTGCAGGCCTGGTTGACTACCTGTCTGTAGTTCATTGCATTAGTATTCCCAGTTCTTCACTTGTCAGGTGATTTTGCAGTTCTTCCCACTACAGGTGGAGTATCATCCCCTGACTCTTGACTTTGGGTTCAGCCATGTGACCTGCTGTGGCCAATGGGATAGACAAGTGTTAATGAGAGGCCTGAAATGCACTTAAATGGTTGGTCTTGCTCTCTTGCCTTTCTGGTCTCAAACACTATGAGAAGTCCATACCTAGTATAGCCCACTGGTCCAGGAAGAGTGAAAGACATGTTGAGCAGAGATACCCAGCCAATCTACAAACTGCAGCCTAAATTAGAGCCACCCCAGCTGACCACAGCCTCTTAAGTGAGAAACAAATACTTCGTGTTGTATGCCACTGCCTTTTGGGTTGGTTGGTTACATAACTTTTTTGTGACAATAGCTATCTGATACACACTTCCTTCAAAAAAGTTTATCTTACCTTAGCTTCTGGAGCACTTCACTCTTCTAATTCTGCTCCCATTGTACTTGAGCTTCTTAGTCTTCTCCACCATGTTTTTTAGTCCATCTACAAGCTCAGTTCTCTTTTCAGCCTTCTTTTCTAGCCACTTCTCACTCTCTCCCTGAGTGATCTCATTTAATCCCAGAGGGTAAAAAATAATTTTACATTTGACTTTGAAAGTTTTCCTTTAAACTTCAGACCCAGATGCTGGCTGCCTTCTGAGCATTTCTGCTTAAAATCCTGCTACCACTTCAAACTCAATATTTTTTTTTTTTTTTTTTGAGACAGGGTCTGGCTCTGTCACCCAGGTTGGAGTGCAGTGGGGCGATTATGGTTCACTGTAGCCTCGACCTCCTGGGCTCAAGTGATTCTCATGCTTCCACCTTCCCAGTAGCTGAGACTACAGGTGCATACCACTATGCCTGGGTAAAAACTCAATATTTTAAATGAATTTCTGAATTCATGACAAAATCAGCTCTGACTCCTTCCTATCTTCTCTCTGACAGATAAACCACCACCTATTATTATTTATTCAATAGCCACAAATTTGGGTCGTTCCAGCCCAGTCCTACACAAAGACAAGAAACCTGGGGTGAGTCACTGCACCTGAGCAGATCCATGGACTGGTTGCCTTGTGCCAACATGGCTGGGACAAAGATCAGTCTCTGGAAGTTTGCCCTCCAAGCTTCATTCAGAGCTTGGTTCAGAAGACAGACTCAGAACAATTTCATCTTTGCTTCCAATCATAATGGCCCCCTGACTACTATTCCAAATGTAAACCCCTCAGACTATCTCTCTCCCTCACTGCTCTTAATTCCTCCTCACTACTGACTTGTACTTTAAGCCAGACTCTTTTAACTTTTTCCCAGAATACTCCTGCTACTGCCCCCCTTAAATGAGCTTTGGCCTCCCTTTGATAACTCTATATCCCTTACAGGCTTTCTGAGACAAAGTTGATGGTTCTGTTCTTCCATCATCATCCTCAATGCCTGGCCCTGGTCCTCTCACTGCACTGCCTTCCAAATGCCAACTGTGAATCAATCATCCTTCTCTAGTCCTATGCACCTGAAGTGCCAAAGGCAACTGGAGAAGAGAGCACAGATGTGCAAACTGGTGCTGCCACTACCCTTAGGTACCAATCTCTGCAAAGGTCTGTGTGCCTCCCTTCCCCAATGCCTTCTACCTGCCCCTAGTAAACTCACATTCATATTTACCTGTTTGACTGGAAACACCTCACTAATTTTCTCAAGCTCTAGAACTCCACTACGCACACATGCACACAGAGTAGTTTGCCTCACTCCTCCTCATTTAAAAAAAGACATCACTGTATGAGAACTCCCTTATTCCAGTACTATTGCTACGTTACAAGTCATGCCAAACTTAGCAGCAGCAGCATATAACAAGAGCTATTTTCCTATTCTCATAGATTCTGTGATTCAGTGTTTTCGGTATATTCAAAGAATTGTGCAACAATCAACACAATCAATTTTAGAACATTTTCTTCACCCCAAAGAGAAACCCCATACCTATTAACAGTAAGTCCTCATTTCAACCCAACCTCCCAAGCCCTAGCCAGTTACTAAACTATTCTAGCGCTACAGATTTGCCTATTCTGGACATTTCGTATAAATGGAATAATATAAAACGCGACCTTGTGTGTCTGACTTTTTCCAGTTACCCTAATGTTCATAGCATTCATCTATATTGTAACATGTATCAGTACTTCATTGCTTTTTGTGGCCAAATAATATTCCATTGTATAGCTATACTACGTTTTCTTTATCCATTCATTAGTTCATAGACGTTCGAGCCGTTTCTATGTTTTAACTATTGTCAGTAATGCCACTATGAATATTCACATACAAGTTTTTATATGGATATATGTTTTCAATTCTCTTTTTTTTTTTTTGAGATAGGGTCTCACTCTGTCTCCCAGGCTGGAGTACAGTGGCATGATCATGGCTCCCTGCAGCCTCAGCCTCCCACCTCAGGTGGTTCAGCCACCTCTGCCTTCCTCCTGAAGAGCTGGGACTACAGGTGTATGCCACCATGCCCAGCTAATCTTTAAAATTTTTTGCAGAGATGGGGTTTCGCCATGTTGCCCAGGCTGGATGTTTTCAATTCTCTTGTGTAGCTACATAGAGAGTAGAATTGTTGGGTCATATGGTAACTCTATGTTTAACTTTTTTTTTTTTTTTTTTTGAGGCAGGGTCTTGTTCTGTCACCTAGGCTGAAGTGTAGTGGCATGATCATAATATACTGTAACCTTGAACTCAGCCCAAGTGACCCTCCAGCCTTGGCCTCCCGAGTAGGTAGCACTATAGTTGCAAGCCACCACCGCTGGCAATTTTTGTCTTTTTTATAGAGATGGGATTTCGCCATGTTGCCCAGGCTGCTGTCAAACTCCTGGGCTTAAGTGATCCGCCTGCTTTGGCCTCCCAAAGTGCTGGGATTACAAGCATGAGTCACCACTCCCAGCCTGGTTTTGTATGTTCTTTTCATTTTAGCTATTCTAGTGGGTATGAAGTGACATCTTATTGTTTTGATTGCATTTTCCTAATAGCTAATGGTGTGAGCATCTTTTTCATTTGTATATCTTCTTTGGAGACATGTCTATTCAGATTCTTTCCCCATATTTCAATTGGCTTATTTTATGTTATTATTATTGTTGAGTTGTAAGAGTTCTTTATATATTTGGATATAAATTCCTTATCAAATATGTGATTTACAAATATCTTCTCCCATTCTGTAGATTGTCTTTTCACTTTCATGATAGAGGTCTTAGAAGGATAAAATGTCAGCTAAGTTAAATTTATCTATTTCTTCTGTTGTTTATGCATTTGGTATCATATCTAAGAAGCCATTGCCTAACCCAAGCCAATGAATGTTTATCCCATGTTTTTATCTAAGAGTTTTATAGTATTATCTCAGGTCTGTATCCATTTCAAGCTAATTTTTATAAATGCTGTGAGGTAGGGCCCCAAATTCATTCTTTTTCATGTGGATGTCCAGTTGTCAACATACCATTCACTGAAAAAGACTATTGTTTCCCTATTGAATTATCTTGTCACTCTTGTTGAAAATCAATTGATCATAAATGTAAGGGTTTATTTCTGGATTCTCAATTATATTTCAGGCATCCATATTTCTACTTTTATGTCAATACAACATTTTCTTGATTACTGTAACTTTGTAGTAAGTTTCAAATTAGGAAGGGTGAGTCCTCCAACTTTGTTTTTCTTTTTCAAGATTGTTCGGCTATTCTAGGTCCCTACATTTCCAAAAGAATTTTAGGATAAGCTTGTCAATTTCTGCAACAATAACAACAAAAACAGCCACCTAGTAAGTTTTGATAAGGACTTTTTCAATCTGCAGTTCAGTTTGTGGGGTATTGCCATCTTAAGAATATTAACTTTTCTGATCAATGAACATGGCATACCTTTCCATTTATTTCGGTCTTTATCAATTTTTTTTAGCTGCAAAACAAAAATATTTTACAGATTTTAGCGCCAACTCTTGCACTTCTTTATTAAAGTTACAAGTTTTTGGAGAAGAAGGGTCTTCCCTCTGTTTGTCTTGGTCAGTCTAGCTAAAGATTTTTCCATTCTGTTGATCTTTTCAAAGAACCGGCTTTTGGTTTATTGACTTACCCTATTGTTTTCTATTCTCTGTTTCATTTATTTGTTCTCTAATCTTTTTGTTTGTTTGTTTGTTTGAGACGGAGTCTCGCTCTGTCGCCCAGGCTGGAGTGCAGTGGCACGATTTCAGCTCGCTGCAAGCTCCGCCTCCCGGGTTCACGCCGTTCTCCCGCCTCGGCCTCCTGAGTAGCTGGGACCACAGGCGCCCGCCGTAATACGCCTGGCTAATTTTTTGTATTTTTAGTAGAGACGGGGTTTCACCGTGTTAGCCAGGATGGTCTCAATTTCCTGACCTCGTGATCCGCCCGCCTCGGCCTTCCAAAGTGCTGGGATTATAGGCGTGAGCCACTGCGCCTGGCCCCTCTGATCTTTATTATTTCCTCTCTTCTGCTTGCTTTAGATTTAGTTTGCTCTTATTTTTCTGATTTCTCAAGGTAGAAGATTAGGCTATTGATTCGGGAACTTTCTTCCTTTTTAATATATGCATTTATAGCTATAAATTTCCCTCTTGGTACTGTTTTAGCTGTATCCAGTAAGTTTTGGTATGTTGTGTTTTGATTTCCATTCCTCTTGATAAATTTTCTAATTTCCCTTGTGATTTTGTTTTTAATCCACTGGTTATTATAAAGGTGTTGTTTAATTTCTATATATTTGTGAATTCCCAAATTTCCTTCTGCTACTGACTTCTAACTTAATTCCATTGTGGTGCAGAACGCAGCTTTTGTGTTATTTCAATTTTATTTTATTTTATTTTATTTTATTTTAGAAGGAGTCTCACTCTGTTGCCCAGGTTAGAGTGCAGTGGCGCAATCCTGGCTCACTGCAACCTCTGCCTCCCGGATTCAAACAATTCTCCTGCTTCAGCCTCCTGAGTAGCTGGGATTATAGGCATGCACCACCACACCCGGCTAATTTTTGTGTTTTTAGTAGAGACAGGGTTTCACCATGTTGGCCAGGCCGGTCTCAATCTCCTGACCTCAGGTGATTCGCCTGCCTCGGCCTCCCAAAGTGCTGGGATTATAGGCGTGAGCCACCATGCCCGGCCGTTATTTCAGTTTTTTAAAATGTATTTGTGTGGTCTATCAAAAAGAGTGTTCTATGTGCACTTGAGAAGAATATGTATTCTGCTGTTATTCAAACCTATTGTACTCTTGTTCCTAGTTGTCCTACCCATTATTGAAAATGGAATAATGAAAATAATGAAGTCTCCAACTATTTTGTTGAAGGATTCTACTCTTAAATATCTCTTAGGTGCTTCAAAATTGATTTTATGCTCTCTCATGTCTCAAATTCATCCAGTTAATGACACCCAGGTGCTCTCACCAGAAACTTGGTGGCCATCCTGGATTCCTCCTTTTTCCTCATGTCCTACATCCAATAATGAACCAAGTCCTGCTAATTTTGCTTTTCTGTTCATTCCTTTTTATCTCATCCATCCCTTCCTAGTCCAGGTCCTTGCATCTCACATCAGATCTATTATAACCAGTCTACTTGCCTTCAGTCTTAACATTGTTTTGCTAATGTTCTTCATTCCACCTGGAACAGCACACTGATTCTGTAAGACTTAACTGCAGAGTTACCCTGTCCCCTGGGGATTCTTCCCTATATGATCTCATTCTCCCCTTTAGCCTCATGATCTCCTGTGTATATCTCTGTCCTAGAAGTTATCACATGATTTTACCACTTTTTTACCCACAGGACAGCTCTTTCTCTCATTGCAGAGTAGTGAGGAGCACAGGCTCTGGGGTCGGACTGTATAGTTTAAAATCCTGACTCTACCAGTTTTTAGTTGTGTGATTCGGCAAATTATTAATCTCTCTATGCTTCAGTTTCCTAATCCATCATATAGGGATGATACTAGTACCTACCTCATAGGATTAAATTGAAGTAATAGATGCAAAGTACTTAAATTAAGTGTCAATCTTAACATTATATTCACTTTGGTGGCCCCAGCACTTTAAAAAAGGGCCTGGCAGAGAAGGTACTTAGTTAGCATAGCTTGAACTGAAATAAGTTAAACTACTTGCTTTTTTTTTTTTCTTTTTGAGATAGACTCTAACTCTGTTGCCCAGGCTGGAGTGCAGTGGCATGATCTCCACTCACTGCAACCTCCACCTCCCAGGTTCAAGTGATTCTCCTGCCTCAGCCTCCCAAGTAGCTGGGATTACAGGCGCACACTACCATGCCCAGCTAATTTTTGTATTTTTAGTACAGATGGCGTTTCACCATGTTGGCCAGGCTGGTCTCGACTGACCTCAAGTGATCCACCTGCCTTGGCCTCCCAAAGTGCTGGGATTACAGGCGTGAGCCATGGCGCCCAGCCTATTCTGCTCTTCATGTTTGAAATACTGTTCCCCTTCCTCTCTGTTGCTTAATTGATGAATTCATTCTTTAAGATCCAGCTTGTGTAGCTTTCCTCTGTAAAGAGAAGACTTCCCTTCCACCCCAGGCAGGCAATCACTCTATATTGTTCCTGTCACACTGTGTGACTTTGAGTCATTGCAATAATCACAGCCACCATTTATGAAGCACCTGCTGGGTGCTAGGACTATAATATGACTTTTTTCATTTAATCCTCATGATCATCCTGCTGTAAGCCAAGAATTGTTGTCTTCATTTTATTGATTAAAAAAACTGAAGCCCAGTGTGGTTAAATAACTTGCCCAAGGTCAGATGGTTAACAATCAAGTAACAGACTGAAGTTAGTAGCCAGGCATAACCTCAAAGCTCATACAGCTTTTATTTTATTTTTATTTTTTATTTTTGCTTTTAATAGTTTGCAAGTCTGCCTCTCCACGTATACCATGAGCTTCTTGGAGGCAGAGATCTGTTCCAGCAGATGGTTCTCTTAGAGGAAGAAATATGTCTCCCTATAAGGCCTAACATTTCCTAGGTGCAGTGCATCAATTGCATCAATACTCCTTCCTTCTGTCTCTCTCCATGGTATCCAGGGATGATTCTATGCTGGCAGAAGGATAAAGACAAAGAATGATAATTGAGCAGCAACAAAAGCAGCTCAGCCCCCAGGGCCCTCTTGGCCATGTTTGCTGTTCCAGGTGTCACTGGGGACTGTGCTCGAGGCCTCCCTGGAGTCTGAGCTCACTGGGTCCCCTGGGCAGTGATGTCACCCTCCTGCTCTGCAAGGCCCCTGAGTCCACAATCATACTGACATCACCCATGTTTCCACGGGGCTTAGTAAGGAACTCAGACCTCGCCCACATGTCCCTGCCTGAGACAACTTCTGTGATCTTGATTTTGGGGGTCCATTCCTTTGCTCAGAGTTCTCTTTCTATGAGTGGACAGCTTTCCTCCCCATCCTTCACCCTGACTTATCTGTCCCCTATAATTGTAAGCTTCACACAGTACTTTGCTCTACTCAAATGGCCTGGAATCTCTGACACATTAGTCTAAATTGGGAAGCACAGGGGATTAAAAAAAATGATCCTCTATAATTTTGTCAGACTGGAAAAGGGAAAAGCTGAACAAGAAGAAATTAGGGCAACTCATCAACTTTTCCAGCATCTGGCTGTGACAGGGATCCTTTAAAGTAGCTGGAAACTTGAAGGGCTTCAACTCTGAACTTTGAGGTTTTTCACTTGCCTGTCTCCATTAGCCTTAAGGAAAGCATCTCCAGAGAGAGATTCTCTCCCTCTAGCCACCAACCCCTAGTTTAATTCAAATTCGGCAAGTAATCATCAAGCAACCAAACAGACAGCTGTTTACCCTAATACTTGGCATTATGGGATATGCTTTAAAACCCAAATGTGACAGACATTTCTCTACCTTAAATCCTTACATGGCCCCATTGCACCTAGAATAAAATCCAAACTATACCATGGCCCTGGGCACCTTCCCCCTGGCCACCCCCAGCTGCATCCTGTTCCCCTCTTCCTGTGTCCACTCCCCTCCAACCACATCAGCCACCTTTCAGGCCCTCAAACACACCAAGACCTGGACCTCTTCAGGCTTTTGCAATTTGTATTTATGTTGAGAGCTGCATGACAAGTCAGAGGTCATAGGTCTTAGGTTAATTATCTCCTTAGAGACGGTAACAAACAGAATGTGGACCACTTGAGCATGGCAATTGAAGTTGCAGTATTAAAAGTCAAAATTGAAAGGATAGGGAGAGCCTGACCATTCTAGAATGCAGCACTGGGCCCAGGCCTCAGGTCAAGATGCTGCTCCAATAGAGGAGCAGAGGCATGGGCTATCTTAGTTCCCCTGGTTCCTCTCACTGGTACAGCACTGGCTTAGGGGCCAGCTCCTGAGTTAGATCATCTAAGGCTACGATGAAGACTGCATTCTTTTCCTTCATCCCACTCATCCCAGTTTGTAATTAAATAATAATTGTTTGTGTGTTTGTTTTCGTTCTCCCTCACCAGACTGTAAATCCAAGGGGAGGCAGGGACCATGTCTGATTTGTTTAATGTATTCTTAGAACCTAAATCAGTGCCTGACACATAGTAGGTGCTTAATAAATATTTGATGACCAAACGAATGATAAAGGTGATCTGTACCTTCAGAGAGCATCTCTCATCTATTTGGGGAAGCTGGTATAGCATACACAAAGCAAGTAGACATTGTGTTTTATAAATTGGGTATGCAAGAAGTGGTGCATTACTTCAATTCCCTTCAATCAATTTAAATCTACCTCCAAATCCCCATTCTGCTGGATTACTGGGAAATTCAGTCCCAATCCAGGGTTGGGAAAAGACCTAGGGGGCTTTCCTAGAGCAGAACATTTAGGGGAATCTCCAAATGAGATGCTTATTGCCCCAGCCTTGGTGACCTTGTAAGGTAGCTCTACGACTCCCAGACCACTCCTCCCCTTAGGAAGTATTGTGGGGTTAGGACCCCTGGGGTCTGGAGTCCACTCAGAGGCCATTCCTTTCTACCATCTCACCACCTCTCCCAGGTGCCCCAAGGGGGCAGCCTAGGGTTCCTGCCTGCTTGGGAACCACCCCCAAATCTTGAAGGGCTCTCCCTTCCTCTCTGCCCTCTCCACTTCAGCCTTATTCCTTCAGATACTAGCCTGCTCCTCTTCCCCAGGGAGCATCAACCCAGCACGGAATTTAGATTTCCTTCTGACTGCTTTCCTTTCTGCTTTGCCATGCTAATAGCTCTGCCAATGGTATCCAAAGCCTGGCTGTCTCGTTGGAATGGGAGAAGAAAATCAGGAGAATGGAAGACAAAATAAAAACTTGATACGCTTGATACATTATCGTGTTCTACACCAAATAGGAAACTCTACAAAGGCAGATACAATAAGGTCCTAAGTTGAAAATAATCAAGTACCAAATGTATGGTGTAATCAGAAGTGTTTGAGGTTAGTTTATTTCTCACCTCTAGTCTGTCTCTAAGGCCCCTCTCTCACAACCTATGTGCCCATCCTAGGCAATCTAATTTTTTTTTTTAAGAAAGGGCCTTGCTCTGTTGCCCAGGCTGTAGAGCAGTGGCACGATCATGGCTCACTGCAGCCTTGACCTCCCAGGCTCAAGCAATCCTCCTGCCTCAGCCCCTTCCCACTTCCCTACTGAGAAGCTGGAACTACAGGCATACACTACTTGCCCAGCTAATTTATTATTATTTTTTTTTTGAGATGGAGTCTCACTATATTGCCCAGACTGGTCTCAAACTCCTGGGCTCAAGCAATCCTCCCATCTCGGCCTCCCAAAGTTCTGGGATTACAGGCATGAGCTACCACACCTGGCCAGCAATCTAATTTTCTTGCACACTAGAGAGACACCCCTGAATACACATTTACACCATGAAATCTTGTCAATTATTCTACTTCCGCAGTGACTTGGATCTCTGCATTTCTCGCTTGCACCATTGCTATTACCACATGTCAAGGTGTAACATCTTGTGCCAGAACTTTTATAATAATCTACCAATTTATTTTCCTAAAGTCCTCCTTCACCAGTATTCATTCCTTTGCTCTTCTATTCAAAAAGTATTTTTGGAACAATGACGCTGACACCAACTGTGTGACCTTGGACAAGTTGCTGATATCCCTAGTGCTTCCATTTTTCAATCTGTAAAATCCAGATAACAATAATAATATCTCTCCTATATGAATGTTATATTGTTATAAGACATGCCTAAGGCTGGGCATGGTGGTCCATGACTGTAGTCCCAGCACTTTGGGAGGCCAAGGAGGGAGGATTGCCTGAGCCTAGAAGTTCAACACCAGAAACATAGGGAGACCCCATCTCTACAAAAAAAAAAATTTTAATTAGCTGGGCATGATGGTGCACACCTGTGGACCTGGGTGCTCAGGATGGTCAGGTGGGAGGATCATTTGAGCCCAGCAGTTCGAGGCTGCAGTGAGTCATGATCATGCCACTGCACTCTAGCAACAGAATAAGATCTGGTTTCAAAAAAAAAAAAATGCCTGGCATATAAGTAGTGCTTGATAAACGTTGGCTATTTTATTTCATTTGCTGTTGCTATTGTAATTGTTGTTGTTGATATTACTTGTCAGGCATACTTAGATGCTGAAGATACAGTGGTAAACAAGAGAGGCAAGATCCCTGTGCTTATGGAGCTTACCATATGATCAGGGGAGAAAAAGGGATGTGTGTGTGTGTGTGTGTGTGTGTGTGTGTGTGTGTGTGTGTAAAATCTCAGATAGTTGCAGAGGCTATTTAAAGAATTAAAATGGAGTGACATACTACCCTTATCCGTTAAGATGGTTATTATGAACAAACAGAAAATAACAAGTGTTGGTGTGGATGTGGAGAAATTGGAATACTTGTACATTGCTGATAGGAATGTAAAATGTTACAGCCACTATGGAAACCACTGTGGTAGTTCTTCAAAAATTAAAGCTAAAACTACCGTACGATATAGCAATTCCAATTCTAGGCCTACAGCCAAAAGAATTGAGAGGAGGGACTCAAAGAGATACTTGTACACCAATATTTGTAGCAACATTATTCACAATAGTCACTAGGTAGAAACCACCCAAATGCCCATTGACAGATGAATAGATAAAATGTGGTATGTACATACAATACAACGGAATATTATTCATTCTTGTTTTTTTTTTTTTGAGATGGAGTGTTTCTGTGTCACCCAGGCTGGAGTGCAGTGGCACTATCTCAGCTCACTGCAAGCTCCGCCTCCCAGGTTCACGCCATTCTCCTGCCTCAGCCTCCCGAGTAGCTGGGACTACAGGCACCCGCCACCACGCCCTGCTAATTTTTTGTATTTTTAGTAGAGACAGGGTTTCACCGTGTTAGCCAGGATGGTCTCGATCTCCTGACCTCGTGATCCACCCACCTCGGCCTCCCAAAGTGCTAGGATTACAGGCGTGAGCCACTGCGCCCAGCCCTTATTCATTCTTAAAAAGGAATGAGGCCAGATGCAGTGGCTCACGCCTGTAATCCCAACAATTTGGGAGGCCGAGGTGTGCAGATCACCTGAGGTCAGGAGTTTGAGACCAGCTTGACCAACATGGAGAAACCCCATCTCTACTAAAAATACAAAATTAGCCGGGTGTGGTGGTGCATGCCTGTAATTCCAGCTACTCAGGAAGGCTGAGGCAGGAGAATCACTTGAACCCAGGGGGTGGAGGTTGCAGTGAGCCAAGATCACGCCATTGTGCTCCAGCCTGGGCAACTCTGTCTCAAAAAAAAAAAAAAAAAAAAGGAACGAAATTCTGACACATGCTACAACATGAATGAAACCTGAAGACATGCTAAATGAAATAAGCCAGACACAAAAGGACAAATATTGCGTGACGCCACTATGACGAAGTGCCTAAAACACTGAAATTCATAGAGACAGAGAGTAGAATGGAGGTTGCCAAGGGCTGAGGGGAGGGAGGAATGAGGTATCATTGTTTAATGGATACAGGGTTTCAGTTTGAGAAGATAAAAAATTCTGGAGATGAATGATGGTGATGATTGCATGACTATGCGTATGCACTTAATGTCACTGAATTGCACACTTAAAAGTGGTTCAAATGGTAAATTAAGTGTTACTTACATTTTACCACAATGAGAATAAGTAAACATTTTTTAATGGAGTGGCATAATGAGCCTGCACAGGTCATTTCTAGACTGATGGTTAGAGAGGGCATTTCTGAGGAAGTGAAATTTAACCTCAAGCTCTGAGTGACAAGAAGCCAGCCATGAGAAGACAGTGGGTGAGGGGGAGCAGGGCAGGCAAGAGAGACAGAGAGTGCAAAGCTCTAAGGCAGAAACACATCTGGAGTGTTCCAGGGACCAAAAGAAGGCTGGTGTAGCAGGAGCAGAGAGGGCAAAGGAGGGACAGCCAGCTGGAATGGAGGGTGAAGAGGTGACCACAATCACCATGGACAGCTCTTTCAGGAAGTTTTTCTATAAAGAGAAACAGAAATAGGGCACATGTCAAAGGGGCTGCTGGGGAGATTTTTATTTTTTTATTTTGTTCAAGATGAGAATGATTGAGTAGAGGGGCAGAATCAACATCACTCAAGGGAGAGATAAAGTTGGAGGACTAAAGTCCTTGAGTAAAGAGAAGGACTGGAACCCAGACCACTAGCACAGTGTTTGGAGAGAGCTGATACCAGCACGATTCCACATTACTAAATTTAACAGTGCTGGGACAGGGCATAACACAAGAACATAATATGTCCTTACATTAGAAAACACTGAGACCAAGTGAAAATAACTGATTGCTCTGGAAAATATCTGCTCCTGGAAGGTAATACTATGAACCAGTGAAAATAACTTGTTCATGAAGACTCACTTCAAAACTTTCGCCTAACTGTGCCCACCAATCCTTAGCTGTTTTATATTTTGTTATCCAGTCCTAACCAGTTTTCCACTTTGCAAAACCCACCTTAAAACCATCCAGCTCAGGCCCTAAAACTCTATAAATACCCAATCCTAATTTCCCCATTTTGAGACACTACTAAGATTCCAGCAAGGGGGTATGGTCCCTTATTGCAGTGAGTCTAACAAGTTACTTTCAACTTGATTTTTCTAATGGTATTTTGGGGAATCTGCAGTTAACAGTAGCTTTTGATAGGGGCAGGGGTATTCATCCATTTTAGCAGGGCAGAGGCTACAGATGCAAGTATCTTGAGGTTTAGTTTTTAGAGATGTGATGGAATCATATTACTAAACCATAAAAATTGCATCACATCTACCACGTATTAGTTTCCTATTGCTGCAGTAATAAATCACCACAAACTTAATTACTTAAAACAACAAATGTATTACCTTATAGTTCTGTAAGTCAGAAATCTAAAATGAGTTTTACTGGACTTAAAGTGCCAGCAAGGCTGCATTCTTCCTGGAGGCCCTAGGGTAGAATCCATTTCCTTGACCTTTCCAGCTTCTATGGACTGACTGCATTCCTTTGCTTATGGTCTCCTTTAATCCTCAAAGCCAGATGTTCAACCACTTTAATTGCCGCTTCCTCATTACATCTTCTCTGACCCTGATTTTTCTGCATCCCTCCTCACTTATAAGGACCCCTGTGATTACACTGGGCTCACCTGGATAATCCTGACTAATCTCCCATTTCAAGATCCTTAATCACGTCTGTAAAAATCCCTTTTGCCATGTAAGGATTATTCACAGATTCTACAGATTAGGATGTGGACATCTTTTGGAGCCACTATTCTGCATACCATACCCTATTATAAATGCTTAATGATTATTGCCAGCAAAATGAAACTCAGACTTTTAGCATGGCACTAAAATCCAGCCCCTTCCTAACCTTTCTAATATCCTCCATCGTGATATTCCTTATTCAACCCTACCCATTCACTTTATAAAAACGTATTGAATACCATCTATGTGCCAGATATTAGGTACTAGGAATATGAGAAGAGGAGATGATAACACATAAACAAATAATTATAGATGTCAGGTGTGATCAGTGTTATAAAGAAAATAGAGCAAGGTAAGGAGGATGGGGAGCAATGGAGAAGACAATGCTAGGTGGTCTTGGGAGGCCTTTCTGAAAGGGAGAGAGCCATGTGAAGACCTGGGAAACATACAAGAGCCTGAGGGACCAGCAACTGCAAATACCTTGAATACTTCCCAGCTGGTTAAGGAACATCAAGGTATGGTCATCAGTGGAATGAGTGAGGAGAGCAGTAAAGCCATGGACAGAGAAGTAACTGGGGCTGGATGGAAGACTTGGAGTCTTCTAAGAAGAGGAGTGTCAGGATCTGACTTATGTGTTAAAAGGTTACTATGGCCTTTCTGTGAAGAACAGATTGTCAGACCAGAAGGAGGGAAGCGGGCACATAAATTAGAAGGAGGCTACTGTGACTGTTTGAGCAAGAGACGATGATGGCTTGGACACAGTGGCAGTCTCACTACAGGGGTGGTGAGAAGCTTTTGGATTTCAGATGTATTTCGAAAGCAGAGCTGGCAAATTTTGCTGATGGATTAGACATATGGTGTGAGAGAAAGAGAGGAGTCAAGGATGATTCTAAGGTTTTTGGCCTGAGCAAATGGAGGAATGGAGTTTCTGTTTCTAAGATCCAGAAGACTTGGGAGAGATCAAGTTGAGGAGGTGGGTGGTGAAATTAGGAATTTGATTTTGAACATGTTAGGTCTACTTTACATTCAAGTTGCAGTGTCAAGTAGGCAGTTAAATATATGAGTCTAGAGTTCATGTGAGATTAGGGTTGGAGATGCAAATTTGGGAGTCATAAAAATGTACATGTTATTAAATCCATAAAACTGGATGGGATTCCTGAGGGCATGAGCACAGGCAGAAGAAGAAATCCAAGGACTGAGTCCCGGGTTCCCTGATATTTAGAGGCTTTTCAAACCCAAAATGTCTTCTCCTGATCTTTACTGTGCTATTCCTTCAGCCTGGAATATCTTTCTCCAACCCCACCACTATCTTTCAAAATTGTATTCCAACAAGAGGAAAGGGGACTTTGGGGCACTTCATTTTTCAGCCCTTTTCTGAGGATGAGGGGCACCGTACTGTCTAGGCTTCGTGTACTGTGGCAGGTAACACAGACATAGCCTTGTCTCTTCTTTCTTGCTGAAAGAACTTGAATGTAGTTCAAGGCAGAGTGTTGGGCCCTAGGATGTAAGTAATAATTGTCTAGTGATTCTCAGTCCTCAAGTGCTTCAGAACCACCCATGGAGGTTAAAATGGTCAATTCTGCTATGCATATTGTACTACAATATTGTTTTTCAGTTCAGGCACGGTGGCTCATGCCTGTAATCCCAGAACGTTAGGAGGCTGAGGCAGGAGGATTGCTTGAGCTTAGGAGTTTGAGATCAGCCTGGGCAGCATGGTAAAACCCTGTCTCTACAAAACGTTAGCCGGGCGTGGTGGCGTGCACCTATGCTCCCAGCTACTCAGGAGGTTCAAGTGGGAGGATCACTTGAGCCCGGGAGGCAGAAGTTGCAGTGAGCCCAGGAGGCAGAAGATTGTGCCATTGCACTCCAGCCTGGGCGACAGAGCAAGACCCTGTTTTGAAAAATAAATAAATACATAAATAAAATAATAATAAATTATTTTAAAAATTGCTTGTGGAGATTGTTTAAAATGACAATCCTGGTTACAGCCTCAGAAATTCTGACTTAGCTGGCCTGGGTCATTGGTACTTTTTAAAAAGCTGCCCAGGGGATGATGATGTGCAGCCAGGTTTGAGAACCATGAGACAAGAGTGACAATTCTGTTCCCCTTTGTAAGATGCTGTGTTAGAAACCAGCTTCCCTAGAGTGACCATGTAACCCAGTTCTGGCCAATAAGACCAAAAGGAAAGCTTCTGGGTGCTTCTGGAAAATGCTTTCCTTCCTGACTAAAGAACAGCCCATTCCCAGTCGCTCGCCCCCATCTTTTTTTTTTTTTTTTTTTTTTTGATGAGATACACTCTAGTAAATTCTGTTCTCTTTCATTCTATTTCATTATTCCTTTTAATTTTTTTATTTTTAGATTTTATTCTTTTTTAAAATTTAATTTTAAGTTCCGTGATACATGTGCAGGTTTGTTACATAGGTGAACATGTACCATGCTCACCTCCATCTTGAATAGAGTTGGGATGCCCAGAGTTCTTTCCAGGACTCTGTGGGCCTGTCCCGCTCTGCTGCTCCCTGAGGTGGGAGACGCAGCTCAACACCTTCCACCTCCTTCAGCTCCCACCCGCAGGAAGACGTCTCTCATCTTCCCGGTGCTAGGGTCCCACGCCAGTGGACGGTCCTCCGGGATGGGGTCCACACTGACATGGCTAGGTCTGCAGCGAGGGCAGACATGGAGACCCACATACCACATGTCTGCTGATTTAGAAGTTATAAGTCAATCTGAATAAGATATGTTCTACCCTCATACCTTAACAAATATACCTTTCTGATGACCTAGAAGACCAGATTTGAATTTAGAATCATCGGACTGCTCGGCTTTCTGTGTGAGAACGTGGAGGTGCGGTGAGGAACACTCTTTGCCTGGTCTCTGACCACTAGATTCGCACATGCATGGATGCCTTGAACGTCCAAGCTCCATCCACAGCTGCACAAACGGCGGCTTCCTTGGCCACTCTTTAGATGTAGAGGCTGAATATACCGGCAGCAGCATGGTCTGCCCTCAGGATGAGAAGGAAGAGACCCACACAGGTGCCAGAAGAGAGCTCAGAGCCAGTTGGGCAGGCAATTCTGGAGTCCTGGGCCTTGGACCACGGTCTACAGGGCGAGGCACAGGTTTTGGGTGGGCACTTCCATCCCCTTGGCCCCGTGGACGTCTCAGACACTGTAGAGGACCAGGCTGGCAGAGGGTCAGCACCTGATCCTCTAGCACATCAGACCCAGGGCCCCTTTCATTCAGGCCGGAGACAGGGCAAGGGGTTACTGCTGTCGGGAAGCTCAGCCCAGCTCGCCTCCACATTGCTTAGCCCTCAGGAAACTCAGGCAGCTCAACACTAATGCAGGCTGCTTTGCTGCTCCGCCTTCCTCCCCTCTGCTATCTGTCTTCTTTGATGCTTAGATAAACCAGGGCAAGATCAGGAATTCCACTGTCTAAGCTGACATACCTCAGGAAATGGAGCGCCATTCTCTCCCCAGTCTCTGTGAATTGTCCTCTTGGAGTCTCTTCTTGGCCTGGCTTGTGGCAAGAGGGGCCAGGAGACTTGCGCCTCATAGGAGTCTGCTCTCCCAGAAGACTCGTGGCTCCTCCTTCCTCCCTCCTTCTCATAGCGGGGTGCTGATTGTTGTCCTTAGTGGGACCATTTTCACCTCCTCTTCATAATCCCTGGAAGAGAGGTGTGATTTAAATTCTTGACAACTTTCTTTAGGAATATGAGGTACTTAGCATTTTTGCTTGTTTATTTTTGGAATTTTGTTGTGTGTTTTCTGTTTGTTTGTTTTTTGTCTCCAGCTTTGAGCCTTAGCTGTCATTACCAGGCAAAAGGAAGAGCCCCACTCAGCACCCGTTTCCGGTTTTACGGCCCAGGCACTGTTGAGCAGACCACTATGTGGAAAGCCAGGGAGGATAATAGCAGCCCCCCAATGAGGCCACGAGCCCCAGAAGTGAGTACCTCACCTCAGCAGCCTAGAGTCGCTGCCTAGAATCTGTAGACTGCTAAGTTCATTACCATCCTCTTCCTTCCAATTTTTTGACATTCTGGGAACTTTTAACATCTAGAAGCATTGGAGGGATTTTTTTTTTTTTTTAAACAGGATCTCACTCTGTCTCACTGGTTGGAGTGTAATAGTGCAATCATAGCTCACTGCAGCCTTAACTTCTCATGCTCAATCGATCCTCCCACCTCAGCCTCCCCAGTAGCTGTGACTACAGGCGTGCACCACCATGCCCAGCTAATTTTTTAAATTTTCTGTAGAGATGGGGGTCTCAACTCTGTGGCCCAGGGTAGACTTGAACTTCTAGACTCAAGCAATCCTCCCACCTTGGCCTCCCAAAGTGCTGGGATTACAGATGTGAGCCACTGTGCTCAGCCTTTTGTTTTTGTTTTTGCTTTTTTACAAAAATATCCTCTAAAGACAGTTCACAGAAAAAGAAAAGAAAGCCTGGGAAACAAATGAAAAGATGTTCAGCCCTATATATAACAAGAAAAATTAAAATTAAAACTTATACCAGGGCCAGGCATGGTGGCTCACACCTGTAATCCCAGCGCTTTGGGAGGCTGAGACAGGAGGATCACTTGAGGCAGAAGTTCGTGACCAGACAGGGAAACATAGCAAGACCTTGTCTCTACAAAAAAATTTAAAAATTAGCCAGGCATGGTGGTGCATGCTTATAGTCCCAGCTACTCGGGAGGCTGAGACTGGAGGATCACTTGAGACTAGGAGGTCAAGGCTGCAGTGACCTATGATCATGCCACTTACACTCTAGCCTGGGTGACAGAGTGAGACCCTGTCTGGACACAAAATAAACAAAAAACTCCTTATACCAAAAGACCATTTTTTACCCATCAGGTTGGCAGAAATAATTTTTTTAAAGTTTGGTTATAATGTATGTTGGAAGAGTGTGGGGGAAGAGGCATTTCCTACATTGCTGGTGGAAGTACAAATTGGTTCTACATCTAGGGAAGGCAAATTGGCAGTGTTGATCAAAATGACAAGTGCCAAATGACAAGAGCAATATTTTATAATCCAACAATTACACTTTTAGGAATTTATTCTCCAAATAGTCTCACACATGGAAATGACATCATTCAGGTACCATTGTTCTCTCTTTCTTTATTTATTTTCAGACAAGGGTCAAAGCATGATTTTTTAAATTTTACTTTTAGTAAAGACAAGGTCTCACTGTGTTGCGCAGGCTGATCTCGAACGCCTGGGCTCAAGCAATTCCTCAGCCTCCCACAGTGCTGGGAGTATAGGCATGAACCACCGCGCCCAGCCCACATACTGCTGTTTTTAATAACAAGAAGAAACAACCTAAATACCCAACAGTAGGAGACTTGGTTAAATAAATTATAGTAAGTCCACACAGTGGAGTACTATGCAGCAGTAAAAAAAAAAAGTGAGGAAGCTTTTTACATAGTGAATCAATAACCCTCTATATACTTTTTCTTTTTTTTTTTTTTTTTTTTGAGACGGAGTCTCGCTCTGTTGCCCAGGCTGGAGTGCAATGGCGTGATCTCAGCTCACTGCAACCTCTATCTCCCACTTCAAGCAATTATCCTGCCTCAGCCTCCTGAGTAGCTGGGATTACAGGCATGCGCCACCACACCTGGCTAACTTTTGTATTTTTAGTAGAGACGAGGTTTCACCATGTTGGTCAGGCTGATCTCAAACTCCTGACCTCAAGGGATCCACCCACCTCGGCCTCCCAGAGTGTTGAGATTATAGGTGTGAGCCACTGTGCCCAGTTTACATACATATTTTTAATAAACTTTTTATTTTGGAGTGATTTTAGATTTAGAGAAAAATTGTGAAAATAATGCAGAGAACTCCTTATACCTTGACTCAGTTGCAGTTTCCCCTGATATTATCATCTCATATTACGTGGTATGCTATCAAAACTAAGAAACCAGTATTGGGACATTTCTTTTAACTACACTCCAGATTTCATTTGGATTTCACTGGGCTTTTCCATTAATGTCCTCTTCTGCTCCGAGATCCAGTTCAGGATCCCACACTGCATTTAGTCATTATGTCTCTTGGTTTTCTCAATCTGTGGTAGTTTTTCAGACTTTCCTTGTTTTTCATGAGCTTGATGGTTTGGGGCAGTACTGGTCAGGTATTTTGTAGGCTGTTCTTCAATTTGGGTTTGGCTGATGTTTTTCTCATAACTGGGCTGGGGTTACAGGTTTTTGGAAGTAAAACCACAGAGGTAAGGTGCCTTCTCATTGCATCGTAGTGACGGGTATATAAATGAACACGATGCTTACGTGACATGCCATGGTTAAGGCAGTGTTTGCCAGGCTCTTCAACCCTAATGTTACTACTTTTCCCTTTCCAAACTGTCTTCTTTAGAATCTAGTCACTAAGTCAAATCCACCGTCATGGGTGGAAGGCGAACTCAGCTCCATGTCCTAGAGGAGGAAATATCTACATATGTTAAATAAAATTCTTGGGAAAGGAAGATCTCTCTCACCACCCCCCATTTACTTATTCAAACACATATTTTTATCATTATGAACACATGTGTATTTATTATATTTAGGGCAATAATTCAATACCATACTATTTATTTTATTGTACAAATTGTTTCAGCTTTGGCGGCTGGGAGCTCCTTTAGGTTGGTTCTTGTATCTTTTGACATGCCCCCATCCTGTTGTTTTTTGAGCATTTCCTTGATTTTGATTCTGTTGTTTGGAGGCCAGTGGCTAGCTTCTCTCCATCTCTCTGCACCTGGCTCCTTCCTCAGTGGCCTCTGGCATTTCCTACACTAGCCCCTACACCCCTTGTCTCAGGTTGGGTTGGACTAGCCCATCATGGAGGGCTGAAGTCAGAAAACACCCCCGCTCAGCTGTGTCTGTTGCCAAGGCAACTAAGGAGCCCTGCAGGAAAGCCCAGGGGTCCAGCTCCCAAGTCTCCTGCCACCTGTGGTGCACTGAGTCCTTGGGGCACTGGGGGGGGTGGGGGTTATGTCAGTCACATAACCTCTGTCACTATGGCACTCTGGTGCAACTTCTCCAGGGACCAGGGCCCAGGGAGCTCGGTCTACAGAGGAGCAGCTGGCTAGCTTTTCTCCACGGTTCTGGGGGAGGGCCCAGCTAGTTGAAGTCACACATTTGTTGAGCTAAAGTGACCACACCTTGGGATCTCACTCTGCTCATCTCACTCCTGTATGTTTATCTTCTTACCAAAAGCCATCCTGATTGCTCCCTCTGAGGTGATGGACAGAGAAAATTTTCCCTCCAAGGACTGACAGAGAAAGAACAACGGAGATGTGGTCGTCTGCTGGCATCCATGCACTTGTGCAACTAGCAAAGCACCGAGTCCACAGGGAAAAGGGAGAGAAAGTGTAAATGAAGGTGCAATTGTGTGTGGAAGGCTGAGTGTGGTCACAGGAAAATTGCCTCATCCTTGTATTGAAATGCATCTTTCATCCCTCAACCCCAGGTTCTAAGTAGGTTCCCTCTCCCTCTCCTCAGCCAGCACCCTCATGCCACCATCATCTCTCACTTAGACCACAGCTTTATCCTCCTGACATGTTTACCCCACTCCAAATCATTTTGCAGATATTTTAAACATAAATCAGATTATATCATTAATCTGCTTCAAACCCTTGAACGGCCCTCCATTGATATCATGATAAAAACCCAAACTGTTCATCCCCCAAGCCCCTACTTTACCTTGCACCACTTCCCCCTCACTATCCAATTTCAAGCTACCTCAGCTGTTCATCACACTGGCCCCTTACCCTGGGGCACTCCTCCCTCCACTGCCCCCATCCCTCATTTCCATTCCCCTTCATCCTCCACACCTTATTGCAAACATCACTTCCCCAAGGAAACCTGCCCCAATCAAAAAATCTAAATTAGACCATGAGATATATTTTCTTAAAGCTCCTGTACACACTCCCCAATTCATAATCATATAGTTTTCTGATCATTTTATAGTGTCTGTTTACCTCACTACATTGTAAATTCCTTGGAGGTAAACATGATATTATTTTGCTCACTGTTGTATCCCCAGTGTTCTGCACAGTGACCAGCATGTAGTAGGTGCTCAATAAATCTTTACGGAATTGATGAATGAAATCCACTTCTCCTATACTCCATTCTCAGAGACAGATATTATCATTTAGTCTTTGCTCACGCCAGAAACCAGGGAGCCAGCCTTGATGACTTTTTCCCCTCATTCCCCATGTTGTTGTTCACCAAGTGCTGTGGATTTCACCTGGTAAATATCTCTCAAATCCATCCCTCTTCTATATTCATCTATCCAGTTTCTGAGTTATTGCAATAGCCCCACACTGGCCTCCTTGACTCCAGCATTGTCCCCTCCAAGCCATTTTCCACACTAACAGAAGAAGTGTGTGATGTCTGCAATGCACATCTGATTAAGTCATAAAGCTGCCTTCGTGATAAAATTCCAATATAGACCCTTAGGAGGATGTAGCAGATCTGTTACTGACCCTGCCAGCATCCCCAGTGTCTTAGTTCGTTTCATGTTGCTGTAACGGAATACCTGAGACTGGGGAATTTATAAAGAAAGGAGGTCTATTTGGCTCATGATTTTGGTGTCTGGAAGGTTCGAGACTGGGCAGCTAGTGAGGGTCTCACACTGCTTCAACGCATGGTAGGAAGCAGAAGGGGAGTGGGTGAGTGCAAAGAGATCACATAGTGAGAGAGGAAGCAAGAAAGAGAAACTGAGGAAGCCAGATTCTTTTTAACAACCTGATCTCCAGGAATTAATCCATTCCTGAGAGAGTGAGTGAGAAAACTCACTCACCCCTAAAAGAGGACATTAAACTACTGCCTTCATGACACAAACACCTCCCGCTAGGCCCCACCTCCCAACACTGCCACATTGGGGATCACATTTCAACATGAGTTTTGGTGAGGACACACTGCAACCAAACCATAGCACCAGCCTCACGGGGCTCCATTCATAGCCTACACCTGGCCATAGGAAGCCACATGTTTCTCAAACAAACCATTCACTTTAATGTTTCTGGGCTTTGCAGACCACTCTAACTTCTACACTTAATTACCCACTACTCATCCTTGAAGATGACTTCTGGGAAGGCTTTCCTGATCTCTCCCCACAACAACATGGAATGAGATCCGCATCCCACATGTCCTCCCTAGACTCTGTGCCAGCCTTTATCACAGCATGAAACACACTGAGGTATAATGTCAGCCTACTCAGCCATCTCCTCTATTTTGAAACCTTGAGAAGAATAGTCTTCCCTTATTCCTCTGTTTCCAGTATTCAGTAATGTGTCCCAGTAGTGTTTTACCACTTCCAGAGCATATTCATATGCTTTATCTGGTTCTACCCTCTCAACAACTCTATGAGGTAGATAAGACAGACATTCTTATCCCAAATTCCAGAAAGGAGTTACTGATTGCACTCTGAGCCCATGGCAAGATAAGCCCCCAGTCCCCTGTGTTCCCAAGTCTAATGCTCATGCCTCTGGATAAGTATTTACCAGGTGATCCTCTGCTCAGATCCAGAATGCTGGGCTGGGCTCACGTACTCATGCTGCAAATTGGAGAACCTCAGGAGAATCTGGCCAGCCTAAGAAAGACGACTCAGGTGCTGACATTTGAGTTCCCTGGTGAAACATCTGGGCCCCTCCCCTGCCCCCAGTTCACTTACCACTGGAGGACTGGGAGAACACTTTTCGCTCTCACTGGCCCACTGGTCAGTGAGTGCCCACCTCTCTCTCTCTCTCACACACTCACACAGACACACACGCATATGACTTCCAATCAACTCTCTAATGCTCCTCTGGATAGCTAAGCATCACCAGACATTTGAAGAAACCCTCCAACATGAAAAACAGAGACCATGATAAACAGGAAATAAAGGAACTCAATGGAAACAGACACAATATAAGAAGTAGAAGGAAACTAAAACAAGCAAACAAGAAACCCCTCAAATTCCCACCATTAATAACATACACAGGGAGATAGCTTTGTTAAGAAGAACATATCTTACCCATGATATAAGATGAGAATTTGTTTTTATTTCTGTAACAGCTTCATTGGGACAAAATCCACATGTCATACAATTCACACATTTAAAGTGTACAATTCAATGTTTTTAGTATATTCACAAAGTTGTGCAACCATCACTACAATTAATGTTAAAACATTTTCATCACCTCGAAAAGAAAACCCATACCTTTTCCCTATCCAGCCTTAAGCAACCACTAATTCACTTTCTGTCTCTATAGATTTCTCTATTCTGGACATTTCATGTAAATAGGATGATATGATATACAACATTTTGGCTTCTGCCACTTAACAATGTTTTTAAGTTTCACCAAGTTGTATCAGTACTTCATTTCTTTTTATGGCTGAATAATATTCCATTATATAAATATACCACAAAGTGTTTATTCATTTGTTCGCTGATGGGCATTTGAGTCGTTTCTACCTTTTGACTATTATGAATAATGTTGCTATAAAAATTTATGTAAAATGTTTTGTGTTGACATATGTTTCATTTTCCTTAGGTACATACGCAGAAGCACAATTGCCAGGTCAATTAGTAACTCTACGTTTAACACTTGAAGAACTGAGGAACTGACAGACTGTTTTCCAAAGAAGCAGTCCCATTTTCTTATATTCCCACCAGCAATGCATGAGGATTCCAGTGTTTCCCTATCTTCACCAACCCTTATTATTATCTGACTTTCATTTTATCGTAGTGGGGTGAAGTGGTGTTTCATAGTGAAACATAGTTTTGATTTGCATTTCCCTGATGATGTTGAGCATCATCATGTGCTTATTATTAAATTTGTTTGGGGGAATGTCCATTCAGATCTTTTGCCCATTTTTTAATTTTTTTTTTGAGACAGGGTCTTGCTCTGTTGCCCAGGCTGGAATACAGTGGGCAGTGGTGCAATCATGGCTCACTGCAGCTTCAGACTTCTAAACTCAAATGATCCTCCCACCTCAGCCTTCAGAGTGGCTGGGACTACCAACACATGCTACCATGCCCAGATAATTTTTTAACTTATTGTAGAGACAGGGTCTGACATTGCCTAGGCTGGTGCAATCAAGTTCTTTATCAGATATTTGATTTGCAAATTTTTTTTCAAATAAAAAATGATGACCAGGGGCAGTGGCTCACGCTTGTAATCCTAGCACTTTGGGAGGCGAGGCAGACCAATCACTTGAAGTTAGAAGTTCAAGACCAGCCTGGCCAACATGGCAAAACCCCGTCTCTATTAACAATACAAAAATTAGCCAGGCATGCTGGTGCACGCCCGTAGTCCCAGCTATTCGGGAGGCTGAGGCATGAGAATTGCTTGAACCCCAGGATGCAGAGGTTGCAGCGAGCTGAGATCACACCACTGCACTCCAGCCTGGGTGACAGAGTGAGACTCATCTCCAAAACAAAAACAAAACAAAACAAAACAAAAGATGAAGCGGTAACTCAGGAAACCTTTATATTATTGTATTATTCATAAATCAAAATAAACCTTTGTAAAACAAAATAACTAAGTTTCTAAACATTCAGTATATAGAGTAGCTGCTTAAATAATTTATATCTGGAATGGACTCAAGTACAGAAAATTCACTGTGTATTAACAACAGTGGTGTCTTAATGAAAGCCAGTGCTGTGTTGTTCATCTTGTTGGAGGCAGTGTGGCAGAATGATGCAAAGCTGACTCCGAAGCCAGACTAGAGACCAAAGGATTTTGAGAACAGGGAGACCTCTCCTACCTGTGCAGGTACATGAAAGGCAAGGCTCCTCCGGACTGTACATCGGTGGAAAACCTTTAGATTCTGCTGCCACCTTGTGGTGGTCAGATTACAACATGGTGCCCCATGCTCTTGGGTTTTGCTAGGGCTCCTGCTTCATTCAGGTCTATTGTAGGGACAAAAAAAAAAAAAAAAAAAAAGACGAAGGCAAGCATACATAGTATTTTGTATATGCATTAAACAAGAATAGACAAAAAAAAATTGTTTAAGCATGAGAGATTATAGCACAATGATAAGACCAGTATCTTTGGAGCTATTCTAACTTCATTTATACCCCAAACTTCATTTATACTCCTGACTCAGCATTGGACTAGCTGTTTGATGCTGGGCAAGTCACTCTTACCCCTCTGTGAGCACTGTCTATTAAGTGGCAATAATAATAGTACCTCTCTCATGATGAGAGGTTAAATGAGGCAGTGATTGTTTGGCACTGAGTTCCTGGCATATGATTCTTGGTTAATAACAAATGATTGATATAGGTTGTATTAGTCCGTTTTCATACTGCTATAAAGAACTGCCTGAGACTGGGTAATTTATAAAGAAAACAGGTTTAATTGATTCACAGTTCAGCATGGCTGGGGAGACCTCAGGAAACTTACCATCACGGTGTAAGGTGAAGGAGAAACAAGGACCTTCACGAGGTGGCAGGAAGGAGAAGTGCCGAGCGAAGGGGGAAGAGCCTCTTACAAAACCATTAGATCTCCTGAGAACTCACTCACTATCATGAGAACAGCCTGGGGGAATCTGCTTCCATGATTCAATTACCTCCACCTGGTCTCTCCCTTGACACGTAGGGATTATGGGGACTACGATTCAAGACGATATTTGGGTGGGGACACAAACCCTAACCATATCATTGGTGAACAAGGAAATCAGGCTAGTTCCTTTCTGGGAGCCTTTTCCTTTTTTTTTTTTTTTTTTTTTTATGTTGGGTGCAAAATTGGAACTAACCAAAATTCTTGGTTTATAATGCATGTTCATCACTGGTCATGGAACACACACAAAAAAATGTGCTTGTGTGTTGGGAATGGATGCCTAGAAACTATCTGGATGCAACAGTTTAGTGTAATTCCAGGATTGAAAGAATACAACACACACCCACTTGTGAACACACATACATATATACACACATACACTCACACAAAAGGGGAAGCACATTCCAATTGGTTACAGTAACTCATTTCATCCTTATGCCAATTTTGTCCTAAAGGAGGACCGTTCCCTATCTTATCTAGGATATGCAGGTATGGAACCTGCAGGATTTCAAGGTCACCTTTAAATCTAGTGGGCATGAGCTTTAACCTATGAGGAAGGATGCATTCTGACTCTTTTTTAGAAGGATACAGTGAGCAAAGTGGAGGGAGTAAGACCCCCTACTGAGACAGATGGCTAAGCCCTTCCTGAAGGATAAGGTAAATAAGGGGTTGGTATTTTGCATTTTCTTCTAGTGAAATTTGTCTTTCAGCATTTAAAAATAGCTAACTCTGTTCTTTTATGAATTATTTTCATAGTTATGTCTTTACTCTCTTTTTAAGGGCTTTTTTATTTTTCTAAAATTCAAAGTTGAATATTCAGTTTATTAATTCTCTCTCAGCTAACAAAAACTCTTAAAGCTGTGAAATGACATATGAAAACACAGCTTTGTCATGTATCTCACACTTAAAATGTTGCATTTTCTTATTCATTTTTTCTCTAAAGAATCTGATATGGTCATCTTGATTTCTCTATGACTCTCGTGCTATTGGATAATTTTCCCTCTTTTTTGATTTTCACGTGGCTGGTTTTCAGGTTGTTTTGTTTTGAGGTATTCACTGGTTACAATGTGGCTAGAGGGTGTGGTCTATATCACTTCTGCTTCTGGAAATTTATTGAAATTTCTTATATGCAGTCCATTTTTATGACTATCTGTAGCTGATATGCTTTTCACAGGCCACAGGTTCAAGTTTGGTTAGAAAATGTAACATTATTTTCTATTACACAGTTTTCCTCTATTTTGAATATCCATTACTCCTAATGCATGTGCCCACAGACATTTTAAAATATAATTAAAAAAAATAAAAACCACAACAAACCACCAACCACACACACACCTAATGTTAGTCATCTCCAGGTAAACTCAGTAATTTTTTTCCAAGATTTTCCCAGTTAGTGTTTCCCCTTTTCCCAGGGGGGTTGGATCTAAGTCGTGGAGGTACTTTAGTAGCATTAAGGGAGGGTCATCTGAATGTTCTGGGGTCATCACCTTTCCACTTTAGTATCCATTGAGATGTACGTCATCTTCCCCTCCCAGCCTTTGTCGCCTTCCACAAACTTTGCAGACATTAGCTTAGTGACCTGTTTCCCACGTTTCCTAGTTCTGGGCACATGCATTTCTCCATCGGACCTCAAGGCCACTTCCACTCTCCCAGCCACCTGAGTGCCCCTCTTGGGCAAAGGGAAATCTTTGCATATTCTCGCGAGCAACTCTAGTATCTGAGGAAACGTGAGGCTGACCAATCTCCTCCAGTCCTTTGACAACCTTAATTGTTTGCGCGGCTACTGTGGGCTGACTTCTGCAAGGCTTATTGATTCCCTGTTTGTTCCGGAAATGTGCACTTGATGTGATCTCACATCTCTAGCTGGGGGGATTTTCATACCCCATTCAGGGCAGTTTCAACCCCTGAGAGCAGGTGCAGTGGACAAAGGGCACAGCCCCTTCCCAGAGACCCACGCTGCATCAGACTCTCGGTCTTACCGACGTCGCTAGTCCTGAGGCTGCTCGCCCCAACCCACCAGGTCCCGGCTGCGCTTTGGCGCCACCTAGTGGTGTCTTGGCGGCTCTGGCGTAAGCCGGCTTAGGATGCTGAGGGTGCTGTTGGGAAGGAGTCTCCGCCAGGCGGGGCCTCCCAGCGGAGCTACGAGCTCTCCAGGATCCGCCCGGTTACCGATGGCACTTGCTTTCTTGGCGGCTTCTGGGGAGACCGAGCAACGAGAGCACCGAGGACACAAAGGTCCACTTTCTACTTCTGGGTTTCCAAAAATAAGGCGGCCTGAGTTTTCAGCGCCTGGTCTTCCCACCACACCCTACCAAAGAAAGGAAATCACCTGGCGTAGGAAACAAGCCCTACCTTGCGCTTGTTTTCAGAATTCACAGATGGTGCAGGCGTGTTACCGTCGGGTTTACCCACTATCCCTCTATGCGTGTTGTGGGCACCTGAAAAGGAGGTGATAGCCCCTCTCTGTAAATGTGCAATTCCCCCTGCCCAGCCAAGGGAGACGCCAGGATGCAGAGTGCCAGGGTCAGGCAGGGCAGGAACCCAGGCTGCCGCAGCCGAAGGAGAGAAACCAAAGTTCCAGCCAACCCAGCCAAGCGAAGTGTAGCCAAGAGCTGGGAAGGAGAGAAACGGGAACCCGAACGAAGTCCCAAAGGAAGAGGCCTACATCAGAGCCCAAGCGTTCAAAGCAGCAAACAGGAGACGTGGCTGGAGGGGTTCCCTGAGTCACAGAGGCTGGCTTCTCATAGGGAGGGGCCCCAGGAGAATATAGGCCACTGAATTTTTTCCTTAAGTTTTATTTTGTCTGATATTAAATTTGCTAAACTTCTTTATACCCAACTTTTAAAACAATATATTATCTTTACTGTGGAAAAATGTGGAAAATTGGGGAAAACACATCCTGTATAACACGTAGAAAGGCTGCTGTTTATTTGTGTGCATGTGTGTGTGTATATATATATACATGTTTTCTAGGGATGCTGGGACAAATTACCACAAACTGGGTGACAACACAGATTTATTCTCTGCCATTTATGGAGAAAAAAGGCTGAACTCAAGATGTCTGCAGGGCTACCCTCCCTCCAAGGGCCCTAGAGGAGAATTTTTCTTGCTTCTTCCAGCTTTTGGTGACTCCAGGAGTTCCTTGGCTTGTAGCTGCATAACTCCAATCTTGGTATCCATCCTCACATGGCCATGGCTTTCTCTGTGTCTGTGTCTTCTCTTCTGTCTCCTATATAAGGATCGTTAAATTTAGGACTCATCCAGATAATCTAGGATGAGCTCATCTCAAGATCATTAACTCAATTATATCTACAAAGATACTATTGAGGAGCGTGGGTATTAGGACATGGATGGATATTTTTAGAGGTCATGATTCAACCCATTACAGTGTATGTGCATGTGTGTGTGTATATATGTATATGTTTTATGCACATATATATGGAGAAACAGAAAAAAACAAGCTACGATTCTACTATTCACATTTTGACGCATTTTCTTCAGGTGTTGGTGTTGGTTTTATGCAGAAATAAAACTTTTAAATGAAATTTAATTCATAGATGATATACGGATTTTATTCTATTTTCCATAATGATTTTTCCATCTTTAAATATTAATTTAAAACATAACTCTAATGGTTGCATCATAAACTATCTTAAATGTGCTATATTTTATTTAACCATTCAATTAATATTGAATACATAACTTTTTGGTGCTATAAATAAATGATGAGGTAGTGAACAAAGTAATAAAAATCTAGCTTCTAAGGAACAATTTGTTGTTTTTGCCACCTCACATCCATTGCCCCTTCTTCATAATATTACCTTAATTTTTCTTGGGGAACTAACATTTCTCTATTGGCTAATGATTGGCAAGACGATCAATTAAGATGCACTGAATATTTTTAGATTAAAAAATAGATGTGAAACCTAACTTACGATAGTTGGATGCTCTCTCCATAGCAACTGAATCTTAAGAAAAGTAAGACTGAAAACAGCTGTAGCTGATTCATCTGGTAGCTGATTCATCCTGTAGCTGATTCATTGTTTTCTGTTACCTGGTTCTCCAGAGCCACCCTGGTTCCTGCCCTTTTGGGGCCTAACTTTTCAGCTTTCTTTTTCAGTTCTATTAGCTGAACCAAAAATTTATGTTTTATTTTGTCTGAGTTGATTTCTGCTTTTGCAAACAAAGAATCTGAACTTCTACAAGGTGAATACTTCTGATTCATTTGTTTTTGGTATTTTTTGCTTTCTAATACAAATATTTAGTAATATAAATTTTCCTCTGAGAACAATTTTGTTGTTATACAAAATTGTTTTCTCACTGCTACTTTTTTTTTTTTTTTTTTTTGAGTTGGAGTCTTGCTCTGTCGCCCATGCTGGAGTGCCGTGGCGCGATCTCAGCTCACTGCAACCTCTGCCTCCTGGCAATTCTGCCTCAGCCTCCCAAGTCGCTGGGACTACAGGCACATGCCACCATGCCCGGCTAATTTTTGTATTTTTAAAGATGGGGTTTAGAGATGGGGTTTCACTGTGTTGCCCAGGCTGGTGTCAAACTCCTGATCTCAAGTGATCTGCTGGCCTCAGCCTCCCAAAGTGCTGGGATTACAGGCGTGAGTCACCATGCCCGGCCTGTTACTATTTTCTGAATAGACTTTTATTGCTTTTACTTGAGTTATTTGGAAAGATGATTTTAGAACACCAATTGATTTTTTGGACAATTATTTTATTGCTGTTTTTAATTTTGTGACAGTGTATTAAGAGAATTTGGGGTATTTATGGAAATCTTTATGTATATGTTTGTAGATGTTCTTGAGTAATTGAAAAAATAGCTACACACACACAGCATGTATCTTTTAAGTCAAAGTTTTAACTGTATTGTTCATGTCTTTTGCTATTACCCAATATACCAAAGCCACACAAACACACTATGAGAAAAAAGTACAGAACAATATCACTTGTGAACATACATGCAAATATGATCAACAAAATACTAGCAAACCAAATCCAGCAGCACATTAAAAGAATTATACCCATGACCAAGTAGGATTTATCCCAGGGATGGAAGGCTGGTTTAATATATGAAAAGTAATCAGTGAAATACACATTAAAAGAATAAAAGACCAGCCTGGCCAACACAGTGGAACCCCGTCTCTATCAAAAAATACAAAAATTAACCGGGCATGGTGGCGCATGCCTGTAGTCCCAGCTATTCAGGAGGCTGAGGCAGGAGAATCACTTGAACCCAGGAGGCAGAGGTTGCAGTGAGCCAAGATTGCGCCGCTGTACTTCAGCCTGGGCGACCAAGTGAGAGAGTGAGACTCTGTCTCAAAAAAAAAAAAAAAAAAAGAGAGAAAACCCCACATGATCATCTCAATTGATGCAGAAAAAGCATTTGACAAAATGCAACACTCTTTCATGATAAATACACGCAATAAAATAGGAATAGAGGGGAACTTCTTCAACATGATAAAGGCCATCTACAAAAAACCCACAGCAAACATCACACTCAATGGTGAAAGACTGAAAGCCTTTACACTGAGATCAAGAACAAGACAAGGATACCCACTTTTGCCACTTCTATTAAACATAGTACTGGAAGTCCTAGTTAGGACAAGTAGGCAAGAAAATGAAATAAAAGGCAGACAAATTGGAAAAGAAGAAGTAAAATTATCTCTATAAACAGATGACATGATCTTATACACGGAAGAACCTAAAAAGTACACACGTGCATGCACACACACATACACATACACAATAGAGCTAATAAGTGAATTCAGCAAAGTTGCGGGATACAAAATCAGCACACAAAAATTAGTTGTATTTCTATACAGTAGAAATGAACAGTTCAATGAGGAAATTAAGAAAACAATTCCATTTTAAAAACAAAAAGAAGATACTTAGAAATAAATTTAACTAAAAAGGGACAAAACTTATTTACTGAAAAAAAACAAAACATTGCTGAAGAAAATTAAGGAAGACTTAAATAAATGGAAAAATATCCCACTTCGTACATTGGAAAACTCAATATTGTTAAGATATAACAGTACTACCCAAAGTGATACACAGATTTAATGCAATCCCTACCAAAATTCCAATGGCATTTTTTTCTTTAACTGTTTTATTTTCTCAGAACTGGAAAAACCTTTCCCAAAATTCATATGGAATTTTAAGGGACCCCAAAGAGTCAAAACAATTTTGAAAAAGAACAAAGTTGAAGGGCTCACACTTCCCAATTTCAAAGTCTTACTACAAAGCCACAGTCATCAAAACATGGTGGTACTGGCATAAGGATAGAGATATAGATCAATGGAATAAAGTCAAAATAAATCTTCATATCTATTTGGTTTTTGACAAGGGTGTCAAGACTATTCAATAGGGAAAGGACAGTCTCTTCAATGGTGTTTTGGGAAAACAGGATATCCACATGCAAAAGAAATGAAGTTGGACCTTTACCTCACACCATATGCAAAAATTAACTCAGGATTCAGGGAAGCACCAAGAATCTGTCTCTCCACCTAGACAACAATTACACTGGCAACATCTGTCTGATGTAACTATTTTAGAACTGTGGAGTCTACTGAAAGATTGCAACTTCTAGGAAAAGGTTTGGACCTTAACAGGTAGTTAATTTCAGTCAGTTTTAGCTCTTAGCACAGTAGCAGCAATTAATTCCCACTCCTGCCCCATGACAGACAGCTGTGCATGTGTTCCTGCAGTAGATGCAAACAGCCTGTGGGAGCCAAGGGTGGGCAAAAAGGACCTTGTCCTTCAGCTATCAGGGATCTGTGCTCTGATGGCCTACTGCTGCTTCTAATCACAGAGGTGAAGACAAAGGCACTTGGGAAGGCTGAGGTGGGAGGAACATTTGAGCCCAGGAGTTGGAGACCAACCCAGTCAACATAGTGAAACCCAGTCGCTACAAAAAATTTTAAAAACTAGCTGGGCATAGTGGTATGCACCTGTAGTTCCAGCTACTTGGGAGGCTGAGGTGGGAGGATCACTTGAGCCTGGGAGGTCAAGGCTGCAATGAGCAGTGATCATGCCACTGTACTCCAGCCTGGGGGAGGAAGGGAGACTCCATCTCCAAAAAAAAAAAAAAAAAGACAATGAGGCAGCAGCTATTGTTGTAGTATCTCCCCCAACTGTTGCAACTCCCTCCCTCTCTGGCTGAAGTGACTTCCAGGAGATTTAAAATGTTAATGCCCTTTTTTTCTCCCTTCATTTTACTCTTTTTTCCTTTTGGAAGCCAGACAAAAAAAATAGTAAACCATTAAAAAAAAAACACAAAAGCTCAGCCTTCTGAGCTTAGAATTAAAACATAATGCTAATGGTTGCATCATAGACTATCTTCAATGTGCTATATTTTATTTAACCATTTAATTAATATTGAACACATAACTTTTTGGTGCTATAAATAAATGATGATGTAGTGAACCAACTAACAAAAACCTAGCTTCTAGATTCCACATCCACAGATTTAACCAACTGTGTATCAAAAAATATATGTTTATATTTAGAAATGGGTTCATGCTCTATCGCCTAGACCAGAGTACAGTGGGATGATCATACCTCACTGCGGTCTTGAACTGCTGGGCTCAAGAAATCCTCTTGCCTCAGCCTCCCAAGTAGCTAGAACTATAGGCATGCACCACCATGCCCAGCTAATTTTTAAGGTTTTTGTCGAGACGGGGTCTCACTATGTTGTCCCATCTGGTTTTGAACTCCTAGCATCAAGTGATCCTCCCATTTTGGCCTCCCAAAGTGTTGGAATTACAGATGTGAGCAACCATGCCCAGCCTAAAAATATTTTAAGAAAACAACAATAAAAATAATACAAATTTAAAAACAATTCTGAATATAGTATAACAACTATTTACATTGCATTTATATTGTATTAGGTATTATAAGCAATCAAGTATGTGAATAAAGTATATGCGAGTTGTGCATAGGTTAAATGCAAATATTATGCCATTTACATAAGAAACTTGAAAATTTATGCATTTTGGTATCTACAGGGTATCCTGGAACCAATCTTTCACAGATACCAAGGGACGACTATATATGTCTTCCAAAAGTGAGAAAGAAATTAAGACAATCTCAAATAAACAAAAGCAGAGGGAGTTCACTACCACTAGAGCTGCCTTGCAAGAAATGCTCAAGGGAGTCATGCAAGGTGAAATGAAAGATACTAGACAGTAACTCAAAACCATATGAAGGAACAAAGATCTCAATAAGGGTAAATACATGGGACATTATAAAAGCTAGTGTATTTTAACAATAGTTTGTGGCATCATTTTTTGTTTCTACATGACTTAAGAGATGCTATATGACAAAAAGGGACTAATACATTTTTTTCAAAAATATTAGTCTAAAAGCCAGTATTGCTGGGTGGGGTGGCTCACACCTGTAATCTCGACACTTTGGGAGGCCAAGGTGGGAAGATCACTTGAGGTCAGGAGTTGGAGACCAGCTTGGGCAACATAGTCTCTACAAAAAATTTAAAACTTATCCAGGCATGATGGCATGCACAATAGTCCCAACTACTCAGGAGGCTGAGGTGGGAGGATCACTCAGCCCAGAAGTTTGAGATTGCAGTGAGCTATGATTATGCCACTGTACTCCAGCCTGGGCAACAGAGTAAGACCTTGTCTCCATAAAAAAATAATAATAATTTTTTAAAATATAAAATATAGCCAGCATTACTATAACTTTGGTTTGTAACTGTGCATTTTGATTTTTACATAATTTAAGAGACTGCTGCACTTAAAAGAATTATTAATTTAGGTTTTCAAGCACAAAATATATAGGGATGTAATTTTGTGATACTGACAGCTGAAAGTGTGAGGACAGAGCTATAAAGGAACAGAATTTTTGTATATTATGGACATTAAACTGGTATAATTTCAAGTTAGAATATTATAACTTTAGAATAATAAATGAAATCTCCATGCTAACCACAGAGAAAACAGCTGTATAATGTATACAAAAGGAAATGAAAAAGGAATTGAAAATTTTCACTACAAAATATCAACTAAATGCAAAAGAAGACAGTAATGTAGGAAATAAGGGACAAAAATCTACAAGGCATATAGAAAACACCCAGCAAAATGACAGAAGTATCTCCTCATCCTTCATTATTTTAAATGTAAATGAGTTAAACTCTCTAATCAAAAGAGATTAGCAGAATGGATAGAAAAATATGATTGAACTATATGCTGCCTACAGGAAGCTCACTTTAGATTCACAGACACAAAAGATTGAACATGAAAGAATGGAAAAAGAGACTCCATGCAAATAGTAACCAAAAGAGAGCAGGGGTTGCTATTCTAACAATGGACAAAATAGACTTTAAGTCAAAAAAGATTAAATGAGACAAAGAAGGACATCATACATTAATAGGAGGTTCAATGTAGCAATAAGGTAAAATAATTATAAACATTTATACACCTAATAACAGACAATCAAAACTTGTGAAGCAAAAACTGACATAATTGAAGAAAGAAATAGACATTTCTAAAATAAATGTTGGAGACTTTAAAACCCCACTCTCAATGGGGAGACTGATTTGAGTAATAAGAAAACTCTGGTCTCCCACACAGCTGGCTCTGCTTGAATTAGTCTTTTTCTATTGCAATTCACCTGTCTTGGTAAATCGGCTTTGTCTAGGCAGCAGGCAGGGTGAATCCACTGGGCGGTTACAGTGCAATCATAGCTCACTGCAGCCTCGAATTTCTCGGCTCAAGCAATTCTCCTGCCTCAGCCTCCCAAGTAGCTGAGATTAAGGCACGTGCCTCCTTGCCCAGCTAATCTTTATTTTTTGTAGAGATGGGTCTTGCTATGTTACCCAGGCTGGTCTCAAACTCCTGAGATCAGGTGATCCTCCTGCCTCAGCACCCTAAAGCCCTGGGATTACAGGTACAAGTCACTGTGCCTGGCCTTACACTATCATTCTTATTGGATATTTTAATCTTTTTTCAATTCTACATAGAATATTGTTCTGATTATATAGTATGTAGGTCAATGTAAGTAAATCAATCAGTTCTTAATTCTCATTCTAGCTCTGCCATGTCTAAGTTGCCTCAACTATAAAATGGTGATAATTTATTTCAGAAACATTGTAAGAACCAAATGAAATAATGTATTTGACTTTATGAAAATATATTACATAAACTATGAAGTATCATTATTCTTTGGTATTCTGGTATTCTTGATAATTCAATGTATAAGACTATTTCATTTAACTTCTTTTTCAGTTAAATATATTTTTTGATGAAAATGTATTATAAAGCACCTACTTTCAAAAATCAAAAGGGGCTGAAATTAGTTGTAAAGTAAAAAGATAGAAAAAATAGGAATTATGAAGTTAAGAGATTATTCTGGTCATTGTGGATAGCAAGTAGAAATGGTACTAATTTATAGCACTCATAATTTATACATGAAACTAAATAATCATGTTTACCAATCAAAACAATACGAAAAAGAAGAGAAAAGCAAAAAAAAAAGCAGACATAAAACTAGAAAATTCACAAACTTATGAAAATAAACAACCAATAAATCAAAGTAGAAATTCAAATGACAATGAAAACATAACATACCAAAATTTATGGTCTTGTGCCTTAAGGCAGTGCTGTAGTGGAAATTTATAGCTATACATGTTTACATTAAAAAAGAAAGATGTCAAACCTAATTTTACAACTTATGGAACTAGAAAAAGAAGAACAAACTAAACCCAAAGCTAGCATAAGAAAGGAAATTTAAAAGATGAGCACAGAGATCAACAAAATAGAGAACAGAAAAACAATAAAGAAAATTAATAAAACCAGAAGCTGGTTCTTTGAACATAACAAATATTTAGCTAGATAGACTTTTAAAAAATGAGGCCAGTTGCAGTGGCTCACACCTGTAATCCCAGCACTTTGAGAAGCTGAGGCTGGTGGATGACTTGAGCCCAGGGGTTTGAGACCAGCCTGGGCAACATAGTGAGACCCCATCTCTATGAAAATATTTTTTAATTAACTGGGTGTGCCCCTTTAGTACCAGCTACTCAGGCGGGTGAGGTGGGAGGATCACTTGAGCCTGGGAGGCTCAAATGATCAGGCCACTGCACTCCAGCCTGAGAGATAGAGCAAGACCCTGTCTCAAAAAAAGAAAAAAAAAAAAGAAGAAGAAGACACGAATTACTAAAATCAGAAATGAAAGTGGGGACATTATTACTGATTCTACAGATACAAAAAAGATTATAAGAGAGTGTTATGAACAATTGTATGTCAACAAATTTAAAAACCCACATGAAATGAACAAATTTCTAGAAACACAAAATCTATCAAGGTTAAATTATGAAGAAACAGAGAATCTGAGTAGACTTATAAAGAATAAGGAAATTGAGTCACTAGTCAAAAATTGAGTCCTGATTTGGGGGCATCAGAAAAGCCCTAGATCTAGACCAGGCACACTGGCTAATGCCTGTAATCCCAGCACTTTGGGAGGCTGAGGCAGGCAGATCACTTGAGGCCAGGAGTTCAAGACCAGCCTGGCCAATGTGACAAAACTCTGCCTCTACTAAAAATACAAAAATTAGCCAGGTATGGTGGCATGCACCTGTAATTCCAACTACTCAGGTGACTGTGGCTCTAGAATCCCTTGAACTCAGGAGGCAGAGATTGCAGTGAGCTGAGATTGTGCCACTGCACTCCAGCCTGGGCAAAAGAGCGAGACTATCTCAAAAAAAAAAAAAAAAAAAGAATAAAAGAAAAGCCCTGGATTTGATGGCATCACTGGTTAATTCCACCAAACATTTAAAGAACTAATACTGATCCTTCTCAAACTTTTCCAAAAAATTGAAGAGAAAAAACTCCCTGACTCATTCTATGAGGTCAGCATTACCCTGATACCAAAGCCAAAAAAGAGACTACAAGAGAAGAAAACTACAAACTAATATCCCTTATGAACACTGATGCAAAAACCCTCAACAAAATACCAGCAAACTGAACTCAGAATTACTCACCATGGCCCAGTGAGATTTATTCCTGGAATGAAAGGATGGTTCAACATTTGAAAATCAATCATTATAATACACCATATTAACAAGACCTGGGGGGAGGAAAAACCACTTGATCTTCTCAATTGATACAGAAAAACATTTGACAAAATTCAACACCCTTTTATGATAAAAATATACAACAAACTAGAAATAGAAGGAATATTACCTCAATGTAATAAAAGCTGTAAATGAAAAACCCACAGCAAATATCATAATCATTGGTGAAAGACTGAAAGCCTTTCCTCTAAGATAAGGAACAAGGTAAGGATGCCTACTTTCACCACTTCTATTCAACATAGTACTGGAAGTCCCAGCCAAAGTAATTAGGCAAGAAAATGAAATAAAAATCACCTACAGTGAAAGGAAGATGTAAAGTATCTACCATTTTACTTTCCCACTAACAGTACACAAGAGATCCAACTGCTCCACATCCTCAAAACACTTGTTATTTTCTTTTCTTTTTTTTTCTCTCTTTTTAAAATAGCCATCTGGTGGAGCACAGTGGCTCACGTTTGTATCCCAGCACTTTGGGAGGCTGAGACGGGAGGATTGCTTGAGCCCAGGAGTTCGAGATCAGCCTGACCCCCTTGTCAGATAGGTTGGTGAGGTTGTGGCTGTTAACAGCCCAGAAGGAAGAGGTGGCCCCCCAGTGAGAGAGAGAGGGACACTTACTCTTCGAATGACCCTCTTATTTGCAGTGAGGAAGAGACAGCAGAGAGTGTTCTCTGTCTATGCATGCGTGCAGAGGAAAGGCCACATGAAAACACAATGACGAGGTGGCCATCTCCTGCCAGACACCAACCCTGACAGCACCTTGATCTTGGGCTTCTAGTCTCCAGAACTGTGAGAAAATAAATGTCTGTTGTTTAGGCAAAACAAAAAATTAATTCAGAATGGATCAAAAGCCTAAATTAAGAGCTGTACTGTATAACTCTTACAGTTGTAATCTAGTTTTAGAACCCTTCTATCACTCTAAAAAGTTATCTCATGCTTATTTGCAGCTCATCGCTCTTCCACCCCTAGTCTGAGAAAACCACTGATTTGCTTACTGATTCTATAGTTTTGCCCTTTCTAGAAATTTCATATAAGGGGAATTATACAATACATAGTTATGCATTGTCTGGCTTCTTTCATGAGGTTCACCTATGTTGTGGCATGTATCAGGACTTTGTTCCTTTTTATTGTTGAGTGTTGTATGGGTACAGCACATTTTATTTGTCCATTTACCATCTGATGGACTTTCACACTGTTTCCAATTTTGGGCTATTGTGAATAATGCTGCCATGAACGCTTGAATACAAATATACAATTTTTTGAATTGTATTATCACAGTGTTAATCGTCAGATTTTAACAATTTACCATTATAGTAATTCATCACTACTGTCAGTTTGCTCTTGTGGTCACTATACTGAATATTTGTAATTCTAAATAGATGCTCATTTTCATTGGAGGTAGGTACCAGAGCAAAATATTTTTTTGGCTTTCTCTGCCATTCAGACCCTGCTGATGGTGATGTTGCTACCATGTTATTGAGCCTTTCTTTCTCTTTAATAGTACCTGATCAAGGTAAAAACATCTTCTTTCATTCTTGATTAAAGATGAAGTTGATGGTGACAGTACATTTTCATTATGGCAGTTTTACAAACTGAAGCTTTGTGCACTGCTGAAAGAAAATGTTTTCTGAATATTTTCTGTTTTTTGAGACAGAGTCTCACTCTATCACCAAAGCTGGAGTGCAGCAGTGGCCCAGTCATAGCTCACCGTAACCTCGAATTGCTCGGCTCAAGCGACCCCCCTGCTTCAGTCACCTGAGTAGTTGGGACTACATGTGTGCCACCACACCACGCTAAATTTTTAAATTTTTGTAGAGATAGGGTCTTGCTTTGTTGCCAAGGCTGGTCTCAAACTCTTGTCCTCAAATGATCCTCCTGGCTCGGCATCTGAATATTTTCAAAATCAGATTTAAGATAATTGCCCTCAAATATAATTTTATTTACAATATTTTTCCCATGTACTTGCTGCTTCAAACAGTCACTTGAGAAAATATTTGCCTTTAAATCCAGAATCTTGAAATAGGATATGATGGAACAATATAATTTAAATTCTGAATTCACATCTGTATTAGTCAGGATTCTCTAAAGGGACAGAAGTAATAGGATATATGTATATATGAAGGGGAGTTTATTAGGAGTACTGACTCACAGGACCACAAGATCAAGTCCCACAATAGGCCATCTACAAGCTGAGGAGCGAGGAAGCCAGTCTGAGTCCCAAAACCTCAAAAGTAGGAAAGCCCACAGTGCAGCATTCAGTCTGTGATCAAAGGCCTGAGAGCCCCTAGCAAATCACTGGTATAAGTCCAAGAGTCCAAAAGTTGAAGAACTCGGAGTCTGATGTTTGAGGGCAAGAAGCATCCAGCACGGGAGAAAGATGAAGACTAGAAGTCTCAGCAAGTCTGCTCTTTCCAACTTCTCCCTGCTTTATTCCAGCCACACTGGCAGCTGATTACATGGTGCCCACCCAGATTGAGGGTGGGTCAGCCTCTCCCAGTCCACTGACTCAAACGTTAATCTCCTTTGGCAACACCCTCACAGACACCCAGGAACAATACTTTGCATCCTTCGATCCAATCAAGTTGACACTCAGTATTAACCATCACAACATCTGCATCTGAGGTTTTACTGCACGCTCATCAGCTTCAAACTCGTCACTAGCGTAAAGCTGATAGGAGAATCTTTACGACAGGTTTCAGTGAAAGAAATATTGCCCTCACAAGACAACTGAGTTGGTTACATCTACAGCAGGTTCCAGCCAGTAAACTCTTCTCTGCAAATCACATGGGTTGTTGTGTTGTTACAGTGATCTGCAAAGTAAAAGGTCAAGGCTTTATTTTGGTATTTAAGCGGACTTCTTAATATGTCATAAGTGTTGCATTATCTTTTGTGAACATCTTGAATAAGTACATGACAAGGAAAAGGCAGTTCCACAGTATCTTGTATACCACATAGTTTGCTTTGGCTGAAGAAGAATATAGAAAAGGTCTACTCTCTGTTTATTGCCAGTAACCCATGGTGCTATCTTATATTTTAAAAAGACTTCTGGTTGCTTCTTCATGTCCAAGTGTCTGATATAGAAGGTACAAAAGTAGCACATTTAATATCATTAACCTTTTTATACACAGCAGACTTTAATTCTAGAAACTGCTTTTAGTAACACATTTTATAGAAGGAACTTTATATCTTCATCAAATGTCAAAAATTCTTCATCTACTACTAAAAATAGTTGGCAGTCTATAGCAATATTTTTGTCAAGCTTTCTGTTTAAATTTTTGCATAGACTCAAGAGTAAAAGGAACTATCTTCTTGAAATATTTTTATGAAGTCTGTTGTTTTGAAATATGATTAGTAGAAACAGAATGGGTTTGAAATACCTCATTTCCCCTAAACTTTTTTTTTTTTTTGAGACAGAGTCTCGCTCTGTCGCCCAGGCTGGAGTGCAGTGGTGCGATCTCGGCTCACTGCAAGCTCCGTTCCCCCCCGGGGCTCACGCCATTCTCCTGCCTCAGCCTCCTGAGTAGCTGGGACCACAGGCGCCTGCCACCACGCCCGGCTAATTTTTTTATTTTAATTCATTGTTTATATTCTATGTTAATCAAAGCTGTTTCAACATGGTAGTTTTTCTACTTCATTTTAGAGTTTTCCTCCTCATAAACTCTAGGTTAGCAAAGTTGATATTCTCCTTTGAAGTCATCCTCAACAAGATGTAAACAATTCCCAAATAGGACTTTTTCTTGAAAGACCCAAAGCTAAATAATACTAAATAAATAAAAATTAAATACAGTTTTTGAAGACTTCTTTGAACGTTATGAATGCTAAAATACCAAGCAAGTCTACAAAGATTATAACTCTATTATCACTCCTTATTCTTTTTTAAGAACATTTATGTTTTTAAGAAGCTGTTTATTTGTTTATTTTTTGAATAGGGAATACATTTATATGGCTTAAAAAGTCAAAGTAATGCAAAAGGTACACTCTGAGTATATCCGCTTTCACTCCAACTTCCCTCCCCCTCCTCTATAGTTAACTAGTTTTATAATTTATTGAGGATCTTTCCAGTATTTAATATGTGAATGTTAGAAAATCTAAGTATATATTTTTATTCCCCCCTTTATTGCACAAGATTGCATTTTGCATAAGATATACTTTTTTCCATTTTTTACTTTGCCTTCTTCATTCAGTATATATTCTAGAGATCTTTTTACATCAGTATAAAGAGCAATTTTCATTCATTTTTATAGCTGCATATTATGCCATTATGTAGGATGTAACTTAGCGTATTTAACTAGGTCCATTTGGATCTTTTCCAATCTTTTTTTGTTATAAGCAATGCTGCCATGCATGACTTTGAACACAAGTTATTTCATGCACGTGAAGTATATTCGAGGTAAATTTCCAGAAGTGGGATTACTGGTCAGAGGATAGAAACGTGTAATTTTGAGAGATATTTCCAAATTGCCTTACATAGGATTGTTATCTTTTGGGCTCCAATCAGCAATGCATAAGAGTTTCTTGCCAAAATTATGTGTCATCAAACATTTGGAATTTTGTAACCAAGCTCATAGATGATAATTGGCATGTCAATTTTGTTTTAATTTGCAGTTCTCATATTTTGAGTGAAATTGAGCATCTTCTATGAGTTTAAAGTCATTTGTATCTCTTTTTCTGAGAACTATCTGTTTATATCCTTTGCCTGTTTTTATATTGGGTTGTCTTTTTGTCTTGATTTCAATGAAATCCTTATATATTTAAAAATAAAAAAAAGTTGTGGGGGCCGGGCGCGGAGGCACTTTGGAGGCCAAGGCAAGTGGATCGCTTGAGGTCAGGAGTTCGAGACCCTGTCTCTACTAAAAATACAAAAATTAGTTGGGCATACTGGCATGTGCCTGTAATCCCAGCTACTCAGGAGGCTGAGGCAAGAGAATCCCTTGAACCTGGGAGGCGCAGGTTGCAGCAAGCTGGGATCGCGCCACTGCACTCCAGCCTGGGAGACAGAGTAAGACTCAGTCTCAAAAAACAAAAACAAAAACAAAAGACAAAAAAAGAACGCTTTGTCAGTCTTATGAATTGCAAAATTTTCCTATTTTTCTCTGCCTTGTAACTACTTTTTTGTGTAGTAAAATATATCGGTCTTTTTTTATTTGGTTTCTAGACTTTGATTCATAGAAAGGCCTTCCTCACTCCAATGTTACAAAGAAATTCGTCCATATTTTCTTCTACTACTTTTGAGGTTTTATTTTTTTCTGTATAAATCTTTGCTACATTTGGAGTTTATCTTGATGAATAGCGTGGGCTATGGATCCAATTTTATCTTTTCCAGATAGATATCCACTTGTCATAACACGATTTATTAACATTGAGATGCATCCTTTATCATAAACTGAATTTCCCCATGCTAGTCATCTTTTTCTTTACTTTTCTTTCTGTTTCTTTGTGTGTCTACTCATGTGCCAAAACCATACCATATCAATATTTATGGTCAGACTAGTCTCTTTCAATTGCTCTTCTTTTCAGACTCTTTCTACCCATTCTTTTCGTTTTTACTCTTTATTTGGAAATAAATTCAAATTCACAAATAGTTGCAAACATAAAGTAGTACAAAAATAGTCACATATCCTTTCATTTGTTTTATAGTTTCATCTTCTCTTCTTCTCCTTCTCTTTCGTACATAATTTTTTTGCTGACCCATTTAAGGATAAATTTCATACATCATGGCCTTTGCCCCTAAGTTCCCCAAGTGTGCATTTCCTAAAAATACAGATATTCTTTTAAATAACCACACTACAATGATCAACTTCATAAATTTACATTGATACAATACTTGTATCTCTTCTACCATTCATGTTTTTGCCATTTGACCCAATAATACCCTTTTTAGCATTTCTCGCGCCTCCAGTACAGCATTAAGCCAGTGCCCAGCTTTACATTTAGCTTATATCTATTCTTGCTTGTTTCATTTGATTAAAAAACTTGGTATTTTTATCAAGATTATATTAAAATATTTAATTAATTTAGGGAGAACTAACATCTTTGTAATGTAATGCCGAGTCTTCCTGTTCAAGAACACTTTATACTTTTTTATTCTGGTCTACTTTTTTGTTCTTTGGTGAAGTTTTAGTTTTCCTTATATACATTTGCACATTTTTGTTAATTTATACCTACTATTCTCTCTTTTTTTGCCCTATTTTATATGGACTTCTAACTGGCTGTGAAACTATTGATTTCAGAATATTTATTTTATACTAGTGGCCTTACAAAGTTTTCTTATTGTTTGTAGCAGTTTTCAGTTGTAATTTTAATTTTTTGCCTGTATTATTACTTACAATTTAAATAAATACTTATTGAATCAAAAGAAATAAAAATTTATTCCTAAATTATCTATCTCACATACTTTTTTTTTTTTTTCTGAGACGCAGTCTCTCTCTGTTGCCCAGGCTGGAGTGCAGTGGTGCTATCTCAGCTCACTGCAAGCTCCGCCTCTGGGGTTCACGCCATTCTCCTGCCTCAGCCTCCCGAGTAGCTGGAACTACAGGCGCCCGCCACCACGCCTGGCTAATTTTTTAATATTTTTATTAGAGACGGGGTTTCACCATGTTAGCCAGGATGGTCTTGATCTCCTGAACTCGTGATCTGCCCGCGTCAGCCTCCCAAAGTGCTGGGATTACAGCCGTAAGCCACCACACCCGGCCCCTATCTCACATACTTCCTTAAGGTTTGTATTAGCTCAATCTATTCCCCCTATTTACTTAAAATCTCTTTTTTTGAGAGAGAGAGAGAGAAAGAGAGAAAGAGAGAGAGAGAGAGACTCACTGGGTCACCCATGCTGGAATACAGTGGTGCCTTCCTGGGCTCAAGTAATCCTTCCTCCTCAGTCTCCCAAGTAGCTGGGACCACAGGCATGTGCCACCACACCCAGCTAATTTTTTAAAATTTTTTATTTCATAGAGACAAGGTCTCCCTATGTTGCCCAGGCTGGTCTCAAACCCCTAGGCTCAAGCAATCCTCCTACCTCAGCCTCCCAAAGTACTAGGATTCCAGGCATGAGTCACCATGCCTGGCCTACTTAAAGTCTTTTCTTGATATTTAAAATTAATCAATTTTTTGATACTTAAAATTAACAGCTTTTATAGTCATCATTAATTACCTCATAATTTTACTCTAGCAATAATACTTCAAAGTGTAACAAAATATCAACATATAAAAAGTATATAATAACTGCTGTTTTCACTTCAAGTTACATCTAGCATGCTTACTTGGATTTGCAATGAATATTCAGATGTCAGCTATAATTCTTAATGACACACCTCATTTGTCTTACTGGCCTTTTTAAACACATTATATTGATGGCAACATATAATTTTGAGGGAGGCTGACACTGGCATCTTCTAATCTGGGGGGGCGGTCACTGCAGAGACTACTGTAAGCAGGGACAGAGGCTCCATAGATTAGAAACAGGCAGTGACAAGAGGAGAATGTGCCCTGCAAACAAGCAGGTCCATATGGGAGAAAACCTGTTGTAAACAGGGAAACATGGAATGATCGTGGGGGCTAAGAACAGTATTCTGTGCTTCAGCTGTAGATCTGCGACCAAGATTTAACAGTAACAGAAAAGTGGATAGTGAGTAGGTTTCATGTAAACTACACATCCTGCCCTTGGCATTTTCTATTCCTTACCTCTATCCTCTCTTGAACCTACTTCAATCAAACTTTTGCATCCACCATTTCACAGAAACGTCTCATATGAAGGTCACCAATGACTTCCATGTTATTAAATCAATTCTCTAGGTACTTGACTTATCAGGAGTTTGTGACATTTCCATAACACATTTCTTTTTGAAGTACTTTAAAAACTATATTATACTTCCAAGACATCACAGTTTCCTGATTTTCCTCCTGCCTCCATGGCCAGTGGTTCTCAGGCTAGAAATGTTAGATTTAACAAACAAAAATACAGTTAATCCTGAATTTCAGGTAAATAACAAATAACTTTTCGTATAAGTTTATGCCAAATATTGCATGAGATAATTATGTATTAAAAATTATTTGTTTAAAATACAACTGGGTGTCCTTTATTTCATTTGGTAGCCCTATATCTGTCTGTTTTTCTGGATTCCTCCTTATCTCCACAACTTCTCTTCTCCATCTATACTCACTCCCTAAGTGGTCTCATACTATCTTGAGGCTTTAAAAACTATCTATCTGCTGAAGACTTTCAAATTTGTATCAACAGTCCAGACTTCCCCTTTTTACTCCAAACTTACATATATGTCTACTGATATCTCCTCTTTGATATCCAGTGGGCATCTCAAGTTAACACAACCAAAACTAATTTTTTTTTTTTTTAGATGAAGTCTTGCTCTGTCACACAGGCTAGAATGCAGTGGCATGATCTTGGGTCACCGCAACCTCTGCCTCCTGGGTTCAAGCGATTCTCCTGGCTCAGTCTCCCAAGCATCTGGGACTACAGACATGCACCACCACACCCAGCTAATTTTTGTATTTTTTGGTAGAGATGGGGTTTCACCATGTTGGCCAGGCTGGTCTTAAACTCCTGGCCTCAAGCGATCTGCCCGCCTTGGCCTCCCAAAGTGCTGGGATTACAGGCGTGAGCCACTGCACCCAGCCCCAAAACTGAACTTTAATCTCCTCCAAAGAACCCTGCTCCTTCTGCAGTCTTCCCCACCTCAGAAAATGGCAATTTTTATCTTCCCAGTGCGAAGGCCCCAAACTGTGGAGTCATCACCAAGTATTCCCTTTTTTGTATACGCCATCTCCATGTCTTCAGCAAATCCTTTTGCCTTCGTCTTCAAAATGTATCCCCAAATGAATCACATCTCTGGAATCTCTCATCTGTAATACAGAAACAACCTCCTAGATAGTCTCCCTGCTCCTTCCTAGAGTCTATTGTTTATTCTCAAAACTGAAGCAGGAATGATTCTGAGTCTAAGCAGATTCCTTATGCTCAGATCCCTCCAGTGCTTTCCCATCTCTCTCCTAATAAAAGGAAAAGTTTTACAACCACCTGTAAGGCCCTGTACAAATCTGGCATTCCATGACTTCTCTGATCTAAATTCTCTCTGCCTTGCTACTACTACTAAAACAACCCTGCTCTTTTCCTGTTCTTCAGAAAACCCAGGCACCCTCCCACTTAGAAGCCTTTGTGCTTTGTTTTCTCTGCCTGAAATAGTCTTCCTCTGGATAGCTGCACGGGTCACTCTCCCACCTCCTACTGCTGTCTTCTCAGATACTATGCTTTCAATGTGGCATTCTCTGATCACCCAGTATTAAATTGCAAGCACTCTCCACCTCAGTACTACATAATTACCAACCTTGTTTTATTTTCCTTTGAAACTTATCATCATGTGTATTAGTCTATTTTATGCTGCTACAACAGAAGACCTGAGATGGGTAATTTATGAACAATAGAAGTTTATTAGGCTCATAGTTATGGAGGGTGAGAAGCCCAAGAGCATGGCACAAGAATCTGGTGAGAGCCTTCATGCTGCACCATTCCATGGCAGAAGGCAGAAGGGCAAGGGCAAGAGAGCATGTGTGAGATTGAAAGAAGAAGAGAGAGCCAAACTTTTTTTTTTTTTTTTGAGATAGAATCTCACTCTGTCACCCAGATGGGAATGCAGTGGTGCGATCTCAGCTCACTGCAACCTCTGCCTCCTGAATTCAAGCACTTCTTATGCCTCAGCCACCAGAGTAGCTGGGACTATAGGCATGCACCACCATGCCCAGCTAATTTTTTATATTTTTAGTAGAGATGGGGTTTCCCCGGGTTTCCCAGGCTGGTCTCGAACTCCTGAGCTCAGGCTACCCACCTGCTTTGGCCTCTCAAAATGCTGGGATTACAGGCATGAGCCAGTGCCCAGCCCAAACTCACTTTTCTAACAAGCCCACTCCTGCAATAATAACTCACTCCTGTGACAATGACATTAATCCATTCACAAGGGCAGAGCCCACCTGGCCTAATCACTTATTATGCTCTACCTCTCAACACTGTTCCATTAGGGATTAAGTTTCCACCACATGGCTGGGTGCCGTGGCTCACATCCCAGCAATTTGGGAGGCCCAGGTGGGAGGACTGCTTGAGTCCAGGAGTTTGAGATCAGACTGGGCAATATAGTGAGACCTCATCTCTACAACAAAATTAAAAATTAGCTGAGCATGGTGACATGCACCTGTAGTCCCAGATACTTAGGAGGCTGAGATGGGAGGATCTCTTGAGCCTGAGAGGTGGAGGTTGCAATGCACCTAGATCGCACCACTGCACTCCAGCTTGGGTGACAGAGTGAGACCCTGTCTCAAAAAAAAATTTCCAACACATGAACTTTGGGGCACACATTCAAACCATAGCTGCATCCAACATACTACAAGTTTTACTTTATTTTTTTATTTTTGGTCTGTTTCTCTCTCCAAGAATGTAAGCTTGAGGAAGACAGGAATTTTTGCCTATTTTGCAAACTAATGTATCTCCAGCACCTATAAGTAGCATGAATGTGGTCTCTTCAAAGCCTGGTACTTGGTAGGCACTCAATAAATAGAATAAATAGTTATTGAATGCATAAATAAATGAATGAATGAAACTAAATACGCATAAAGCAGCTGTCACCAGGTGACAGATTATTGAGAAATCCCAGAGCAAAGGAAGCAATAAAGAAAAGATGAGTTTGGGAGGGTAATGAAAAGCTCAGTCTTGGCAGAGAGGAAAGCAGAGGGACCCTGGCTGTCTTTTCCTTTCTTTCAACCTACTAGTAAAAGACGGGAGCTGTCCAGCATGGACCTCCTGAAGTTGGAGTGCCGCTGCAGGGACGAAAGCCTGCTTTCCTAACCCTGCCCAGGATCACTTCATTGCCATCCTTTATCAAATACACCTTTGTTCCCTGTGTGCTTATCCTTCCCAGTCCTTTTCCCTTTACTCAAATGTGCCCAGAAAGCCCATGAGCTACATGAAGTCTTATTGTTCCCAAGCTTTTCAAAAAGCTTTACTCACTCCAGTAACTTCCATGCCATTAAAGTGATGACTGGGATGACAGAAACAGTGTCTTCATAAATGTATCCATTGAAATGTGTTTGGTGCTTCCTTTGTGTGTATCTCTCAAAAATAAGCTTTTCAAATTTGGTGAAAAGCCAAGATTGGGGGCTCAATAGTCTAGCAAATTTCTTAATGAGGAAGCCCTGCTTCTCTATCACACACCTAGTTGATTGAGTTGTGTGTCTCCCCTCCCCAACCTCTAAAGACATGTCTACTTGAATCCTGTGAATCCCAACAAGTTTCTCATCTCCATCTGAGACCACCTCAGCCTGGACCTTATTGTCCATATCACTATCAACATTTTGGTCAAAGCCATTCAACAAGCCTCTAGGAAGTTCCAAACCTTCCCACAATTTCTTATATTCTGAGCCCTCCAAACTGTTCCAACCTCTGCCTGTTACCCGGTTCCAAAGTCACTTCCACATTTTAAGGTATCATTACAGCAGTACCCCACTCTCAGTACCAATTTACTGTATTAGTCCATTTGCCCACTGCTGATAAAGACATACCTGGGGCTGGGTAATTTATAAAGAAAAAGAGGATTAATGGAATCACAGTTCCATTAATCTGTGGATTCCATTAATTAACACAGTTAATTCCATTCCATTAATTAACACAGTTCCATTAATGTCTGGGGAGGCCTTACAATCATAGTGGTAGGTGAAGGGTGAAAGGCGCATCTTACATGGCAGCAGGCAAGAGAGAGCTTGTGTAGGGGAACTCTCACTTATAAAACCATCAGATCTCATGAGACTTATTCACTATCATGAGAAGAGTATGGGAAAGACCCGCCCCCATGATTCAATTAACCTTCCACTGGGTCTCTCCCATGACACATGGGAATTGTAACACATGGGAAATATAATTCAAGATGAGATTTGGATGGGGACACAGCCAAATCATATAACCTGCCAATATTTATTATCTGTCTGTTTTATTTTAGCCATCTTAATGGATATGAAGTGGTATCTTATCGTAATTTTGATTTGTATTTCCCTGATGGCAAATTATGTTGAATATCTTTCTATGTGCTTATTGACCATTTGTGTAATTTCTTTGGATAAATGTCTGTTCATATACTTTGCTCACTTTTTCATTTTACTTTTGACTTATAAGTATGGCTTTTTTTTTTTTTTTTTTTTGAGGTGGAGTCTTGCTCTGTCACGCAGGCTGGAGTGCAGTTGTGAGATATTGGCTCACTGCAACTTCTGCCTCCTGGGTTCAAGCAATTCTCCTGCCTGAGCCTCCTGAGTAGCTGGGACTACAGGTATACGCCACCACGCTCAGCTAATTTTCATATTTTTAGTAGAGACAGGCTTTCACCATGTTGGCCAGGCTGGTCTTGAACTCCTGACCTCAGGTGATCCACCTGCCTCAGCCTCCCAAAGTATGACTCATTTCAAAAACTTTGTTATTTAGAAATAATTTCAGACTTTTACAAAGTTGCAAGAATAGTATAAAGAATTCCTGAATACTTTTAATGCAGATTTCCTAAATGTTAACATTTTACCTTTGCCTTATTCATTCTAATTTTTTTCTGAAACATTTGAAAGTAAGTTGCAGATATGATGCCCCTTTACTAAATACTTCTGTGTACTTCCAAAAACAAGAACACTCTCTGATATAACAATAGTTCACTGGTCAAAGTCAGGAAATGATTCAATGCCAATAACTAACCTACAGACCTTATTCAAATTTCACCCATTCCCCTACCCATGTCCTTTATCAGGCTTATGTTTTTAACACAATTTTTACACATTTCTTACCTTTCAGGCATTTGTATCTTTTTAAAAGAGTTACTGTTGGCCAGGTGGGGTGGCTCACACCTATAATCCCTGCACTTTGGGAGGCTGAGATGGGAGAACTGCTTGAGTCCAGTTCAAGACCACACTGGGCAACACAGCAAGAGCCATCTCTATAAAAAAACACAAAAATTAGCGAGAGCAGATAATCATCTTCCTCAGAAAAGAAGAATTTTCCAGACCCTCTCCTAGTATAGGAAAACCACGTTCTCCTTAGGGGCTGTTCCCAAGTGGTTCCTCCTAGAAGCAGCTAGGTTCAGAAGAGTCTAGGTCTGATTTTTTGCCATCCCTTCATTGTTCCCTCCTTTTCTTCAAAAATCTGGCAAATGGTAGAAATTTAACAAATGTCAAATGAATGGATGGATGGGATCGTGCTTTCATCAACCTGTCTTCTAAGGCCTGGAGAGCAGGGAGAAGCTATTAAAATTCTTTAAATAGTAAGCTGTTGGGCCAATGAGATCTTTATCTTCAGTGTGAATAGGTAAGTGAAAAGCAGGGCAACTTCAAATGGTATACACATATACAGAGTCTTATCAGCGTTAAAATACCAAAAGCTTAAAAAACAATTAGCCAGGCGTGGTGGTGCGCACCTGTAATCCTAGCTACTCAGGAGCCTGAGGTGGAAGGATTGCTTGAGCCCAAGAATTCAAGGCTGCAGTAAACTGTGATCACACCTCTGCACTTCAGTTTGGGCCACAGAGCGAGACTCTGTCAAAAAAAAGAAAAAAGAAAAGAAAAAAGCCTTCCTCCAAGTTGTTTCTTCCTTAGAGTTGGCAATAATAGTGGAAAGGCGGTAACTTTGCTGTTTAGCCCCAGGGGAGGGATCAGCCCTGTGGGGAATTGGGCTAAGTTATCAGAGGTTACTTACTGCCCTTGCTAAACTCTAAAGAGATTCGTTTTTTAAAAACTGACACACAATATTTGGACATATGTATATACACAATGGAATACCACTCGGCCACTAAGAAGGAAACCATGAAGAGATTCCTTTTTAATATATGTAGCTGCATGCCAACTTGTCTCACGTTCCTCCTCTCCTAGAAAAAAAAAAATGTGGATTTTTCTGAAGCACCTGCCTGGAGGTACAGACAGATGATTGCGCAAACTTGAAGCTGAAAGTGGATGGAATTGCTGCCAGGGAGACTGTAGCATGAGCAGGAGCAGAATCCTGGGGAACACACTTTTAGGGACAGGAGTCAGAAATCTCAGAGAAGCAGGGGTTACTGGTGGGATCACGGAGCTGCTCAGGGCCTAGTAAAAGGGAAAGGTTTTAATATCATTTGGAGCCACTGTGGTTCTCCCAGAGGAAGCTCCTGTCATCCAGAGAGCGGTGAGCTCCCAAACAAGCAGAGACTTCAATTCCTAAACAGGCATAAGCTTCATTCAGGGTGTTCACTGGCCACGACCAGGGACGCCCAGCACCCAGTGCAGGGCCTGCCCTGGAAGAGGTCAGTAGTGCAAAGTTAGGGCTGGAACTGGGAGGAAATTCGAGCATGCGTCCCAGCCGGAGGCTGAGCTTGCGGGCGAAGAACACGGCAGCGCTGGGAACCGGGCTAGGGCTTTCCGTGTGGGCCGCGCCTGCCGGCCCTCTCTGTTGTCCCACTTGGCACGGACTGGGCTACCGCCACGGTTTGACTTCCGCCACCAGCAACCAAGGGAACCAGATCCCAAGGGAACCAGCACCCCTGGGCGCTCGCGGCCCGAAGCCTGAGGTTCCCGCCCCGCCCCGGCAGGGCGGCCCCGCCGACACCCGTAGCGGTCCCGCCCCCCGCGGCCGCACCGCCTCCTGCCTGGTCTCGGGTGCCAGCGCCGCCGGCGGAGAACAGGAGCATGGAGGGCGGGCTGGGGCGTGCTGTGTGCTTGCTGACCGGGGCCTCCCGCGGCTTCGGCCGGACGCTGGCCCCGCTCCTGGCCTCGCTGCTGTCGCCCGGCTCCGTGCTTGTCCTTAGCGCCCGCAACGACGAGGCACTGCGCCAGCTGGAGGCCGAGCTGGGCGCCGAGCGGTCTGGCCTGCGCGTGGTGCGGGTGCCCGCCGACCTGGGCGCCGAGGCCGGCTTGCAGCAGCTGCTCGGCGCCCTGCGCGAGCTCCCCCGGCCCAAGGGGCTGCAGCGACTGCTGCTTATCAACAACGCGGGTAAGACCCCGGGGCTGGAGCGGACTCCCCATGTGAGCGCCCACTTCCTCCACCGCTGGGGAATTTAAGGGCTACTCCTAGGGGTCAGATAGGACGCCTAGAAATCTAAAGCCCTAGTTGTTCCAGCTTGAGTAGCAAGTGGAGGCGAGGTGTACAGGAAGACTCGGTGCCGTCGGGACAACAGTCTGCCCCCACTTCCTGGAAAATTGGCCAGCCGGGTTTTCCAAAGCGCCTGTAGAACTTTCCCGAGCCCCTTGCTCTGCGCCCTCTGGCGGAGGCCTGAGTCAGGGCTTGGAGTCTCCAAACAAGTAAACTCTCTGCTTCTCCAAAGGACCGCTAGAGCTTTCCTTCAGCCCCACGGCAAGGCAGGTGCCTTCTCATTCTGCAGCTTGGGATGGCTAGGTTCCCCAGCTGTGTCTTTCCGCAGAGCTGGGGAAGAGAGAAGCCTCTTCAGAAGCGCTAGGCAGCTTCCTCCTCTAGGTCTGCATGGGAAGAGGATATCTGGAGGAACTTGGGAGGGCTGGGGAAGAAGAAAGCCCCGCCTGCACTGAGTTACTCCTAAGGGTTGGTTTTTCAGGCTCTCTTGGGGATGTGTCCAAAGGCTTCGTGGACCTGAGTGACTCCACTCAAGTGAACAACTACTGGGCACTGAACTTGACCTCCATGCTCTGCCTGACTTCCAGCGTCCTGAAGGCCTTCCCGGACAGTCCTGGCCTCAACAGAACCGTGGTTAACATCTCGTCCCTCTGTGCCCTGCAACCTTTCAAAGGCTGGGCGCTGTACTGTGCAGGAAAGGCTGCTCGTGATATGCTGTTCCAGGTCCTGGCGCTGGAGGAACCTAATGTGAGGGTGCTGAACTATGCCCCAGGTAGGTGGGAAGTCCTGCCGTCCCTGTCCTCCAGAACCCACTGGTGCGCCTCTGGGGGCTGGGCAAGCGGCCTAGTCCGCCCCCTCCAGGAAACAACCCACAGGATTTTGTCCTTGAATCTTGACCCATCACCCCTTAGGGGAAATACAGACCCAGGGGAAATAGAGGTGGCAGGGGCCGGGGATACTGGTAGAGAGTGAGGAGTTTCCTGGACTGGAGGGTGGGGCAGGAAGGTCTGAGGTATTAGATGGAGTTTGGGAGAAGACTGGGGTTTGAGTTCCAGGCCTTCCTCATGTGAAATGGGGAAGACGCTCCCTGCCTCACAGGGCACTTGGGAAGACTGAATGAGATACTGTATGTGAAAATGACCCTGACCTGTGAAGTGTTGCCTCATTGTTAAATAGGACTGACCACACTGTATTGTCTGCATATGTTTGCTTGCCTCCTTCCCTCCCTTGACAGGAAAGCCTTTGCACTATGCAGATGTGTGTTCCTAACACCTAGCAAAGCACTACACTAAGGCAAGCTGCAGGACATGCTAGCTGTATGGAGAGCAGACAGACTTTGTTGAGTGCTGACCATCCCTGGCTGAACTGTGCTGGAACACTATTGAGGATTCTGGGATAAATAGAATAGATCCCTTGCTCTCATGAACGCCAAAGGACAGGGAGTCTTGTGATACTGGGTCTAGTTTCTGATGCCACAGCGCCCCTGTCTTAATAGTGAGGAGTCTCTTTTAGGCTTGAGGTTGCTGCAATCAGAAGGTGGTGACAGAGCAGCCATGGAAAGCCTGAGCAACTTGGGCAGAAATCCAGTAGCCTGTGTCCCTGGGGAATAGGGTCAGGCTCCCAGGGCAGACAGGTAGAATGGCCTGCACAAAGCACAGATGTGGCAGGGCTGGATCCCACCTTGCTTTCAAGTTCTTCCTCATGTTCTCCAGTACCCCAGCCCCTACCACCCCTGCCCCCCAACACACATGCACAATTATTCTCACAACCAACATTCAACTCATCATCCACTCTGAATTCAGCCCAAGGATTCGCACAAACAACAGTGACCAAATGTAAGCTACAACCAGGAGCAGAGCAGACTCCAGAAGTCCACATGGCTGCGTTTGGTCTCAGGAGGCTGCCCTGGGCATTATGAGGGAGCTGAGATTTTCAGGAGGTCCCCAGGGCCTGAACCAAGGCAGAGGCCAGTCTGGTTTTCATTTCGGTCTCAGGAAGAATGTTCTAACAGGTGCTCAGAGATGGAATGGGCTGTTTGGAAAGGCAGCAAGTCCTCTCTCAGCAGGGATGCACAGGTCATTGGAAAATAGTCAAGGACCAGGAGATAAATTCTCCCTCCAACCCTGGAATTCTCTGATGTTCTGCCCTCGAGGACCATTAACTGCAAATATTGGGGTGCATGAGTGATTCCTATGTGAAGAATAGAACGTGCTTGCAACAGTTCAAGAAGGGAACAATTCCTTTAGGTGGGGAGACTAGAGATGGCTTTATTGGAGGTAGCTGAACTGGACATTGACCTTGGTTGTTGGCAGATGGAAGGCATTCCTGATGAAAGGAAATAAAGGTGCGAAGGCTCACTGTGGGCGTGGCAGGTCTTCAGTTTGCCTGTAGAGTAGGTGTGCCCAGAGGAGGGCAGACTAGGATGCCTTGAGTATTAGGCCAGGCTACTGGGAAGCTGTTGAGGGGTTTTGAGCGGAGGAATGTTGTGATCCCAGTGATGTTTTTGTTTGTTTATTTGTTTGTTTGTTGAGATGGAGTCTCACTCTGTTGCCTAGGCTGGAGTGCAGTGGCACGATCTCGGCCACTGCAAGCTCCACCTCCCAGGTTCACGCCATTCTCCTGCCTCAGCCTCCCGAGTAGCTGGGACTACAAGCGCCCGCCACCACACCCGGCTAATTTTTTGTATTTTTAGAAGAGATGGGATTTCACCATGTTAGCCAGGATGGTCTCAATCTCCTGACCTCATGATCTGCCCGCCTCGGCCTCCCAAAGTGCTGGGATTACAGGCGTGAGCCACTGCACTTGGCCTAGGCTCAGGCAATTCTAGTGCCTCAGCCTCCACAGTAGCTGGGACTACAGGCATGTGCCACCACACCTGGCTAATTTTTGTATTTTTAGTAGAGACAGGGTTTCACCATGTTGGCCAGGCTGGTCTCAAACTCCTGACCTCAAGTGATCCTCCTGCCTCAGCTTCCCAAAGTGCTGGGGTTGCAGGTGTGAGCCACTGCAGCTGGGCCCCAGTGATGTTTTAGTAGAATGAGTTTAGTAGAGGGCTACAGAAGGAGCTGAGGCAGGGAGAGAAGCAAGGTTGTAAAAAGGGCCTGATTGTCGGGATGTGTAGATGCTGAAGGGTCCTACCTGGTGCCTGGTTGGCTCTGGGGACGATGGGGGAGGGAAGGAGGAAGTGATGGACGTTTTGAGTCTGGGAAAAGAATACTTCATTAATAGAAATGGGAATGTCAGGAGGTGGTGCTGGTTGGACAGGAGATGAGAATCTTGGTTTTAGACATGGTAGTCTAGAGGGTCCATGTTCAGTGGGCTTTTGAATTTCAGTCCAGAACTTGATGGTGACAAATTGGAGCCTTTGGCAACCCTGACCACACATTTCAGCCAAGATGACGTGTTTCCTCTGGCCAGACCTGACTCAGCCCCACCCCCGACATAAAACAGGGACCTGAAACCTTCTGTCCCTGCCTTGGCCATGTTCCCTCATCGTCTCCTTTTCATCCTCTAGGTCCTCTGGACACAGACATGCAGCAGTTGGCCCGGGAGACCTCCGTGGACCCAGACATGCGAAAAGGGCTGCAGGAGCTGAAGGCAAAGGGGAAGCTGGTGGATTGCAAGGTGTCAGCCCAGAAACTGCTGAGCTTACTGGAAAAGGACGAGTTCAAGTCTGGAGCCCACGTGGACTTCTATGACAAATAAGCCCATGTTTTTGGCTTCCTGAACCTTTTTGCCCCCACTTTTAGACATACCCCAGAGCCCTGTGGCTCCCCACACCCTGCCATAGGGGCAGTCCTGCCTTACACATAGAAGCATTCATGCCTGCTGCCCTGCCCTCAGGCACAGCCAGCTGTGAGCTCCCAGGTCATTGGCCTTACCAGTTGTCAGGAGTCTGTGCTGTGCACCCTGGGTTATAAGGAGGCTTAGGAGAGAGGTTATGGGTATTGGTGTCTCTATCCCCAGGAATAGAACTTAAGGGGTGGGAAGAACAGGAAAAGAAGCTGGAACACAGAAGAGAGGAGGTTGTGTCTCTTGCTCATAGCAAGCCTGTGGGTAGAGGAAAGAGTGATCTGGTGTCGAATAGGAGGACCCATGTAGATTCGCAGATGGCCTGGATGGGAGGAAGGGCAGACGGTACATGTCCCAGCCCACATAGATGCCCCTTGCTGAGGGTAGCAGGACCTTCTGTTGAACTTTGTGTCCTCACTCTGATGTCTCCTTCCTTCAGAATCTACCACCCCTCCCCCAGGCTGGGAGAAGGGGCTCCTGGGTGTCTGTATACACGCCAAAGGCAGATACAAATAAAATACAGATTGTCCTTTCTTCATGCTTGCTTTCTCCTCTGATACAGGGCCTATGACTGACTGCCTGGTTCACTGGGCCCAAGGCCATTCCCAAGGCAGTTAACCCAAAAGTGAGGTGTTGTCCTTATTTCCTAGGGAGCTTTCCGGGGGCCATCTGCCTCCAGTCATCAGGCCCCACTCAGTGGCAAGCCCAGGTGCAAAGTTGCCCACAATCGGCATGCCTGCTTTTTTGTGCTGTTGCCCACGCTGACCCCAGCCTTGATAGCCCTTTTCTCACCCTGGGCTATTCAGAATACCCATCTTTTAGGGCCCAGCTTACAGCCTGCCCTCCACATGGCCCTAAAGCCTGGGTCCTTTCCCCAACTCTGTGGATTGCCAATTCCACCCCCTGTCCACGTGGCAATGCTGTGAATGGATGCCAGCTGCTATTGGCCCTTTTGGCATTGTCCATCTGGCCCATGGTCCAGGTCGTCAGTGGGGTGGGCTTAGGACCAGCATGCCTTTGGGGGAGATGGGCAAGATTCCAAGAAAGGGAAGCTCTGAGAAATCAGGGCTGCAACCAAGCCAATCCTTGTGCAGGTTGGTAGACATAGGCTGGGCTGCGAGCTCCACGGCAGTGGTGGTCTGCAGCCAGCACCCTGGCCCCTGGCCATATTTGGGAGAAGGAAGCGTGGTCCCCTGCCCGCTGACTCCAGGACTCAGCCTGCCTCTGAGTGTGCAGAAGGGAACTCCTCCTTGTGCTCAGCAGAGGGCGCATGGAGGCCGCGCCTTTTGCTGAAGGGCAGGCCCTAGGCTGAAGCTGGCAGTGCCCTGCCTGCTCCCCTAGGAGGGAATGGGCGAACTTTTACCTGGTCCAGCAGATGCCTTGCCCTCATGCCCCCATCGAAGTAGAAATCACTGGGCTCAGGTTCCTGCTCTGCCACAGCTGGTAACCCAGGGCAAGTTTCTTCTCTGTGCCTCAGTTTCCTTATCTGAAAAATGTGGATTATAATGGCACCTACCCTGAAGGGTTATTTTGAACATTAAGTGACCTAATGTTTGTAAATGTTCAGCACAGTGCTAGCATTGTGGTAAATGCCCTGTAGATGCTAATATTATTTATTGCCTTTAAATATCAAGATCCAGCTCATCCTGGAACTCTGCTGGAAGCCTCCTCTCCTCTAGACAGTTCAGACATCCTCCCCTGCCTGACTTGAGGCAAAAACTCTCACTGTACTGCCCCTATTCAGCCTCCTGGAGGTGAGGGTGGGGTCTGGTCTGGATACCTTGTCTTGGATTTACAGGAAAATGTGTGAACTTTGGAGTCAGGAACCTTCAGTCCCACTACCTTGTCTATGACAGAGATGCTGTGGGGTGTTGGGCAGAGCCCTGCTCTCTCTCTGGGCTTCAGTTTCCTTAGAGCAGTGAACTCCAAGATTCTTTCCTGGACACCTTCGTCTGAGGTGTTTCCAGTGTGGTGAGGCCATGGATTATGGCAGCCTGGGCTGCCTTTCATGACGTGGTGGGTGGTGGGTAGGTTTCCTCACCAGGCCCCTTGCTCCTGTGGGAGTGTGAGGGTGGGCAGTGCCAGTCCAGCTCCTTGTGGATGATCATCGGGGTTGACTCTGTACCTCCCCTCTAGGCTGGTTGGCCAGGGGCTTAGTGAGGAGTACCGCTTGTCCCCACGAGGTGGCGAGGCCCTCCCATGCCTGACATTTGTCTTCTCTGAGCCCAGAGATGTAAGAGCTTCGGAAGTGCTCTCTTGGGCTATCTCTCCCTGCAGCCCAGGATTCTGGACTCTCGGGCCCCCAGGGAATTGGGGAGATCAGAGATGGGCAGCATCACTCTTCCTGTCAGGTCCCGAGGCCTCTTCAGTGACCCACAGTCTCTGCCCTCAGGGATTTCCCAGACCTTGCTCCCAGCCCTGGACTCAGCCTCCCCAGGTCCACCCACACTGAGGCATGGAGGCTTTTGTGGCGGCCTCCAGGCCATAAGCAGCCACCCTCCAGGGGCTAACCATCTGTGTTCCCCAACCGCATGACCTGGCCTTGGCCACCGCACACATGAGCACACGTGAGTGCACACACACAAATACATGCCTGCACATGCCCAGGGCCCAGCTGCTGGAGCGAGCAGGGCCATAGATGAGCTAAAAGACAAACGAGGTTCCTCTTTGTCTTTGGTGTGAGAGCGCTGTGCAGTTTTTGGTTTTGTGTTTAATACACCTGCACTGGGGCCAGCAGCTGGCCTGTAAGGAGCAGGGGGAGTGAGGGGAATATTCCAGGCCAAAGCCAGTGTCCAAGAGCATGACCAGCTGGGATTAGTCTGGTCAAGAGGTTCCCCCGAATCCCCAATTCCTGTCCTTCCTCCTATGAATACATATGTGTGCCCCCACACCCAGGCTGGTGCTGAGTCTGTTGTCAGCCATCAGGGTCACCCGCCCGGGATGTACTCCATCCTAGCATCTCCCCGTGCCTCACCCCAGAGAGCTAAGCCCTGGAATGCTGCCTCCTGGCCTCCTTCACCTTCGTCCTTTCCCATAGAACATGGCCTCATAGGCTAGCATGCATGCGATAATTCTGACTCATATGGCAGGTGAGCACACCCAAAAGCGCCCAGGCGTGCCCTCGCTACTGGGCTCCCGTGTGATGACAGGGAGGTGGGTGAAGATGACTCCAAGTCCCCTGGGGTAGAAACCCCCTGAGGTGGCACCTCTCCAGCCCTCACATCATCTCTCAGTGATCTGGGGTGTAAAAGCAGGGGAGTGGACCAGAAGCCACTAGACAGCTTGCTGGAAACCAGCTGAGGAATCACTCTGAACCTCTGGGGTTAGCTGGGGGAGCCGATGGAGGGTAGGGCTCTGAGCCTGGAGCGAGCCATCCTTGCCCCACTCCCCAGTCCTGAGGTCTCCCACCTGTGGTGCTGGGAGGCGGGGAGCAGCACAGATGTTGTCTCAGACTTTTGAAGTAGAGCCCACTCCCACGAGGGAATGATTGTTACTTCCCAGCCAGCCTCTCCTACCTCACCCTTTGTCTCTCCTTTCATCCATGGTAACTCCATCTTCAGCCCTAAGAGCCCTTCGTGTGAGCCAGGAGAGTCCCGGACTTCTTTTTTCAGTGAGGAGCTGGGGGAAAGGAGGAAGGGAGAGAGAAGGAAATGCCTATCCCTTGGGGGCTCCTCCCCCAGATGACCTTAGTGCTCAGCGTGGTTCCTCAGCTAACTAACCTGAAAGCTGTCTAGCAGCCTCTTAGTCCACAGGACTGCCAAAGGACAACCCCAGATCCCCCTATCTGACCCCCAGGGCAGGAGCCCTATGCAAAGGACAGGGACAGCTGCATCATTTTGTGGAACAAAATGAGCTTTTTCTAAGAGTCCCTCCTTGAGGCTTGCCCAGGTGACACACGAAAGGGACCAAGGGCAAAGTGAGGAGTTGAGAGGAGGTAAGTCCCCTCTCTGCTCTGGAGCATCCAGGCAGAAAAACAAAAGCAGACACCTTGAGAGTCAAAGACGGAGACAGGGCGAGCTGGACAGTGAGAGAGGAAGATAGAGAGAGGGACAGAAACACAGGGAGGAAACAGGCAGAAAGATTCGAAAATGTAGTAAGACAGATTTAGACGAAGGGAGAGAGATGGCGGGAGAAGCCACACACCCTCACACACTCACACACGCTCATACTCCCTCTCTCTCTCCCCCCTCCCTCTCTCTCTCACATACACACACTCACACACACACACACCCCGGGCATGCACTCACGCAGCCGCCCTGAGCCTTGCTGGAAATAATCCCGTTCGCGACGCCAGGGCCTCAGCTGCACAGGCGTTGCCGAGCTGTTACCTTGCACATCTGTCAGCTCCAAATGTAGAAGCTGTCATAGGACAGTGTGTGTGTGAGTGTGAGAGTGTGTGCATGCCTGTTCCTCCCAGAGAATTCTGAGGACTTGGTCGGCAGAGGGAGATTCCCAAGGGCCCGGAGGCTCTCCAGGAAGTCCAAGCCCTGGAAAGCAGGTCTGCTCCTTCCCTTCCTGCACAGGGAGTGGCCACGGGGCCGCCCAGCTTTATGAGATAGCCCGCTGGACTTGGCTTCTGTGGCCTGGCTCGGCCACTTACAGCCATGGGGCTCTGGGCAGTCACTTCTCAGAGCAGCTGGGTCTCCTGCTTGTCAGGTCGAGATGTTGGGTAGCTATGCCACCTGGAAGGAACCCAGAGAGGGGGTGATGAGCACCTGGTCTGGTGTGTGTCAGTCACTTCTGGTAGTCAGGGATTTTTCTCTGAGAGCTGGGAAGTCCTTCTTATGTCTGACTCCCACTTCTGGGAATGTATCCCGCACCCAGGTCCCTCTGGGGCACCGAGAACATTGCCCTCCTCTGACCCACTCTTCTCCACACCACTCTCCTTGCTGGACCTGAGGATGGGCCTTGGGCACCGACTCCGGGCACAAAAGGTCCAAGAACCTCAAACACCAAGTCTCCAGGAGCATAGGGTGTTGGCACAAAGCCTGGAGGATTTGAGAATGTTGAGCCTTTTCCTGTAAGGATCCTTGGGTAGAAATTTTTCTCTGGTGACTCTTTCCAGGTTTTCAACCCCCCTCCCTGGCCCCAAATGTCAGGACGCTCTTTTTTTGTGTTTGCACTTCCTCCTGCTTTAATCTAAGCTTATCACAGAGAAATTGTATAGCAATGAGAAAGAGGCCCCAGAAACTATCTAGTAAGGAGGGCAGCTTTTTCACCCCAAGTAAGAGGAAAGAGGGACCCTGGCCAAAGGGACCCCACCCTGTATTGGTGCTCTTCCCACAATGCCATGCCCACCCCATTTAATCCTCCCGTGATCCACGGAACTGACCCCTTGAAGACTTGAATACAAAGGCCCTGCCACCCATCCCACAGGCTGGCACCCTCACGCCTGTCCTGGCCTCATCAGAGACCATCTTAACTCCAGGCCATCTCTCATGCTGTCCTCAGATCCATGGTTCTTTCTGCCCAAAGGCTGGATGGAACAATCTAACAGGCGTTGTATGCTCATGGTGCTCACAGCAGGGTGTTCTGAGAGAGGAGATGAAGCCAAAGACTTGTATCAGTGGTTCGAGCCCAGAAGCCATCACCCGGAATATGTTCTCACCAGGGACCTGGGTCTCTGTGTATGCACATCACGGATACATATGAATCAGACATGGGCCTGCCCTGGGCCCAAGCCGTGTGTGTGTGTGTCTGTGTGTGTGTGTGTGTGTGTGTGTGTGTGTATATATATATATATATATATATAAAACTGTTTGCCACCCTAGAATTAGTCTTATGCGGGTTTGAACATTCAGCTTTTCTTATGCATGGAGGGGTGTAATTGTGTGTGTACCTGTGTATAAGTGTTCTGATGTAAAACTTACCAGATAATGGTGTGGTGTGCAAATGTGGGTTTGGGTGTATAGCTGTACATGCACACCTATAAGCCTATTGTGTGAATGTAAGCATAACTTTGAAAACTACTGTGAGCGCACATGAGCATTTGTATTTGAATAACAGTGGGTCTGTGGGTTTAAATCATGTATGCATCAACAATGTACATATATGTGATTATGAGTGCTGGTATATAACCACATGTTGTATTTCTGGGTTGCTCTCCATTCATAATTGGGTGTGCATGTGTGCGCACGTGACAGGTTGTTACCTTGCAAGCAGGAACTCATGCAAAGCTGTGCATGAGATTTATGTGTGTGTGATTTTGACACGGGGCTGGTGTCCCTGGATAAATGAGTGTGTTCAGGCCTGTGACTGGGGTACAACAATTGTGTGTTGAGAAACTGCAGACAGCCCTTAGGCCATGTCCAGCGAGAAGGAAATGTGTAAATGTTTGTTGAACACAAAACAGAACAGCCACAAAATGCCAGGCCCTGTAGTGGCGCGGCAAATCGTGGAAGTTTTTTCCTCCCTCTTCATCTCTCCCTCTCCCCAGCATCTCGGCCCCTCTCTGGCGTGGTTCCCTCACACCTAAGCCCAATGGTGTTTTGCAGGCTTTCAGCTGTTACCTCAGTCCCTCCTCGCCTCATTCCCGATTCACTCCGTTGCTATAGGTATGTTTGAAACCCCAGCGTGGTAGATTTTAATTAGTCTTCCTACAGATGGCCAATTAACATTCATTACTTTTGCCTTGAGCGATTAATTATGAGTTTGGATAGAAAAGGAGAGAAGAGGAGAGGAAGATGGGCAGGTGAATGAAAGGAGAAAAGAGAAGGGGGTTTGATTGGGAGTTTGGAATTTTTACACAGAGCAGGCTGGTGGGGGAGAGGGTGGGAAAGAGCCGTTTCAATCCCCTCACTCCCAGCGGCCTCCCTCAGCCCACAGCTGCTCCGGGCCCCTAATCGGCTTGGCTGGCCCAGCCCTCCAGGAAAATAGAGCTCACACCCTCGTTTGGGAGGCCTTAAGCCTTTGGTGTTCCCTGACCCCAACCCTTTCATAATACCGGCCCTCTTGTTTCTTGTGCCAGAGCTGGGTGGGAACTGTGTCAGGAATCGCCCAAAATATTGCAGATAACCCAGAAAGGAAGCTCTGCTGCCAGTCACTCCTTGCTAGAATTGCAGTGGTTCACTATACAGATGAGAAAACTGAGGCCCGCATAGGAAATGACTTCCCCCACCTCAGGCCCCTTGGAAGGTTGGGGAGAGTCCAGCTTTGTTGACTCCCCAGCTCAGTTCTCTTTCTGCTGCAACCAGGGTGGTTTATAAAGATTTTGTGCAACATTCCATGAACAGGCTGATTTCAAACACAGTTCACATTCTTCTCTGTGCACCTAACTGCCAAAAGCTCCTGTGATTCCCCAGCCCATTGAAAGACTCCTTGAGTGTTGTTGCTGGGTTCAGGAGCCGCACCTATGTTCCTAATCCTAAATTCATTCCAGGAGTGGGGGATAGATGCCTAAATGTAAACAACGGTCTTTTGGGTGGTAGGATTCCAAGTGATTTTCGTCTTCCTCTCTCAAATCATCTGTATTTTTAACTCTCTGTAGCACAGATGCATTATTTGAACAAAATAAAGTATATAAGCTATGCCTTCATTTACTTGAATTTTTTTCAAAATCTATATTGTAAAAAGAAACAAAGAAATCCATGTTAGTTTATGATCTTTTTTAAAAGACCACAAATATGTACATCAAAATTTTGAACACTGATTACCGCTTAAATCAGCCTGCTTGAATTCAAGTCACAGTTCTGCCACCCACTTCAACAGTGTCCTCATCTGTTAAGTCGAGTTAAAAAGAATATCCATCTCATAGGGTCGTGAGAATTAAAATAATACATGAAAAGTCTTAGAACGGTGTCTTGTATCTAGAAAGAGCCCAACAAATGTTATCTATTATGAATATTAATAACAGTAAGATTTTTAAATAGTGGTTATCTGAGTGGTGGGATTTTATCGAGGTCTTTTTGTTTTTCTGTATCTTGAAAAGTTTTCCACAGAGAACATGCAATACCTCGATAATAATAAGATAGTGTAATTTGGAAGAGAGAGAGGAAGGAGAGAAGGAAGGAGGGAGGGAGGAAAGGAAGGAAGCAGGAAAGGAAGGAAGGAGGGAGAGAGAGAAGGAAGGAGGGAGGGAAGGAGGGAGGAAAGGAAGGAAGGAGAGAAGGAAGGAAGGAAAGAAGGAGGGAAGGAGGGAGGGAGGGAAGGAAAGAAGGAAGAAAGGCAGCAAAGCAAATGTAGTTCTGCTGTTTTAGACCTCTATTAAATTTCCATCATTTTGGCTGAGCAAGGTGGCTTACGCCTATGATCCCATCACTTCGGGAGGCCGAGGTGGGCGGATCACCTGAGGTCAGGAGTTTGAGACCAGCCTGGCTAACATGACGAAACCCCGTCTCTACTAAAAATACACAAAAAATAAAAAAGTTAGCCAGGCGTGGTGGCGCACGCCTGTAGTCCAAGCTACTGAGGAGGCTGATGCAGAATTGCTTGAACCAAGGAAGGGGAGGTTGCAGTGAGCCGAGATCACCCACTGCACTCCAGCAGTGTGGGCAACAGAGCGAGACTCTGTCACAAAAAAAAAAAAAAAATTCCACTATTTTACCCATAGTTGTAATAGTTGTGGCTGTGGCAGTTATAGCCTATGTCCCCTGGAGGTCTTACTGATAGCATGGCAAACATTCTCACCTCCAGGAAACCCCCTCCATCTCCTCTCCTGCTTGGCTAACTCTTCCTCATCCTTCACATCCTCAGCACCTTCCTTGGCCTATCCCACTCCCTGCACACGCCTGGCCTATGCCGTTCCTGTGGGGCCTCTTTCCTTCTGGGGTTGTGTGGTTTACTGTCCAGATGTCTGGTAAGTGGGAACTGGAGCCCAAGCCTTGTCTCTCAGGGGCCCATTGTGGTGTCTGCCAGTCAGCGAGCATCCCCTCCCTCTCTCCCAGCACGCTGCCTCTGCTCACACTTCATCTTTGTTCCCTTTGACTTCAGCATGCATGCAGTCCCGTTCTCAAGGCCTAGGCTCACACTGAACTGCAGCTTCCTTCCATGTCTTTCAGTTCACATTTCTAAAAGGGAGCATCTGGTTGGCCTAGGGCCTCTTTTTGAGCCTCTTCACTGGTCAAGGGAGGGTTGGCTGCAAAGGGCTGTGTCTGGGGGCCTGGACTGATGTTGCAGGATGGGGCAGAGACAGACAGGGCTGTCCCCAGGACTGGGTAGGGGTGATGGGTGGGCTGCAGCCTGGGAGAAGCATCCATGTGCCTTTGTGGAGGCAGAAGGAGAAAGAAGAGCTAAAACCAAAGGCTCCCTGGACACACTGGAAACCCAGACATGGATGTGGGAGAAAGGAACCTCTCTGACTCTCCTTTCCTTTGGTGGGGACGGGCCATAGATTGAGTCAAAAAGTGGGTGAGGAAGGCCTGAATTTCTGTGTGAGAACCAAGGGTAGTGGCCACCTTGTTCTTTTCATGTCATGGCCGCAGAGTCCGTGGTCCCTTCCCAATGGCTTTCCTGAGTTGTAAAAATGCAAGTGTAAGTGGCAATCTGACAATTCCAAAGGGCACTGCTTAGGGGAGGTGGGTAGAGAGGGCTTCTTGGAAGACATGAGACTAAAACACGCCTTGAAGGTTGAGCAGGGTTGGCATTGGTGGGGAGAAAGAAGGCACGCTAGCTGGCCAAAACCTTGTGAGCAAAAGCACTGAGCGGGGAATGGGCATGGGGTGGGAATGCGGATTCCAGCTAGCTTGGTAGTTTGTGGTCTGTTAGAGAGAGGTGGGTGAGACCAGATAACAGATGCCTTTGAAGCAGAGGGGCTTACATGGAGCCACTCTCCTGGGGGCAAGTGTCTACATTATCAGGCCCCTGTTCTCAATAGTAGGCATCTGAGACTTCTCCAGGCTTCTCCCTGCCACTGACGGCCACCATCCAGGGGATCCAGTTGAGAGGCCCCTCCTGCAGTGCTTTCCACACTCATCACATCCTTCAGCTGGCCGGATTTCCTGACTGTCCTCTTAACCTAATCAATCCATTTCCTAGTGTGCCTGGAGACCATCTGCTGTAGAGGGGAGTGAGATAACAGACATAAGCACTACTCTCAACGTCTTAAGAGCTGCTCAGGGGAGATAGACATGGGTAGAGAAGTTTCATGTTAAAGGAGGTGCTCCTGACCTGGAATACAACAGGGCTTTGGGGTGGGGGGATGAGGATTGAAGCCAGGAGGGCCTCTCTACAGGGACAGCTCTCCTGGGCTGACACTGAGGTGCAGCCCTCACAGGCTCCAGGCATGGTCCCACCTCCCTGCTTTGCCACACTCACTCTGCCCCCTGCCCATTACCAAATATCCCTCCCTTTTGGGGCCCTTAGTTCAAATGCCTGAGAGAGCCTCATTGAGCCTGAGCCTGGCCCCAAATCAAGTTCAGTAATAAGCCCAAGGGGACCACCCTGATGCAATCGGCTGTGACCAGAAGGAAGGCCACGGGGTTCACCTAGGACCAGTAGGGGGTGGGTGGAGGTGTGGGCACAGCAGGCAGGGACACAGAAAATTTTTGCATGTATCTAATTATTTCTTCATTTAATATACTGTCCCATGAGAAAGTGTTGCTGAAATTTCTTTCATTTTGCCATTTATGGTTTTTGAAAAACATAAGTTTAGTAATATGGCCACTATTTATTGGAAATAAACATTTATACTAAATTGTTTTTCTGAAGTAGTAGGGGAAAATGTATTACCTTAGTTACCATGAACTTTTTTTTTTCTTAAAAGAATTTTTTTCCACTTTGAAACCTTTGGGGGTTACTTATTGGCATAATTTCTCCATTCTCTCTCGAATGGTTTAAAAATATTTATCACTTCTTTCAGATGACAAAGCATGAAATGCTTATTTAACCTTTGATGGGAAAGAGAAGAATGTCTATAGTTTCAATTAGAAGCTCCTTAGAAAACCAGTGCCTGTAATACTTAGCCCATTGTTTACATTTTGTTAAAATTTATAAACAAAAGGTGAATTCAAATTTGGAAACCAAAATCAGCCAAGACCTCACTGCACCAGCCACCTGTATATTTCAAAAAATAGCTTGACACATCTTTCCATGTTTGAATAACCTGCAGAAGCCCCTCAATCATGACCAATAATCCAACACATTTTCAACAATTCTGGAGTTTCCAGTATCCCTTCACTCCACTTACAAATGTTTTGAAAATTTGCCAGCTTTTCAGAGATGCATCAATAGTGTCATACAAATAATTGACAGTACTGAGATCACTTCAGAGTTCTTTCATATCCCGACACATCTCAACACCAATAAATCCCCAAGATGTACATGACAATGTGTGTATAAAGCTCTTGGCTCATCTTCCATAAACGTTGTGGCAACACATTAAATCTTCCACTTGTGTCAGCAGCTCCAGTGTAGACACAGCCATACACTTTATTAAAATCAGCTTCCAAAATAATTGGGTGTGAGAGCCTCCCAGTGATACTATCTATACCCATGTGATATGGTTTGAATGTGTGTGCCTTCCAAATCTCTGTTGAAATGTGATCCCCAATGTTGGACGTGGGGCTTCATGGAGGTATTGAATCATAGGGGTGGATCCCTCATGAATGGCTATGTTCCCCCCTCTTGGTAATGGGTGAGTTCTTACTCTGAGTTCTAGTTGTTTAAAAGACTCTAGGACCTCCCCTCACCCCTTACTCCCCCTCTCACCATGTGACACGCCTGCTCCCACTTTGACATCCACCATTAGTGAAAGCTCCCTGAAGCCTCACCAGAAGCTGAGCAGATGCTGGAGCCAGGCTCGCACAGCCTGCAGAACTATGAGCCAAATAAACCTCTTTTCTTTATAAATTACGCAGTCTCAGGTATTTCTTTATAGCAACACAAAAACAGACTAACACATCATAGCACCTGTGAAGGGCTGTTTAATTAAGATGGCCTTGGACATTTTCTGCAGGGAGCTTGCACAGGTTGAGAGCTGGGCACCATTATACCCTCAGCTGTCTCATTGTATCTTATGAGTGGTTTATGGAAACAATGCCCATGTATATTATTTCATTAAGGTACATGGTATGTACCATGTATATGCACATGCTATGTGCCAGACACTATTACTATTCTAAGTGCTTTACCTATATACACTCATTGGATCCTTCCAAAAAACTCTAAGGTAGGTTTTATGACTTATTCTCATTTTTCAGATAAAGAAAGTAGCACTGAAAGGTTAAGTAACTTTCCTAACTTTCACAAGTTTGCACAATTTGTAGAAACCAACTTAAATTAGTTATAAAGTTCTCTTTTTTATTTCAAACTCAAAACACTTGCCTTCATTTGCAAATTAGATCCCCTATGCCCATGGCAGACACAATTTTCCCAGAAATAAAATATCTTCAACTTCAAATACATCCTACTTTCCTCATTAGGTTTTAGTTAGCCAGGTAATACTTTACAAAAGACAGTGTATGTCACCAAAAAGTATACGTTTACTATAAAACTACATCAAATATAAATGCATTTTATATTTTTTCTCGTGTTCTGAAAACTTCCAGCAATTTTTTCAAGTTATGATTGTTCTTTCATTCCTGAGCTGTGTTAGCGAACAACTAGAATGGGAACAGAATTGCATGTCTTTTATAATGCTCTGTTCCACCCATGAAAAATCCAATTACTCAGATATTTCAAAAAATGTTTTCATTTGCCTTGAACTTTTTATACTTTAAAGGTAGTCTGGGGGTGAGAAGGCCCATTCCTTCCTTTCCAATTTCAAACCATGTGCAGAATCTTGGCTTAAAATGTGTTACTCCCTCTACCCACCCTTATGTCAACTCTGATTTCCTCTTGATGATGAAATATTTGACTACTCCTCACTATTACTATTGGCATCATAACTTGATGATAAACTCTTGGAAATTTTTGTGAAAAATAGAAACTCAAACCTTTGTTTTGACATCACTTTTTAGATTCCTGTGATTTAAGTATTTATTTAGAATTGCTCAGTGATTGTGTTCCATCTACAAGAAGAGAATGCCAATGACAGATTCTCTAACACTTCTTGTTAAGACACTTTCCATGTTTTCTCAGTTATTTTCTAACAAGATTAATGTCCCAAAGCAAGGCTCTTTCAGCCTAGTGGCATACTCCTGCTATAGCCTAGAAACCATGGATTTAAGGTTTTTCTACAGACTGTTTTTATTAAGAAACTGTTTTATTGCTATTTAATGATCTTTTGTCCTAGTTTTTTAAATTCTATTTTTTTCTCTTTTACTAATTTGGAAGTAGTAGCCCATTTCTATTCCTTGGATGGCATATTTCATTTCTCTAAATCTAAAGTTAATCATAATCTTTACTCTCCTTTAGAAAAATGTACGATCCAAATGTACTTTAACTTTGATCAACACACTACCCCAACTTAGATGCTGTTGTTGTTCAATACTTATTTCTATTTTTTTAGTCCCACAAATTATGCAATGACATTACTGTTTTATATAGTCAATATTTATTTATATTGTATTAACTTTACTCACTATTCATCCTTTCACCTCAAACTTTTCTTCTACAATAATTTTCTTTCTGCCTAAAATTCCTTTAATGAGGGTCAGTTGGTAGAAATTTTCATTTCTGATTTGTTTGAAAATGTCTTTATTTCACCCTTATTTTGAAAGACAATTTTTGCCAGAAATACAATTCTAAGTTGTAAGTTATTTTCTCTCAGTGCTTTGAAGATATATCCCACTCTCTCCTGGCATCCACTGTTGAGAGTTGGTTGTCAGTCCAATTGTCACTTTCTAGTAATCTATATTTTCTCTCTGGCTACACTTTCCTTCCTTCCTTCCTTTTTTCTTTCTTTCCTTCCTTCCTTTCTTTTCTTTTCTTTTTTTAAGACAGGTTCTCTCTCTGTCACCCAGGCTGGAGTGCAGTGGCATGATCTCGGCTCACTGCAACCTCTGGCTCCCAGGTTCAAATGATTCTTCTGCCTCAGCCTCCCGAGTAGCTGGGACTACAGGCACACGCCATCATCCCTGGCTAATTTTTGTATTTTTAGTAGAGACAGGGTTTCACCATACTGCCCAGGCTGGTCTCAGACTCCTGGCCTCAAGTGATCTGCCTGCCTCGGCCTCACAAAGTGCTAAGATTACAGGTGTGAGTCACCACGCCTGGCCTCTCTCTGGCTACTTTTAAGATCCTTTTTCCTTACGCATTCTACAGTTACATTGCCTATATGTAGATTTGTCTATCTTGTTGAATTTCAATGGGCTTTCTTATTTCAAGGATTGGTGTCTTAGTTAATTTTTTGTGGTTTATAATGGAATACCTGAAACTAGGTAATTTATAAAGAAAATAAATTTATTTCTTACAGTTATGGAGGCTAAGTGCAAGGTTGAAGATACCACATTTGGTGAGAGTCTTTTTAGTGGTGGAGACTCTCCGCCGAGTCCCAAGGCAGCAAAGGGCATCACATGGAGAGGAAGCTGAGATGCTAGTTCAGGTCTCTCTTTCTCTTCTTATAAAGCTACCAGTCTCACTCCCATGATAACTCATTAACCCATTACTCCATTAATGGATTAGTCTACTCATGAGGACAGAGCCGTTATCCCTTATGACCTATCACATCTTAAAGGCTCTACGCTTTCATACTGCCACTTTGGAGATTAAATTTCAACCTGAGTTTTGAAGGGGACAAACATTCATACCATAGCAACTGGCTTATCAATTTTTAAAAAATTCTTAGCCATTAGCTCTTCAAAGGAAGCCTCTCCCTGAGTCCCTCTGTTTTCTACTTCTAGAACCCTGGTTAGATACACGATAATCCTTTGGACACAACACTCCATCTCTCGTAACCTCTTGATGTACCCTGCAGCTTTGCCTCTCTATGTGCTGCATTTCCTCAGCTCTTCTGATTTCTAGTTCATGAATTCTCTCTTCTGCTACATCTAATCTGCTAACTTCTTATTGAGTTGCTAATTTCAGTTATTATAATTTTTATTTCTCTTTGGTCCTTTTCCAAATCAGCTGGGTCCTCTGTTTACACTGAGTTGTAATTTATATTCTGTAAGATGCACAAATCTGAAGTGTATATCTTGATGAATTTTCCCCTACGTGTACATCCATGTAAGCACCAGGTTAAAATATAAACATTTCCAGGACCTCAGAACATTCGACTGTGCCACTTTCCAGTCAATAATTCATCAGAGATAACTGCTTTTTTTTTTTTTTTTTTTTTAGACAGGGTCTCACTCTGTCGCCCAGGATGGAGTGCAGTGGCACAATCATGGCTTCCTACAGCAGCGACCTCCTGGGCTCAGGCAATCCTGCCTCAGCCTTCCAAGTAGCTGGGACCACAGGCGTGTGCCACCACACTTGACTTTTTTTTTTGGCGGGGGTGGGGGGCGGGGGGCAGGGTAGAGACAGAGTCTCCTTATGTTGGCCAGGCTGGCCTCAAACTCCTAGGCTCAAGGATCCTTCTGCCTCGGCTTCCCAAAGTGCTGAGATAACAGGCGTGAGCACCTGACCTGCTATTCTGACTTTTATCAATGTAGATTAATTTTGCCTGTTCTAAGGTACCATATAAATGGAATCTTACAGCATATATATTTTTCTGTCTAGCTTCTTTTACCCAATAATGTATTTAAGATTTATCCATGTTGTTGCATGAATCAATAGTTGGTTTTTGTTTTTGTTTTTGCTGCATTTCATTGTATGAATCTAGCAATTTATTCATCCTGCTGTTTATGGGAACATGGATTGTTGCAAGTTTTTGGTGACTGGGAACAATCACTTGTAGACATTTGCTTTTTTTTTTTTTTTCTTGCTCTTGTCCTCCAGGCTGGAGTGCGATGGCGCAATCTCGGCTCACTGCAACCTCCGCCTCTCGGGTTCAAGTGATTCTCCTGCCTCAGCCCCCCGAGTAGCTGGGATTACAGGTGCCTGCCACCACGCCCAGCTAATTTTTGTATTTTCAGTTGAGATGGCGTTTCACCATGTTGGCCAGGCTGGTGTAGAACTCCTGACCTCAGGTGGTCCACACGCCTCAGACTCCCAAAGCCACCGCGCCCGGCCGACATATGCATTCTTTTCTCTTGCACATATATCTAGGAGTAGAATGGCTGAGTGTTTATATGTTTAACTTTATTTCAAACTGTCAAATAACTTTCCAGAGTTGTACCATTTTGCACTCTTATGCAAGGTATTAGTTTCTTTTTAATAACCTCTTTTGTGACATATTAAACCTAATTATTTTATAGTCTATATTTGATAATTCTAACATAGGTGGTCTTTTTGCAGGTCTCATTCTGCAGTTTGTGATAGTTTATTTTCCTGCATATTTGATGACTTTTGATTATGAGTTTATCTTTCTCGGAACTTTATCTGGGGGAATCGTTTGGCTATCAAATGTATTCCTCTAGAAGAGGAATAAATACACTTGTTTTCTTCTTCCAAGACATACTAAATTTTCAGCCTGGGGTCTTTTAGGGGCTCCTAAAATGTTTGGTCCCACATCCAAGTGAGAATGGGGCTGTGGTTAGAAACTCTGAGGAAAACATGTTTTCTTTTTTTCCCCTCTACACAGAGCCAAAGCTGAGCCAGGCACATATGCCCACCACCTCCCTTTGTTGGGGTGAAATTTTTTCTCATTCACTCAGTAAGGATGTCACCTTTCGGGAATCTTTGATCTGATTTCCTGCCTTGGATGAATCCCAAGTGTTATTCCTCCCACTTGGAGCCCTTTACAACCCAAGCTCCGGGCCACCAGAGAATTGAAGTTTGTTCCAACACACACTGCAGCTTCAGAACTCATTTCCTTGTCTCAATTCAAGCTTTCTACAATCTCTGGGAAACTGGGGATTTTTCTTTATTTTTGTGACAGTTCAACCATCATTCTAAAAGATATTTTTAAGACTAGCAAAAGATTATTAACTAATGTTGAATGGTAAATATATGGAAGTTTGTTATACTGTTCTCTCTACAAAATATGTTTAAAATTTCATGTAATAAAAGTTTCCTTTTAAAAAAAATTCCCGATAGAGATTCACAGTGAGATATTTAGGACTGAAATATCATGATGGCTGTAATTTACTTGAAAATACTTCAAGGCAGGCACAGTGGCTCATGCCTGTAATCCCAGCACTTTGGGAGGCAAAGATGGGAGGATTGCTTGAGGCAAGAAGTTCAAGACTAGCCTGCACAACATGGTGAGAACCCCATCTCTCCAAATAATAATAATAACAAAATTAGCCCAATGCAGTGGTGTACCAGCAGTCCCAGCTACTTGGGAGGCTGAGCCCAGGAGTTTGAGGAGGCAGTGAAGTATGATTGTGCCACAGCACTCCAGCCCAGGTGACAGAGTGAGACCCTATTTCTGTTAAATAAATAAATAAATAAATAAATAAATAAAATACTCCAGAGAAAAAAGGATGAGGCAAAATGGAAAAACGTTAATAATTGTAAAATCTAGGTTACACGGTATGTGGGTGCTCGTTATACTATTTTGTCTACCTTTATGTAAGTTTGGAAATTTTTATAATAAAAAGTCAAAATAAAACAAGTTCTTAGATGTTCTGTACTGGGAAGGCTCTCTGGACCTCTAGTGTACTGTATTATTAGAAACAAATTTGACATCATGTTCAGATAATTACACTCACAAAGAAAGAATCTACAAATGACTCTGGCCAAATTATTCAACAACTCAGAAAAGATACGAAATGCCTGTGCTGTGTAATACAAAGTTGTTCAGATCCAGATATGAACAAATAAATTTGTGTAAGTGGGCAGTTGGGGAGGTAGGCAGGTCAGCAGGCCAGCAGAACAACAAAATAGGTAGGGATGGGCCTACTGAAGTGTCTTGACATTGAGCTATACCAAATGGCCCCATTTTTTCATTGCATTTCATGGCCCAGATGTCTGCTGGTTGATAGTCCCATCCATGTAATAGTAAAATCACACTTCCTCCCTCCCATAGGTCCAGCCCCTCTAGTTTTAGGAAGGGGAAGCCATCTCCCAGCTCCAGCCCAAATCTCACCTGCTCTCATTCACCTCCTATTTATGCCCAAGATTCAGTGTGCCCATTCCAGAACTCCTAGGGGCTGAGCTTGCCTGGAGCCCCATTGAGCCAATCTCTCACTACATAATCATCTGATGCAAGTACATTTCCCAAAGTCCAAAAATTCCTTCTAAACTGAAATTCTGAGTGAGCATTCAGCAGAATAGCTCAGGGTGGGCTTTGGCAATTCAGGTCAAAACACTCTCTACCAGATTAGCTGGGTGTGGTGGCTAATCCCTGTAGTCCCAGCTACTTGGGAGGCTGAGCCAGGAGGATTGCTTGAGCCCAGGAGTTCGAGGCTGCAGTGAGCTATGATTGCAACACTGCACTCTAGCCTAGGTGACGGAGTAAGACCCTGTCTCAAAAAAAAAAAAAAAAGAAAGAAAAGAAAAGAAAAAAAGAAAAAAAAAGTCCTCTCCCAGTGGGAGATGAAAATATGGACCTTCTCACTCTTCATTTTCCAGTTCTATGGAGAACAATTTGAATCAGAATGCATACACACTCCCAAGAAGGAACCCTAATTTTCAGAGACAGAGCTGACTAGACCCAAATGTTGAAAAGAAACATTTCCCTAAGTTAAATTAACCTGCAAAAATGACATCCTGTTATAGAGAAGACATTTATACATTATGCAGAACACTTGAGCTTGTGGTCTCTAATAGATTCCATTAAAGAATTAAGTCTTTGGTTTATCTTTGCAAAAATGAGGCATCCGTTGAAGTGGTTTATCTTTGCGTTTACAAGGCATCCATTGAAGTGTTTTTTTTTTTTCAGAAGAAAGGGATATTTGCTCCAAGTTCACACATTTTATGTAATAGAGTCACACTAGAAACTCTGAATTTATAGTCCTTCCCACTCAAGAGTTTAGCCAATTATTGGGCAGGCTCCCAGTTCAAAGTGTCTGGGTTTCCGTTCCCAGCAGTCAGAGGCTCTGCAAGAAGCATCTTCTTCCAACATGGGGCCTAGGATGGGAAGCCCACCCTGAGGGTCAGGCAAGAATTCCACCTATCTTGGGAGGTACGGCAAACCCTACAGGGCAAGGACTGTATATTCTTTACGTTCTATTATGATGAAAACTTGCATTTTTACACACCTCAGAACAAATGGAACCTTGAGTCATGTTTCTCACATTTTTATATTCAGTCAACAAATCTTTAATGAACATTTATTATATGCCAGACAACCGTGTTGTGTTGGAAACACAGCAGTGAACAAAATAGACGTTCTCATGAAGTTGGCATTCTAAATAGTTGACTATGTGCACTACTGAAAATTTTCCTCCTCTCAGAAGTTGGACTGATACATGCTCTGGAGTAATTTTTTTTTTTTTTGAGACAGGGTCTCACTCTGTTAACCTAGGCTGGAGTATAGTGATTTGATCATGGCTGACTGCAGGCTTGAACTTTTAGGCTCAAGTGATTCTCCCACCTCAGCTTCCAGAGTAGCTGGGACTACAGGCATGCACCACCACACCTGGCTAATATTTTTAATTTTTTGTAGAGACAGGGTCTCGCTATGTTGCCCAGGCTGGTCTCGAACTCCTGGCCTCAAGCAGTCTTTCTGCCACAGCCTCCCAAAGTGCTGAGATTATAGGTGTGAGCCATTGTACCTGGCTTGGAGTAATGTTTTTGAGCAAAGCAAATGTACAGGACATGCACAGAGAGGCACAGGGAGCACAGAGTCCCTGGATGAATGCTCTGGCTGGTGGCAGTATTGTCACAGGGCAGGCTACCCAAAGGTGAGCAGAACACATGAGGCTAGACAGGTACAACTTGCTCATGAAGAGCCTCGAATGCCAAGCTTAGGAGTTTGAACTTTATTGGAACACTGACACTAATAGTTAATGTTTACTGAGTGCTTACTATGTGCTAAGAGCTATGCATGAATCACCTCATTCTAATTCTCTTAACTCTCCACAGCAGGTCTTATTATTTCCAGATTGCTGATGAAAAACTGAGTCACAGAGAGGTAAAAAAAAAAAAACAAAAACACCCTGGGTCCAGAGTTGTGTGAAAAAATTTTAACAGGTTAGAGTTGTGTTGTAGAAATCTGGTAGCCAGCCACGTGTAAGACGAATTGTAGAAAGGAGAGATCACAAATGGCTATCATAAGAGAATCACTGGGAAAAGGTAATAAGAACCCAAATTAGAGGCAAGGAGAACAGAAAGAAATGAAAGAATGCAAAGACTGACTGGATGTGCACAGCAGTGACCGAGAGAAAGGAGGTATCACAGGTGCCTCTTAGCTGCTAAGCCTGGGTGTCCTGCAGAAAGGGGCAGCTATTATCAGAAGAGAGAAGCCAGAGAGAGGCACAGATTTGGTGGGGATGATGTTGAGCTCCGTTTGGGGGTATGGTGAGTGTCTAGGGGGCCTGTAGGAACCCCTCCAGAAAAATTCTCACAAGCATTTGAAAATCAGTGACTTGATCTGGAGAAAAATATAGGGCTGGCATTACAAACCTGCCGGGGTCTGCATTACAGTATTGGTTGAAAGTGTGGAAATTGATAATGATAGATGGTTGGTAGATACATAGATAGATAGATAGATAGATAGATAGATAGATAGATAGATAGATAGATAGATAGAATAAATAGCATGATACATGGAATGAGGGAAGGGCTAAGGATAAAGATGCCTTCATGGATGCCCACAGTTAGGAGAAGAAAGTAGAGCCCATGAAGGAACAACTCCCAGAGTTTGCAGATCCAGGCAAGTATCTTGTTCAGAAAATAAAGGGAAGGGAGTTTCCAAAAGAAAAGGGGGTTGAAGGTACTCAGATGCTGAGGAGCCTATAAACAATTGTGACTAAAAAAGACTCAAATTTGGAAATAAGGTGTCCTAATGAACATTTCAGAGGATGGAGAGAGATTCTTAAAGTCAGCCTTTGGAAGAATAACTATATAGAACACTTCCAGAGGCCAAACTAGTGACAATGGATCAAAAGAATTAAAATATTGCATATCTGGAAATTACACAGCTAGAAATATGTAGAAAAGAAACACAAACATGCGGTAAGATACAGCTATGGAGCTGTTTGTCGAAATTTTGTTAAAACAGTGAAAATCTGTAAACTGTATTAATGTCCAACAATAAAAAATATTTAATGAGAGGCAAAGATGCTTTGATTGGTTATAAAGATAAAGAAGTTACAATACTATGTACAGTATGATCCTTTTTTTAAAGGGAGGCACATATAGAAAGAACTGGAAGGATATACTGTAAGAATTTCACGATGTTTGTTTCTGGGTAGTAGGATTTGACAATTATAAGATCTCTGTTTTCCCTTCACTCCCCCCTTTTGGATTATCTGTATTTTTTATAACTCTGTCCAATAGACATATAATGTGAGACACATAATTTTAAATGTTCTAGTGGCCACATTTAAAAAGTAGAAAGAAATAGATAAAATAATCTTCTTAAGATATTTCATTTTACTCAATATATCCATTACTATGTGTAATCGATATAAAAATATTAATATTTTAAATGTTTTAGCACTAAGCCTGTTTAACACTAAATGCAGTGGATATTCACATTTACAGAACATCTCTGTTTGGGCCATCCACTTCTCAAGCACCACATTACCGCATTTGGCTCCTAGCACGGCTCTATGAAATAATAGCAGTTAATATTTATCAAAAGCCTACTATGTTCCAGGCACTGCTCCAAGTTCATCAGGTGGAGATTATAACTCATTAGGTCTCAATAACTCCATGAGGTTGAACTTATTGTGCTCTCCACAAGCACGTGTTGCTTGCCCTTGTCCTCATACCATAATGAAATGTTTGGAGCTTTTGCAAAAGCCATTTTCCTAATATGATGGGCATCCAAGTCTGGTTGCAAAGGCTTGGATAGAGGGCAAGTGAGAGAATTGGAGAGAGACTAAAAATCATTCAAGAAATTTTGTGGTGAAAAAGACAAGTCAAAAGACTGAGAGAAACATGAGGACAGAAAACTCTTTGTAAGGCAAGGAGACATAAAGATGAAGTCAGGCTGAATAGGAAAGAAGGAGGTGAAAGGTGAAAGAGAGATGGCTGGGGGTGTGGCTGGTCCAAATTCTCACAAGATCTCTGTTGGAGAAACATTGCCTGGCTTGTGCTGGTGGCGAGATGTACATAGCAGCTTCCCAGCTAGAGGGAGCAGGGAGTCATGGCCTTGTGAGGGAGACAGATGGAGACACACACAACCCCCATCGCAGGTGAATGCTATGAAAGAATGGGGTGGAGGGCTTCCCAGGGAGATGAACTGAGTTTTAAGAACGAAGTTAGCCAGCAAAGAAGCAAAAGGAAGAGGATATAGACTTGAGGATTACATCACTGGATGACTGAGCCACTGATTGGATGTGGAGGATGAGAGAGTGATGCTTTGAGGTGATTCCCAAGTTCTCCGCATGGACAAAGGCAGAGACAATAACTTGTACTGAGTGCTCTTTGGAGTCTGACATTGATCCAGTGCACCACATATGTTATCTCATTTACTCCTCACAGAGGTCCCGTATAACGCTTGCAATTTCACAGATACGCAAGCTGAGGCAAAATAATTGGCCCAGGGCTCACCACTAATAAATAGGAGAGTCTGGATTTGGGGCCAGGTTATTCCAGAAATAGAGAGAGGGAGGGAAAACGTTAATGTGGGGCCAGAGCCAGAACAGGTAGGCTAGGCTGTATCAGCCTGGGAGGCATCGGGCTATTCTCCAAAAAGTGAGGCTCCGGGTTGCAGGAGATGGGACCTCCAGGAAACTGGTGGGAGGCTGGACAGGGGCAAAGTGAAAGGTAAGCAGCCTGAAGATGGGTGGGATGTAGTGGACTCCAGCGTGAAGAGCCTCCAGTCTCTGGCAGAGCTCAGCAGCTTGGGTGGGAGGAAACGAAGGGCAGGGAGCAGAAGGTGGTGGGGGGAACGGGTTTTGGTTAAGATGGGCAGCTGTCCAGTGGTGAAGAGGGGAAGTATTTGTGTATACGATCAGTTGTGGGGGATGGTGGTAGAGGGAGCAGTATGAGAGTCTGGGAGGAACAGGGCAGGGGAGATGGCACAGGAGAAGATTGGGGTGGGGGTGGGGGCACTGATACTGAATCCAGTACACAGAGGCAGGCTTAGAGACCCCCTGAGGGTGACAAATTCTTCTCTTAACTTGCTGCAGAGGAAACGACAAGAGAATAGGTCCTAAGAGGAGTGAAAATAGAGGAAACTGGCCAAGGGATAAAGATAAGCAGAGCTATGGAAGAAAAGGAAGAAAATTAGGGAATTACTGGAGAGGAAGCTGACAGAAAGGGGCGCTGGGAGAGGAAAAGGTGAGGGAGGACGAAAACGGAACTCCTATCACCCAGCGCATTCCAGCACCCCCTCCCCCTCCCCCGGGAAGTCTGCGACTGCATCCTCACAGGGATGGAATGGGAGTGGAAGCTAGGCCAGGCTGGGACCCCGGGGCTGTCCCAGCCCAACCAAGACGGTGACCAGACTCAAGTTACTGATCCTCCGCTGTTTCTTCATCTGTAAAGTGGAGTTAATGACAGACAGCTGGATGTCAACGTTTTTTGTTGTTTGTTTTAGAGATGGGATCTCCCTGTATCGCCCAGGCTGGAGTGCAGCGGTATGATCACGGCTCACTGCAGCCTCGACCTCCTGGGCTCGAGAGATCTTCCTGTCTCAGCCTCCCGAGTAGAAATGTCAGCATTTGAATGCCTCACAAGGGAAGGTGGTGTAATAAAAGGTCTATTGATTTAGATATGAACAAGTATACCCAGAGCCACACGAATGAAAGGAGGTGGCCAGTGTAGATGCAAGTCTAGGACGGTCGGTAGATTCCAAGCTTCTCTACCTGCCCAGTTAAACAAGTTCGTGGCCCCTGGCCAGCCTCTCGGTGGGGGTCTGCGACAGAACGGGTGGGATTCATTACCAGGCTAGGAGCGCAAGGCCCTCGGGCCGGGTTCAGCTTGCTGGGCTCCTGTCTTGTCTCAGCCCCCAGCACTTGCTCTGTCACCGCAGAGCACAGGCCCAGGCAACGTTTACCCAACTGAACCCGCATCCCTGTGGGAACCTTGTTCCAACAAAATCCCGTCGTTGTCTCCTTCCATATGGAACGAAAATCTCCTTCTGTACCTCTGCCCAGCTCCGCACCCCCGCCCCCTTAGAGATACGGCCTGGTCGGGTCCTGGTCCCCCCCTCGGCGGCGCTTCCACTTTTCCCAGACTGAGGGTGGGGAAAAGGAGGAGGGGGAAGAAATCAGAGGAGGAAAAGTCGGGAGGTAGGGGAGCCGGGAGACAGGAGAGGGGGAAAATAAAGAGCCTGAGACACAAACGAGAGGAAAAGACCATCACAGAAAGCTGGAAATCTCCGGAGAGGCCAGCGAGAACCCGCGCTCCCCACGGATTCCATCATTCCTTCCGAAGGCGCCTCTGCGGTGTCTCAGCCGTGCCAGGCCCCGGGGTTCCCAGGACGCGGAGGAGTGCTGGGTGCGGCCGCCTCGCCTCCCCACCCCTGGCCGCCCCTCCCCACCTCGCCCAAGGGGGCCGGAACGGCGTCGGCGCGCGGGGGCTTTTCGGAGCAGTCGAGTGGAAAATAGACTTTAACCCGCTTTGTGGCGGCCGGGGCGCCCTGAGCGCTCTCCAAACCACGGCTCCCGGCGCTCAGGCGGGCCGCTGCCAAGACCCGGCCTGGAGTCCCCGCAGAGTTGCGCGGCGCACGGACCCCGTGGCCTTGGGGCGTCAGGAGGCCCAACCCAGATCTGCGCGCCCAGGCAGCGCTCAGGCCGCTAGAATGGACCCCGGCAGCGGCGAGGAAGCGGAACTCTCTGCGGCTCCCTCTCCGCAGTGCGCCGGCAAGGTCCAGGTCCCAGCCTCCCCACCGCCGCCCGCGCCCTCCTAGGCCTCGGAGCGGCGCCTTTCTGCGGCCTCGAAGGTGGGGTGGGAAAGTTTGGGGAGTCCCGGCTCTCACAGCCTGTCGTGAGAACTGCCCCCGGGGAATTCGTCCGCCGTACGGAAAAACTGGCCGGAGCAGAGTCGTCCGCGGTTCCGCGGTCGCGGGTGGAAGGTGAAGGTCGAGGGAGGTCAGGCTGCTTCTGCGTGTCCTGACGGCTGGCGTGTTCTCTTGAGATGGGCTCGGGCTACTTGGCCAGCTTCAATTTAAGCCACAGTGTCTCCGAGGCCCTGACCTGGTCCGGCCCGCCGACACTTGAGCCCCCAGAGCCTCAGAGAAGGCGAGGGGGTGGATCTCCCAGTGCCGAGGCCCGCCGTCCTGGTCCAAGCCGGTCGCGGCACCGTGTCTGGGCACTGGAGCTGCTTCCAGCCCCGCGAACAGCTGGAGGGTGGCAGTGGGACCGCTCCGGCGGCTTCTCCCGCGCAGTGCCCCGCCTGGCCCCTTGTGAAGGGAGTGAGCGTCCCCTTTCCAGAGCTGTCCCCCGTGACATCCAGAAAACGCGAAACCTCAGGAACAAGGTCGCAGCTTCAGACCGCGGCCCAGGAGGCCGATGGTGGGTGAGTGGGAGAGTCCCGGAGAGCAGGGGGGCAGAGAGCTGGTTTTCGGGAAAACCAATGTGTTGGACCCCAAACATCCACCCTCCGCTCGGATCCAAGTTCTCTGAGAACTGAAACGACATCCCGGGACGAATGGGAGAGTTAGGCTGAGCTACACACCGGGGAGGGGAGGGTTGGAGTTTAGCCCCAAGCCCTTCGGACGCCTTCTTCGGCTCCCGCGTGGGTTGAGACGGCGGCACGGCCACCAGACTCAGCTAAAGGGCGGAGTCGCGAGGAGAAGCCAGTGGCGAGGGGAGGAGGAGGCCTGGATCTCCCCGCGAAGGCTCCAGTCCGGCTTTTGCCTCCGACTGCGGGCTCCCTCCCCACCCGCCGTCCCTCGCCCCGCCCCGCCCCGCCCCCCACCTTGGGGCAGGTGAGCGGCGGCCAATGGGCGAGCGCGGGGCAGGTGCCCGCTAACTCGCGCCTCGCAGCGCTGGGCGGCCGGGGCTGGGCAGGGCAGTGCGGGGACACCGGGGGCTGGGGTCGGTCCCAGCGGGACTCCGAAAGGAGGGAGACGAGCTC